>NC_000002.12:117489618-118114618 GCF_000001405.40 Homo sapiens | reverse complement strand
AGAAAAGAGATTTTTAAAAAGAAAAGGAATCCACAACTATACTGCAAAATAAGTACATTCTGTGAACTAGAAACTACAAGGAATCCCTGAAAGCAAGAGTGAGTAGCTGGATGGAGGGAAACCACAGCTTGAAATACTCAAGGAGAGGACTTGCTAAATATGAAACTAGGGGCATCCTAAGCTCAGAGGTAGCTGATGCTGGGAGCTGGAAATGCCAAGGGCAACTGACCTTATGGGTTCAACCAGGCTTCTGTGAAAGCAGCCAGTCTGGCCAACCCTTCTACACTTCTCCTACTTGCCAACCTTTGACCAGGCAGAGACAGCATGGTATCTACCCCATGATGTAAGTGTTAAGTGTGGACAGTCTCAAGAAGCATGGCGATGTGCCCAAGGCAAACCAGGGGCACTCACATCTGGAGATCAGCTGGTGGCAGGCTCATCCCACCCTTCCCTGCAATGGCTCTTTAGAAGTGCTTCGAACTTTAGAAGAGCAATTAATGTCCTTAGAAAAAATACAAGAAGGGCAATATACTTCCATTTCAAAGTACAGTAATCTTAGAAATTAAAATTGCTATCAATAAAATTAAAAACTCAACTGATGGGCTGAATGGATGGATACAGCTGAAGAGCAACTCGCTGAGCTGGAACAACAGTTATGTAATTCTTCTAGAAGGTAACACAACAAAGAAAAGCTAAGGGCTATATAAAAAAACAGAAACAGAAGGTCAAATATGTCTAGAATAGAGGACTTTTAGAAGAAAAGAAAAGAGAAAGTGAAAAAAGGAACACTAACAGCAAATATAGAAGTAAATTTCCCAGAATTCAAAAGATATATCTGACTGAACATGATTAACAGAAAAAGACTCACTCCTAAACATATTGTAGTAAAATCTCAGAACACCTAGGATGATAAATATCTAAAAAATAAATAAATACTCAAGCCTGTAATTCCAGCACTTTGGGAGGCTGAGGCGGGTGGATCACCTGAGGTCAGGAGTTCAAGACCAGCCTAGCCAACATGGTAAAACTCCGTCTCTACTAAAAATACAAAACTTAGCCGGGCGTGGTGGTGAGTGCCTGTAATCCCGGCTACTGGGGGGGCTGAGGCAGGAGAATTGCTTGAACCCGGGAGGTGGAGGTTGCAGTGAGCCGAGATCGTGCCACTGCACTCCAGCCTGGGTGACAGAGTAAGACCTTGTCTCGAAAAAAATAAATAAAAATAAAAATAAATAAATAAAAGAGGGGGGAAAGGGATTCTAATTAAAATCCCAATACAGTCAAGGCACTGAGATAAGTACCTGCTCAAATGGTCAAAAAGAGTATAGATGACACCCTTCCTTCCCACCTGACCTTTGAGATCACTCCAGGTAACATCAATACCAACATCAAAATCTGTTCACCCACGCATTGGACCTCTACTCCGCTGCTGTTCATTTCTACTCACTTCAGTGAACTATGTAAATACAGTTGTTTAGAACACTCCTTGGACTTTATCAAGATCTGGAAATGATCCACTACATTCCTCTCTGATTACAAACCCCAAACCTACCAACCTTACCCTTAAACTGGATTTTTAATCTCAACACTTGCAGTCATTTGACTTCATCCTATTTCCTCATGCCATCAGGTCAGCACTGCTGATTCAACTTCCTTTCCCAATTTGCCTGGATCCCATGAAAACGTCTGCAGATATTTCACTGGGAGTCTCTATTCATTTTTCACATATCCTTGTGCCATGCCTACCAGTGAATTCTCAGCTACAATCAATGTATTTCATCATGACAAGTCTACACTCCTGGGCTGCTGAGCCCACTAAGACATGGCGTTAACAATGTCAATTGGCTCTACTGCAAATATCTGACCTCTATCCTCACATGGATCCTTGATGGCCTCAAAACTGTCTGGCAAGTCTTTCTTCATCTTTAGTCAGTTACTATGTCCATTCTTCATAGATATTGTCCAAACATCCATCATTCTTTCAAAGTTCCCTAGTTGCCCCAGATCCCCTCACTCCCAATAAAAGACTCAGTATATAATCAGGCTTTTCTTTATTTTGTGAGCTATTTTATTAGTATACAGGGAGATATTTTATATGTTAAGAGACAGCAGTTAGAAAAACATTTTCAATGTAAAACAACACCTTCTCCTTTATCATCAAGATTAATTCATCCTTCCAATTGTACTTCATTGTACCAGTTACTCTGCCTGAAACTTCCTCCTACCCTGGTTTCATCCCATCACTCTTCTGGTTTTCCTCTTACTCTTTTTTTTTAATTTTTATTTATTTATTTATTTATTTATTTTTGAGACTAAGTCTCACTCTGTCTCCAGGCTGGAGTGCAGTGGCACGATCTCGGCTCACTGAAACCTCTGTCTCCCGGGTTCAAGTGATTCTCCTGCCTCAGCCTCCCGAGTAGCTGGGACTACAGGTGCCTGCCACCACACCCAGCTAATTTTTGTATTTTTAGTAGAGACACGGTTTCACAATGTTGGCCAGGATGGTCTCGATCTCTTGACCTCATGATCCACCTGCCTCAGCCTCCCAAAGTGCTGGGATGACAGGTGTGAGCTTTCCTCCTACTCTTGATCGTTCTTCTCTTTTCACCATAACATGCTCCCTATGTGATTTCATCCACTCCTAAGGCATCATTTATTACGGTCACATGCTGATGACTCCACATTTACATCCTACATCCCAGACTCAAATATCCAAGTGTTTATGATACCTTTATCAGATGTGCCCTACATAACTCAACCTCAACATATCAAACCAAACTTGTTAACTTTACCCCTTCACCTGCTTCTCTACATTCTCTTTTGGTTTATGGAAATATCATCCATCTAGTTTCTCAAGATAAAAAAATGAACTTACCATTGACTCTTCCTCATCTTTAACCTTCACACCCAAGTCACCAAGTTCAGGTGATTTTATTCCAAAATGTGCCCCTCATTCTTCATTTCCAATGTTACTACCCATCTCATCTCTCTCACCTGGACGCTACCCCTTATTTTATGCATAACTACACCAGTGAGTGGCAACCTGGGTTGCACATCAGAATCACCTGGGGAACTTTTAAAAATCCTAATGCTCAGGGCATACCCCAAACTAATTGTATCAGAGTCTCTGGGGGTGGAACCCAGACACCAGAATTTTCTATAGGTCCCCATGTGATTCCAATATGCAGGCACATTTAAGAATTTTCCAGAATTGAAAACATGAGCCCACAGATTGAAAGTACATACCAAATACCAAGCAAAAAAAAAAAATAACAAATCTACAACTAGTCAAATCATAATGAAGCTGAAAAATGTTAGAGGATAGAGAGAAAATCATGCAAATATCCTAGAGTGAAAAGATAGATTATCTACAAAGGAAAGAAAATTACGGTAATGGCAGACTTATCTGTAACATTAGGTGACAGAAGACAATGAGTTAAAAATCTTCAAAGTGCTGAGGGAGGGAAAAAAACTATGAACATAGAATCCTACAGCCTGCTAAATTATTCTTCAGAATGAAACAGACCTTTTCAGACACACAAAGCTAAGACTCTACTACTCAGACCATCACTGGAAGAATTACCTTACACAGAATATACTTCATTATAAAGGTAACTGAGCCAATAGGATTACAGAAGTATTTATTGGTATTAACCAAGTCTGACTTCTACCTGGAAAATACAAGATGTATGAAACATATGCATCATTGAGAGGTCCCAATGGCCTTAAAGAAGGTAAAACAGCTCAGTGCAAATAAATAAATTTTACATTAAAAGTTTTAGCAGGGCTCTGGCTAATTTGAATTGTTTTCTTGCACTTTTGTAGAATTTATCCCCAGTTTTCAACTGTGCAAATTTCCATAACTTGAAATAATAAAAGAAAGCACTGCCAATCTAGCAATGTTAAAAAATGTTTCCCATTTTCTTTCATTGAAAAAAATAGGTTCTATACATTTATATATTTATCAAAATTTCAAAACAATTTTATTTTTTGCTATAATTATCTTATTTTCTAGAGGACCTGAAAATAATTTAAGAACACCAACGATAATCATTCAGTCTCACCGATACCACACACAGTTGACCCTTGAACAGCATGGTTTTCAGCTGTGTGGGCCCACTAATAATGCACATCTTCTTCCACCCCCGCAACAGCAAGACCAACCCCTCCTCCTCCTCCTCCTCAGCCTACTACTCAGCATGAAGATAGCATGAGTGAAGACTTTTAGGATGGTCCACTTCCACTGAATGAAGAGTAAACACATTTTCTTTTCCTTAGCTTACACTATTGTAAGAAAACAGTATATAATACATATACCATACACAATATGTGTTCATCAACTGTTTCTTATTGGTAAGGCTTCCCATCAAGAGTAGGCTATTAGTAGTTAAGTTTTGGAGGAGTCAAAAGTTATACATGGATTTTCAACTATGTTGGGGAGTGGTGCCCCTAACTCCTGTTGTTCAAGGGTCAACTATATTTAGTTTCTTTTCATCGTTTCTTGGTAACTTCAACCACATATGTTAATTTCATTAGATTAATCCACAGTACCATATTCTAAGACTTACCACAAAGAAGAAAAACAGACTCTTAACCCAGATGATAATTACATATTTAATACGTGTTGCTTTTAACAGCAATTTTTAAAGTAAACACATCATAGACCTTATAACTTATTAAAGATTTTATAGTGCTTACAAAGTTGATTCTAAAAAATATACCTTATTTGTTCTAAATGAATAACATTATCTGGAAGATATAATAATAAATTATAGTAGTATGTTTTCCACCACGATAGTTAAGATTGTGTACACATATTCAATATGAAATCCTCTTAGGATTTTCACACCTTCAGCCTGAAAACATAAAAGCAGATTAAAGTTTGGCATACAAGATCTCAGTCTGATAGTAATTGCTTTAAAACTCAAAGTGTAAAAATATCTACTTGACATTCTAGGAAAGCATGGCCACATGCACAGACACATTCTCTCACTCACTCCAACACACACGTGTGCACACATACTCACACCCCAGAGTACTCAGAAGATCTTGCCCTTGTGGATCAGACAACTGCCACCAATTTCAAAAACTAATGGAAAAAATTAGCTAAGAATATGTTTAAACCATACTTAAGAGGTGCTGGTTGCCATTAAGATCTTTAACATGCAGAGAATGCCATCTCAATACACTCTTAAACAGACTTGAACTATTCACTAATGGATACACGAATACATGAGAAATTATGTATTCATCCACCCCCAAGACTGCATGTAAGATGAAAAACCTAGGCATTCCACCAACGAGTCATATGACTGAACCCAGCTAAAGCTACAGTGGTTTGCTTCACAGAACCCAATAGAAGACAGAACCCAACAGATTTAGAAACCTCATTGTGATCTGTTTGGAGTTTCCTATATGCTCCATGTGCAAAAGCAATGAGATTCTGTATTGCAGATGACAGCTAATATCACTTTGCACTTTTGTGACACTGCAAGAGGTCACTGTATTTCCAAAACATGTATTTATTCTAATTAAATCCTCTAATGTTCCTTACTTTTAATTATATATACTGTTCCAAATTTAGAACCAAAACAATTTAATGCTGATAACCTCTTCTGCTCATCACATATACTTCCAGTAAAACCTGTCAAAACAGAAAATTACTCTTTGGGCTGTCTCCAGTAACGCAGGTTTGAAACCAGAAGTTCATTTTCACCCTGTATCAAAACACTCCAAACTCTATGAAACAACATTAAATTAGAAACTAACCACAAATTAGGGCACTCATAACTCATACTGCTGTGATTAGAAAAATAAAAAGGCACAACAGTAAGCTAAAGAGAAAATACCAGCTCCCCATATGCTTTTTGTTTGTTTGTTTTTGGCTTTCCTCTTATTTTATTTCACTAAGTCTACAAATTGTTCAAAGCATTCTTATACTCTGCATGACAGGAACAATATCTTGGCACATTAACATTGTGATACAATGTATGGCATGTTTTAAAAAATTAATTTAAAAATTTCATCTATTAATCAACACTTTTTAATGTAGTACATATATATCTTACAGTTATTTAAGTCAAATATGTAAAGGTTTACAACTGATTTACAGATGAAGCAATCACAGATTGCAGTAATATGTGTGTGTGTATATATATATTTATCCATATATACACACACGCCAATCAAGGGGAAAACTGCATCCTGGCAATTTTACAGTCTGAAGTTTTGTTGGTATATCTACCATTTCACATCCTTTTCATCTTGCTTTTCTGTACAAAAGATATTTTTTGCCTTCTTCATTCCTGATGAGATTTTTCTGCGATAACTTTACATTCGTACTGCAAAAATTAAAAGGTTAAAAGGTTAACAGATTAAGACTTCTTTTGAATAGCAACTTCCAAATAAACTGAAAAGCTCTAAAAATGAACATTTTATTACTATGTGCCCATTTATTCCTCAAATAATCCAAGAGTTACATAATTACTATGATTAAATGACAAATGTGACAGGGAAAAAAATAATTCACATTCTGGAAGTGAAAAAGCCACAGCCAAAAGCAAGAGAAAGATGAGATTTCTGCATTACAAGCAAGTAGTGGCAGTATATGATTTAGAATTTAGATCAATCTTTTAATGTCGAAAGGAAGCAAAGCAGGTTTCTTTGAGTATTCAATAAGGCAAATTAGCAAAGAATAGTTCATGAACTTAAGGATAGGGCTGTTGTGGTGAACTCAGATCACTGTATTTTCAAATTGCTATATGATATAAAGGAAAAAATCTGTTACATTAACAAAAGCTTCCAGTCAAAACAACATTTTTAAAGTACAGCTATAAAAATGTACACCCACAATTCAAAATAAAGGAAACCAACAGGGTAAGATAATTGGTTGGCTATTTTACCAAAAATACAGCAAAGTAAGTCACTCAATTCTCCTAACCTGGCTAAAAAGGTAAAAGTGACAGCACTGATTCATAAAACTGCTGTGGCCTCTGAATGTCACTCCCTAGCCTTTTCCTTTTCCTTCATCACTAAAATGATCAAACATCTTGATTTGTTAGAGGTGGTCCTAATGTATACCTATTGTAGCAACACACTTATTAGTAGTGACCTTTTTAACTTTTAAAACTGTCCTTTTCTGATATAGTGGGAGACCTGTAGATTAGTTTTTTAAAAACCACTAATATCCCCCATATGGTCAATAAATCATATTGCCCTATCCATAACACATTTTGAGTTTTTCTCTCCAGTGGCTCCTCAACTTTTAAAACACCTGTGATTAAATTCTTCCAAATGATTTATTTCAATGGAAGTGCAAAAAAGCAATCAAAGAATGTTGTCTTCACAAATTGCTTTCCCTTAAAGGACTGCCTTTTAGAGAAAACTTGTCATTTGTTCCACATCTTATTCAGAAAAGTGAGCATCAGCTTACCATTGCCAGTTGTCGACCAATGTTTCCCATTGTTATGCCTCCAGCAAAAAATATACATGGTAACCAAGAACGAACATAGAGGAAATCTGGAGATGTATATCTAGAATAACAGACATGTCTTTAATACCCACAGAGGAACTGCAATGACACTTAAGATAATTACAATGAAAATAAACTACTCTGTAGATTAAACTGGCTAACCTCATTTCATAATCTCAATTCTGAAAGCGGTTATCATTTATTTATCTAGCAAACAAGCACCAAAAATTGAAGGATTAATACTTACTGGTAAACACCATTATATACTAGCAGTTGAGTGACCACAGTTGCCAAGAAGGCAATTCCTACTCCAAGGCCAAAACCACTTCTAGATCTATCAAAAGTCCACCACAGTCCAATGGATAGTGCAGCCAGTGTGAGAGACAACTGTATGTTGTTATCGAAATCCACTTTCTGAGATCAGTGTTAAGAAGTCATCTTAAAAGTTGTAACCAAATAATATCATCTGTTCATTTTTCTAAATAAGAGATGCCTCTGTTGAGAAGGGAATTAATTGCTTCTACTCAAGTACATTCAGTCTCTTAGTACAATGTATGAAGCTAGGTGGGATTAAAACTGTCTCCAGTATTTACCCAATACCAGATACACAAAAGACATTAATCAATAGATCCTACCAACTGTAACCCCTCCAAAACAAAAAACAAAACAAAACAAAAAGAACAGTCTACATACATTCCCAATTATAAGGCTTTACCCATTATTTAAGAAATGCTTTCTTTGCTAAAAATGTAACTGGAAGCCTCAGAACACAAGTATCACTAAAGGAACACACTTTTGCAAAAAAGGAAACCAATATTACTTCTCCAACAGGTTTAGAATTACTTGAGAATCGTACAGGAACTTGAAAATAGAAGAGTTGACAGCTATTTAACAGGGTACCACATTCTCTCTATGATTTACTGACAGACACATTTTATAATAATGCAGTTCAGAAACAAGAGTACCAAGGACACAGTATCCCTTTCTATTATGTCAACTGTTCTAGTTTTAATTTGTTGAGGATAAAGCCTTGAAGTGAACATTATCTTACAACCTGCCAAGCTATTTTGGTGCCTGAGACTTTCTGGTATAGGACAGTTTGCTCAAATGATATTTTATTTTCATCACCTACTTAAGCATCTATTCACAAATGTATGGCCCTTTTCTACACCAAAATCTCTGGGTAAAATTAAGCTTTACAAATTCAGTTTTCTCATCTCTTTGCTAGAGGATTACACTAAAGGAATTAATTTCAAGTGTCATTAAAAGGGCATTATCTATGTCCCAAAGGCCACATCTTGGCTCTATAACCAGCTACTGGGGAAGGCGGGGGAGGTTTGGGAGAACACGTATCACCAAACTGACCATGCTGCACGTATAGAGAAATCCAAAAAAGAAATTGCAACGAAGCCATTTCCCACTTCCTTTAACACTCTTTTTCACCATTTCCCCACCCCTACCAAGCAAGTATCCTAAACACCCAGCTTGCTTATTTCTCAGAATCTCAGGACTATTGTGGGCAACTCCCTCAAGGTCCTTCCTTGTTAAGGCTTGATTTAAAAAGAAACCTACAGTTCATATGGGTATGCTTCTGGAAAAGCTTTTCTTATTGTTATGCTGTCATTATACTTAAAGTTCAAAGAAAAGGTTTAGAGCTCTGATTTCCCTATGAAATAAACACTCATGTAAAGAGTGGAATTTGGTATTAAATGAGTTTCATGTTTGCTAACTAAACTTAATTAAAAGTCACAGCGAAGTAAGGAGGCTTCCAGCGTAAATAGATATATCAATCTTAAAATAGTGCCATATGGGCCAGGTGCGGTGGCTCATGCCTGTAATCCCAGCACTTTGAGAGACCGAGGTGGGCGAATCACAAGGTCAGGAGATTGAGACCATCCTGGCTAACATGGTGAAACCCCATCTCTACTAAAAATACAGAAAAATTCACCGGGTGTGGTGGCAGGTGCCTGTAGTCCCAGCTACTCAGGAGGCTGAGGCAGGAGAATGGCGTGAACCCGGGAGGCGAAGCTTGCAGTGAGCCAAGATTGTGCCACTGCATTCCAGCCTGGGTGACAGAGCAAGACTCCGTCTCAAAAAATAAAAAAATAGTGCCAAATGATTTTGTAAAGTCTAAGTAACCTAATATTAGAAGTGTATGCTATAAATTTGGTAAACATGTTGGACTTTACTTGAAGGACAACAGGATATCTAAGATTGCTATATTTAAGTATTTCATTGAGAAAGAGAGTGAACAAAGCAAAGAATTTGAACTTATTAAGTTTTTAGAATTTCAGAAAAGGCTATTTAAATTTCTCTACTTAAAAACAAAAATCAAAGTGGAAGTGTCTAAGAGAGAAAGATCTAATCCACCGGACAGAGAGGAACTGACACAGTTTTGAGGTTCCTGGGTAGGAAAATGAGATGTTTCTAGACTTTAGTCAGGCTGTCTCAGGGCTGTTCTCAGCTCTGCTGCAATGTCGCAGTATAAATGACTTAGTAAATTACCTAACCTCTTTAGCTTCTGTTTATTATCTTTACAAAGAAAATGTGGAACTAGGTGATTTCTAAGTTCTCTTCTAGATATAATAGTATATGATTTTAACTTTTTAAGCCCTCCTGACCACTAGATTTTTTATAAAATCTTAAATCTCAAAAAGTTCACCAAAATAAACATGTGGAAATGTCCTCAATACAAACAGAAATTAAAACTAATAATAGCCACTGAGGGACTTCCAAATTCACAGACCTGCAACAGCCAGCACAACTGTGCAGAGGAAGGCAGATGTGTTTTCAGAATCTAGGACCCTGCTCTTTTCTATGGTTTCTGTCCCCAAGCTTATCCAAAACACCTCAATACTTTTTGGGAAAGACACAGGGGTCTACTTGACACATGACCCACCCTCTCTCTCCAGCTAGCTAACTCTGCCTGCCCCAAGTCCAGTGCAGAGTTATAAGAGCAAACTTTTGGCAGCCTGAGTCACACTTCTTGCTTTTCCAAGTACCCAAGGCTCCTGCCACCTTCATTGTCTAAACCACATCTCCTAGAAAAAGACAGGAATAGCATTTCCTAGTTCCTCTTCTACCAAGGAAAGTCAGAGCAAATGAGGAGGAAGTACAAGAGAGGAAATAAAGAGGATGATAGGAGGAAAACCTTATGAGGGCAAACATTTTTTTCTGGGCAGAGAAGGTAGAAAGGGGAAGGGGAATAGGGGCTACCTGAGACACTGTAAAAATACTCATTAACCACTAAATAAAATGTCTGAATCTTCAAACAATAAAACTTTGAAAATATGTACTAGGGTAGAAACTTATTTTTTGGCCAAGGTCTAAGTTGGTATTTCTACTTATGCCGTTTATGTGGTTTGTCGGTATTGATTAAAACCAATGCATCTACCTTTAAAAAAAAAAAGCTTCTTTAAGTTAAGAAAAACAAAAGACAAAATAGCACCTGAAGCTACCACATGTACTTATTAGCAATTCTTAACAAAGAAAGAGAGGAAAAAACTCCTCTGAAAATGTACCTGTTCCATTTTTGGATTAACTACACAAAAGTAATTAAGTAACCAAATTTAAGAAAAACAAGTAAAGTTTTCAAATTTGCAAAGTTTCTAAGTGATAGTGAAAAATACACAATGAAATGAAAGGCTATACCCCACTTTATAATTGCACAGCTGCTACACCGATGTTTCAACAATATGGTTGACATTCTTCTTCTGACTAAGTGGGCATATCATAATTTGACAACAGTGAAGTTGTAAGGGGCTGTTTAACCTTTGGTTTGTTGGAAGCCACTTTGTTATTATGCATTTCATTACAGAGTAAAGGATACAGCACTGGCATGATTTATACCAACAAAGACTGCTACACACCGCATTACACTGGACCACTCTCTTTTAAATTTATGTGGTTCTCCTAGATGTCTGTCAATGCAGGGGTATAATAACCCAATCACAGCTGTAGGGAAAAAAGAAAAAAATTAAGTTACCTCCAATGTTGTACTGGCAACACTTAAGCTAAAAGAATCACTACAACCACCACAAGCATTTTAAAGATTCTTAAAAAAAAAAAAACAAAAAAAAAAGTTATTTCACATCAATCACCGATATTTTTTAACTTACCTTCCAAAGGAAATGAAATGAGGATAACACCAATGAAGAAAGTATTGCAAATGATTACAACAACATTCTAAATTATAATCAACAAAATACTCTTCAAATGTATGATTCACAATTTAGCAGACTGGACTAAATGATTCGTGCTACTAAATGATTCATGCTACTTTTCTACTACTGATACCTACGAGACCTGAAAAAAGTATCAAACCAGTTAGCAGTTAAGTAATGTTCTCTCTAAACTCCAAACCATAAAATATTTATTATATGCCACAAATCTAAGAGAATCTAGAAGTATAAAAGTATACAACAAGCTCATCATACACACAATGTTCTGAAGGTTCTGGCTGGCCTCTTACGTAGATCAGTCTCGCCCCTACCAGCTTCCCGTTTTAGTCTTCAGCATGTAGCACCTTTTACTGACACTCCTTTCCACTCTAGCCCTTTAATGAGGCTGTAGGTCATATTGTCAAAGCAGGAAAACTCACAACAGAAATCTACAGGTAAGACTCATTCTGCACATAGAAACAATGGAGGAAACAAGGTGTAGAGGTATTTAAAATTTTCAGTTAAATTTTAAGTGCACTGTTAGAAGAAGAAATCATCTTAGTACTTCTCTTAGTTTTGGAAAGAACACTTTGAATGTTGTGTCATTAATTATACATAACTGTATATAAAATGTCAATGATTGAGTCCCAAAATATTCTCATCCCTTTCTTATTTCTCAAACCTCAACATTTTATTCATTTAGTGGGAAGGAATTTTAAGTGCTAAATTAGTTATTAAAAAGACTATTTAATGAAAATATTCTAATCTTCCTAAAAACAGGATGATTATGTTGTGCCATTCTGGCAATAAAGACACTACTGTCACATCAGTTGAAAAGCATGTTTAAAATAACCAATACCACTTAAGAGGAATCATGAAATTACAACGCCAAAATCTAAGTGCCTGAGGGACAAGAGGCCCTCCCCCTACCCAGTATTAGCCAGCTGTATCTCACAGGCAATGCATTCACTCTTCGAAGAAAAACAGAAACCAATTAGTATCAAAAATCACAGCCTAGCAGACCAATGGTGCAGCATTTGAAAAAGGCTGTGTGACCACCCTTCTATCTCGAGATGAGATGCTGCAATACTGTATGCATTTTCTAGTCCACAACTCTTTTGAGTTAGGCATGTGCTGAGTATAGATGGCTCACAGAACATCAAGAGATTAAGAACATATCTCGGCAATGCAGAGCTCCAATAACTATTAGTAAATCTAGAAGTTTCACACTATATTCCTATTTAAAAATCTGCTCCAAAATCCTGACAAGATTAACTGACAGGATTTTAAAATTTCTATACAAATAAAATGGCAACAAGCATCCCTAACAGTTGAAATGTAGTTAAACGAATATCACCTCTTTTTTTCTCAAGGGGTCATAAAACTAACAGCTCATTTGTCACCCCCATCCCCCCACCATATATATCCTCCCTTTGCCTGTTGCTGAGTAAAGTCAACTAAGAGCAGACATTCCAAGTCAATTTTCCTGAGCAACTGATGCCTAGGTAAAGAATTATTACATAGAGAATACTGACATGTATGTGCAAAGGTATAAATAAGTAAAATCGACTATATTTTTATGCATGTGATGTCAGACTTGCAAGTGAGAGACAACTGAGGAGAGAAAGCAAAAACACAAAAAGAAATTTAAACTGCCACACTGCCAACCCTGGGATTTGCCAATAAAAATCAAATCCATTGAGTATGCATGGTTCTCAGTTGCTCACTGAGAGGGAGAATTCGAAGAAGCTTGTCACTTCCCATTAAATGTCTTCTTTCTTTCCTTTAAATAAAGGCATGGCAGAGTCTGATAGCAATATATACAACACTGTGAGGTTCCACTGTTTGAGAGCTCAACAGAGTATGTCTGGGCCTCTTTTCCTCTTCTTGTACTTTTTTTTAAAAAAAACAAGAAAGACTGTTAAAATCATGCCTGTGTAAAATCATATGCAAACACAATCCTGCTTATAAATCAAATGGTTCTCTGATGCAAAAATCACATTTCTTGTGATACCTTTAAGTTATTTCCCAGTGACTAGTTACAGTCTACCAAAGCTAAACACTAAAGAAGTTTGTAAAATATCAGTAGTAAGTCATCACTTTTTTATGGGAATGTGCTTAAATGCAGGGAGGCACTAAAAGGAACACAGTTAAAGTCAGACATTTTGTAAGAAAACAGGAACTGAATAAACGAAAACACTCCATGAGGTATACTTCGACGCAAAACTATAAGATAATATTTTCCTTCAACAAATACTTAAGCCCTGACAATATGTCTGGTTCTTGGTATTTGCTGGAGATTTAAAAAGGTAAGGCCAGGCGTGGTGGCTCACACCTGTAATCCCAGCACTTTGAGAGGCCGAGGCAGGCGAATCGCGAGGTCAGGAGTTTGAGACCAGCCCGGCCAACATGGTGAAAACCTGTCTCCACTAAAAATACAAAAAAATAGCTGGACGTAGTGGTGGGCGCCTGTAATCCCAGCTACTCGGAAGGCTGAGGCAGGAGAATCGCTTGAAGCTGGGAGGTGGAGGTTGCAGTAAGCCGAGATGGCGCCACTGCACTCCAGCCCAGGTGACGGAGTGAGACTCCGTCTCAAAAAAAAAAAAAAAAAAAAAAAGGCAAAAGAGTAAGATACGATTCCAATTGCAAAGTGACCACAGAAACAATTAAATACAATCCTGCATTAAGGGCAGCTGACAGGACAGAGGGGTCCCAGGCTTCTCCTTGCCTGTGCTAGGGGAAGGCAAGGTGCTGGGCTGTCAGAAAAGCTTCACGGAAAGAGGTGACCCTTGAGGCAGGAGCATTCAGCAGTAAATGGCGCAGAAATAGTGCTCTCATTAAAGGGAGGTGGCTGAGGACATTCATGGAAAACTGGAAACTGCTGGTGTTAAGAGGAAGCTGTAAGCTTCAGACACAAAGGGAGCTGCAGGGTCCAGAAAGACTCTGAAGAAGAAAAAAGCAGTCAAGGGCCATATTATAAAGACTTTACCCTGCAGACAATGGGCAATCAGGAAAACAATGTCATCACTGTTGTACCAGAGAGAGGCCATCTTCTTAGCAGTGAGGGTACCATACAAGGGGGCTGAGAAAAGGGTGGGTGCAAAACTAGAGGCCGGCAAAGACTAAAGACTCCAAGCACAGCCATTGAGGGATGGACCAAGAAAGAGACAGAGGAAAGATGTAAGACTTGGAAACTGGATGTAGAACGGGAGAGAAAGCAAGGAATCTTACAAGGCTCTACAGGAATAGGGCAAGGGACTGCACAGCTAAACAGGAAAGATTTTTCTTTTCTTTTTACATTAGATATTATTTTCATACGTTTGGACACAACCAGGCTACTTGTGATTTTTGAGGCAACTTCTCTACTTATTTTATCCACACGAGTTGTCTTTTTCTATTTATTCTTTAGAAAGATTTCTTTGTGGCCCTCAATAATGCTGAAAAGATTTCTAATTCCAATTCTGGTGCATGGCACACATAAGGAAGTTAACTTGTAACATCAGCATTATCAAACTAAAAATATGGAATTAAGAAAAAAAAGTCATCAAAATTAGTTTACCAAAGTTCTCTATTAGTTGTCCCACCAGAACCACCACTAGCAAATTTTCCAGGATTGTGCTATAGAGAAAGGTGGCAAATAACAAGGAGCACTTTCTACACACAGAAGGTGGTGATTCTGGAGCCCCTCCAAAAGGTGGCTGCTCTATCTATGAATGTTAGTTGAACAGGAAAATCAAAGGATGATTATCAGTTTTTCTGACTTAAGATGGTAAGACCCTAGCGAGGTCTTGAAAATCCACGCCAACACATATACACAAAAACATATGCATATTACATACACACACAAACTCAAACACACTATGTTTCTTAAATCATTTACTTCTTTTCCCATGATACTTTCCCTAAAATAATGATGCAGGGGATGGCAGAGCAGAGATTTTGAGAGAATCCATTTTCCATCTCTGGCAACTTGGACAAATCTGATATCTTTCACTCTCATCTACTAAACACCATGACTTAACTAACAAAATTGGTAGCAGAATTGGCTGGAATCTAGATTTCCTAATGTCTCTCTACTTTCTTTTGCCCAAGTACCTTATGGTACAAACTGCTTTCAGAAGAAATACTTAAGCAAGAAATGTAAATGCAAATTCCCCAAATGAGGTTAAGTTTGTAAGTGTGACAAACCTAGTGGCTGGGAACAGGAAGGAAAGTAGTGGCTGAACTGTGGTATTAGCATTTGAAATTTTCCTTCCTAAAATGTAAGTTTATGGCAAAAGTGCTGACATTAAAGGGGCAGAAGGACAAGACAGCAGGTGCAGCCCTGTTACTCTTCATAGTGGAGGTACAATGAAACCTCAGTTAAGTTCTCCTGCCCCAGCCCAAATGCACAACACACGCCAGGGAATTCCATCTAGGTCTGGCACCCAGTCTGGAGGCTTGAAAAGTGGCATCCTGAGTAGGGGGAAAAGTGTGAGTAGCTTCCTTTTCCCTTCCCCAGCATGTGACATGTGGACCCAGTCACACCACTCACTGGCTCTGGGACCCTGGGCTCACTGGTTTTCTTTCTTCATCTCAGTGAGTGTCCTCATCTCCCCATAACAGGCACAATGCCAAACATCTCTCTCCCAAAGTTGCTCTACAGAACCCTGGGATTACAGGATGTACCTAGCACATTAGCAGACATTCAATAAACAACAGTTTCCCTTCCCTCTGTTCTATCCTGAAAAGACATGTATGCTCTTCCATGTCCCAAAAAGCTTCTACTGGCAGCCAGACTATACTATAGAAGAAAAGAAACAAAGAACTAGAAAAGTTGTTGAGAAAACGTTTTCTCTTCTGAATTTAAATGAAAGAAAAATGCATGAGGACCAGTACATACAGCAGAGTGATACAATTTAATTTGTTTTTTATTTGGACTATTTTTTGCCTTTTCTCTTGGAGAATGATAACCCTGGGAAACTAAGAATCACTGCCTTCATGACTTCACTTTTAATGTGAACGATGTAATAGTGAGACATCAGTATATAAACACTGAAGCCTTACTACAACAGTGCCCCTCTAACTGTGCAACAGGATTCTATAATTGTCCAGCAAGTTTCACAAGGCCATTCTAACACTTCCGTAAAGCGCAACCTCATCCTTCAACCTCCCGCTCTTGGATGGAAGCCAAGAAGGACATATATTATGTTGCAAGATATTCATTCATATATGTTAAGTATGAGACACCAAATGGGTATTTAAAAAGCAATTTTCTCCTTCAATCAGAATTATCTTCTACCACATGATTATGGTTTCCTTTTATTACTTTATTATTAAAAACAGTATTAATCTATTGGTCTTGGTCATTAGAAAACACTAAAGTGCTATCCATTGTGGAAGTATGGCAGCAATAAAGTATTGTGAAATGCTCTACTCTATGCATTACACACTGCCCACCACCAAAAAAATATCTAAAGTAACTAATAGGATACTAATTTTAAGCAAAGAGAGTCTACCTTATAGATGTCTTTAAATATTTATTATTCTAAGGTACTTATAAAAACAAGATACCAAGGAAAAAAGCATTTACAAAAATACAACATGAAGCTTTAAACTTTAATTATTCAAGTTTTTATTACTTCAGAAACAAGACTACAGCACATGCATCAAACCCTTAAAACCAAATGGTGGTGCTCATCATCCAAATAACTTAAAATAACACTTAGATGAGATGGGTTGAAGAAAGAACAAAATTAAGGGGTTAAATGCTTCATCCCTAAGGGAAACAGGATTGTTTTTCAGAATTAAATGTTAAAAGTTTACAGGACAGATAGAATGAGACAGAAGGGAGTACATACGTTATGAGCCCATTTATATTGCATTCTAGAACAGAGATAAATAATTTATGGCAACAGAAAGCAGATCAGTGGTAGCCTGAGGCTGGGGGTGGGGAATGGACTGCAAGAGGACACGAGAGACTCTGGAGGGTGATGGAAATGTTCCACAGCTGGATTGGCAGTGGTCATGTGACTGTACGCATTTGCCTAAACACATCAAGTTGTTCAATTCAAACGGGTCCAGTGTATTATACCTAAATTATATCTCAATAAATATATTTTCTTTTTTAAAAAGGTTTATTGCTCAGACAACGTCCATACTCATTTACCCTATTTCCTTTCTAAGCATTACAGAAACATCCTACACATACCTGAAGCCGTGCCACAGCATGGGGGTACCCACCATGCAGAAGAAAAGATGCTTGCAATCACATCAGGTGGAAAGAGCGTCACATTTCTCTGAATCTGAAGTAAATTTAACACTAATGCAAGAAATACTCCAATAAAAAATAGCACTACTCCTCGAATCATCAAGTTCACACTCTGGCTAGTGACAGATGAAATATATGGGCCACACTTTTTGGGCCCAGGTGACTCTGTCTCTCCTTCTGCCATGGTTTCATAGGTTCAGAAAGCCGTTAAAAAAAAAAAAATGGAAAGGCTTCCCAGCTGAAAAGCTCAACTGTCTGTGAATCAAAGACTGACGCTTCAACGGTACCACATCTTGTCCTAAAGTAGGACCTACCAGAAATCCTGCAAGAGATAAGAAAAAAGAAATTAATGTGTATCTAATACATGATTATTGTAATTTTACTGATTTCAATACTAGTTAATTTAAATGGACAAATAAGAAAATGACAAGCTTGTATACTAATTTATTCAAATTACTAACAGTTATTTATTGAATAAGAAAAAGTTTTAAAAGTATTTTTATATGCAAGACGTAATAAAAAATAAAGTACTACCCTTACATTTCCTAGGACAGAAAACATGACCTAAGAGACCTGAAGGTTAGAATCATAGTAGAAACAGCTTGCTCCATCTCTGAGAAAAGCAGAACAGGTAATCTGACACTTCCACTAGAATCTGGAGGGTAAAACCCTGCTCTCTGTTTCTTCTCCCTAAATCTCTAAGCCTATCAGTTACAATACTGTATTTTATATTTTACAGATAAGCATATTCTGACTGAAGACGCTGTATATTTTGCAATAAAATGTTACTTGCTTACAAGGACAACCTCCACAGAAGAACAAAATAACCCGCTTTAATGTTTATTATTTGGTTATCCGCACAAAAACATTCTACAAAACCAGACCACCACGCACACACCTACATATACACCAAACACAGAAACCAGACCTGACTCACTCTCCCCAGGGGCACAACTGTATCCCACTCCTGTCTCAACAGTCTGCCCTTGTTGCAATCACAGAAGGGATTGTAAGAAAGCTGGAGGACGAAGCAAAAGAAAGGAAGTGAAGAAAATGAAGAACAATCTAATGGCTAGATTCTAAGGAGTTTTATCCACTTGGTCCCTGACTCCTAAAACCTAAAACTTTGCTACTACAATCAGTCTAGGTACTTGTTCATTCCTCTAACCAAAGTGATCTTTCCTTTTGGGGCTTTCTATGTGCTGTTTTAAGCACCTGACATGTGGTAATTCATTTAATCCTCACAATAACCTTCAGAGGTAAGTGCAATTATTATGTACATTTTATAGGTGACGCAAAAAAGCAAAGAAAGGTTAAGTCACTTGACCTAGTTCACATCTCCAGTAAGAGGCCAAGCTGGGATTCAAAACCATGCAGTCTGACTCCAAAGCCCTCATTCTTACCATGATGTTCAGTCTCCCAAACTGTCACATATTTGATATGTTTTCTATGAATACTAACAGTTTTTAAATGGGAAAAATACTACACAGGTAATTTACTTTTATCCCATCCAACAATATATCTTTGGCACTTTCATAAATCGGTACAGAAATGATATTTCCTTCAATCCAAAAGCAGTTTATTTTAAAAAGTGTAGCACTTATAATGACTACTTTCTAATTAAAGGTATAGTTGCTTTATGGATTGTAAATGTTTTATGAAGGTCTTATTCACTATTATATTAATATCACTGTGCCTATGCACCCAGAAAAGTTCCTGCTTAGCCCACAGTGGGAGCTCCACATAATCATATTTGCTTAATTAAATTGGGTTAACTCTTTCTGAATCAAACCATATAGGGTAAAGTAGGCCTTTTTGAGAGCAAACCTAGCTCCTAATCATCACATAAAATTTATACATTTCCTCTGAGTTTTCCAGTATCAAACAACCTTTGAATGAATTTTGGAACAAAGCCCTCATGTAAACCGCAGAGAATGGGGCTGAATTACAAATAACTAGTATGAAAATGAGAATATCTGTAAGTACTAGTAACCTCCACAACCTGTCAGTTCCATGTGATAAACACTTAGACAACGGGCCTTTTTACTGGGGCTATGCCACATCAAAGCTCTGTGTTCAACATTCAAGAGGAAATTCTGTTCCCAAGCTAGTCCTCACTGACCTACTTAGTCTATAATGTAATTGAACTCTATGGCTTAAAGGACTAAAAAAACTAATCCACAGTATAGCTAATTCATGGGAAAACATACTCTAAATACCAACTGAAAATGCCCTGAAACATCTCCTCCTGACCTGATCCTGCAGACCATTCCTTGCTGTGGAATCCAGGCATATGAGCATGCCATGCATTCTGGTTGCTTTCAGCAAGGTTCAGTAGCTACAGAACTCTCCATCATCATCATCATCATCATCTGGTTGCTTTTGGCAAGGTTCAGTAGCTACAGAACTCTCCTTCATCATCATCATCATCTGGTTGCTTTTGGCAAGGTTCAGTAGCTACAGAACTCTCCTTCATCATCATCATCATCATCATCATCATCATCATCTGGTTGCTTTTGGCAAGGTTCAGTAGCTACAGAACTCTCCTCCTCCTCCTCCTCATCATCATCATCATCTGGTTGCTTTTAGCAAGGTTCAGTAGCTACAGAACTCTCCTCCTCCTCCTCCTCCTCCTCATCATCATCATCATCTGGTTGCTTTCAGCAAGGTTCAGTAGCTACAGAACTCTCCATCATCATCATCATCATCATCATCATCATCATCATCATCTGGTTGCTTTTGGCAAGGTTCAGTAGCTACAGAACTCTCCTCCTCCTCCTCCTCCTCCTCCTCCTCCTCATCATCATCATCATCATCTGGTTGCTTTTAGCAAGGTTCAGTAGCTACAGAACTCTCCTCCTCCTCCTCCTCCTCCTCATCATCATCATCATCTGGTTGCTTTCAGCAAGGTTCAGTAGCTACAGAACTCTCCTTCATCATCATCAACATCATCATCTGGTTGCTTTTGGCAAGGTTCAGTAGCTACAGAACTCTCCTTCATCATCATCATCATCTGGTTGCTCTTGGCAAGGTTCAGTAGCTACAGAACTCTCCTCCTCCTCCTCCTCCTCCTCCTCATCATCATCATCTGGTTGCTTTTAGCAAGGTTCAGTAGCTACAGAACTCTCCTCCTCCTCCTCCTCCTCCTCATCATCATCATCATCTGGTTGCTTTCAGCAAGGTTCAGTAGCTACAGAACTCTCCATCATCATCATCATCATCATCATCATCATCATCATCATCTGGTTGCTTTTGGCAAGGTTCAGTAGCTACAGAACTCTCCTTCATCATCATCATCATCATCATCTGGTTGCTTTTGGCAAGGTTCAGTAGCTACAGAACTCTCCTTCATCATCATCATCATCATCATCATCATCTGGTTGCTTTTGGCAAGGTTCAGTAGCTACAGAACTCTCCTCCTCCTCCTCCTCCTCCTCCTCATCATCATCATCTGGTTGCTTTCAGCAAGGTTCAGTAGCTACAGAACTCTCCATCATCATCATCATCATCATCATCATCATCATCATCATCTGGTTGCTTTTGGCAAGGTTCAGTAGCTACAGAACTCTCCTTCATCATCATCATCATCATCATCTGGTTGCTTTTGGCAAGGTTCAGTAGCTACAGAACTCTCCTTCATCATCATCATCATCATCATCATCTGGTTGCTTTTGGCAAGGTTCAGTAGCTACAGAACTCTCCTCCTCCTCCTCCTCCTCCTCCTCATCATCATCATCTGGTTGCTTTTAGCAAGGTTCAGTAGCTACAGAACTCTCCTCCTCCTCCTCCTCCTCATCATCATCATAATCTGGTTGCTTTTAGCAAGGTTCAGTAGCTACAGAACTCTCCTCGTCCTCATCATCATCATCATCATCATCATCTGGTTGCTTTTAGCAAGGTTCAGTAGCTACAGAACTCTCCTCCTCATCATCATCATCATTATTCTTTATAGGGCACCCATTTATGGAAGGCCTACTCCCTGCCAGACATATAGTAACTCTACTCTTCAAAACAAACATAAAGGTAGACATTATCATCCTCATTTTACAGATGAGGCTACCAAGTCAAAGAGATTCAGCAATTTGCTTATGGTCACATGACATGCAGTATCAAAACTGAAATTCCACTTCAGGTCTGATTCCAAAACCCATCCTCTTGCCTCTATACCTTGAATTCCATTCCATCTCAACTGCTCAGACTTCTTTTTCGGCAGATGGTTCTATATAAAAGTGTTTGGTTACTGAAAAGATGGTTAGATGTTGAAATACCATCTCAACTATAATACACTCTCAGATAGTAAGCCAAAACAAGCAGGTGACTATACAATTGCACAAAGATGATGAGAATAAATGTAAAATCACCTTGAAATTTTCTTTAATAGTACTAGATCAAGGTGTGAAAATGTTTTAAAGTAAAAAGAAAAAATAGCAAACTAACACTCTGTATAAGAACATTAGTTGACTCTTTACTTCCCCAGATCCCAGTAGACACAGCACGTTGCCCTCACGTGCTGCTAACAGCTGCTAGAAGATGGGCATACTTTGAGTAACCCACATTGAGACAGCGTATCATTTGTTTCTGTTTGTGATTTTTCCAAAAGGGAATTAATGGAAAGGGGTATTTTATGTTTAATAGTATTTTTAAAAAGGAAAATAACTTCAGTTTAAAAAAGCTATTTCAGTCATGCTAGCCCCCATCTCACACTGACCAGCATTTGTCAAAGGGCACTGATATTTTAGGCAGGACAATTATTTGCTGTGTGAGACTGTTCTAAGCATTGCAAAACATTTAGCATCCCTGGCTCCCACCCACTAAATGCCCCCTCCCCTATTTGTGATAACCAAAACTGTCCCCACAATGAGAGCCACTGATTGCTACAGACTTCATTCTATTTCAAGACAGCTAGAGACTTTCTGTTTATTTATGTTTTCTACCACAGCTGCTTATTTAACCTTTCCTGGCAGTGCTTGTTTAGTTTTCTACTTCGCCCCAAAAGTTTTCCTTAAAAATAACACATTTGCTTGACATTTATTTGAATGAGATTCAAAAAGCTAATTTTGTAACTACATCATAATACAATAGTATATAATTACTGGTGACAAAAAATAAAAGCTTTAAGAAATAGCAGGGAACTGGGAAATCATCTATTCCAAGGGGTATGAGACCCCCATGCGAAACAAAACAAAAAAGTTGTATATATATGCATTTTTTTCTGGGATGAAAGTTCCATAATTTATATAAAGTACTCAAAAAAGTCCATGATCCAAACAAAGTAAAGAATCAGTAATCTAACAATTCTCTCACTCTATTAGCAAGGCCAATGACATGCAAAGTAGTCAACTGGATTAACAAGATTAAGACAGTACCATCAGTTCTTATTACCACAAACGTGTATAGTGAATGCCAGAAAATGACCAGACTCATCAAAGGGATAGAGGCGTCCACAAAACCATTTCACCCCCTACCATGCAACAATGAAATTCCTTTAAAAGCATGTTTATAATATCAGTTGCACACTAGAGGAGTCAGAGGAGTGGGTTATTTTCAAGGGAAAGTAAGCTCCCTTAGTTTACTTTGAAGTTTGTTTTTCTGATTTTGTACTGATACCATTTTCTTAAAACAAAGTGGATCTATATCTTTAAATATTAGTCTTACATTAATGATAAACTTGATGCTCCAAAATTTTTTTTAAAAATCTATATTTGAAAAATTTAGATTACTTGACAAATAATTTGCTGACCAGGGAAAAAGTCTCTGGTATAAAGATACTGTTTAAAGGACAATATGTCAATAGATTCTCGAAAACAATCTTGGTAAATAGGCAGGTGTTGTTAGTTTCCATTTTACAAAATAAAATAGGTTAAGTAACTTTCCAAGATCACAGAACTGTTACCAGGTAGCACCAGGACTAGGCTCACCCACTCTGACCCCATGTCCGGAGTTCTTCCTGCTTCACCACACTGCTTCCATTCACAAACATGGTACAAAACAATTTAAGTGCCACACAAGAAACCGTTTTTAAAATCATGTTGGTAAACTACTATTAATACCAAAATAATGTTTTCAACAATTCACAAAGAAAAACTTTCCACCAGACTTGAAAAATTCTACGCTGAGCCCTGGCCTAAAATTTCTGGAAAGTACAATACTAAACAAAAAGAAAAAAAGTTGAAATAATTTGCATAGATCAATGATGAATCATCAATACTGGAAAAACATTATTCCAGGTGTATGGCTGCCTATTAATGGATTGATATTATTACTTTCAGGTTAAAAAAGAGTTATAAGTGATTATGAGCTTCGTGAATAAAAATCAAGGTTCATGTTGGCCACTGAAACAACTTAGAGGCAACAAGCATTTGAAAACAAACACACATACAAAATCTTCTAGTAACCTTAAGAACCTGTTGCATTGTAACAACTGCAACACCCCCTAAAACCAAATGACAAGACCATTCCTCTTCCAATGATTAGCCGTAAAAGAAGTATTTTTACTCCCTCAGATAACCCTGTTTCTTCAGGTGCTTAGGTCACGTAAGCTACTAAATAATAAAGTTAAATTACTACCTCACATATTTTTCATCATATGCTCTCTTAATTAGAATAGCATTCTTGAAATAGAATAAGCACTAACATTAGAAAAAAACAGACTTAAATCAATGCAACAGTTTAATGCTCCCTAAATAAAAACACATCTACATGTATCATGGGCTAGAGACGTTAAAAATTTCTAGGAAGAAAAGCAATATTTGCCTTATAAACACTGCAACTCTTTCCTCTCAACATTAAAACCCAAACATAGAAACCAGTAAGTTAGCTGCATTTACAGCCCCTTACAGGTTTTAAATGTCACATCTCAGTGCCTAAAAAAGTTACTCCATCGTTTCGAGATAAGTTTCTGAGAACAAAGAAAACTCTTTAAACTACTGAACTGCATTTTATTCTTTCCTTTTCCGTGTGACCATCTGCAAAAGCAACAGTTGTCAGTTAAACAGAATCAACCTCTTTCCCGAGTGGACATGATTCACAGCTTGGTCACTGTACAGCAGATGTGAACTGAGAACTACGACATAACACAATGACAAAACACAGTACTGAGCACAAAGTACAGGGAAAGAATGAAAGACAGAAAACAGGAAGAGCACACGTCTGATTTTTGTTTTCTTTGGGGCCCCCATTAGTAGCATTCCCTTCATCCATCTTCATTCAGTGGTTCACTATCAGGGCCAAACCCAAAAGTTACAAAACACCATCTAGCTACTGTCTGGCTGCTTTTATTTTTTCTGCACCAGGACGGGAGCACGCATTCCCCTGCAGTCCTCAGCTCCACCGCAATACTGATACCAAACAGTTTCAGTGGCCCAGCTGCCAAGCCTAACCATTCCTTTTTAAAGCATTTCTTCATCAATCCTACAAAACAGCAAGTTCTTCATGGTATATTTTCCTAGAGCATCTAGCTAATATCATACTTTAACAACTTTTTCCAACGTTAACTGGACATGGGTCATTATCACTTAAGTGTTAGCGCCATTGCCCGCGCCCACTCCCATAATCCACACTGCTTTCCTTCTCCATATTGCCAATCCCCACTAAGCAACCCTAAAATCTAGTAATTATCATCAAATCCACTTCTAGGCCCTGGCAAGAATTATTTGGCTTTACCGAAACACCTATTCCATAGGTAACCAATTCCAGTCAAAAATGCCAGAGTATTACTCCTCAACCCAATGCCCTATCTCCTTAGTGGATTATAAACTTACTACGACAACCTGTCTTCTTTGGATCCAATCCCCGCCCAAGTCTGAGTCTTCTCTCCCAGGCTACAAGCCCCCAAGTCCTGGCAGCTCTATGCTTGACAGCTCGCTGACCTCCACCTCATCAGACCATTGGGTCGCCCTTCTCGCCGTCCTCCAGCCTTCTTCCCGCTCAGACACTCATCCACTGTCCGGGGAGCCTCGACCCCTCCTATACCCCCTCCCCGATCCCGCAGTCCCCTTCTGGACCTTGCGGACCCCTCTCAGGTAAGCGGAGCCCCTTGCCCTGCAGGCCCATCAGTGGTCCTGGCTCCCCGCACCTGCCACCAGGGTTCCCAGGCTGCAAAAACACAAGTAGTTCTTCTTCCCAAGGGCCACCCTCCTCCTCAGGCCGCTTTCCTCAGCACCACGTCACCCGCGCTTCGCCGGGAGACCCCCAACTCACCCCCGCCTCCGCCATCTTCTGGGACCAGCCCCCGTACCCCCTACCGCCTCTTCCTCCTCCACTCCCACAACTCCGCCCGAGCTCCACTGCGCCTGTGCGGCCAACGAGGCCGCGCGCAGGCGATCGGGGCAGAAGAGCTTCCGGTTCCTGCTGTCAATAAGACGTGGACCTGCGAGCCGGGGCAAAAGGGCTTCCGGTCTGCGGGAAACTGGAGGCTAGCGGTGGGCGTGGACCGTCGAGGTGACTGGCGGTTGTCGGATCTGCTGTTGTTTGCTGACCAGGCAGCCGTAGGTAATGACGGATGCCCAGACCCTGTGGGCGGAGTAAAGGAATCATGCACTGATACACGCACACTCACCGAGGGGCGCGTCCGTCTGCGTGCCCCTCATCTCGTAGCCGAAAGGAGCGCGTTCCGGGGCAGGCCTCCGGGTACTTCCCGCAGAGGACCGGGCTTTATACTCTTTGCTCCTTTTCCTCCCCTAGTAAGTCATAACTTATTTTGGGAGAAGGGCATAGTTATTTGTCTCTCGTCTCCATGCTACAGCACTTTATGTGCTTTTCATTCAAAATCGTTCCTCGAGGACGACCAAGTAATGTGATTTGGGGGACAGTTTTCATAGGAAGGGCTTTATAAGTTTACACCAACATAAAGAAAACTTAAAAACCTTATAACCGCTTATTTTTCAGAAGTATTATTTTTCATTTAATCTAAAACCATACTTTTAGAACATGAAACCAAGCCAAACAGATCTTTGCAGATTGTGCAAGCGAACTTTTTTTTTTGAATGAAAGTGGTGCCATCAATGCAAAAGCAAGCCCATATAAGTGCCGAAAGGTACTCGTCATAAGGAGGAGTTGCTTCCCTATTCTGAATTTTTATTTATTTTTATTTATTTATTTATTTGAGACGGAGTCTCTCTCTGTCACCCAGGCTGGAGTGCACTGGCATGATCTCGGCTCACTGCAACCTCTGCCTCCCGGGTTCAAGTGATTCTTCTGCCTCAGCCTCCCCAGTAGCTGGGACTACAGGTACATGCCACCATGTCTGCCTACTTTTTGTATTTTTAGTAGAGATGGAGTTTCATCATATTGGCCAGGCTGGTCTCAAACTCCTGACCTCGTGATTCGCCCGCCTCATCCTCCCAAAGTGCTGGGATTACAGGCGTGAGCTGCCCCCTGAATTTGTTTTTTTTAAGCAACTCTTTTTAAAAAGAGAGAAAAAATAATCTCTCTTGAGTGTATTAGTTATTGAGCTATTCCATTTGGAGGTGGCTTAACCCAAAACGTGTATGGATGTGGTAAGATTACAATGGACTTGAATGTTCTAGATGAAATCTGGGCCGAGAGTAATTGCATAATAGTTTTCCAAAGGACTGTCAGATGGTAAACTCCTTTCATTTACTTTGAACTGATAAACGATAAGATGGATTTTTGTTTTTTGACCTTTTTATCTACATTTACTTCTGAAAATTGAAAAAGAATCTGAATTCCAACAAAATGTTTCTAGGCAAGTATTTGCATGATGCTTCTCTAACATTTCCTATATCTTAGTGTTTTCTCTAATGTTTTCTGTAGCTTTCAAATTTCACTCCTGTAAGTTTTTACACTACCAGTAAGAAAGATCTGGGCCAATTATACAGAATGGACGATGATTTTTAAAAGAATAGAGAAAGCATTCAGAAAAGAGACAATAATTTGAAAATGTTCTGACATCATGTATTTCCTTAAAGCAATACAAGTCCTGTATGTCCAGTTCATGTCTACTCCAACCGAGCTTTTTTCAGACACTTAGAAATTGCCTTCAAGAAAATCCTTATGGAACATTGTAACCTAGAGGGGCATTTATTTTCGTTTAAATATGTATTAATTGCAAGTAGTGACAGAACCTAAAAAGCAAAAACCATATAGCACCAGTTCCAAGGTTCCTATATCTAATGCAGTTACTCCTACTGCAGTACAAGGAGGAATATAAAATCCCTAGGAGAAATACAAAAGGCCATTGTCTTCTTTGACCAGATTTGAGGAAAGTTTTCATGGAAGATGTGGTCTTTCAGTGGGCGTTGAGGGTAAATATGCAGATATGGTTAGCCTGTGCATTCTGGTGGAAGCTCAGAGTTGGAAAAACATGAAACAGATTGCAGAGTCTGGCATGTACAAAGAGGTATGGTGAGACATGTGAGTTCTAAACATCAGGCTCATGAATTTGGACTAAATTTTTGTTATGGAAACATGGAAATCCTAAATTAATTGATGCCAGAATATAAATTGGTTAAGAACATCAAGAAATCATAACAACTGAGTTATTTTGAAGTTGGTGTAATGTGGTCAATGGAACGCTGGTGAATGATCCTTGAAACCTGGATTGTATTTTAGCACTAAGACAGTATGCGTGTAATCACTTGCAATAAATTCATTTTTTTAGGCTTTCTTCTTTTCATCTGTAAAATGAGAGATTGGTTTAGATGATTTCTGAGGTCTTTTTTATAGGTAGAAGTATCAACAATTTGATAATTCTTGACCTCAAGAAAGGTTTTTTCCATTAGCTTTATATGTTGTTTGGTCTCCCAACCAAGAAGATCAAAGATAAGTTAGAAAACAAAAAGCCCTTTACTTAGCTAATACAAACACCCACAAAAGTTTATTGACTTTGTTGGAGTGAGATATTGTAGGAGTCACATTAATTATTGCCTACAGGTTGATGACTAAGCCATTCAGTAAGCCTCTAAGAACCTTGGACTTGGAAACATTACCCAAATTAAAAACATCCAAGATAATTTTTTTACTATTGCAATTTTCCTATTCAGTAGCTAGAACCCCACACACTACAGACCATTCTACTTTTTTGGTTTTGGTTTTTGTTACGGTGTTTTGATGTGAAATATGTTTGAGGGACATAGAAAGTCAAGGAATTTTGCTTTTTTGAGAGATCAGAATGGATTATTTACTAAGCCAGCTATCACCTGAGCACCTGGCAGGTACCAGACACTTGGCACTGGACTTTAGGAGGAAATCAATACAGACAAGCCACATTCCTTTGTGAAGCTAGAGTCCTGTGGGGGAAACACAGTAAATGGTGGAATTCATATGTAATTACAAACTGAGACAAGTGCCATGAAGATGGAACATCTCCATATTGTGATGGAGAATAAAGGGGAATACCTGGAGACCATGCGTGAGCTGAAGATTGAGAGGGATCTGCTAAGAGCAGGATGAAGAACAGGTGTGAGGGCACAAAAGCTGAAAAACTTGGTGCATTCTGGGAATTGAAAGAAAGGCAGAGCTGGGGGTAGCAATTGAAAAGAAAATTGCAAATTGAAGTTGTATTTTAACATCATGATTGATGGTAATCACTTTCTGTGTGCCAGGCACTGTGCTAAGTTAAATCTCATTTCACATGCTCAAAACCCATTTGAAATAGATACCAAATAGCAGATGAGAAATTAAGGCTAAAAGCAGTGATTCTTAACTTTGGCTGCATATTAGGATCACCCATAGATTTATTAAAAGTTCTAGTGCCCGAGCCCCACCTGAGCGTTGAGAATCACTGACTTAGTGTTAATCAGTCCAAGGTCACTTCATAGCTAAGTGGCAGAGAAGGCAGAAATTGAACCTAGATCTATTGGATTCTAAACCCTATGCTCTTAGTCACTCACTAGTGCCCTGTCAACATTCACAAGCACGTAGTAAGCAGCAGTTACATGTGGGAACTCTGTTAAACACTGAGACACAACAATGAATAAGACAGATCTCTTGCCATCAATAAATTCACAGCCTGGAAATGCAGAAGTTAGGTCAGCCCACCTCTACAGAAGCAAGTCAACTGAGAACTCTCAATGAGATCAGATATATTTTTCCTATTTTAAGCTAGATTGATGTAGGCAACTGATGACAGGGAATCTACGTGGGCAGCTAGTGCGATTGTCTGCTGAGAGGTGGTGCAAACTTAACAAAGGCAATGGCAGAGGATACAAAGAATCATCAGGACTTGATAACTGCTAATGTTAGGAGTGAAGAAAAGAAGGTGGAAGTTGATTTCAAAGTTTTGAGCCTGAGAGACTGAGTGAAAGTAACATCATTGATCTAGAACAAGAGTACAAGAATTGAATTTCAGGTTGAGTGAGTTTGAAATACTTGTTGAACATTCGGGTAAAAATGTCCAGTAGAGCAGTGGAAATGTGCATCTGGAGTTTGAATCCCCAAATTGGTCTAGAAATGAAGATCTGGAATTATTGACTTAATAGGAGGTAGTTGAAAACATGCCTTGCATAAAGCGTATGCTGTGTTTGGAATTTTTTAAAAGACAATAGAGATACGAGAAAGAAAAGAAAAACCCTGACATTGCCATACTTGAATATGTCAATAAAGCTATTTTTTATCTACAGTGGTATTAAACACAATCAATTCATGATTATCCATGATGAGTTTTTAATACTTTCCAGGCTTTCCTTGGCCACATAGCAAATGTAATAGATGAGACATAGCCAGAGAATGCAAACCAATTTTAAATATTGGCTAAATATTTAAGAATAATGCTATATGATGCATTCAGAAATGTAATAGGAATATCCTAGAACAATGTTTTCACACAAATAATTTTTATGTACCCCTCATACTGACTTAAATTATTTTGATCATAATATTACTTAAACCTAAAAAAGTTACAATGTTCTAAACATAAAACTAGAGAGAGAATTCTTAGGCTTAAGCTCATATACATCATAAAAGCAAAATATTTGCAAACTCACTGTGAAGAAAAGCATAACGTAAGTAAGCTTAAAAGTATAGTAATGTAAAGGACATCTTGAAATGGATGTATAATGTCATCAATATTGAGGTGGATGGTAGGGGGCAGGGGGAGGTTTGCACATCAACAGCTCCAAAAAAGGAGAATGAGGACATTTATCTTTTAGTGGCATAGCACTTTGGGGGCATTTTTGGATGGGTCTGTACAGAAGCAATGACACCTAAAGTCAATAAATTGAATGTATATAAAGTCAAATGGTCGCTGTAAGGCTTGGTATGTATCATCAGGCAACAAATAAACTAAACAAAGCCCAAGCGAGGTCACTATGGATGAGCAAGCAAATGCAAAATACACCTCTAAGACAAAGCTACTGAGGTGTAAAACATCAGAGTGAGAAGACAACTGGAAAGATTACAGACTATAAACTCTTTGTCACAGAGGCAATGATAGAGACCCAGAATATAAAAGCGACACTAGCTATTAATTATTACAAGGGCCCATACAATTTGAGGTCAGAAAACATAACAAGGTGTTCTCTAAAAGATTTTTGTCCTGCTAATTCACCGTACTGTTGTTTCATCTCTGGGACACGCCATTCAAACTGAACTCACACATAATGGGGTTTATATAATGTTAGGTCCCTCCCGAAGACAATGTATGTATTCTTATCTCTAACTGAACTTAAGCTAGACTCATGGTTGTCTAAGAGTGTATATTATTTTTATAAGACACTGATGGAAGTAGCAGAGAATTTCCTCTGACTTGCTAATTATATGTATGTATACATTTATATGCATTGGTTCACAAAAGCAGAGGGTTTCATTTGATAGCAGATGAAGGACACGATGATCCAATAATTAAACTTACCCAAAAGAAATATGTATAAAGCTAGCTCATGTAACAGACATAAAACACACTATAGAAACTCAAGGACTTGAATTTAGATTTGTTCTGGGATTGAGACTTGCCAAAACCAAAAACCATCAAAAGAATTTCCCATCAAAGTAAAGAAATTATGTGAAATGATTTTAAATTTAATACTCTTGGAATTTGAGAAGCATTACTTTTTTTAAAGGCTAGGAATTAATACTTTGGTAATGATTGGAGAAAACTGAAAGAACTTTAAGAAGCAGATCTTAGATTTATAAAATTAATTTTGGTATTGAGCTGTAATAGAACCATCATCAGAAAAGCCATTCCAAACTGAGAAACAGTATGTGTAGCTCATCAATGGCCTGAAGACTCCTGGTGATGTTTAATATTCTCAGAGGATGTATTAGCTACTCTAGCTTCAGTGGATCCCATTTCTCCTTTTGGAGATTGATCCAGTGTCCTCTCCTGGAAATAAGAGCTCAGTTTTATTTGAGGAAGCCTGGGGCATGTGCACTGTTTAGAATAAGGCATATCTGCCTTGCAGGCTGTGCTCTCCACTACCAGCTGCATATTCTTGGACAAGTTATTTCTCTGTTCTTCAATTTCTTCATCATACAAGTGCCTCCTGTTGTAAGGAGTAAGTGTGATAAAGTAGTGGTAAAAGGTCATAGTTTTGCAGATTTATTCTTATTCGCTTTAATATTATCTTTGACAAATGACCTTCCTATGTCTGTTGAATGCCTTCAGTTTGGGAATTCCTCACCTCTTGAGGAAACTGCTTTTATCTTTGCATAGGTCCAGGTACAAGAGAGTTTTTCCTAGGGTTCAAGTCTCTCCAGCTTCTTTATGGCTCCCACACATTGCCACTCAATTCTGTGTGCCAGCCTTTAAATTGTTAAATCTGCTTCCTGCTCCATGCTCCCCGAAGATCCTTGTCATGTCTAAATATACCCAATTTCTTTAGTCATTTTCCATATGACTTGTTCTCCATCCCTTAACCATAGTAGTTGCTTTCTTCTGGATATGCTTCAGTCTGTCACTATCCCTTCACAGGACCACTTTCAGAACAAACACCAGAGCTGCACCATCACATCTTTTGTTCTATATACTTCTTTTAACATAACATCCCATCACAGTAGCATTTTTGTCGGCCACATCCCACTATTAAGTTGTATAGAGCTGTTAAATTTAGACAACTCTTAAATCCTTTCCATGCGCACAAACCATATTCTTTCTATCCTGTTCTTTTATTGTTGGGGTAAAACTTTGGGGGCATTTGGATTTTTTTTTCTATTGGGAGTGAAGGCTAGGTCCTAAACAAAAGGGCTTCCCTGTTGAATTTCTCCTTTTTAAAACATGTCCATAGTTACTACCTATCAAGATACTTTTGGTACAGATTCCAGCATTCAGTATAATAGTGCGCATTGCAACCTGCGTCAGCACGCCATCCTGCCATCAGAACCTTATTTGTAATAAACATTTTCGATAATGCAACACTAAGGACAGGGGCCTGTGGTGGACTCTGGAGGTGTGCCTTTTGGTTAACATAAATCCATTCATCAGAAATCATTATTTGCCTACAGCCATTCTCACTATGTGCCCAGCTCGTATTCAGAATCATGTCATTAGAGATTGGTAAATTCATATAGAAATTCAGGTTAACCACTTCATCTTCATTAACTCATGCTGACTCCTTTGCTGAGGCTTATAAATCATCTCTTTGAGGATTTGTTCTGAAAGATAACCCAGATCTGATGCCCACCTACCTAGCATTCACAGGATTCACCTCTGTTTTTAGAAGAAGACATTTACCCATTTTCAGGATTCCCTAATTCTCAAGATTCTTCATGATGATTGACAGGAGTTCTGTTTTATCCTAAAGTTCTTTTAGTGTCTGAGAAACGTAACTCATCTAGGTTGTGAGACTTACACACAGCTTCAGTAGCCAGTGCTTACTTATAGATTCCTCACCTACCTTATTTTTTAAAAACCAGTGTTAATGTTGCCCTTCTCTATGTGACAATTGTTCATCTGGAGAGAAAATAGGAATTAAAGCGGTTAGGGAGTTCTCCTTTCCTCCTGTTATCTGTTAACATTGTGAGTGTCTAGGACTACCAGGCTCCTTTGACCTTGGGAATATTTCTGTGTCACACATAAAAATGCGCCCTGTATGGCTCATCACATCAGTCCTGACCCAATTACACTGGTATTGTTTGTAGTGTGCAGTCATGAATGCTTGCACTCCACAGCCTAACCTGTTTCCAGCCTGACCTTAATACTTACTTTCATCTTTCATCCTTACTTCACTCCTTAGACCTGATACTTATCACACTTTGAATTTGTTCTTCGGTCTCCCAGGAGTAAATGCCTCACATCAGCAAATGTGTGCTTTTCTCTGCTCTGACATTCTCACCAGGTGTTTCAGTTATTCATTGCTTTGTATCAAACCAGGTAGCAGCTGTATCACCTCTTAAGTTACACATGGGCACTTCTGCCATACTGTGTTGGCCAACCAGTCACTGAGATTATCCCAGAGAGGAGAAAAGAGGAGATCTGGACTCCACCTTTCAGTGAGAGGAGAGTGAGAACATTTGCGGACAAGTTTTAAAGCCTCCACACTAGGATTAGCAGAGCCCAACAAACAGAGCCTAGGCTCCATGCAGTAAAGATATTTGTTACTTGTTCTCCCTTCTCCGTAGAAGTGTAGGCTTCCTTTTACTAACTTAGCATTCTTCATATAGCTCACTTACATTCTGGACATTAGCATCTAATATTCTTACAGGCTTATATTGCTACTTTATCTTTAAATGTGATTACTTGTCTATTTTCTGTTTAAATTCATCAGAGAACATCCTCTGAGCCCATATTAGTTTCTTAGGAGCTCCTCCATTGCTTCCACCCCACTGTATTGCCAAAACTTAAACTTTGAAAATATTTAATTTCTTTTCTTAGCACCCCTTTAAATGGATTCTACTAATCCTTTTCTTATTCTCTCTGTACAATCCACTTTTACACACTAGATATTCGCATCTTGTTAATGCTTGCCATCCCTTTCTTAGGCTGAAGAGGGTATAATGGAGTGGTTAAGAGTCAGACAGACCTGGGTTTTAATTCCTGCTCTCCCTTAATATCTGTTTAATCTTGAGAACATTATTTTACATCTTTGAACTTCAATTAATTTTATGTGATAATTGGAGATTATGAGGGGATTAAATGACAGTGGTATTGAGGAAATATAAATACATAGTAGGCACTCATTAAATGGTAGCTCTTACCAATATTCATCTCTTATCTTTTTAATTGACAACTGCAATAGTCTCCTCCATTCCGTGCTTCAGTTCCACCTAAAACATACCAAACACCCTGGCAGGTGATTTTGTAATGTCGTTTTCTTTGTGAGTTGTTGCATATGTTTCTGCCTGGTTTTTGGTTTTTTGTTTGTGTTTTAGACGGAGTCTCGCTCTGTCACCAGGCTGGAGTGCAGTGGTGCAATCTTGGCTCACTGCAACCTCTGACTCCCTGGTTCAAGCAATTCTCCTGCCTCGGCCTCCCAAGTAGCTAGAACTACAGGCACATGATACCACTCCTAGCTAATTTTTGTATTATTAGTAGAGATGGGATTTCACCATGTTGGCTAGGATGGTCTCGATCTCCTGACCTCATTATCTGCCCGCCTCGGCCTCCCAAAGTGCTGGGATTAAATGCGTGAGCCACTGTGCCTGGCCTTGCCTGGTTTTATCAACAATTTTAGTGAGTTCTACTAGGGTCAGATTCATCCACTCTTTCTTTTCTTTCGTAATCTTTCTAGCCCCTAGCTCAGCTCCGAGCTAAAATGTCTAGAGGTGCATCCTAGATTATATAACTGCCCCCACATTCAACAATTGAGTGTCAGAGCCGAGACTGACTGTTGCCCCAAATTCTCTCTGCAAATAGCTCTAAGACACCTTCCTACAGGGAAGCTAATGTAGAGGAATGTTGCTTGTCTGGAATGATTGCAGTGCTTGCAGGTGTATAATTAGTCACTAGTCAGTGTATAAATATGCTGTAAATTGCTTTATTTGTTAATGTGAAAAGCTCTGCAGAAATACAAGGTATTATAGGAACCAAGGCTGAACATGGGAGATAAGGTATTGTGGGAGAAGAACAAGTGAGTGAGGCATCAGTGTGTGTCATATGTCCCTCTGCTGGGATGAAGCTTATAGGTTCTCCCCGCCTCGTTTTCTAAGAACACCGACTCCCCTGGGTGAATAATTTAAAGGACAAATTACCACTCTTCTGGGTACCAAAGCCAGCCATAAGCTGAAATTAAATTAAATCATAAAGCCCTACAAGAAACTGAAGGAAGAGTCAGAAATGTAAAACCAAGGGAATCGAGAGCTAAGGATGAAATATGAGAGTCAGTGCGATGTCCTTGCCTTCCTGTGCTGATGAAGTAAAAAACTGAAAACCACCCTGGTACAGACCTAAAGGACCACGATCAAATATCCATTGTTAAGTACTTGGCAGTGGCTATTGCAATGATTTCAATTCCGATGGGGTATTGGAGGGAGGTAGGAGAGAGAACATTAGATCAACTTCAAGTCCTTGTACTTCAGCTAACTAGCTAGGTGACCTTGAGCCAGTTAGTACCCAATCTGGACCTTTGTTTCCTTCATCTCTCGGTTGAAATAAATGTAATCAGAGTTTGTGTTTCCATTTTTTTCCCCATATCAGCTCAGCGATCATAGTGAGCTAATAAAAACGCATATACAATTTGCCAATTAAAAATATAGAAAGCTCATTATCTCTTCTCAGAGCACAAGCCCTATTACCATAATGAAAAGTTCCCCTGTACTCCTTAGTAAGAGACCAGGAGATAGAAGGGCAACTGTGGAAATGGAAGACCATAACGTTTTGTTCTAAAACACTGTGTCCTCATAGTTTCCTCCAGAGGGAAACGAGTATATACCTGGTGGCTTAGAGGGGCGGGAATACCCTGTGTCCAGGAGGCAAGCAGTACTTTGAATGCCCAAGATTGGCTTCTGAGAAAGAAACTTGGCATGCTTATACTGCAAATCTAATGATCTAGTCACTCTACATCAATGGAATGAGAGAGAATTATGAAATCGTTTATTTAATCTCTACAAAGCAAGGACTTTGGTAAACAGTTTAGCAGCTGATCTGCTGCCAACGTGGAATGTAGGTTGGAAACCAAGTAAAAGTTGAAAACGGAGCAGATGTTGTTTTCTAGGATGCTATATCACCGAAAGGCCTGAAACACATCCTAGGTCTGGCATATTAAGCTTGACTCTATCAACATCACAGCTAAGCCTGACCAGCATTTACTACCATGACAGTATCACAAGAACAGCAAAACAAAATTCTAAAATTAAATGGTTCTTTCTCTTGCTAGAAAGCTGTGCTTGACTTCTTGGTGTACATGGATAAAGGCTACAATGAAGGAAACATTTTAGAAATACTCGCCTACCTGGTAGTCCACAGATCTTTAGATTTCATTGGCCAGCAAAATCTCAAAGGAAGAGAAAGAGAGAACAAGAGAGACCATCATATGGAAGACAAATTTGATGCCATCACTTCAAAATGAAAACATCTGGCTCACGCCTGTACTCCTAGCACTTCGGGAGGCCGAGGCAGGCAGATCACTTGAGGTCAGAGTTCAAAGCATCCTGACCAACATGGTGAAACCCCATCTTTACTAAAAATACAAAAATTAGCTGGGCATGGTGGCAGGCGCCTGTAATCCCAGCTACTTGGGAGGCTGAGGCAGGAGAATTGCTTGAATCCGGGAGGCGGAGGTTGCACTTTCACTCTACTGTCCTCCAGCCTGGGCGACAGAGAGACACCGTCTAAAAAAATAATAAGAAGAAAACAACTATTATCTACTACCACTATCATTTATAAAAGGATGTTTTAACACTAAAACAAGGAAGGACACTGTCTCAGAATAAGGGGTAGTCCTTTAATTGCTTTGATTTAGTTATTGGACATACTGACTACATTGCCCTTTAGTTTTGTTAGTAGTCATGGAGCAGTGAAAACTTCATCCTCAAGCAGAATAGTTCATCTGTGTGCATTTGGAAAGCCCTGCTCTTTGGAAGATCCTCTTAAATCTGGAAAGCCCCCTTCTCCAAAAATCCCAGTCTTAAATTCCCTCAGGGCCCAACTTTGAACCTCATTTTTACTTTGAAGGTTTTCTTGGTTACCTATTGACCACAAGGATCTTTCTACTTTCTGAATTCCTGCAGCACCTGTAATTTTAATACATAATCTAGCATTTTTATTTCGTGGGAAAGGTTTTTGAAATGTAGAATATTTTGGAGATAACGTTTAATTTTTAAGTAAACATTTAAAAGCTTTATTACCAACTGATAGAGCCACAAGTTAGACATTTCTTTAAAAAAATTCTAATTTAAGAAGGAAAAAAAGTATAGAATTTTAGAACAGAGATGAATCTTCCATTACCCAAATTCATCCGAAGTTGGCTGAGGTCTTTTATGGTTGACAGTATAGAATCCAATATATTTTGATTGGTAGACTAGACTTACATTAAGAAAGGATCATTAGCCTTTGGATTTTAATGTTGTCTCTTCTCTCCATCTAGATAAGTAAGCATCAGAACAACTCGTCTACTTCCTGTTTCAAATGCTCCGATATTCTCATATAGCTAGAATAACAGAATCCTATGTAACAGAAATTGATCTTAGAGATTATCTAGTCTATATCCTTAACAGATGGAATATCTGTAGCCCAGGTATAGTGAAGTGACTTGCCCCAAATCCCAAATCGATCAGAATTAGAGTTGGGATTTCTAATCTCTGAGCTTGCAGGTATTTTAAGTATACTAGTCTTATATCTCCGTATCTCTAGATATACAGTACATTGCACACCATGGTCCCTAAACAAGATTAAAAAGACAAGTTTTCCCCATCCCCTAGGCTATCCTTTTCACTCTTGTTTATTTCTTCTTTCCTTCCTTGGCACCTATTACCTCTGACCTCTCCCCACCCCACCCTACTTCCAAACCCATTAAAATCTAGGTTCTTAGGAAAGGCTATGAGAAACTCATCTACACAGCGTGAATTCCTCATAATTGTTCATGGAGTGTTTGCTGTGTGCCAGACATTTTTCTGGGTTGGCTGAATGTGGGACTTCTCCTAGAGTACTAGCAATTTTACAAGGTAGGAAGAAATAAGCCAACAAAGTGAATCTTCATTCAAGGCACAAGGGAGACTTCTTATTTCTTTGAAATTACCACATATCAGCAATGATTTTACTTCTAAAATCAGCCAAATTCTTCAGAGTTGGAAGCCTGCCCTCCTTTTGTCCCTCCACTACAATTACCACAAGACTTAGATATTTAGAAATATTTACAAATTCATATTGACAACGTAACAGACCCTTTTTCATTTTCCTAATTGGGAACTAGTCTTTTCTCCCTTAACAAAAACCAAAGTGTTAACACTTAAATGCAGGTTTGACATATTTTAAATATTTTTAGATGTTATTCTCAAAACCATGTAGACCCAATCCTAGAAATGAGGGCTCCTATCTCTGGAACAAATTTACTACATCATCTTCTCCAATTCTCTAAACTTGTCTGGCCACAAGTTTTCACATTTGTGAAACAGAAAAATTGTTCTTAATGGAGACTGAGGTATTGGAGGGTTGGGACCACACCTTTTAATCTTCTGTATGTTACCACACAGAGCCTCGTCTCGGGCTCTGCCCATGCAGATGCTCAGGAAATGCTTGCTAACTGAAGATTTTTATGATCACTGATAGAAAGACAGCATAAATGCAAAACACGATTTTTCCCTTGCCCCAAGTTACCCAGGAGCATCATTCTCATTCAGAGATGACCACATTTCAGAAAGTGGGTCTCATAAAACATACAATTTAATGAAGCCATCTGGGAAGATGATCATCATATAAATGCAAGATATTGATATTATCTGGCTACTTGGGGAAACACCGTCTAAATGAAGGCGCAACTCAGCTCCATAATTCAAATCTAGTATTGATGTACAAGGTCTTTGGATAATGGACTTTGCAGATTGACATTTCTCACAGATCTGAGGCTACTTTTCTCCCCTCCTTTGCAATTTTACTATATTTGCAGTAAGATTTTATTTTACTTTTTGGAAACATCTTTTTTTTCAGTAGGAATCTATCAGTGTCAACTGGGAGTCTTGAAACAGAGATTTTACATCTGTCTTTATTGATGTTTTTAAGCTTCTCTTTTTTTGAAGCAAGAAGTGTTGCAAATAACTAACATAGGCATTTCTTTGCTGCTCCAGTAATTATATGGGATGTTGTTCAGTTATTCAGCTTCCCAATTGATTCAGCTGCTTTCTTTTCTTTCATATTCTAGCAAGAAGGCGTGCTCTACTTCTGATATTATCTGGAAGACTGTTCTAAATGAAGCCACCGGGTAATCTGTTCTCCTCTCTTAACAAATGTTACCTCCTTTCTCTGAGAGATAATTGCTAAAACAATACCAAGTTCAGGCATGCCAGCAGTCACACAATGATAACAGCCAGCAGGCTTTGGCACTGTATCTTTTATGTAGTCTGAGAAAGGGATGGAGAATTCCCTCTACAATTAGGACTCTGTCTCACTATCTCCACTGAAGAAATTACCATTGGCATTGAGGCAACAGCTGCCCCCACTGTGTAAACCAAAGTTCTTCTGGGGTCCTCACAGTCTCTCCAGGAAATAATGGGATCCAGTATTTGTGCTTGCCTCTCCTGAAACACTGAGCCTATTTGGCCCTGGCTATCCCCAACCACCCCCTCACCACACACTCACCAAATAATATGTGAGCACAGTCCATCACCACACTCTTCCTAGAGGTTGGTGGAGCTCATGGACATTGTCTGAGCATGTGTGTCATGGGTTTGCTCACCCCAGGAGCCACACATGGTGTTCAAACATGGTGTCCCTTTAGAGAATATGTATGGCAGGGCTTAGAGGTGCAGAGGCAGAGGGATTGTTTCACATGCTGTGTCTGGCTGATGACTGAGGTGGGTGGGATACATAGGGAGCTGGCAATATATTCTTGATCTTTAATTCTTTTCATACTCACTAGAGAAATTCCTTTTCCCACTGCTTATCTTCTTGCATCCCTAAATCACAGGCTAGAGGTAAGTGTGTCCAGAGCTGAGGGACAAGACACTTGCATGCTTTATATCCCAAGGGAGAGTTTGCATGCTCAAAAGCAGGGTAAGAAGAAATTCCTGGCCCTCTTTCTCCTTGGCCTCAGCCAGGTACTGTCACTGCTCATCCCTGATGGGAAAGGAATATTCAGAATTTCAGTCTAATAAGGCTGTTGAGAGGTCTAGAGTCTTAGAAGTCACATTAGCAAGTACATTCAGTGAGCGCCGTGGGCCAGATATGGTGCTAGGTACAGAGCAGTGACATCACCAAGATGGTTCAGTAGGAGATATTAGCCTTCCTCTCCCCACACACAAAAAACAAATGCAGGTGACCATTGCACAATGCAGGGTTAAGGGCACCAGCTCCCCGCATAGTCAAAAATCCATGCATAACTTTTGATTCTCTCAAAACTTAACTACTATTACAATAGCTTACTGTTGACCAGAAGCCTTACTTATAACATTAAACAGTTGTTTAGCACATATTTTATATATGTATTATATATTTTATTCTTACAATAAAGTAAACTAGAGAAAAAAATGATATTAATTGCAAAGAAGAGAAAATATATTTACTATTCATTAAGTGGAAGTGGATCATTATAAAGGACTTCATCCTCCTCATCCTACATTGTTGAGGCTGAGGAAGAGGAGAAAGAAAAGGGGTTGGTCTTACTGTGTCAGGAGTGTCAGAGGGAGAGGAAAATTTGCATATAAGTGGACCGGCATAGTTCAAACCTGTGTCATTCCAGGGTCAACTGTGTAGAGGGCTCAAGGGCCTATTAAAAAATCTGCAGCTATGCAGGGGAGTAAAAAATGGCAAATATCTACACAGTAAGGTGCTACATATGGGTTATAGTAAGGAAAGAAATCCAGTTTGTGCCTTCGAAGAGTTCTCAGCCTGGTAGGGGACTCATAGCAGATTTTGTATATACATCTGTTAATATTCTCAGCGTTAATCTTAATTTTAAGAGTCTCCAAAGTTTTTCATGTTGCAAAACATGAAACTAAAATTGCAAAGGTAGTGACAAAAATAGTCTAAATACTCCTAGGGATTGGAACTCTAACATAGAAATAGCAAGTAGAGAGATAATTCCATCCAAATAGCTGACTGTATCATATCAACGACTAAGATGTTGAGAAAAACAGATTTGCGGCAAATAAAAGACATATATACTAGGGAAAACCTTTCCATTTCTCATGAAACATTAGATAATTATGGAAACCCAACATTATTTATTTAATTATTTATTTTTTGAGATGGAGTTTCGCTCTGTCGCCCAAGCTGTTGTGCAATGGTGTGATCTCAGCTCACTGCAACCTCCGCCTCCTGGGTTCAAGTGCTTCTCTTGCCTCAGTCTCCCGAGTAGCTGAGATTACAGGCATGTGCCACCACGCCTGGCTAATTTTTGTATTTTTGGTAGAGACAGGGTTTCGCCATGTTGGTCAGGCTGATCATGAACTCCTGACCTCCAGTGATCTACCCGCCTCAGCCTCTCAAAGTGCTGGGATTACAGGTGTGAGCCATCACACCTGGCCCAAACATTTATTTTTAAAAGGTATCTTTATATATAGAGATTGGTCATTCAGATAACCACTTTTTTTTAGCTGATTTCTATTCAGAGCTAGGTTGCCACAGTAGGAAGGCAAAGAAATCTAAGACAATCTTTTCCTTGGGTCACAATATTAGTGAGAAGATGAAGTTTTTGCATGTGGAAAAATTAAAGAGATATTGATTCACACTGTAAAATGCTTTTAAAATCTTTTGCCTGATATCTAAAGATTCTTTTGAGGAAAAAGATGTACAACCATAACCAAGAAGTTAAAAATTGGACTTAGGGACTTTTTGTAGTTAATTGGGGGACAGAGGGATACACATAGTGACAAAAGACATAGCTGATGAAGTGCTATCTTACAAACATAAAGGAAAATCGTTTCTAACCATTTTTTCCCCAAGTGATTTTCTGCAAGCATCAAAAGTATTAATGATACTTACAATGATATAAGGATTCATAATTCATCATTAAAATGTTAGGGAAATGTTGAGCCAAAAATGGAGTTGTTTCAAAAAAAAAGGAATTAGAATTTTTTTTAAATTTTCTCTTTATAGCAAAACATTCAGACTGTATGGCAAAGAATAGAGAGAAAAACAAGTCACTCATAATCCTGCCACACAGAGATAATCATTAGCATTTTGGTGTATGCTCTTCCAGACATTTTTCTATGTATGTATACACAAATATTAACATACACTTTTTAATACAAAAATGGAACCACACCAGGCATACTGCTATTTAATGCATTTTCAACTTAATATAGCATTTTGCATATCAATAATACAGATTTAGGGCTGGGTACAGTGGCTCACACTTGTAATCCCAGCACTTTGGGAAGCCAAGGTGGGAGGATCACTTGAGGTCAGGAGTTCGAGACAATCCTGGGCAAAATAATGAGACCCCCACTTCTACAAAGAATTTAAAAATTAGCTGGGCATGGTGGTGTGCGCCTGTAGTCACAGCTACTTAGAGGCTGAGGAGTGAGGCTCACTTAAGCCCTAGCGTTTGAGGCCACAGTGAACTATGATTGTGCCACTTTCCTCCAGCTTGAGTGACAGAGTAAGACCCTGTCTCTAAAATTATAATAATGATAATCATATATACTTAAATTGGTTTGAGCTGAAGAGTGTTCTCAAAACTCCATGTCCACCTAAAACTTCAGCATGCAATCACTTCATAGGTGAATAATGAATACTGATGGTCTACAAGTTTTTTGATCATGCGCTCCATTAGTTAAAAAAAATACACTATGCACCGTCAATAGGTATATTTATTTATAAGTTATAAACATGTACTATTTTGCTATATGCACATTATGAAACAATCTCAAAAATAGATGTTTCATAAAGATAAGATAAAAGTTTTAAAGTTTTGGCATTTTTTCCCCAGTCTAGTGGATCTTCTTGAACACCCCCCACCCTAGGGTTCACATAAAGCACTTTAAAGATCCCTGGTGCTACAGTATTCTCAATTACAAGGTGTTATAGGAATGGAATGGGTTCAAGAATGTTCTGATCATCCGAATGTGCGTGGAACCAACCAGCAAAATATTTCTGGAGGATGCAAGGATCTGTTTGGTATAGGTTGCTTGTTGTTTCACACTTGCTCATTTTTCCAGATTCTGTTCTACAGTTATCCCTGCATGAAACTTCTCCTGTCATTTCAGGTAGAACTGACAACTGTCTCTTTTGGATTGTCCTATCCCTATGCAGATATCCACGTAACGTTTATAACACTTGATTACATTTGTTGGTTTCTGTGTCTCTCTCCCCATCTGGATTATCAGCTTCTCCAAGGCAGGGATCATGTCGTATCCTTCATTAATTTGCCAGTGCTTGTTATCTAGTAGGTCCTTAATAAATACTAGGCGAACAAGTCGACAGAACTAGAGAACAATGCAGTGCATAAAAATTAGGATGTCCCGAAAGCATACAGAAGAAGGAAAAGAAAATTCTATGAGATGCTACCTAGAGCCTCTTCGACATATGATTATGTTTAATTAGATTATAATGTCTGACTTGTTTGCAGCAAATTTCACAGAATCTCCCAGTGAGTTCTCCAGATGCTTCAATGAAATTCATGGTTGCTTTGCTCCTCTGCACAGCTCTTTCTCCGCTCTACAGATGAGGGGAGTTAGCCCTGGATTGGGATATTGATGTACTTGCTAATCATACATTTGTTTTCCCTCTAAGCTTAGTCCTGCCTGCCAAGAATAGCTCAAGATGACAATCATTTTCATGTTTTCAGTCAAACAAAGGCTCCAGACAGATATGAAAAAAGGAAACAAAGCCAGAAGTTTAACATCAACAAGAAGGAAAAAAGAAGAAAATAAGTTTAAATACTCTGCTCTCCATTTTTTGCTATCATATGTCAGCATTTTAGTACTCCTGTTCACCCACAATTGCTTGGCACATTGGGGATGAGGAGTGGATAGACTTTTAAAGTAGCTACAATAAATAAGAAGGCTCAATTCTACCCTTTGCTTATATCCCTCAAGAGTCACTGGAGTTTTTAAATCCCTCTCATTCTCTCACCTCTGTGTGTGCCCCTGTGCATGTGTGTCTCTGTGCATGTGTGTTTCATGTTAACTTGAAGCCATGACTAGTAACTGTTACCAATATTTATTTCCACATCTGCTTCCCTGAATTGTTGTTTTCCAAATTAAGTTCTATGAGATGTTCATAGACACTACATGGAAGAGGGTTCTGTGGTCAAATGTTGGGAAAAGTTATAGTTGTACAAGTTAAAAAGATGTCTTTGCAAAAGGATTTCTCATGCCCTTTAATGTAGCAGTGTACCTTGTCAATCTTCAAGAGGAAGCATGGTTTGCACCAAAGAACCCTCTTTCCTGGGATCATCTGGGCAAACTAGTATTCTATTGATATACTTTGAGAAATGCTGCCAATTTGACTTAAGGGTTTGGCTTAAACTGGGAGCTCTTGTCATCAGAGACACAGACATTCAGAATTACCTTGATCACTTGGATTGGTGACCAAGCTCCTGACAATATGGAGAAAACATCACAAAGAAACACTCCCAAATACTCATAAAACTTTAAGTCATCCCTCCTGTGGGCTGGCATCTCTATATTCTGGAGCCGGAAATGCCAATGCTGCAGAAAGAGATAGGCTAGAAAAACAGCCAGGTGGAAAGGCAAAAGGACCTAACCAGGGCACCATGGTTTTAGGAAAATACAGCTGAGGACCTGACTTACACACATAATTTCTGGGCAGTTGTCTAACAGAAGTGGAATGCCCTTCCTTCTTGGGTGGCTTTCACGGAGAGGCCCACTTTTTCCATTTTTACTCCAGCTAATCACTACATGGAGCCTTCCTAGAACATGTAGCTTTTGTTTACACTGTGCTCCCATCAACAATGTCTCCTCTTTACGCTAATTCCTACATAGTCTTCAATCCCCTGCTACTGCATGAAGACTTCCCTTTCCACCCACTGTAACATGTCGTCCTCATTTTCCTGAATATTCATAGTATTTAACATGGATACAGAGTTCAGGAAGTATGGTCCTCTGGCCAAATTCAGCCTACCACCTATTTTTATAAATACAATTTTATTATAACACAGCCATGCCCGTTCATGTACATACTATCTGTGGCAGCTTTCTTGTGACAATGGCAGAATTGAGTAGCTAAGACAGAACATACAACATGCAAGCAAACATATTTACTATCGGTCATTTACAAAGAAAACTTGCTGAACTCTGGTCTATACCATTTCTCTAATAATCACATGCAGCCTTGCTTCTTATTGATACATATACTTCAGTGTTTCCACAGGTCTTCTCAATGAGTTTCAAGCCCACTAAGAGCAGGGCTATGATTTGTACTTTTTGAGTCCTTTGTAGTATCTAGCACAGAATAGGTTATCAATAAGCTAGCTAATTGATTTTTTAAAGCACAATTAACCCAAAATTCCCTGCAAAAGAATGCTTATTCCTGGTGCCAACAAGGAGAAAGTAAAATATGTCATGTTGTTTTCATACCACTTCAGTCTAGTGGTTTGAGATGGGAAGTGTACACAAGCTGTTTACGTTGGTTAGCTTCAAATTTTCTCTGAAAATAAGATAAACCTCAAAGGGGTGGCAACTTACAACCACACATCACTTAACCATGGGGATATGTTCTGAGAAACACATCATTAGGCAATTTCATCATTGTGTGACCATCATAGAGTGTACATACACAAACCTAGATGACACAGCCTCCTACACACCTAGGCTGTATGGGATAGCCTATTGCTCCGGGGCTGTAAACCTGTATAGTGTGTTACTGTACTGAATACTGTAAGCAATCGTAGCACAATGGTAACTATTTGTGTACCTAAGCATATCGAAACATAGAAAAGGTACAGCAAGAATACAGTGCAAAAGATTTAAAGTGGCACACCTCTGTAGGGCACTTACCATGAATGGAGTTTGCAGGACTGGAAGCTGCTATGGGTGAGTAAGAGTGCGTGGTGAGTGAATGAGAAGGCCTATGGCATTACCGTACATACTGTAGACTTCATAAACACTGTACACTGAAGCTTCATTAAATTTATTTTTTAATTCTTCGATAGTATGTTAACTTTAGTTTACTGTAACTTTTTAACTTTCTGAACTTCTTTTTAAGCTTTTTGACTCTTTTGTAATAACACTTAGCTTTAAAGAGTATAAATGTACAAGAAATTGTATATCCTTATTCTATAAGCTTTTTTCTATTCTTAAATATTTTTTAACTTTTTAAATTTGTTTGTTAAGATCTAAGACACAAACACACACACCAACCTAGGCTTACACAAGGTCAGGGTCCTAAATATCACTGTCTTCCACCTCCACATCTTGTTCCACTAGAAGGTCTTTAGGGACAGTAACATGCGTGGAGCTGTCATCTCCTAGGATAACAATGCCTTCTTCTGGAATAACCTATCTGAGGCTGTTTTACAGTTAACTTTTTAAAATATAAGTTGAAGAGTACAAGTAAAATGACAAAAATACAGTAAAGCAGTAACATGTTCATTTATTATCATTATGAAGTATGTACGGAACATAACTGTATGTTATTGTGTGTGCTATACTTGTATACAATTGGAAGTGCAGTAGGTTTGTTTACACCAGCATCAACATAAACATGTGAGTAATGCATTGTGCCACAACATTAAGATGCCTATGACACCACAAAGCCATAGGAATTTTTCAGCTCCATTATATTACGGGGCCACCATTGTGTGTACGTCCCATCACTGACTAAAATGTTGTTATGCGACACATGACTGTATTTCTCCATGGTAGCTGGGGAAACATTATCTTTTTTTACACAAATTATATAACCTTAGTACTTTTTCCATAAACTATACAGTACACTGATTCCAACTGCCCCAAAGCATTTACAATCCCCTCTCTCGCCACACACAAGACTGAAGCTCTCCATGTATACTAGCAGACAGAATGTGGACTGGCAAAAATTGATCAATACAGTTTTCTGATGGCCGTCACGCCAATCTTCCTAATGGCCACTTGGAATCCCGGTCCAGCTCCGTGCATCTGGTGGAATGAGTAGCCTGGCTGAGACCTATCATCCCAGGCAAGACTGCTCTCCAACTGCCTGTCGTCTTAATGCTGGAGGATGCTTACATAAATAAACCTCCAATGGATCAGACTGGAAGGGACAAGAAGCTCTTTGCAAGGCCTTATTATCTATTCTTTAGACCTCTCCCATGAACATTTGTCAGGGCAAATGAAAATCCTAAGCTAAAAGTGCCGAAAGAAGTCTCTTTTCAAAAAGTCAACCAGGAAATCCCCCTCTTTATTAGTGGCTTTTATATGCTCAAGGTGGGGTTAAATCCACCACTGAAAATGTCTGTTTAGTTTGTTCAGTGCCGAGGAGCAGGACTGAAAGTTGTGTGTGTGGTTGACACATGCATATGTGCATTTTCATGGCTCCGAGCAGTTGTATGTGCTGGGCTGGATTATTAATTGGTGTAAAGCCACCTAAAATTTGTTCTATCCACAAATACAATTGCCTCAAAAGAGGAAAGACAAGATTCTCACAGCTCTCCTGCCGCAGGTCACCAGCTCCAGCACTTCCGTCAGAGTGACTCATCTTTGTTTCCGAATAAATGGGAGCATTGCTTGGGGTTAGATGTGATGGGATCCTATCCTGGCCTGCCCCTGTTCGTGGCCCAAGCAAAAAGATTATGATTTTATTTTCTATTGTGAAATTACAGAAATAGATATATGTAGATCTGTAGAAAGTACGCTTTTATAGTACTAACAATTTTCTGTAGTTACAATTTTCATGGTGTCTACTGGTTGAGAGATGATAGGACTTATTCATGGAATTTACACTCTGGTGGTTTGATAAATATATAACATGTTGAAAGGGAGTTTCGTGGAAAAGTAAACGTTATTCATCAGGGTTTTAGTTTCTCTTATATTTGCTTTCAGCTGAGAATATTGTAAGTTGTTTGTTTGATTTTTATTTATTTTTTCATTTATTTGGCTTTTTTCTAGATGCTTTACCTAATCTAATCCAAATAAGAACAGCACTTAACAACTCTAAATATGGCATAGGGGGAAATATGTATATCCTTTTCTTTATATTATCTTTTGTTTCACATGCTGAGGGCTGTGGAAGGCAAAATGTGGTGAGGTGCTATTTTATAGCATGGTTAATGCTTATCAGTAATTTTTTCCCTCTGACCTTCTGCCTCAGACAATTAATTTTCTTGAACTGCTCACACACTGGCAGAACATGGAGGGGGGATAATGTTAGTACTAGTGAATATAATCTTGGAAGAAAAGCTGTGCAATTATTCAAAGACCTAATCTTATCTCTTGTTTCATTTTTATATCACAAGTCTACATTTAAAAGTATTAGATATCCTGTTCTGCTGTCCCACACCTTCAAACCTCAGTAAATAAATGCTGTTAAGTGCCACCAGGAGTGAAAGAGCTTGTAATGAGAAGTGTGAGGAGATATGTGCTCCATTCATCATTCTGTTCAGGCCAATATTGAGGCTCTTGTTATCAGCAGGATTCGTGGCGATGTCATCACGGCTGGCATAAATCTTCTGTCAGTGTGGGTCGGACTGATGCCCTATTAAAACCCTGCTTTCACCTAATCACAGAATGACCTTTCGATGTCTTTAATTAACCTCTGACCTGAACCATGCCAATGTCTTGTTGGTAGGTAAATCTATGGCATGACATTTGCTTATGACACTGCATTTGTCTTGCTTTAATCATCATAGCTTTCAGATTATGGCTTGAATGAAATACAGTTGGGATCCCTCTTAATAGTTGGATTAATTTTTAAAAGGTTAGAACATAATATTTTCCTCTGAGCTCCCAGTGATATCTTTGCAGACATTTTGCTCTAGGGAGTTAGGGTTCTCCATTAAAGTAAATTCAGGTGAGCCTTCAATTTCACCAATAACAAAATCTTTTCTACCCAAGTTATTTTTTTTTAATGACCTGGGAGTGGGAAGCATTCTAGGTCCTATGGATGACCAGAGGACAAAAGTTTTAAAACATAATGTAGCCTCACTTGTCCAAGACAATACAATGCAGCAGTGGCATGGAAATAAAAGAAATAGAAATAGAGACGGGGGGAAGGGAGAGAGAAAGAGAAGACTTTTATTTCACTTGGGGAATGTGCTTTTCTACCCTGGAATATGTGTGCCTCAGGTCCTGAGACTTCTTTGGATAATAAAATATCATTCATATCTCATTCTTCCACCAAGAGGAACCTTGTTTGTAAACTCCTATCTGAATTAGTTAATATCACAAATGTAAAATATTTATAATGAATTATACTGTTCCTACATACAAATGTAGTTATAAATTGATTGAAATGGCTACTAATTCACTCAAATTGAGTAGGTTGTTCAAAATAGCAAGTCGTGATTGGCCTACAAATCATAACATATGAATAAAATAAAAGTTTTGAGCTACCTAAGATTTATCCAATTTTATACTCAATCCGAAGTCCCATGAAGAGCTTAGACCAGATAATCTCTCAGGTCTTTTTCAGTTGTAAAAGTCTATGATTCAGTGTCTCAATATTACAAATTCTGGGTTTATTGAGTCTGAATTCAGAAAGTTTTCCTGTCTTTAAAATATAATTCAAAAGTTATGCCGTAAAGACTTCAAGAGCTGGGAAGTTTTCAAGCATCTCACCTGACTTTGCCCTGTTCCCTGCCTCTTTCTCCTACTTGAGCCTTTGTTGACTCACCTGTAAAATGAGGATAATAATACCTACCACTAGAATCGCTGTGAAGATTAGAGAAAACATATATTCCACATGTTAAACAGTGTCTGGTGTGTAGTAATGCCCAGTCCATGGAGGATGCTGGTGCATCTATTAGTATCTGCTGCACTTGCCAATAGATGTTACCTTTTAGGCCTAACTTAATCTCTTTTCTTCTAAAATTATACAATGTAATGGTTAATAACTTTGGAGTCACTCCTGGGTTCAAATAACCGCTATATCACACCAATTTATGGGCTGTATGATCATGAGCAATTTAGTTAAGCTTCCAATGTCACAATTTCTCATCTACAAAATGGGAAAATAATTGTGCCTAATTAATAGACCTATTAAATAAGATAATGCATGAAAAATACCATGTCTGATTTTGCTCAAGAGCTTATCCCCATTGCCTAGTATAGTATCTGGCATAGAGCAAGCACTCAACAAATATTAATGAAGATTTAACTGTTTTATATAATTATTTTATTATTTAATTGTATATTAGTATTACATAGATATTACCATCATCATCATTGTAATCATCATCAGTAAACTTGTACTATTGATATCTCACAGCTTCCTTGGTGTAGAAGTGGTAGTCACATATTTAGACAAAAGTAGATTTTAACATTAAATGTACATGGACCCAAAGAGGGGAACTACAATAGACACAGGGGTTTACTTGAGGGTGAAGAGTGGGAGGAGGGTGAGGATGGAAGAACAACCTATAAGGTACTATGTTCACTACCTGGGTGATGAAATCATTTGTAGACCAAACCCCAGTGGCATGTAATTTACTCATGTAACAAACCTGCACCAGGTAGCCCCCAACCCTAAAATAAAAGTTGGAAGAAAAAAAAGTGGGTTTTGGTTAGGTCCTAGGCTGAAGTAGGAAAGTAATGTTTACTAATGATATCATCTATTCTGTTTAAATATTCATTTATTTAGGAAGACTTGACTGAGCCAGGCTCAGGGGATGTGCCAGGCTCTGGGGATACTATGAAAGCTAAAAGATACACAATCCCAGCTGTCATGGAGCAAAGAGTTTACGAGAGAGAGACTGATGCTAATCAAAGAAGGACACTAACAAATGAACCATTGTATAGCTTTGCCAAGGACCGTGAAGGAGAGAGACACAGCTCTGTGAAGGGGCTTTGATGTAGGGAGGTAAGTTGAAGTCTGAAGCAAAGGATGGAAAGGCCTGACCACATGGGGGCTTGTATGACATGTTTTGAAATGTATTTAATAGGGAGTAGGGGATTGTATCATGATAAAGTGTGTGTTTCCAAGAGCTTACCCTGATTACAATATGGAAGGTGAATCAGAACAAGACAAGGAGTTATAGGGAGATGTTAATGTCAATGATTTTGTACTACAGAAAATCCCAAGGAGGTGGTCTCCATGGTAATTCTGTCTTTGAATCTCAGCAGAAAGTTAGGTTGATGCATTGTTCATAGACACCAAAAAGATAAAGGGGAAGAGACCACTCCCCATGCCCAAATATACAAACTTTTCTTTTCACTATTAGTATCAATACTGAGGACAAGAGATACCACATAGGTCTCTGAATTTATTATTCTTCTCTGCCAATTTTACTGTGTCCACAAGAGAATAAAGCTATCCATATTTCCTGTTTTATATTATGGGCAGTCACATGCCCTCTAATTGGAGGATTGCATGCCAAGCCAATGGCCTGGCCTCATAAAACCTCACTAGCTATTATACTGATGGGGCCAGACTATGATGCAGAGTTGTGAAACTTATCTCTAAACCTTAGGTCCAAAAAGGACAGAAAAAAATAAATCATTTCTAGCTAGAGAGCTCTCATGGCAACCAACTTCTTAAAGGAGTAAGGCAATGAGTTTATTCATATTTCATCCTGCAAATATTTATTCAGCTCTTATTATGTGCCAGCCACCTCTTGCTATATCATGACATCTGCTATATCATGTGATTTAAGGGGGAGGGCTACCATTTATGAACTGACTGTATACTTTATATAGGTTATCTGATTTGTTCATCAAGACAACTCCACAAAATAGAAATTATGACCTCCACTTTAGGAAAGTTAGGATTTAAACCTAGATCTATTGACCACAAAACCCTTCCCCTTCCATTACACCATGTTGTTTACCAGAAAGGAGTCCCTTTTCAGAGATAACTCCCCAAGGAGGCCAGAAACTCTGCCATTAGTGAGTTTCCTTTGTGCCAAGATTCATCCTGTCTCCAGTACCCTCTTTTTAAAAACCACAGCAGGATTTCTCAACCTCAGCACTACTGGCATTTAGGACTGGGTAATTTTTTTGTTGTGGGGGCCATCCTGTACCTTATAGGATATTTAACAACAACACTGACCTTTACCCACTAGATGTCAGTAGCACCCCAGTTGTGATGACTAAAAATGTCTCTGGACATTGCCAAATCTCCCTGGGGGAAGACAAAGCAGAGGAGGAGAAGGTAGTGTGAACGGCCAAGAAAGCAGAGTTGCAAGAAAGAAATGATTGGCAAAGTCAGCTGTTGCTGAGAAATTGTGTAAGATACAGACAGGAGCAAAATGATATTTGAGTTTGGTGATGAAGAGATCCTTGGTGACCTCAAGTAGGGCAGTGTCAGAGGGCTGGTAGGGGCAGGAGCCTGAGGGTGGGGAACATGTGGAAAGCATAGGAGGAGGGTCAGCGGGGAGTGACTCTCCTTTCAATAAGCTTGAGAATACTATAGAAGTGAGGCTGTGCCAGCTCTGGGCCCAGGACTCAAGCTTCTCGTTTCTGAATCTTGGAATACTCTCTCTGGGGTCCTGAGCAGCCATATGAGACGTTCAAAAAGCCTGAGACCACCATACGGTGATCATGGTCTCAAATGAACCCAACATTTCAGCTGTGCCTGCCAGGCAGCAGACGTGCAGCTGAAGCTGTCTTGGAGCCTCTAGACCAGCCCATCCACCTGCTGAATACCAGTGAGTGACCTACGTCAAAGCTACTAGAAGTGGAATTGCCAGCTGAGCCCTGCCTAAATTTCTGAGCCACACAATCGTGAGATACTATAAAGTGGTAGGTTTTATAGCAGTGTGTTACCCAGCAGTATGGACCTGGAACAGACTACAGCACTAGTCCTGCTTTCCCTCTCCCAGTCAATACAAAGACAGGGATGACCTCTGCTCTGAGAGTAGCTCCTAAGCATGTGTTTTGTGTCATGGTGATGGTCAAGCCCTCAGACTCTAGAGTCGTACAGACCCAAGGTCAATTCTTACCCTCTCTACTTCGTGGCTTTGTAAAATAGGGATTTTTACAGGTTCCATTCAGAGAGATGTTGAGAAAGATTGAGTGAGATGCATTTATGTAAAGCACTTATGCAGTGCCTGCCACAATAAATGCTTGCTAAATGTTAGCTTTCATTTAAACCATGAGTTTTTCTCTCAATGGACGGCAAATCGTCACATTCTGTGTAAAATGAGTCTGACTTCACAAAAGTTTGCACTAACTTCATCTCTCCCCACTGTAGGGACTAATGAGGCCTTCTCCTCTCACCTGCTCCTTCACAAGCACAAGTCCATTCCTTTTGTTCTTTTTGTGGCTTCCAACCTCCTGTTCTGACTATTCGACCTACAAACCTTTAACCACACACATACACACACACACATACACACATACACAAACGCACACACACACACACACACACACACACACACACGGAACAAGAGAATGCTTCTAAACCACAAGTTCTCCTGTGGGAAATGTGTGTATTAAAGGATTGAGTTCTGAATGCCCTGTTAGCAACCACAAGCATTTCGATTCTAGTCTGCATGACTTGTGAATCACTCCTGTTTGAAATAACTAGAAAAATAAAGAAATTAGGCATTGGGAGCAGAAATAAAGACTAAAGTATCAGGCAAAGGAAGAGTAGATGTTTTGCAATGAAGCATGAGACACTCTGAAGGAAGTTGAAAAAAGAACAAGATGCCTGATTCTTCCAGGAAGCAAAGAGCTAAGCTGTGTATTAATAGGGCCACAGGCAGAGCTGAAGCTGTAATCCTGGCTCCTAGACAGATATTTCAAATAAACCAAATTAGTCATGAAAGCATCCCAAGGCCTTTTCCAACTTACACTCCTTAACTAGTCTGTGTTTCTAGACCACAGGGGACCCAGGGTCTTGGTTGTGGGAGTTAATATTTCTGATTTCAAACACGAACAAACACAGAACATTTAGGAAGAGGAAAGAGACAGAGAGAAAATGCCTCTTCCTGTTCCTATTATCTGAAAAAAAAAGTTTACAAACATTACACTGATCTTCTCTGGGAGAGAATTCCTGTTAAGTTCCTAATAAGCAATGGATACTAAGATAAAAATAATTATACAGCATCCATCATAACTGAGTGGGTGAAATGTCACCAGAAATTTATTTCGTATGCTCTCTTTATTGTTTTATGTTCAGAAACATAAAAATATAAGATGAGTAGCAACCTCTGAGCCTTAACTCCAATTTTCATGTCTGAAGTTCCTTATCTTCCATGGACTTTTCAATAAGAGGGCTAAGGGTAAATACTGGGGTGTGTGGAGGTGGCAATGAAGAAGATGGTGATACTCAGAAGGGATGGGCTTAACAGAGTGGTAGCTGTTAGCCACGCACTCCGCTAGGGTCCTTTTGATGCCATGGGAATGGGAGAACTTTGTAGAAACAAATTGATTTGATGCCTCTTGAGTCAAAGAGCTTAAGATGTGTCTGCCTTGCTGAGAACTATTCCCTGTGACCACAAGGCACAGAGCCATGGACCAACTGTGCTTCATGTCTGTAGAGGTTCCTTTGAGCATTAAAATGGCTCCCCATTTAGTCCCATTTAGACTTCCTTTCCCACAATCAGGGCTTTTCTTGGCAGGGGTTGAGCATGAGCAGGGAATGGGAAAGAGAGGAGCCAGATCTCACGTTCATAAAGGGCTTGGAATTTAGACTTCTGACATTTTCTCCAAATGCAGTTATATGATCACTATAATTTTGCAGTATCAAAATATTAATTTATTAAATGTAAACATTTAAAATCCACCACACATTTGCACCCCTGTTTTGGCATCTCTTCTATTTTTAATATATCTGGACCCTCAAAAATGAAAGTGGCCTGGGTTCTTTCCATCTCTGGGAAACACTGCCCAACCCAGCAATCATCTACAGCACTTTCCCAAAAATATTGAAACTCCTGACACAAAAGGAGTTAGATGAGGAGCTGAAAATGGGAATAAGTGAATATGCAGTGGGTCTGTGCAGGTCCGGAGGAAAATACTAAAATCTATTCCATTAAGCCCCACTAGAAGGTACATCCCTTGAGAGCTGGGGCTCCATCTTTCATCTCCATAGCTCTAATTTATTGTGCAGTCCTAGAACACAGTAGGAGCTCAATGCATGTGTGTCGAATGGGTGAATGAATGAATTAACAACACTAGCCTGGACAGATGATTCTTTATGCAATATATGATACTGTCAAATTCAACTGCCTGCAAGGGAATCATTTGTCTATGGAGTAGGCAAATTTTCAATATGAAGCTGACTTCAAGCCATTGCTCAGACCAAGTGCCCAACTAAAGGAACATAAATGATTCTTAATATCCGACAAGGAAAGTGTAAGTGGGAGAGGGGATCTGCAGCTGGAAAAAGCAAAGCATATTCCAAAACCAAAGAGAAAATTCCTTTTGGATTGTCAATTATTTGGGATTACCTGGGCCTGGGTCACAGACCATTGGTGTGGATAATCAAGAATTGACTGCACATGTGGATGTCAAGCCTGCTTGGACTTGGGTATTCCCCAGTGGCCTGATCACAGCCTCTACTACTCCCCATCTCACAGAGCCCAGGGTAGGAATTGGAGGCGTAAACCCACAACAAGACTGCAGGGCAGAAGCCTTCCAATACCCTCAAAGATTAGAGTTTCCCCCATTGCTGCAGGAATGAACTGGGGTTTGTCATGAACTTGGCACAGAACAAAGGTTAGCACGAATAGGGGAGTCATGAAAAAAAGAATCAGTGGTTGTCTGTGCCAGTTGCATTTCCCTTGTTACTACAACCTCAGAATTGTCTGTCTTAATACATTACATATATTAAAAGTAGGGACCACTATGAACAAAGTTGAAGGGTAGGAATTCCTGTTGTGGGCACTGCTGCCCTTGTCTTCGCCTCTCTGTCCCCGTAACTTGGCCTCCACCCTTGGCCCATGATTCACTCCAGGTCTTCCCTGGACAGCGTCTTCGGAGGACGATCCACATTCTCAGCCTCTCGTCCGGCTCCATAACCAATTTCATGTTCCATACTCTGTTCTGACAGAGGCCTGCCCTCAGCTCTCGAAGGTCAAATCTAGGATAATTTGACAAATTAATTTGATCTTTCAGATTAATGTGTTAATGGGTATTCTTTCTAACAAGAATTTTCAAGAGAGTTGCCCTATTTGTGTCAACCCCCCTAATGGAGTGGCTCAGAAGGAAGCCATCACAAGGCCCGGTCAGATGTGGTCAGCCAGAGGGAGAATATTTTGGGATCTATGATCTGAGGCTCTCAAGACACTGTTGGCTTCCTATGGCTGGATCTGTCTGGGAGAAGTGTATGAGGAATTTTCTGCACTGAGGGACAAATCTAGATTGTCACTTGATAGATTTCCACCCCAGTGGGCTCCTGGGGGCATTTTATAGATTATTCGAGTTTCCTGAGAGTATGTAAACAAACACAAAGGGAGTCAATTTGAGAAAATATAAATACAGACAAAGGGATCCACCAGAAATGGGAGATTCTGCAGCCCATTCTAGTGAGGTAGGGCAGAGGATGCACACAAACTGAAATTCTGCCCCACAGTTGAGCTTTCTAAAGGAGGCCTTAGCCTCACCAGAATTAGTGGGATAATTTATAGTTTAACATTTCCTTTTAATGTGGATAGCATTTTCCTCATTTATAGTTAATTAGGTTAAGCATGCATGGGGAGCAAGGGAAAAAGGCTTTTAGTGATGCTCTAAATGATTAGTAATTTGAATAAAGTAAAGAACCTCTAGAAGACGGAGCACTGGCACGCATTAAACAGGCTTCTCTTCTAAGTGCTAGAATCGGCCCACTAATTTTGAAGATACTGTGGCAATTAAAGCACTAAAGATAAAAAGACACAGAATGTGCTAAATATCTTGAACAGGTTTTAAACCATATGTATGTGTGATATTAAGTGATATCAAAATAAATGGCTGAAGATTGCAGATGTTGTATATTTGGCATCCTGGGAACCCTGGTGTTGAGCTTTGGTCCTGAATCACACCAACCTGCTAGGGCCCAGGGATAAACTAGTGATAATGGACAAGAGACATCATGTTTTGAGCTCAGCTCCCATTTCTCTGGCCAACGTCTCACTCGGCACTTTTCCTTTATCAGCCTCCTGGTGAGGGATACCGGGAGATTTTGAGTGGAAAGAGCATAGGCTTTGGGCTTTGGAGCCAAGCAAGCTGAAATTTGGATCTCTGCTTCCATTTACTGGCCATGTGAGCTTCAGCAAATAGCTTAGCAGACTGAGACCTCAGTTCGTTCCCCTTTAAAGTGGCTAAACTAGCACAGAGCCCACACCCAGTGTCAGCAGGAGGTCGCAATAAGGACAAACAGGGCCTGGTGCATAGTTGTGGAGGAACAAGTTTCAGTTCCCTTCCTTCTAATGATCAAACCAGAAAGGTGGTGGATTTGCAAGATCTGCTTCCCCTATGCACACTTGCATAGGCCCATGAAAGTAGTCAATAAAAAGATGCTTTCTACCTATCTCTTGGACGCATGTGTGCTTGTGCACACACACACACACCCCTTCTTCACCACCTTGACTGGCTTTAACCTTTGCCCACTTTCCCCATTTTCCCCGGAAAGGATGCTTCCGTGACAGCGAGGTCTAGAGAAGACAGCGCCGTTTAAAAACAGTGTGTAGATCCCAGTGGGGAGGGGTCATTGCCTTCCGGATTCCTAGCCACCCCACCCGCTCCAGGCAGCTGGCCTGATGAGGAGCAGGTGATTTCTTTTTTCCATTGTTTTAATTTAATTCTAATTGAATGTAAGGCTGGAGATGCCTTCGATGGGCTCTTTTTTCAGGTTAAATTTCCTTGGGGAGTGTACCCTAAGACCTCTCTCTTTGTGATAACTTATTCTGGCCAGCAGAGCCAGGGTCTATTTATTACATCTCCTGACCACCCGCCTCCACAACCCTAGCAGGAGGGGCCCCTCTGCAGTTGCTGATGACTAGAGAATTACTCAAGTGTGAACTGTTTCACTGTCTGTCACTTTGCTCATTAGGCAAGTGAGAAAATGTATCTATGGCTCCGTCTCAAGGTCCTCATTAGCTTAGAGGCACATTTTTACTTCCCTTATTTGTTTTTAAGATGAATGCATAAGAAACAGTATTCAGTTTGTGTTCCTCAGTATAATTTTAAGAAGCAAAAGCCTGGATAATCTTATTATCTTCCCAATAATTGTGTTGTTCAGATGGTAGGGAAAAGGTAATTGCCTCTACTGCATTTCCAGCCAGGGTGGAGGGGTGTAACTGTTTTAGCTGTAGTAAGGATTCAAGTCCTCAGCACTGGGGGAAGATCATGGTGTTTTCAGAAAGGTAGTAAACAGATACCCCTAATAAGAACAATCAGTGAGCCTGTACTCTGAGAATGTCATTTTGTTTTCTTCTGATACTCTAGTTTCTGTAGGTCAAAAATATAGTATTATTATTACTACCTTTGTGTTAAATGTAATTCTATGTCTACCTAGAGGTTTGGCAAAAGGTTAGTCATTTTTTGATGGGGGCGGGGTGGAGGATGGTGATTGGAGAGGAATGTGTGGAATATATTTAAGATTTGGTTTTTATGGAGCATTTGTTGCAGGTATTTATGGTTGTTTATCATCTCTAGATTTATTTACTGAGATGATAAAACAGAGCTGAGATCACCCAGTATCATTCAAGAGTTTGACATTCTGGTTGCCTTCCTGATAGAAATGTGTCAGCCTATTTCTTGTTTGTTGCACTTGATTTGGGGGTGTTTAGGATCCATTTTTGTTCAGCCACTTAAATGTTGTTCCAAATTCATTAGCATCTGTTTGGATTCCCAGCCACGGATGCCCTGTGGCTGATAATTTAAGTGCAGAATGTCTGTCTCACAGGGCTAAAGGAAGAAAAAGGCCAGTTCTTTTCTTCACCTTAAAACTTCTAACACATATGGAGCATGTTAGGCTTGGCATTAGCTGCTTGCATTAGTTCACACGTAGGTCTGCAAAATAGAACAAACAGATGAACTAGACTGGTAAATAGAGTATATTTCTGTTTATTTGCATTTTCAGATTGGAGTCTTAAATCTAAGAAGTGCAGAGAAAGCAGCATTCTTCTATTTGTTTTAAAAGCTTGATTCTTTCAGTAATAATGTCAGTCGAAGTGACTGAATTTTCATCTCCCTCAACCATTTTCTTCATTCAGAGAAATGAGAATGCATATCATCCATTCAAGGGAAATATAATGCATTATTATAATATGCCTTGGCCTAAGTAGCTAATCACTTTTTATTAACACTTTTTGGCCCAGGGAGTTGGGATTTCTCCAAGCTGACTGTCAGGGTAGGGATTCTGGGAGTCTATATTAGTAATTAGCATTGCAAGATCTTGACTCCTGGGGTGATTCAAATTAATACAAAATAAAAGTGCAAATTTCCAAATAGTGTTGAAAGCCATATCTATTATTAAATTTATGTTATTAAAGCCCTTTCCAGCCAGTATGACAGGAGTCCAAAGCAAAGGATTTCCTTAAATATCTACACGACTCGTCTTGGATTCTTTAAAATTAAATTAAAAAGCATACAATGAAAGATCAAAAGAAATTTCTGTACAATTGAGTTACGCCTTGGCAGTAAAGTTTTCTACCAAACCAAATCCATACAAAGCAATATTAGTTTCATGGTCACAGTTGCTTTTGGACTTTCCTTGATACATTTGGCAGCTATCTTGAGAGCATCCAAAGAACCGCTGGCAACATCAATCACTCATTTCATAAGCAGGCGCTAAGAGGCGACAGGAGGGCGCTTGGCACAATACCATCTCTCCACCATGGAGCCCCTCCCAGGCAGGGAAAAAGGGAAACGGTGCAGCATAGAGACATTATGGAGCACTCGGCTTCGAATAAGGTTCTGCTAATGTGGAAATAACCTGCTTTCTCTAACCATGTCTTTAGCAGACTAAGTGGTTAATTGTTATTGATCAGCTCTGCCCACTGTTCCAATATCAGTCATTATTGAAAATAATCTCAGTATCCTTCATTAAGCATGCATCTGTTTCCATGGGAATGCATTTTAAACACAGAGAGCTACTTGAGTGTTATTGGTTTCACTGGTAGCGCCGGCACCGAGGGCTGTGGTTGCCCAATCTGTCATAGTTAATCAACTCTCATCTCTTAACACTGGCTGCAGTTATCAATGAGGTAAGGATTAATATTCTGGGCGAAGCAGATGATAAATCATTTGTATATAATTAGTGTACAGCAAGGTTACAGCTGACATGAATTTTTATCTTAATTATGAGAGAAATTTGTTCCATTAATTTAATTTAGTTTGCATGAGTGGCTAGACACCTAACAAAGTTAATCTTACACCTGTCATTACAACATTAAGTAGAAAGCCTCGTGTCGAGGCGCTAGTCTCAGATCCTCCCGCAGATGAGGATAATGTTGTTCATCTTGATGTGAAAATAGATGATTGTAGACAGAAGATGTAAAGTCGACTCTTTTTAAAGTTGTCCCAGGGAATTTATGGGAGAATATTGAAGTGGCTCAACTCAAGTTGCTGTGCTTTGGATGCCACAGTCCCCTTGTGAAATTACCTCTCTCCTGCCTTGCAAATCTGGTGGAAGACACTAGATACAAGAAGAGATAGGTTGTTTTTTAAATGTATATATGCTAACTTCAGAGCTTTTGGCCAAATAAAGCTTTGCCTCATGACAAGCTATTGCATTTGTATCAAATGCAATGAATTAAGAAACTTGTGCTAGTTCGAGTTGTCTATTCTAAGTGCTTCATGTTTATAATCGACTAGCAGAATTCCTATAACTCGATCTACTGTACAAATGGTAATTATGCAGACATCCCAAAGGCTTCAGAGTACTGCATAAACCTAAACCCTGTACTAATTATCCAAGTAATCACTGTGTCTGATCAATCATATTTGATTGATAGATTAGATGGGGCTGTTTATGCAGTAGAATGTGATGTTCTTTATTTTCCTAAAGATTAGCTACATATTTGAGATTTTAAAAAGGAAGAAAAGACTTGCTGACTTGGCTTATTTAAAATGGTTTCCTTTATAGACTTACCTTTGTGATAATTGTTTTCCCTTGATGTCTGGCCTGGTGTAGGCAGAAATCTTTAAATGAAAAGGGGTAGGAAGTCACAAAGTTACAATACAAAATCCTTGAAAACAAGACGACCAAGGAACAACTCCAGAATGTGGAAACGGAACTAGAAATGGCATCATGGAAGAGAGGCCCTTTCTGAAACTGCGCATTTGAAATATAAGCTCTGGCTTCCAAAGGAATGGGCCTTTGCATTTAGGAGACCCCAAATAAGCCTGCAGCTGAAATGCTAATTGCACAGTAACTCAGATTAATGTATTGTAATATTAGTCCACAATTATCACTTGGAGATAGGGTCAAGAAGTGTATAGTTGGTTATTCACAAGAAATGACTGATTTAAAAACAAAGAGCTCTAATGGAATTCAATAGTGCTTTTCAGTCATTCTGCTTGGCATCTCTATTACCTGAGATGATTCACAGTCCATTACGGGAGCTTCCATGCTAATAGAATGTCTATCTTCTGTAATACAGACACATCACAGCACTAACTGGGAATCTGTCACTATGAATTTCATCTAGATTTCACTTCATCTCTTCATGGACTGTAAAATTTGCTCTTGTACAATGCCTAAATTTACTGTGGGTAATTGAGAGAGATCTATAGGTGCAGCAGCACTCGGTTAAAAGCAGTTTTCCAAAGATCTATTGTAAATTGTGCAGCTTTGCCTCAGCTGGGGAAAGATTATGGTGAGCTGAATCTTGCCTTTACTAATGAGATGTTGTTGTGAGTTCAAAAAAGAGAGCGGGGAGATGCCTTAGTGAATTCTGCCACGTGGAAAAAGGAAAACAAGGAAGGGGCCCATCTTTCATTCCGAAGAAAGCTTTGCAAAAGGGACAAAAATAAATTTGGACCCAGGCTTCATTACCTTCCATGGGAAGTATAAATAGGGGCTACGAGAGACATAATATTTTCCAAATCTGCCTGCATTTACTTGGCAGAAAAAGAATGTCTCACGCGTGACCCAGCCTTCCAGTAGCTTACATTTGCCTCCTCGTGTGGCTGCAGGTAGAACAAATTCCATCTCTCATTTGCTGCACCTTCTGTTTCACAGATTGTTAATCCTAACTAAAATATTTGGTATTAAACTATCTGCATGAATTGTTGATAAAGAATTAAGATAACATTTGAGCTATTAAATATAATGTGTGCTCATATTTTTTCAATGGATACTTCGGTTACTGCTCATAAAGTATACATACTAACCTTTTTTTTTTTCCTTCAAACCGTTCCCCTTTCTTTATTTTACTTATTCCCATCAAAAGCTAAACAGAATCACTGGGTGCCCTTAACAATTGTAGGGCTTAATATTTGTTAGCCAATTAGAATTGTGATATATTCTACAGCTTTTTTCCTAAGCCAGGAACTGAATAATAGCATCATGCTTCACTGGCGGTGAAGTGAGCTGAGCCTTTACATTAGGAGAAAATCAGAATGGTATGACTGCAGTTCATTACTGAAATAGGTAACTGATGAACTGAAAAGACAAAGGGCATTGTTAAATGAAATGTCATTATTAGAGGTGCTCATGTTTAACAAATGTACTGTAAGTTAATTCAGTAGTGTTTTCTATAAAGTTCTCCACTGAATGTTCACTGCTCATTTTTACTGTCTCTGCATACCTAACATCTCCTTAAAAATATCTTCAAGGAAACAATGTCAACTCCCAGTCATGGGGAATATTTAAACCAAGATCAGAACCATCTTCTAGGCTCAGGTGTTTGCGTCACTTTCACTGAAGACCCTAGCCAGGTGCAATTGTGTTTATGTTCCTAGATTTACATGCAATAAACTAGGATGTTAATAATGCTGCGGGGGGTGGTGCAGGGAGGATAAACACAATCACTTTGCAGAAGACTTGGGAAAATGTTTTCAGCTTAAAGAGGAGAAAAGGCAATGAAACCCCTTTGGCATCTGTGCAAAACTGTTTGCTTGACTCTGGAGGTGATAAAAATAATTTATGGAGCCCTACATTTTTATCAAGAGGAAATGACCTCAGCTTTTGGCAATCTGATGCAGTTAGTGAAGCCTCTCTCTACTACTTTTATGGATTTCCTTGAGCTACATATTCTGTGACCTGTATTTCAGATTTATTGGCAGATACATAAGCCACATTAAGTAATATAAAATGCAGTGAATGCATCAAACAACTCAGCAGGGACCCACTGACAGCCGGCGAGAGGCTGCCTCTTCAAAGAAGTCACTCTAAATCGGATACCTGTTTATGCATTTGTCGAACCAGGCTCTGAATTTTTGTTTTAAATAAAGACATTAGTTCAAAACAAAAGCCTCTTCAGCCAAACCCATAACATATTGGGTGGCAGGAAGAGGGTGTACAGCCAACTTTAAAATCTAATCAAACGCTCAGGATTTTGAGTGTGAACATGCTTTGCTTCCAGTTTGGGGGGAAGCACGACTTCTGAGGAGGAGAGAAGGGGCCCCCAGCATATGGTGTTTGATTCTCAACAAGACAATAGAGTAGCATTTTGATGAGGGAGATGCAGACTGACCAATAATGTCTTTGGGGAAATTCTTACTGCCTTGATAAAGAGAAGGTAAGTACCAATGAGGAAATGAGTATTGCACAGTGCTATGTGCTAACCACTTGAAACAGAACTGGGAGAATTTGTGTAAGACCTATACCACCATCCTTGATGCCATCAAAGGCAGGGTCCCAATGTGTCAAAGCAGAAAGAGAATGAGTATGGCAGTCAAGAGACCCAATTCCTAGCTGGGGCAGCTGTGTCACCTTGGGCAACTGCCACCCTCTCCCTTGAGGTCATGACGGGGCTCCTGGCATCCCTTCCAGCACAGAAATCCTTTGATTCCTTAAACAATGATGTCCAAATGATTGATGTAAGAGAAATGAGATCACAGGATGCTGGGGACACCTGAACCAGCCATGAATTACTTGAGAAGATTCAGGCCCTGGCATTAAGCCAAGCAGAAAAATGATGGACATGTGGTTTCATGGGGAACTTCTAATTCACCTTCTTGTGACTGTTATATTTTACTGTTAACCGTTCCCTTTTAAAGAATGCCTTGTGGGACTCAGATGAAGGTACACTCCCTCCAAAAAATGTTCTGGGTAAATTCCACCCTACTATGGTCTGTCCAGTCTCTGAAAATTGACAGCCCTTTGTTTGCACCACTTCATACTGTCCATGTGAACAATTAAACAGCGTGGTTAAGAGCTCAGGTTCCAGAGTCAGATGGCCCAAGTTTAAGTCCTGATTCTGCCACTATTAGCTGTGTGACCTTGGGCAAGACTCCTAACCTCTCTGAGGTTTTTCTATTCTGTAAAATTGGAATGACAACAATACTTTTGTTGACTGGATGATTGTGATGAGGATATGAGATCTAATTTGTAAAGCATTAACACAAATATGTCACAGAGTAAAATTCTCCATCTATATTAGATATTATTATTATTGTGTTTCATGCATGTCCATTTTGTCTTTTCTTCATAAGAGCATAATTGATTAAAGACAGAGTCACAGCACCACATGTTATTTGTGTTCCCTACAGTGTTGGGCTCACAGTATGTTTTTAGAAAATATGTAACTGAGGGGTAAAGTCCTGCTACGGTGGAGAAAGGAGAATGAGGCATAATAGCAAAAGAATAGAAATATCTTCTCTCCTGTTGCATAAAGAGAAGTTTTAACAATGGTTACCATTATTAAGCATTCACCTTTTGCTGGGCACTTTACACAAGTTATTTCTAATCACTATTCTGCCAGATATATATTATTATCCCTGTTTTACAGAAATAAAAGTTGAAGTTCAGGGAAGGTAAGAAATATTGCACGTGACTGAAGTGAAAGGATGGGATTCAAACCCAGGTCCGTCAACTGCCAACGTCCACTTCTACCCACAGCATCCTGTCAATCAGATAGATGCTCCTTCTCTGAACAGGCAACATAGCTATCTCCTGCTGGCAAATGATAAGAAATTAGAGATGGGATTGCCAGATGAGCCTTTCATGCTGAGTCACATAGAGCAAGACATATCACAGGCAGTGGCAAAAGCTGAAAGTTGAGAGTCAGTCTTCAAAAATGCACACTATGAAAAGAAATGCAGATCATAGTCATTTTGGGCTCACACCTTAGCAACTACCATCACCCAGGTTCTATTTGAAGCCAAACAATTGTGGCTTAAAGGTGCTGAATAATTAAGACATTGAATATAAGTATTAAATAACAATATGATGCTTTAGGACCCGGAAATGACAGCCATGCCTTACACTTGCAAAGCTCCTCTATCTCCCTCGAATGTTCACTCGCATTAAGTGAGGGGTAATAAGATGGAGGAATTCACATTGGCAAGGTGGGGACATGGTCTGAGAAGAAAGATGTGATTAAGAGAGGTAGCCAGGATCAGCCGTAAACTCCCAATTGGAAGTTTCAGTACAGGTGGTGGCTTGGACTGGGGCCAGCCGAGAAACATGTGGTCCACACAAAACGTGTTGGGGTCCATATTGTCTGGAAGGACATGGTATTATGAATGTCTTTGTCTGATTGGAAATATCTAGGCTCTCCAAACAACCATTTCCAGATCTCAATATTGTCTGCCTTCCAGAAATGTTTCATCCTAGACTTGAGTTATTCACATTGTTTCCCCAAATGCCAAGTAGAAATGCTTGGGATGATAAAATAGAAAGCACAGAATACATTTGCCTTGGGTGCACATTCTTAAAGCACTTCACCTCAAAGCCGTCCAGAGCTCTGCTAGCTACTAAGAGGGTTGAGGCAAGAACAACCTCTAATAATTCAAAACTAAAATTAGACATTCACTTGAAAAATTCAGGTAACCGAAACAAAAATGAGGGAAGCTTTGTTTATTTAAATTATGAGATAATTGCCACAATTCTCCAATTCCCCTCACTAGGGTAGACTTGGCTTGAGTGTATCAGCATCCATGGTGACTCATCTAGTAAGTAAACTACATTAGCTCTGCTACCAGCAGAAAGGAAAGGGAAAGGTCTTGAAATATATCTATTGTGGCTTCCTTCCAGAGCAAGGGATTTCATTATATCCTGAAGACATGAGACAGTTCAAAGAGATTTGAAATACAGAATGAGAAGGCGGAGGAGGAGAAGTTTGGGATTATACACTTGCTTTTTAGTTTTGATTTTATATATGAGAATCAGACACTACAGACAGAGACTCTAGGGGGAGACTTTATTCTTCTGGTCCAGGGTTTTGTTTTGGTTCGTTCTGTGGTTAATATCTTTCCAAAAAGTTCCCCCCACATGGGTAGGCCTTCAGTTTACTCCCATGTACATAATTTCAAATAAGTATGACAGAAAATCCTTTAAAAACCACACATACATGATTTTCTATTCCATGGCTGAAATGAAACTTGATGGGAAAAAAAAGCATGATGGTGCCTGTTTATTAAATCCAGACAATGCAGAATGACAATAGGAATCATCCTGAAAGAGGCACCGCAATATTTTTGTAACAACAGAATAATAACTTGCTTTGCCTCTGTCTACTTTTAAAACCATTTTATGATTACAAGCATGTAAGCTATTCTAATTATTACTCTAAATAATTAATCATTTCCTTTACAATCACTTATTAATTAGCTGTCATAACATTGTTGTGAGTTAGGTGGAAGACAAAGATTCAATATTCAGTTATTAACACCTAATTAAAATGTTCATTGTTTTCCATATGTTGTTTATAGCTTTGCTTCCTCGCACTTGAAGACAGAATTTCTCCGAGAACAATGTCCTCTATTTGCTTAGCTACATCGCCATCTGTTGTTGAGAAGTAGAAAATGTCCTTTTCTGCTTTTTCACTTAATAGCTTAATCCTTACCTCAGTTTTTATTTGGAATTAAAAAAGATTGATCCCCAATATTCTCCCCCTAAAATATTTTTCTTAACTTTATTTGTTCTGCTGCTGACTACATAAAGTATTCTGCTAATGCCAATGGCATCATTTAAGTAGTAAATTAAGTGAGCCTATTAATGAAACTACAGTGAAAAATTCAAACTACTCCAATAAACTTTTCCAACATAGGAAAAGTATAGAAGAGGGGAGTTTGCTATCAAGTTTGGTTTACAGAAAGTCACCATCGAGGGAAATTTAAGATCTAATAATCCACCAGCCTAGGCAACATGGCGAAAGCCTGTCTCTACTAAAAATAAAAAAAATAAAAAAAATTAAAAAAAAAAAAAGCCAGGCATGGTGGTGCATGCCCGTAGTCCCAGCTACTCAGGGGGCTGAGTTGGGAGAATCACCTGAGCCCCGAGGTTGAGACTTCAGTGAGCCATGATCATGCCATTGCACTCCAGCCTGGGCAACAGGAGTGAGACCCACCCTGCCCCATCTCAAAAACAAACAAACAAAAAAAAGATTGACTATTTCACATCATAAAGATATGTCTTATACTAACTCATTTTTATAATAAAAGCTTATGTTTATTGAGCAACTACTGAATGCTAAGCACTGTTCATTCTTGCAACAGTCCAATAATGGAGACATTGCTGTGTTTGTGCCCACTTTACAAATAGAGAAACGGAATCACCAGGAGGTAAAGTCATTTGCTGATTCAGGGGGAGGCTAAATAATTTGTGAGGCTTAGTGCAAAATCAAAATGTGGAGCCTTTTGTTCCAAAAGCAGGGAAAGAAGTGCCATTAAAAGTATGAAAATATAAAGCTTTTTCCTTTCTTTCTAAGTCTCTCTCTCAACTTGTTATGATGTTTTAATTTGCTATTTAATGTTATTTTAATAAAAAATTTAATGTTGTCATTGTATGAGTTTTACCATTCATTTTTATATTGTGCAATGTGTTTTCAATGCAAATAAAAGAGCATGTAACTCATATACAGAATAATCAAAATTTCACAATTCGTTATTTTGTCGCTCATGTGTGTGTATTTCACTCTCTCCAGAATGGTAGAAATGCTGCACAAAACCAACTCAACTATTTTCATCTCACTTGATATATGCACAATCTACCAACACTGCTCACCTTGGGCTTATTGGTGAGTAGGGAATTACAATTCTCTTTCCTTCTATGTCATCATTTTCAGTACAAGTAGTTAGCCAACACAGAGAAGTAGCATAAGAGAGCATATGGTAGGCTTTCCTGTAATTCATGTTTCTTGGAATGCCTTGGCCTGCTTTCTGCATTCAAAGCAAGTTCTGGCCCAAGCGAAAAGTCAGTGGTAGATATGCAGATATGCCAATATGCCATGCTCACCTTTTCCTCTTTAAGTCTCACTGAACTCCCACATATTCTGGGTCCACCAGAATTCTGTGTTCACAAGGTGTTGTGTACTCTGTAAGGAAATAAGGTAGCAAGGAACAGCAGATACTCCATTATTATTATTGGGCTTAACATACTGTGCTTATCTTCCCTACTCTCATGTATGCTCCAATGTCTGTCAGAATTCACTTGCAAAACATAAGTTCAAACATAAAATTGTTGAGAATTTCAAGACAGTGACAGCAGAGCATTAAAATAAGTGTGAGGCTCTCTGAGCCTGGGGCTCTGTGAGACTACGCCCACTGAGCAGATCCTGAGATGATGGACACACACAGAATGACACATCTGTTTCCAGAGTTCACACTTCTAACCACTGTGCTCTGCTGCCCCTCAGATTATGCCCAGAGGCACCTTCAAAAGCTTCTGCTTTATGTGTCCATTATTCATAGAATTAAAGAAAGATGATGGTGGACAGAGGGCCTTAGAATTCCAACCTTCCGATTTTACAGACAAAAGACAAGAAACCCAAAGAACCAGGATGACAGCCCTGATGTCCTGAATCTAGACCTCCTCAAATTGTCAAAATGAATGTATTATCTCCTTCCCCTTTCCATCCCTTCCACAACCCACCTTTCCTTTGGTGCCCCACTTCTTTGCTGCTCTGTAGTAATCCTGTTCAGTCCCCATGGTTCTGGGGATGTGGACTCTCACCCTCTGCACTCAGGCCCAGAGGAGGACACAGAAGCCAGGCAGGCTTAGCAAAGCCGTGTCCTCCACAGGAACCTGGTTACATCTGTGGGGAAAGAGACACCCTTTTCCTCTGGGATGATGAGACATGAGGACCATGACATCATAGAGCACTGGACTTGTCACCAGGTAGAGAGGGACTGCCTGAGAATGAGGCCAATGTGGAGAAAAGCAGAGCTGAGAGACACAGACAAAAACAAACCCTTCAAGGAGTACAGATTTTGAGCATCTCAGTTGAGTCCTGAGTTACATAAATGAGTTAACAACCTCTCCCTTTGTTTCTTAGCAAAATTTGAATCAGGTTTCTGTTACTCGACTGTTTTCATCTTACTCGATGTGTGCACATTCTACCAACATTGCTCACTTTATTGATGAGTAAGGAATTACAATTCTCTTTACTTCTATGTCATCATTTTCAATATAAGTAGTTGGCCAATACAGAGAAGTAACATAAGACAGCATATAGTAGGCTTTCCTGTCATTCACGTTTCTTGGGCTGCCTCGGCCTTCTTTCTGCGTGCAAAGCAAATTTATGTTTCTGTTTCTGAAATCAGGTTTCTATTACTTGAGACAAAGGGTCCTGATTGATACAGGTTTGTGAATCATTCTGTAAACATGACCATTAAAACTATGGTGAGAATGCAAATAGATCCAAAGATTAAGCTATAGGGAATTTCATTTAAGGAGAGTGAAAAGGAAGAAAAGCCAGCAAAGGAAACTGAGGGAGTGATCGGGGGTTCCAGGAGACCTGGCACAGGAGACAGCATCCACTAGGTAGGAGCAGAAGACAGGGGTGTGGGTGTGGGCAAGGCCAGATATGCAGAAAGTTCAAGCAAAGTGATGGTTGGAAAGAGTCTACTGACCTGGAAATTAGGAGGTGGAGAATTACACCAGGAGTTTGTTGGGAACAAAGCCAAGGGGCTGTGGGTTAAAGAACGAGTAGAAAAAAAAAGTCTTGTGTTTAACACTGCTGAAAAAAATCATAAATGACACAAACAAATGGTAACACATCCTATGCTCATGGATGGGTAGAATCAATATTGTGAAAATAACCATACTGCCAAAAGCAATCTACAAATTCAAGGCAATCCCCATCAAAATACCATCATCATTCTTTACAGGTTTAGAAAAATCAATTCTAAAATTCATATGGAAGCAAAAAAAGAGCCTGCACAGCCAAAGCAAGACTAAGCAAAAAGAACCAATCTGGGGGCATCACACTACCTGATTTCAAACTATGTTATAAGTCTATAGTCAATAAAACAGCATGGTACTGGTATAAAAATAAGCACATAAACCAATGGAACAGAATAAAGAATCCAGAAAAGAACCCGAATACTTACAGCCAACTGATCTTCAACAAAGCAAACAAAAATGTAAAGTGGGGAAAGGACACATTTTTCAACAAATGGTGCTGGGATAATTGGCTAGCTATATGTAGAATGAATCTGGATCCTCTTCTCTAGCCGTATACAAAAATCAACTCAAGGTGGATTAAGGACTTAAATCTAAGATCTGAAACTATAAAAATTCTAGAAGATTATATTGGAAAACCTTCTAGACATTGGCTTGGGCAAAGATTTCATGACCAAGAACCCAAAGGCAAATGCGATAAAAACAAAAATAAATAGCTATTTAATTAAACTAAAGAGCTTTTGCACGGCAAAAGGAAGAGTCAGCAGAGTAAACAGATAACCCACAGAGTGGGAGAAAATCTTCACAATCTATACATCCGATAAAAGACTACTATCCAAAATCTACAACGAACTCGAACAAATCAGTAAGAAGAAAAAAAAATCTCATCAAAAAGTGGGGTAAGGACATGAATAGACAATTCTCGAAAGAAGATACACAAATGGCCAACAAACATATGAAACAATGCTCAACATCGTTAATGATCAGGGAAGTACAAATCAAAACCACAATGAGATACTACTTTATTCCTTCAAGAATGGCCATAATCAAAAAATCAAAAAACAGTAGATGTTGGCATGGATGCAGTGATCAGGGAACACTTCTACACTGCTGGTGGGAATGTAAACTAGTAAAGCCACTGTGGAAAACAGTGTGGAGATTCCTTAAAGAACTAAAAGAAGAACTGCCATTTGATCCTGCAATCCCACCACTGGGTATCTACCCAGAGGAAAAGAAGTCATTATACAAAAAAGATACTTGCACACACATGTTTATAGGTGCACAATTCGCAATTGCAAAATTGTGGAACCAATCCAAATGCCCATCAATCACCAAGTGGATAAGTAAACTGTGGTGTATATATATATATATATGTGTGTGTGTATATATATATATGTGTGTGTATATATATACATATATACAATGCAATACTACTCAGCCATAAAAAGGATGAATTAATGGCATTTGCAGCGACCTGGATGAGATTGGAGATTATTATTTTAAGTGAAGTAACTCAGGAAAGGAAAACCACACATTGTATGTTCTCACTGATATGTGGGAGCTAAGCTATGAGGATGCAAAGGCATAACAATGATACAATGGACTCTGGGGACTTGGAGGGGAGGTTGGGAGGGGGGCAAGGGATAAAAGACTACAAATAGGGTGAGTGTATACTGCTCAGGTGATGCGTGCACCAAAATCTCACAAATCACCACTAAAGAACTTACTCATGTAGCCAAACACCACCTATACCCCAATAACATATAGAAAAAATATATATTTTTAAGTCTTGTGTTTAAAATGGTAGGTTGGGTGTATGCATTGACTTCCTTCTGAGACACAACTGAAGTGTGAGGAAAATAATTAAAAATATATATGTATCTTTAACCTGCAAGGACAATGAGAACAAGCGAAAAGACCACAGTGGATAAAAATTAGCAACAGCAAGTGAAAAATGTCAACAAATTTCTAGAAGTGGAAAAAGAGATGGAGAACTGGTGTCTGGCATTGTAGAGGAGAGAATGTAGAGACACCTTGGAGCCCAGTGGGGGTAATGGCAGAGAGCGATTCACCGCTTAGAACTCTGACCACTTCAGGGCTGAGGCACAGGTAGCTTGGAGAGCAGGAGTTAAGGCTCAGGCAAAGCTGAAAACAGGGAGGTAGTCTGAAAGCCTCTGTTAGAGCCACTGGACCCATCCCGGCTCAATCCCATCCTTTACAGTTGCATCACCAACCCCCTGATTCTCACAAGTAACCAGAGAATTGTTCTCTGGAGACCCTGAGAGGGCCAGAATCCCAACTCTGGAACATGTGTCAGAGTAGAGGCAATGGATGAGGCTCTGTGCCCCAAACTGAAGATTAGTAGAGGTCCACGTACGCATGGCCAGAGCCCCATCCTGTCTCCCGTCTTTGACCAGGGCACCAGGAGCCTGCTGTATGCTCCCCACGCAAGACATTGAAAGAGCTTCTCTGCAGAAACGATGCCCCTGTGGTGGTTGGTACAGTGGCGACTTAGCTAAATGGGAACTATGTTTAGCAGAATCCCCTTCCCTGGGTGGTTCTGCTTGGGCTGACAAGACGATCTGTGTGAAGTTTGGCAAGCAGAAAAGGGAAGCTGCCTCTGCCATGTTCTGAATGTGGGTGTAGCGTGCTAGGTGCCACCACAGCCCGCAAACATTGTCACTGGTGGCTAGCTCATTCTGGTGTTATAGCAGGGCTGCCAGACCCACAGCTCCATTGCCCCCACAGACTTCCTTCCACGTGGGGCATGGCACAGCTCTGCTGGGAAATGTTCTGGCTTCCTTGGCAGGTCACCTGCATCACTGAGGTGGAGGTGGTGGTGGCGAGAACACCCCTAACTACTAACTAGGTGTTTGAGTACCACAAACTAAGTGGCTTAAACAGCAGGAACAGAGCCTTCTGGGATGCTAGAAATGTTCCACGACTTGATCAGGGTGGTAGCTCCTCAGATTTATCCACAAGTAAAAGTTTTTCAAGGTTAGGCACTTTGTAGAGAATATGTTATACTTCAATACAATGTTAACCAATGTTCTACATAGCATTAATCATTTGCAGTGAGTGCTATCAAGAAAAGTTACAGTGTTCCATAAGAGGGCCTGGTCTGAGATGTGGGATCTGAGAGAACACCAGAGAGGTTGATCACAGGAGGTGACCGGGGGGCTGTGGTGTGAAACAGGCATGGGCCAGAGAGGGCACCTACTTGTAGCCCATGATAAAGACATTGCACTCATCTCTGAGACCTATGGAGGGGCTTCCAAGCAGGAGACATGTCATAGATTACTCTGAAAAGAACGAATGTTCAAGTACTTTTTTTACTAGCTGAGTTAGCAACTGAGTGTGTCTCTGTAGCAATACTTTATTTTCCAATTTGCATTTAGGGTATGCACTCATTTCATATAGACCACGATATGCTTTGGATTTGTGTCCCCACCCAAACCGCATGTCAAATTGTAATCGCCAGTGTTGGAGGTGGGGCCTGGCAGGAGGCGATTAGATCCTGGGGGCAGATTTCCCCCTTTGGTTCTGTTCCCCTGATACAGTCCTCATGAAATCTGGTTGTTTAAAAGTGTGTGGCACCTCCCCACTCCCCACTCTCTCTCTTCCTCCTGTTCTGGCCATTTGAAGATGTGCCTGCCTCCCCTTTGTCTTCTGCCATGATTGTACGTTTCCTGAAGGCTCCCCAGCCATGCTTCCTCTACAGCCTGCAGAACCGTGAGCCAATGAAACCTCTTTTGTTTATAAATTACCCAGTTTTAGGTATTTCTTCATCGCAGTGCAAGAATAAACTTAAACCATGACTTCTCTCTTCGCTTTTCCTGTCTCTTCTGTTCAAGACACCAGTACCACTGAGTCAGTGTCTGACATACACACAGGATAGTGCCCATATACCTCCCCCAGACATAACTCTAAGAATGGACAACATCTAGACCAAGACTCTTCTGCAGAACCAGCCAGCTCGATCTTCCAGTGGACCATTGCTCAGACAGTGGTCCATGAGGCATTGATTAGAAACTGCAGTAAAATATGCTTGGGAAATATTTGTTCAGACAAAGTTACACAGTTTTCCTATTGCAGGACTTTTCATAGAGTTTCCTATGTTAATGTGCACTATGATTATCTAAGAGGGGGAAATTACATGCAACATTCCCAAATTTATTTGAACCATGGGACCCTTTTGTGAGGTGAACGGTATTAGCAAGTCAAGATACTATGTTAATCTGAAGAGTTACAACACGGTGCATAGGTAATCCCTACTAGTTAGTGATTTGTGGCATTATGTCACACAGTAACCTCCTTTATCTTAATTAATTTTAGAATAAATATAAAGAAATGACAGAAAGCTGAGGTTGTTCTTTTACTTTTGTTTTTCATGAATGCTTGTTTCTTCCACCACCATTACCTGCTCACTTTCTTCACCTGTCTTTGAAACCTCATTCGTCTTCATTGGCTATTGATTACTTTCTTCTCTGGTGATTTTAAGTAGCTAAAAAACCTTCCACTGACTCCTCATATTATGTGAAAGAAATTGTATTTTTTTAACCCCTTTCAGAAATTACCATAAAACTACTGAGAGTCAGATCACCATTCTAACTATCACCATTGACACGTAAAATAGTGTTTTTCATATCTTAAGTCCAAAACCATGTTATCTGTTGTAGATAATTTTAGCGGAATAGACTGCAAAGAATCCTAGAAATGTTAATTCTACCACATCTGACATAGGGAGAATTTTTGGTATTCAACTCAAGCTTTGCATTTTCTTTGCAATTTTCAACATGCACAGCCTCACACTCTCTTTCAAAGGCTCTGGTATTACCCAGAAGCAATTACGAAGAAAAACGAAATTACCTTTCGTCATTCTATCTATTCAGCGCCTTGGAAATGCAGACTGACAATGAACTGACAATTATTTGCAATCCACTTTCAGTTAATTTCACCATAAATTGAGCCTGAGGACTGCTGACAAATAAAATATATTATTCATCTGAAAACATTCTCTTTGGGTCTCCAGATCTCCAATCTATTTCGTTAGTGATCATGATCAAACTAAGTTGGGAATTGATTTATGCAATAGTTATCCCTCCACAATAATTAATTAGGAAAATAATGCTTTGGTGGAGCTTTGAAAAGGAGTGATTTCTAAGGCTCTTTGATAAAATAGAAAACTTTAAAAATAATTATGAGGCAGTGTTCCTAAGGGAGTAGATATTCATTGCCTTTCCTATTTCCGGAATACACTAGACTTAACTCACAGTCAGGGATAGCTCCTTGAATCTCAATTCAGTTCATCTAACAGTTTTTTGATAGTGTGCTACATGCCTGGCACTGTGTGCTAAGTCTGTGAAGGTAATAGAAAGGGAGCTTCTTCAGTGAGTGTACATGGGCAGGTAGCCATATACAGTATTAACTGTTCTAATAAATGCTATAATAGACATACTTGCAAAGTATTTTTGCAGTCATAGCAGCTCCAGGGATTAATTCTGCTTAAATCACTGGGGAATGCTTCATGGGAGAAAGTGACATGAGAGTTGGTCTTTCAATTGGGCGAGATTAATGGCTGTGGGCTTGAGAGAATGCAAGCGCAATTCTAGGTGGAGAAAATATACAAACTATTGCAAAGAGCTGGGAAAGTTCCAAGTGGGTGTGAGGAGATGTAAGAAGCCTGGGTTGGCTGTGAGAGGTTGGAGAGGAAGGTATGTTGGGATCAGATTGTGAAGGAGAGATGTAAAGTGCACAGACAATTTTTAATAAATAGGGTTTTAAGCCAGAAAGCTGTGTTGTTCAGGTGATATACCTGGTTGCAGTGCCATAGCGGGTGAGGGAATTACTGGAAGATATTGCAATTGCCCTCGTGAGAGGCAACAAAAAATTATGGGAGAGGAAAATAAGGATGCAGAAAGGAGAAACAGAACTTGGGAATCATTTAGTTTATCCCCTTAAGAGAAGCCACGGCACATTGAGGTCAAGGAATTATAAGGATCTTGTGGGCGTTGAAGTCATGGAAGCTGTGAGCAAATGATGGTGAGGAAAAGACACAATAAATCAAGTGCTAAAGCCTTGAAAGAAGTTGGAGGTGTCTAGGAAGCCGATAGATGAGGATAGTGTTTGTTCACTCTTTGGTTCATGTACTCATTCAAAGGCCTGTAATTCAGAACCTACTGCGCTGGGCACTGGGGAGGCAAACACCAATAAGACACATGAAGTCAACAGCATTGATCAAAGAGGGAATGTATTATCTTCAAGCAGGGAAAGGTTTCAAAGTTAGTTAACAGACCTCAAAAGTGGAAAGTCATGAAATTCAGGATAATACATACAGGTCAACAAGAACTTGCAAAGAAATGGGAAAAGATGCTGCTCCGACTCAAGCTTCATGTCACTTTTCCAGGCAGGAAGACAAGAATGGAAAATGGCAAACAATATGTATGTTAATCTTACTCCCTTTGAAGGACTTTTCCTCAAAGTCATCCACTTACATTTTATTTTTCAGAATGGGTCACATGTCTATTCCTAGTCTGCATGAAAGCATGGGAAATGTAGACTTTAACTGAGCATATTTTTGTGCCTAACAAGTTCTTCTAGAAAAGAGGCAAGAAAGAATGGACATGGCCTAGACAACTAGCAACTACACTTTTATGGTAAAGAGTTCAATTCACCAAGAAGAGCTAATTTTCCTAAATATATATACACCCAATACAGGAGCACCCAGATTCACAAAGCAAGTTTTTAGAGACCCACAAAGAGACTTAGACTCCCACTCAATAATAGTGGGGGATTTTAACATCCTACTGAGAACATTAGACAGGTGATCAAGATAGAAAATTAACAAAGATATTCAGGACCTGAACTCACCTCTGGATCAAGTGGACCTGATATATATCTACAGAACTCTCCACCTCAAAACAACAGAATATACATTCTTCTTATCGCCACATGACACTTACTCTAAAATTGATCACATAATTATGTAAAAAGCTCCTCAGCAAATTCAAAAGCAAATTCAAAAGAACAGAAATCATAACAGTCTCCCAGATCACAGAGCAATCAAGTTAGAACTCAAGATAAAGAAACTCATTCAAAACCACACAACTACATGGAAATTGAACAACCTGTTCCTGAATGACTCCTGGGCAAATAATAAAATTAAGACAGAAATCAAGAAGTTCTAATGAGAATACATGGAGACAGGAGGGGAACAACACACACTGGGGACTGTTGGAGGGGTGAGGGGAGGGAGAACATCAGGATAAATAGCTAATGCATGAAGGGCTTAATACCTAGGTGATGGGTTAATAGGTGCAGTAAACCACCATGGCACATGTTTACCTATGTAACAAACCTGCACATCCTACACATGTATCCTAGAACTTTAAATTAGATTAAATTAAATTAAGAAATCAAGAAGATATTTGAAACTAACGAGAATAAAGAGACAACATACCAGGATCTCCGGGATGCAGCTAAAGTGGTGTTAAGAGGAAAATTTATAGCACTGAAATGTCTACATCAAAAAGCTAGAAAGACTCAAGTCAACAACCTAACATCACAAGAACTAGAGAACTAAGAGCAAACAAATCTCAAAGCTAGCAGAAGACAAGAAATAACCAAGATCAGAGGGGAACTGAAGGAGATAGAGACGTGAAAAAACCTTTCAGAAAATCAACAAATCCAGGAGCCTGTTTTTTTGCCAAAAATTAATAAAAGAGCTAGACTGCTAGCTAGACTAATAAATAAGAAAAGAGAGAAGAATCAAATAGACACAATCAGAAATGATAAGGGGGATATCACCAGGGACCCCACAGAAATGCATATTTAAATATATTTTTGGCCAGGCATGGTGGCTTATGCCTATAATCCCAGCATCCTGGGAGGCCAAAACAGGAGGATCACTTCAGACCAGGAGTTCAAGACTGGCCCAGGCAACAGAGTGAGACCATGGTTCTACAAAAAATAAAAATTTGCCAATCGTGGTTGTGCACACCTGTAGTCCTAGATATTCAGGAGGCAGAGGCAGGAGGATCACTTGAACCCAGAAGTTTGAGGTTACAATGACCTATGATTGCACTACTGCACTCTAGCCTGGGAAACAAGAGTGAGAACCTGTCTCAAAAATAAATAAAATAAATAAATATATTTTTACTATATCCTTCTCGTTGATTAAAGGCTTCCTAGAGTATAAGTTCTGGTTTAAAAATAATTTTTCTAGAACTTTGAAGCATTGCTCAATTTTGTTCCAACTTCCAGTGTTACTCTTAAGAAATCATGCCACTCTGATTCTCATTTCTTTGTTAGGTGATGTGATCATTCTCTCTGTAAAAATCTTAGTTTCTTCTCTTTATCTCTAATGTTCTGAAATGTCTGTGCCTTTGTGTAGATCATTTTTCCATTTCTTATGCATGGCATTGGGAGGATCTTTTCAATCATGACACTGCTTTATTATTTCTGTGAAAATCCTCTCCCCTACTGTTTTATACTAGGATATCTGACCTCCTGGACATTTTCTTCATTCTATTTCCAACTCTTCTGCTGAATTTTTAAATTTCAGCTATCACTTTTTAATTTCCAAGAGCCCCTTTTTTTTTTCTCTAATTGTTACTGATGTGGTTTGGCTGTGTCCCCACCCAAATCTCATCTTGAATTGTAGTTCCTATAATCTCCACATGTTGTGGGAGGGACCCAGTGGGGGGTAATTGAATCATGGGGGTGGTTACTTCTGTGCTGTTCTCATGATAGTGAGTGAGTTCTTGCAAGATAGTTTTATAAGGGGCTTTCCCCCCCACTTCACTCTGCAATTCTCCTTGCTGCTGCCATATGAAGAAGAATGTGTTTGCTTCCCCTTCTGCCATGATTGTAAGATTCCTGAGGCCTCCCCAGCCCTCTGGAACTGTGAGTCAATTAAACCTCTTTCCTTTATAAATTACCAAGTCTTGGGTATTTCTTCATAGCAGCATGAGAATGAACTAATACAATTACTAATTATAATTAATAATTATCTTTAATTATAGTATAACAAGCTTTTAAGTGAGGTTTTTCATAAATTTGGAGTTGTGTCTGAGGCTCAAAGCCTAGAATGCCATGTATGCCCGTATTCCAAAAGAAGATGCTAGACATTCATGAAGGACTAACATACCATGCATTTACGGTAAAATAAGTCTTGTGCCCGTAGCCCACCTCCCAACTTTAGTCCATGTCTGAAGAAAGAAAAATCCATAAAAAGGCTAGAGACTCTTTAGAGTGAGTTAGGATTTTTTTTTTTCGAAGAGCGTCATATGTGGGCATATGAACATTTAAAGCAGAAGTTTCTCTCCACCTCTTGGGTCAAGCAAGGGGAGGCTTCATGGTGCACACTCAAGACACTCAGTTACTTGCCAGGAGTGGAGACCAACATCTCAGTCCCCAGTCAGCTGCTGCTGAGCTGCAGAAATGTGTAGACTTGTTCTGTGCTTCTACTTGAGCAGAGAGTGGGGAAAGAGTATTCTTGGGAGATCTAGACCCATGTCCTCTGGATTTAGGGGGTCAGATGGGTGGTAGGGCAGAAGGATTAGTGCCTTCCAATCACCTGAGGCTGCCTGGAGATGCTTGTGTAGAACAAAGAAGGGACTGCAGTGGGAATGGTCTGAAGTTTCGTCATTGAAATGGACAGAGATTCATGAGTTTTTCCAAGAACTAAATAAGAAACCAGGAAAGTAATAATGAGCTTGAGTTTCCACCCAAGAGTTCTGGCTCAACAGAATGAGCTTGCATCAAGAGTACTTGGGAAGAGAATTAGGGGAAATCATGAAAGCTCAGCTGCATGGGGTTTCACCAAGTGAAGTATGGAGAGAACAGTGTGAAGTCAAAAGTCCCACGGGAGACTGAGCAAAAAATAACTACGCAAAAGCACCCCCAGCAGAAACGGTCAGCATTGGAGCACCTGCCACACAGAGGTACCAATGTCAGGTACAACTGCCCAATAATATAGGACTGTCTTTTTCTCTTCTAATCCCTGCTCTCCTTGGGCATAATACTAAGGGGGGCATAGAAGCATCAGTTGGTGAATAGAGAAAGAAGGGTTATGATGGAAACAAAAAGAATAGACCATGAACCCCCACTTCCATCCGGCAGAATTCAGGATCAGACCCAAGCTAGAAAGTGGGAGAAGATGTAAATTAGATAAAAGATGGAAGATTATATTAGAGTGTACTTTTCAATACCCCAAAATGATACTATTCTAACCTCCAAAAGTGCCCAGAAAAGCCTTAGACTCTGCACAAGATATTATCCTAGCATGGAAGAAAGGAAATCTGACAGAGAAAATTTAAAGATGACCAGGTTGTTTCCTGCCTGTTATTTATTAAGTACAATCCATTTAAGAAAGTGGTTATAATAGCACTTTTGTTTCCTTTTCCATTCTCTGTGTCCTTGTAGAATCATACTTTTGCCATCATTTCAGTGGGATTTCAGGCAAGAGAAAATATGGACACATGTGCTCAGTCCCTTTTTAAACAACGAGTCAATGCAACTGCCTTTCTTTCTTTCTTTTTCTTTCTTTCTTTTTTCTTTCTCTCTCTTTCCTTCCTTCCCTCCCTCTTTCTTTCTCTTTCTTTCTTTCTTTCTTTCTTTCTTTCTTTCTTTCTTTCTTTCTTTCTTTCTTTCTTTCTTTCTTTCTTTCTTTCTTTCTTTCTTTCCTTCTTCCTTTCTTTCCTTCTTCCTTTCTTTCTTTGTTTTTGGCCCAAAAGCTCCTTCTCCAGGAAACACTAAGTTGACCTACTGATATTTGAGTGAAAAATCCATAGCTAACAGGATAGTCCAAATTCCCACTTCAAATATTGGGCATATTCCACTTACATAAGTTCACTTAAGAGAAAAGTTTTAGCCAAGCATGGTGGTGCACACCTATGGTCCCAGCTACTCAGGAACCTGGGAGATCGAGGCTGCAGTGAGCCATGATTGAGCCACTGCACTCCAATGTGACTGACAGAGTGAGATCCAATCTCAATATAAAAAAAGAAAGTAAACAAAGAAGAAAATAAGAAAGAAAAACTATAACTGTGGTCCATTATCTTGTAGCTAACCATCTGAACTGATTTCTCCGAAAGAATAATCATTGACTGTCACATCTGCCACCTAGTGGCCACTCTGATGCACACATTATGCTAATACTTAGCCTACACCTTTTCATCCTTCACCCCTGCATCCTTCATTCATTCATTCACCCATCCATCTATCCAGCCATCCATCCACCCACCCACCCATTATCCCTTCATCCATCCATCCACCCATCACTCATATTCATTCACCCATCCATCCATCATCACTTCGTCCATCTGTCTACACATACATGCATGGTGCACTTACTTGGGTTAGGCTCCAGGCATGCAGATAAACAGAATACATGAGCCCTTGTCCTTCCTCGAGGAAGTGACAATATAGTGGGGGAGAAAAACATGTATTTTTCTTCTTTCAGGGAGGATTCTGAAAGCTAAGGCTCCAATGTCCAAGTTTGTGTTTCAAGATTTTTTAAAAAATCTCAACTGGCTTCTTCCCTGGAATTTAATGAGATACTTAAGTCTTTGCCATATTAAAGGGGAAAAAAGCCAAAAAACAAACAAACTTTTCATAAATCATGCTACCCCTAACCATTTTCTTATTTCTTTCCTTTTATTCACAGCCAAGTTTCTTCAAAGCGGACTCTATACCCTCTGAAACCCTTTCCTTGCCTCTAACTTATTTTTGTGGTTCTGTTTCTTCATTTTATTTTTAATATATTTTATTGTAAAATAATTAAGAATATTCAGAAAAGAAGCATAATATAATTACCTATGTATTCATCACCCACTTTTTATCACTGACATTGTCTTTTTTTTAAGATCTTCTTGCCCTAAGAAATAAAATATCACAGATGGTGATTTTCTCAGTTCCTCCTTTCTGCTCCCTTCCTGCTCCCTCCTCTTCTGTTTCTGCAGAGAAAAGCAAGGTCATGATCATAACTCTCATGCATGTGCTCACATTTTTGCTACCCATTTATGTATCCATAGCAGTGGATATTATTTTGAATGTTTGTAAATTTGGCAAATCATTATGAATGCTGCTTTTTTTAAAACTCAACTTCCTATTTATATTTTTTCATGTTTATCCATATTCAATACAAACTCTAGTTCATTTTCACAACTGTATATTATTCCACCATATGAAGTTATCACAAATGATATATCTATTCTTCTTTTGATGACTATTTAGGTCATATTCATTATTTTTCTATTTCAAACAATGCTTGCCATGAACACTCTCATGGGCATCTTGTCCACATGTGCAGTGTTTAAGTAGAAGACCCCCGTCTTACCCCCAGGACTTCTCTACATTAAGGATATTCAATAGCAGGCGGGTGCCAGGGCTCACGCCTGTAGTCCCAGCACTTTGGGAAGCCGAGGCAGGTGGATCACCTGACATCAGGAGTTTGAGACCAGCCTGGCCAACATGACGAAACCCCATCTCTACTAAAAATACAAAAATTAGCCAAGTGTGTTGGCAGGGGCCTGTAATCCCAGCTACTCAGGAGGCTGAAGCAGAGAGAATTGCTTGAACCCAGGAGGCGGAGGTTGCAGTGAGCCAAGATCGCACCACGGCACTCCAGCCTGGGCGGCAGAGCGAGACTCAGTCCTGAAAAAGAAAAAAGAAAAGGATATTCAATGGCCCATGACACCTTCCACTAGCAACAAGAAATGTGCCAGTTCTTGCACTAAATTTTGTCCTTTGTCCACACAACCTGGTAACAGAGGTGAGTCACCTAATCACCTAAGTTGATTCCACCGGGTAATAAGAACATTTCTGAAGATTCAGAACCACAGCAAGACTATTTTTTTCCTCTCCACTGCTAAACAAAAACTATAGGAGGCCATTGTTTTGGACTAAACTCCTACACTAGGCTCCAGTAGACCAAACTAAAAATTAGAATGCAATCACCAATGCTCACCAACCGGAAACTGAGTTGTTATCTAGCCTTCCAAGAAATCAGGAGAGAAAGAGATAACAACCTAATGATCCAAATAGGCCAGTTTCAATCTCCAATCAGCATGCTAATAAAGTTCCCTCTGTTTTAACCCTACAACAAAGAGTAACATGTAGTAACCCAATGTTAAATAATTAGTTATCTTTCTATTGTTCTGTTTCCCTGTCCCCACCTTACAAAGAAAGTAACTTTGAAATGATCAATCCACTTTTTGCTTTTTGTTTCTGCTTTATTTGGCCCGCTTTTTTGGCTATAAAGCCAACCACCTCTGTTCAGCTCATTGGAACTCTTATTCTATTTTATGGAATGAAGTATTGTCCAACTCTAGAATCACAATAAAGCCAATTGACTTCTTTCAACTCAATGTGTTTACATTTGTCTTTTGACAGATCTGGTGACCACGAAGGTACCTGAAGGAGACTGCTGATGACCTGAGACCCCATGAGGAACACAGAAAAGGTACTACTCACCTCTTTGAGCAGGGGGCGGTGGGAGGGGTGTCCTCTGTCTTCCTCAAGGAGCCCAAGGAGCCCTAAGACTCATAAGTCCGTCTCAGATCTGAGCTCTGCTCGCTTTTGCATTTGGTGCCCTGATCTCTTTGCCTTTTGGGGGGTACCAAAAGTTAGTTTCCACTGTGAGAGGGCATTTGACCATGGGATAGCAAGGGTTAGTTTGTGCTATTACAGGACACATGGTCTTTTGGTCTACAGTGACTGACAAGCCATTGGCAAAAAAATGGCAGTTTTTAAGGTAACTGATGGCAGTAAGTGGTTTTTACTGAGAGTCCTCTTTATTTCTTCTCTTCATGCAGGCCAAGATGTCAGGGTCAAAGCCATCTCAGCTCCAAGAGACCCAAGATGCAATGTAAAAATGGGATCCTAATTTCTAAAGTTCCAAGTACTCTGCTTTCCAGCTATACCTTCCTTTTTATGTATGGGAATTATGAGTCTGGAAGCTGCAAATTTTACAACAGTGGCAAAATAACACTAAAAAAAAATCAGAATTATAGGGGCCATTGCATAGAATGTTCCTGATGAACAACGCCACACTTAAAAAAATTTCTTTATTTCATTTTTTTTTTTTTTTTGATACGAAGTCTTGCTATGTTGCCCAGGTTGAGCTCAAATTCCTGGGCTGAAGCCATCCTCCCACCTTGGCCTCCCGAGTAGCTGGGACTACAGGCAAGAGCCACTGCACCTGGCTCAACATTGAGTTAGCAGCAGTGAATCTGTACAAGTCTGCAGCAACTCAATTCTTGCCTCCTTAAAAGAAACTATTCATCTGAGCATAATGCACAGTGTGAAAGTATATTTTAAAAGTTTTAGAGCAGAAATGAAAGGAAGTAAAGTATATTTGGAAAAGGGCCAAGCATGCAACTTGGGAGATTCAAGCGCCTCCCCTTGACTTGGGGTTTATATGTCGGTATGATTCCAGGGTTTGCATTTCTTCTCCCCGATTCTTCCCTTGGGGTGGGCTGTCCGCATGCGCAGTGGCCTGCCAGGACTTGGGAGGGGCCACATGTACAGTGTGTTTACTGAAATTGTGCACATGCTCATTTGAGGCATTTTTCCCTTAGCAGTCACGTATTCCTAGAAGAAGGTCATATACCAATTAAACTGCCATCTTGTCTCTTAGCTTGCATGCTTGGGCCCACTCACCCAGTTCCTGAGATCTTATTGGGAAGTGGCTGCTCATCAGCTTCAGGTGTTTTCTATCTACTGAGAGTTGGCATTTTCCCTGGCAACAGCTGTGACCAATTATAACTTTAGAGAGACAGTTTAACAACTGCCTGACCATCACCTGATAGTCGCCTGACGTTCCTGGTAGAGGGGGGCCTCTTCTGCCCTGCTCATATCTGACAACTACCTACTCTAACAATTATACTTTAAGATTGATCCTTTCCCTTCCATGAGCAGCAATCACTTTCCTGATCTTCTCATTTCTTGTCCTGAGAACTTGGCTTGACTTTCCATCTGTCAGGGGTACACGGGTTGTTGGGCCTGTGTATACAGGTGGCCAATCAAAAGGCTAGGAGCCTCAAGAATATGGCTAGACAGAAATGGAGCTGCATCCCATTTGCAGCTAGCAAAATATGGCCAGACAGAAATGTGGGTTGAACCTTATTTGCGGCTAGACTGATTGTGATACAGGAGAGATAAAGAAATTATTTAGGCAGATAGTGATGGCAAAGAGTCCTTGGCAGAACTTCCCTTCTAACAAAAAGCAGCCCTAGAAATCATGTCTTTTCTAACAAAGAGCAGCCTGATAAATAGGGATGCAAAACATAAAAAAGGAAGCTGGAAGCTTGCACGGAGGAATGCCAGCAACTGCACCAACAGAAAAGGGCTACCTGGGAGACAGGTGTGTCTGCCATGGAAGCTCCATCTTCCCTTTCTTGTTAGCACATGCACAGTAAGAATGAAATGGGCAACATGGAGAAGCTCAGGCAGAGAATTCACCTGCATAATAAAAGACTGGGGTGGGGGCTGCCAGAGATTCACACCCTATGCAGATGGCACACCTGGTCCTAACTGATTTTTTTTGTCCTATGTAGATCAGACATCGCCTCCCTCTTAAGTCATCTATAAAAACCACTGCATTTCACCACAAATCGGCAACCCATTTTTCCCAGACACCTCTCTGTAGCAGAGAGCTATTCTCTTTCTTTTGCCTGTTAAATTTCCACTCTTAACCTTACTCTTTGTGTGTCTGCATCCTTGCTCTCCATGGCCAAGAGAAAACGGACCTCAGATGTCACCCCAGACAATGAGGCCGCTTCAACTGTTGCAGCTCTCAAGGCATTATTTAAATCTCTGGGGTTTTTGGCTGATTTTTGGGAGTGGTTCATGAAGAGCTGATCTACAGGGCTCCCAAATTAGGCCCATCCAGGGATGCCTTCAATAGGCATAAGCTTCTAAAAGTATTTCAGAAAAAATTTATTGCATCTTTTGAATGGCTTTTTACAAAATACCAAATAAAAAGCTTAAGTGATTGATAAGAAAATTAAATCTACTGACCTTTTTGTTTAGCCCTGTTCATTGAAGAACTCCATCCTAAAGTCAGTAATCTAATTAAGAAACAAGCTAAATTGAAAAGACTGCCCGTTGAACTAACTTGGTTTCCAAAATATAACTTTCTGCATTTAGCTAGCTATTTTGAAATTCCTTGTAAAAATAAATTTACATCTATAAATGAAATCTGCATTTCTAAAGGTATCTTCCTTTCTGTACCTAAACAACAATAGGAAAGACATTGGCTTAAAGCTTACATAACAAATTTTACTCTTGTTTAAGGTAATTTTCCTCACCATCTTGTCTTAACTGAGTCTCTTACCTATGCCCTTCTTTATCTCAGCAAATAATGGCATTTAGACCTAAGTTCTATAAATTTTTCACCTTGTTTCACACAAATGTCATGCCTTTGGCAATGCAAATTTAAGGTCACCTACCTAACAATTGTTTAGAGCAAGGAATAAGCAATCATAAGATTGATAGTCTAAAGTGGAGAGAGAGAGATCTTGAAAACTAGAAAATGCAGAATATTTATTTATTTTTGAAACAGGGTCTCACTCTGTTACCCAGGCTGGAGTACTGTGGCACAATCATAGCTCACTGTAACCTTGAAGTTCCAGGCTCAAGCAAGCCTCTCACTTCAGCCTCTGGAGTAGCTGGGACTACAGGAGCACACAACCATGCCCAGCTAATTTTATTTTTTTGTAGAGACGGGGCCTCACTTTGTTGCCCAGACTGGCTTTGAACTCCTGGCCTCAAGTGATCCTCCCACCTGAGCCTCCAAAAGGGCTGAGATTATAGGTATGAAAAAATTAATAAATCTCAGGACCCCAAAATCACTAAGCCAAAGAGAAAAGTCAGCCTGGGAACTGCAAAGAGCAAACCTGCCTCCCATTCTATTCCTAAATAGGATGGCTACAAAGATAAAAACCTACATACCTCCCTCACAATTTGTCCACAAAATAATTCCTTGTGGACAAAGGACAGACAGAACTCAAAGTCATCCCTCTGCTCCCAGGAGACAAATGCACAGCTGATTGCTTCCTTTGATTCAGTGGAAGGCTAATCAGAAACCCAAAATAATGCAACCATTTGTTCTTTGTCTACCTGTGACCTGGAAGCCCCCTCCCCACTTTGAGTTGTCCCACCTTTCCAGACTGAACCAATGTACATCTTACATATATTGATTGATGTCTCATGTCGCCCTAAAATGTATAAAACCAAGCTGCGCCCCGACCACCTTGGACACCTGTTGTTAGGACCTTCTGAGGCTGTATCATGGGTGCATCCTTAACTTTGGCAAAATAAACTTCCTAAATTGATTGAGACTTGTCTTAGATACTCTGGTTTACACAGGCATGAGCCACCATGACTGCCTAGAAGAATCTTTAAAAAGCTGTAAGATCTGCTTCTCTCTGTGTGTCCATATGTCTATATGTATTACGTGTATGTGATATTTCTCTACTAAAATATATGAAAAAAAGCTCTAATTTGCTTGAAGAAAACCTAAGCAGTTAGATCAAATATTTTAATGCCTTTTAGTTCATGTGATCTGCGTAAATCTTCGGTAAATAGGATTAGTTTATTACTATTGTTGTTTAAATAAAAACAACTGTGTCTTGTGATCAGGAAAACACCCATGCATTTAACTTTAGAGTTCATGCTTAGCATTTGCATGCTATAAAAATGGTTAACACGGGCCGGGCCTGGTGGCTCATGCCTGTAATCCCAGCACTTTGGGAGGCCGAGGCAGGTGGAACACGAAGTCAGGAGATCGAGACCATCCTGGCTAACACGGTGAAACGCTGTCTCTACTAAAAGTACAAAAAATTAGCCGGGCGTGGTGGCGGGCACCTGTAGTCCCGGCTACTCGAGAGGCTGAGGCAGGAGAATGGCGTGAACCTGGGAGGCGGAGCTTGCAGTGAGCGGAGACAGCACCACTGCACTCCAGCCTGGGTGACAGAGCGAGACTCCGTCTCAAAAAACAAAACAAAACAAAACAAAAAAGGTTAACACAGAAATAACTTAAATGATGGCTAGCCTTGTTTAATGGGCACTTCAAGAATTATTGTTAAGAATGAGTAGACTAGGTGAATATAGACAGGATAAAAGTTTATAAATAAAATTTTCATGGTTTCAAAAATCTTTGTAGATAACTTAAAGTTGTGTTATAATTAATAGATTCTCATGAAATGTCTGAATCATTTCTAAGTATGATAAAATGCTGAAACATTAATTGCTGCACGTAAGTTTAAGTTTGTTTTTGGCTTCTTGAATTGTACAAAAAGACAAAATGCATTTAGGTCTGTTAGTAAATGTGTTCTATTCCACATTGAAAAATTGTACTTTAGCCAGATAAAACAGATGGCACATGCATGTAGTTCCAGCTACTCAGGAGGTTGAGGCAGGAGGGTCACTTGAGCCCAGCTTGTGTAACAGAGACCCCATCTCTAAAAGAAAAAGAAAAAAAGAAAATTTGTACCTTCAGGAAGCACATATTTCTAGGAATTATGAAATGGTCCTACTCTACAGAATTGGTTTGCAACTGCTAAGAATTAAAAAGTATAATTAGTATACATAATTAAAACTACTAGAAATAAAGGGAACAATTCAGTATGCTAAGCAGGAAAGTGAGAGTGTTTTTGTTGAGAAAAATTATAAGAAAGGCATAAAGGTATGCTTTTTTCCCTTTGGGAAAAAAGTAATTTTGTCTAATTTTGATATTATTTAAAGGTTCTTTCAAAATATGGACTTAGGAACTAAAAAGAAGCAAGGAAAGAGGGAACCTGTAAGCAGGAGAAAGAGAGATTTTGTGTTTTATCAAGTTAATTTCCTATGCTTCATACTGTCTTTATTAGGTCTCTGATTACTTAAGAAAATTGAGTTAAAGGGTTTTTTCCTACAAATATGCAATTTTTTTTTTCCCAGACAGGGTCTGGTCCTGTTCACCAGGCTGGAGTGTGGTGGCATGATCTCCGCTCACTGCAACTTCTGCCTCCCGGGCTCAAGCCATCCTCCTACCTCAGCCTTCCAAGTAGCTGGGTCTACAGGAGCATGCCGCTGTGCCTGGCTAATTTTTTGTTGTTGTTGTTGTATTTTTCGTAGAGACAGGGCGTATTAGTTCATTTCCACGCTGCTAATAAAGACATACCCGAGACTGGGCAATTTACAAAAGAAAGAGGTTTATTGGACTTACAATTCCACGTGGCTGGGAAGTCCTCACAATCATGGCTGAAGGTGAAAGGCACATCTCACATGGCAGGAGACAAGAGAAGAGAGCTTGTGCAGGGAAAGTCCCCTTTTTAAAACCATCAGATCTCATGAGACTTATTTGCTAGCATGAGAACAGCACAGGAAAGACCTGCCCCATGATTCAATTACCTCCCACCGTGTCCCTCTCATAAACACATGGGAATTCAAGATGAGATTTGGGTGAGGACACAGCCAAACCATATCACGGGGTTTTGCCATGTTGCCCAGACTGATCTCAAACTCCTAGACTTGAGCGATCATCCCGCCTAGGCCTCCCAAATTGCTGGGATTACAGGTGTGAGCCACTTCCCCCAGCCTTGCAACTTCTCTTAATTAAAACTCTGGTTAAAGGAATAATTATTGTTTCATAGTGGCCTGTGATCCTACTTTTGATCAAGTGTTTTGAAAGTTTATTTTCGACAAACTTCCTAAAATCAAATTATAAAATTAAGTCCTTTTGACCTTGAACCAGCTGTTGGACAGCCCAGAGGGCCCCTGGAAATGCAAAAGAGAGATATTAAACAGATTAAACAGCTTATTTGATTCCTTAAATTACATGAGAAACTTTGTCAAATAAGAAATGGAATTTAACCTTCTTCGAGTTATATTTGTATGTCTTTAAGGAGGTTCATAATAAGGATAGAAAGAACCCTGGCAAGTACAGGTTTCTGATAACTTTAAGGTTTTTTTTTTTTTTTAATACCATTGGACTGGGTAAGAATTTCTAGAACTCTAATGAGACTGATGGGTTTGTGAAACTGCTAACCAAGATCAAACAGAACAAAAATTTATTACATGAGACTGAATGAACTGACAAGAAAGAATAATGGGGCTTAATGGCGTTTTAAAAAGGGAGTATTTCTGATTCTTTTAATGTTTCATTATCCCGATTTAAGGGAACTTTTTTTCTTTCTTTTTTTTTTTTTTTTTTTTGTGAGACGGAGTCTCGCTCTGTCGCCCAGGCTGGAGTGCAGTGGCGCTGTCTCGGCTCACTGCAAGCTCCGCCTCCCGGGTTCACGCCATTCTCCTGCCTCAGCCTCCCGAGTAGCTGGGACTACAGGCGCCCGCCACCATACCTGGCTGATTTTTTGTACTTCTAGTAGAGATGGGGTTTCACCGTGTTAGCCAGGATGGTCTCGATCTCCTGACCTCGCGATCCACCCGCCTCGGCCTCCCAAAGTGCTGGGATTACAGGCGTCAGCCACCGCACCCAGCAAGGGAACTTTTTTTCTTTTAAGCTAACTATAACTTATAGCAATTTGCTAATGCATACTTTTGTAAACAAAAATTGAAACATTTGCTTTTGTTCCCTACCTGATCCCTCCAAAACTCAGGAAATAATTCATGGGTATCCTTATTTTTGTTTATGATGATATGGTTATTTGCATAAATTCAACAAGAATCTGTTCTCTTTAACATGATACAACTGAAAACATTGACTATATTATCAAAGCTTTGACTGGAATGTCATATTTGAAAACATGCATAGAGAGTCTGGCTTTAAGGGCAAAGTCTGATGTCTGCATTGGTTTGACTTCCTAGCATCGAGAGGTTTTAAAAAGTCCAGTTTAGGCCGGGCGCGGTGGCTCACGCCTGTAATCCCAGCACTTTGGGAGGCCGAGGCGGGCGGATCACGAGGTCAGGAGATCGAGACCATCCTGGCTAACACGGTGAAACCTCGTCTCTACAAAAAATGCAAAAAAAAAAAAAAAAATTAGCCAGGCGTGGTGACGGGCGCCTGTAGTCCCAGCTACTAAGGAGGCTGAGGCAAGAGAATGGCGTGAACCCAGGAGGCGGAGCTTGCAGTGAGCCAAGATCACGCCACTGCCCTCCAGCCTGGGGTACAGAGCGAGACTTCATCTCAAAAAAAAAAAAAAAAAAAAAAAGTCCAGCCTAAGATTTCTTGTCAAAATTATCATCAAGCAAATTTAAAAGGAGCCTATATGGTTATTCTTGCTGTACTTATACAAATAATTAGGCCAAGTTTGAGACTAAACTTATTTTAGAAACAAATTGGTGTTACTGTGATTATTTTTAGTAGAAGTGGGGATGACAATAGAGAGAAAAATTAAGTTTCAGAAGAAAACCATAGTACACTTGTTGTTAGATCATAGCCCTGTTGATTGTTTTCAAGTTTTTGTTATTTATTTAGGATTGGATCTTAAATTCCTCTAGTTTACTTCAATATCTTGCTACAACTCTCCAAACAAGAACAAAAACTGCTAAGCTGGACAATTTGACATAAGTTTCAGGGATAAAGTCTCATGCCTGATGTGTAGATCACATGGAGAGCTCACCAGAATGCCCAATGCCACAACCCAAGGAGGGAATCATGGGAACCCTGGTTTATAGTCAGTGGGCCAGAAGCTGAGGTCAAAATCTGAGTTTGTAATTGGCATGTGAAATGGGGTCAGGCTCCTGGGACTGAGCCCTCACCTATCCTGAGCTCTCAACCCAACTTTACCTGGCTGTCTCCAAGTAAGTAGGATCAGAATAACAGGACACCTAGCTGGTGTTTGCTGCAGAGTTGCTTGGTTGGCATGTGGAGAAAACCCCCCACACATCTGGTGTCAGAAGTACTCTGTGATTGTGAGTAGAGAGTAGGGAAACATGCTTAGGTTTTTCCCATATATATATCCACACAAATATATGTGTGAATCTTAGTATAATTCTTTTCATCTTATTTGATTTCAGGATAATGAAAGTTGTATTCTTATTGCTATTTATTAACAGGAAGTCTCTGATTAATCCAGAAAACAGTATTTTTTGGTCTCTCTTCTAAAGTAATTTTCATTTTCTCTCATTTAGTTTTCACATGAAAGCTTGATAGAACTATAATTCCAAGGATACTGTTATGTAAATGCAGGCTATTTAGAAGTGAAATTCCTGAGTCAATTGTTTCCTTTCATTTCTAGACAGTGTAAGGATAGTACTTGAGTTGGTGCTATTAACCCCCTCCCCAAAATGTGAATGGTAGTAGGGATTCTTTGTGGGCAGTCCTGCCACTGGAGACATTTGAAACTCAAATTCCATTTCTATAGATCAAAGGCTAAATCACACCAGTGGTAAAACTAATATGTTTACAAAACAAATTTTGATTTAAACAAACCAACAAAATTCCCTTTGATGGCTCTCATTGCACTTAGGTAAAATCCAATCCCCTCCTGGTGGTCCCCAAGGTCCTGATGGGGCCAGACCATCCAGTTGGCACCTAGTTAGTGCTCCTGCTCCAACCCCTCAGGTGCAAGCTCCTCCCTATTCATGGCCCCCTCTCTGTTGGAAACCTTTATCCCGCTCCAGGTCTAACCCTCTTTCATCTCAAGTCTTACATGTTGTATCCCTGGAGAAACTTTCATTAACTTCCCACTCAAAACTGTTACTCCTGTTCCTCTTTTTCATCCCACTTTTCAACTCATTATTAAAGGCACTTATTTCAACATGCGTCATGTCATCTGTGCTGTGATGATTGGTTGACTGTGCATGCTCATCCCAGAGCTCTGTTCTCTTTCTTTTCTGTATCCAGCATTTTTCAGACAGAGGGTTGGGCATGCTTATGGCATCTGGGGGAACAATTCTTTGTACAGTTTATAAGGTTATGCATGATAATGATGCTTAACAAATAACCCCCAAACCTCATTGGTCACAACCAACACTGATATCTCACTCGTGGGCTTGGTACTCGGCTGGGCTTGGGGCTCAGGTCTGCTCTGGTCTCTCACTGGTGTTTCTTGCTTGAGGGCCCAGGTGGAGGGAGGTATGGTTGCCTGAGTATGCGGTCTCCTGGTGAATGGCTTGAGCTTAGGAGAGTGAGGGAACACAGAATGGTTCTTGACACCTCACCCAGAACTGGCACAATCTCCTATCTGCTTACATTTCTCTGGTCAAAGAAATTTTTATGACCTAAAATCAATGCAGGAAGTTTGATGTCTTTAACAACTGGGTGCTAAATGTTGGTAATGCCTCTGCTGTGGTGGGAATGTTTGGGTTACCCCAAAATCTATATGTTGAAATCCTGACTCCCACAAGGTGATAGTATTAGAAGATGGGAGGTGATTAGGGCTCTACCATAATGAATAGGATTGTGCTCTTATAAAAGAGGCCTTACAGAGGCTCCTCACCCTTCTACCGTGTAAGGTGACAATGAGAAGCTGTACATCCATAAGAAATGGGACCTCGCCAGACATTATATTTGGCGATGCCTTGACCTTGGACTTCCCAGCCTCCAGAAGTGAGGAAAATAAAATTTTTGTAGTTTATAAGCCACTCTATAGTATTTTGTTATAGCAGCCTAAAAAGACTAAGACAATCTCCCATGCTCTGTGAAAACTCCAGACTGCTCCTTGGTCCTGAATCTCTACCCTCACCCACATTGAGAGCCCTTCTCTGTACCTGGCACAGAAGAGGCACAGAATGAATATTTGGTGAAAAATTAACTTTGCCAAACTGCCGTCCAAGAACTGTTGTAAAACCTTACTGACTAGGGAATGCTACTGGCATTTGTTTAGTGTCTTTTAAGCATTAATTATTTTTTCCATGCAAAAAGATACCACATTTTAACCTTTTAGAATAAGGCTGAGTTTTTTTTTTTTTTTCAGACATTTAGTGACAATTTCTTTTAGAAATTCTCTATTCAAGTCTTATGCTCATTTTTCTGTTAAATGTTTCTTCCTCATTTGGAAGAATTCTTGTCACAGGTAACAAATATTTTTCCAGTTTGCCTTTTAAATGTTGTAATAATTTTTTGGCAGGCAGACATTGTTAACATTTATACAGCCTCATCTCTCACTGTTTTTGTTCATGGCCTGCTGAAGCACACATTTTCACTATATCAAATGGACAGACTATAATGTACCTAACCAGTCCCTTATTATGGGCTATTTAGATGGTTTATAGGTTTTTTTTCTCATCAGTAACATTGTGATGAAGATCTGATATAAGCCCTGAAAGTGGAAGTATCATATCAAAGAAAATTTTTAAGTTCTTAATATATTTTGTCAAATTACTATTGAAATCTTACTTCCTAGTCCCTATAACTCAGTTCCCCCAAACCCCAGGACTCACATCCCAGACACCCCTTCATCCCAAGACCCACATCCCAGATCCTCATACCCCAGGCCCTGCTGCTGAAGTCCTTACTGGTCAGCCTTGTGCTGAAACAAACAAGGAGAGGACTGAGAGCAGGACTGGAAGGGTAATGGGAAACTGTCCAGAACACCTCAGATGCTCCTTCTGCCAGCAATGCTTTCCCCTGAGGCCCTTCTATGGTGTCCTTTTGGGATTTAGGTCTCTCTCAAATGGCACTGCAAAGCCTAATCCTGGCCCCTTCATCTAAAAGTGACTCTGACTCTAGCTATTCTTTATTGCATTACACTGGTTTTTTTTAATTGTTGTTGTTGTAGTTGTCATTGCTTGTTTTTTGGTTTTTGTTTTTTTTGTTGTTGTTGTTGTTAATTGTAGAGACAGGTTTTTGCCATGTTTCCCAGGCTGGTCTTGAACTCCTGGGCTCAAGCAATCTGCCTGCCTCAGCCTCCCAAAGTGCTGGGATTACAGGTGTGAGCCACCACACCCAAACTACACTGTTTTTCCCCCCTTTAATAGCACCTATTTCTACCTGATATTATCTTATTAATTACATGTTTAATTTCTGTCAGTAATTATCTTGTTTGGTGTGTTGACTGCAGTATCTGCAGCATCAGGAACAGTTTCTGGCACAGAGAAACTCTTCTCAAATTGACTGCTTATTGGAATCACCTGTGAAGCTTTGAAAATCCCATTACCTACCCCCGACCAAAAGAAAGAATTGTTTAGTTATTAAATCACTTTACAAAAAAATGTAAATATTATTTTCTCCAGGAGATAGAGAATGTAGCAGATATTCTCAAACATGTTTATTTACTACTGTGTAGTTGGCCCCTTGTTGAATCCTTTTTAATGTAGCTAATAGAGTGTGGTTGTACAAACTATGAAAGTTATTGAAATTCTTTGATAAAACTATCATTTTTGGGGGAAAACGTATTGGAAGAACTCATCCAAGTGTGTGTGTGTACACGCTGTGTTTTTCTAACCTTCAGTCCAGAAGTAGAAGGGGTTTAAATCTGCTTGCACTGCCTGTGCCTCCATTATGTTACTGTAGAAATGTGACATGCTAAATATAGGATGGTGCATTATAAAATTGTACCGCTTGAGAATAGACCAGCATGCCATTAAGAATTTTTAGGAAGAACTCATTTAACCTAAGAGCTCTTTGTTTATGGATTTTGAATTTTATATGCCACTGTGATCTATAAAGAAACAAATCCATAATGAAGTCACTATTCACTACTGTGTTGTATATAAAACAATATGTTCCAAGGCAAAAAATTCAATATTCATGCCTCTCCCTAGCCCAATTAAATCAGGATTGCTAAGGGTGGAATCCAGGTGATTCCAATGTGCAGCCAAGTTTGAGAGCTACTGACATAGAAGAAACTCAGCAATATTTGTTGGATGGATGGATGGATGGATGGATGGTTGGATGGGTGAGCAAAAGAACATGGGGAATGAGAAATTTGGGGCTCTGGTTCTAGCACTCCCTCTAATGTGCTGTGTGACCTCGCTGTGTCACTCTACTTTACTGAACACCCATTGTTGCACTACATGTAGAAGGAATGAGAGAAGCCTGAAGACAGAATAATTAAAGCTTTATAGAAAACTTCCGGCTGGGAGCGGTGGCTCACGCCTGGAATCCTAGCACTTTGGAAGGCCGAGGTGGGCGGATCACGAGGTCAGGAGATCGAGACCATCCTGGCTAACACAGTGAAACCCCGCCTCTAGTAGAAATACAAAAAATTAGCCGGGCGTGGTGGCGGGCGCCTGTAGTCCCAGCTACTCGGGAGGCTGAGGCAGGAGAATGGCGTGAACCCGGGAGGCGGAGCTTGCAGTGAGCCGAGATCGCACCACTGCACTCCAGCCTGGGTGACAGAGCGAGACTCCGTCTCAAAAAAAAAAAAAAAGAAAAAAAAGAAAGAAAACTTCCTCCAGAACAAAGCTAAGCCTAACAGGAAGCTCTTTACTATGTGTATTAGGCCATTCTCCCATTGCTATAAAGAAATACCTGAGACTGGGTAATTTATAAAGAAGAGGTTTAATTAACTCACAGTTCTACAGGCTTTACAGAAAGCATGGCGCCGGCATCTGCTTGGCTTCTGGGGAGGCTTTAGGAAGATTACAATCATGGTGGAAGGTGAAAGGAGAGCAGGCATGTCACATGGTGAAAGCAAGAGCTAGAGAGGATAAGTGCCACACTTTTAAACAGCCAGATCTCGTGATGAGTGACTCAGTGTCAGGAAGACAGCACCAAGAGGATGTTGCTAAACCATTCACAAAAAATCCACCCCAACGAGCCAATCACCTCCCACCAGGCCCCACCTCCAACACTGGCTATTACATTTTGACATGAGATCTGGGTGGGACAAATATCCAAACTATATCACTATGGTACCTCTTTACCCACGAACTGGAAAGTATTTGTGAGGCTCCAAAGAGGAACATCACACAACTCTGTACTCAGTGTACAGAAGAGAGACAGAATGACTGATTTCTAGTCCTCAGATATCACACTTGGGAGACACAATTTGTGAGGGTGCCTGGAGTGAAGGGAAAGGGAGAGAGATGGATTGATCTGAGAGATTCCTCACAAGCCTCCTTGTCTGCATTGGCTGTTAAAGGTCTTCTTCAAGACTGTGAAGGGTTTCTGCTCTCAAATATGGGCTGCTTAAACTTTCTTTTTCTTTTTTAAGAGACAGTGTCTTGCTATATTGCCCAGGCTTAAGTGCAGTGGCTATTCATGGTCATGATCCCACTACTGATCAGCACAGAAGTTTTAACCTGCTCTGTTTCTGACCTGGGCCAGTTCACCACTCCTTAGGCAACCTTGCTCCCTGGAGGTCACTGTATTGATACCAAACTTAGTGCAGATCTCTGATTGGCATAGCTTACTAAAGCCCAGAACTCCTGGGCTCAAGCGATTTTCCTGCCTCAGCCTCCCGAGTTGCTGGGACATAAGCAGGTGCCACCTAGCCCTGTTCAAACTTTCTTGACGATATTATGGCTGTTTTGCTGAGATTTTTTTTTTTAAGCATGCCCCATGCCCCTCAACTCTGTTACTGTCACTCTACACCTGTTGTAACATAGGACAGTTTCTTTTTTTTTTTTTAGACAGAGTTTCACTCTTGTTGCCCAGGCTGGAGTGCAGTGGCACAATCTCAGCTCACCGCAACCTCCGCCTTCCCAGTTCAAGTGATTCTCCTGCCTCAGCCTACCAAGTAGCTGGGATTACAGGCATGCGCTGCCACGCCCGGCTAATTTTGTATTTTTAGTAGAGACGGCATTTCTCCATGTTGGTCAGGCTGGTCTCGAACTCCCAATCTCAGGTGATCCACCCGCCTCGGCCTCTCAAAGTGCTGGGATTACAGACATGAGCCACCGCGCTCGGGAAGGACAGTTTCTTACTGAGGAAGTTAGCTACTCATGCTTATTTAAAACATTGCAAAAGCATTATAACAGGGAACTCAGGGTGTGGCCTGAGTCCTGTTATTCTCCAGGCTGCTATTATATACAGCTGTTTAGGCTTGCCTGCTATGTGAGATCTTACTACCTGTTCCTAGGCATCAGTACCTGTCTGGTCACTCAACAGTGGCCACAAATTATTATCACTCTCCATTCCCCATCAACCTATACCATTTCAGTGAATGACAGTTTTAAAACTACAAAAACAACACATTTGGGAAGTTATGAGAGTAGAAATTGAAGTTTATTGGCTTCACAAAGGATAAGAGCAAGATATACCACACAGGAGGGTTCCCATCTCAATACCTTAACTTGCATATTCAGATTATTCAAATTATTGGGGACCAGGGTTTGGGGATCGTGCACAGCTTTGAGTAATATTTGCTAGTTATATTTAAGAACAAAATGGCATCCTTAGGGCAGTTCCAACTATTTGTGAGCTCTGGCTCCAGACAAACCTCTGTCTGTCAGGATGAACTCCAGGAGGAGTACAAAAGGTGCAAAAATAAAATAAAATAGAAAACATCATATATATATACACGTATATATATACACACATATATACACGTATATATATATACACACATATATATATATACACGTATATATATATAGTTTTTAGACAGGGTCTTGCTCTGTCACCCAAGCAGGAGTGCAGTGGTGTTATCATAGCTCACTGCAACCTCAACCTTCCTGGCTCAAGCAATTCTCCCACCTCAGCCTACCGGCTAGCTGGGACCACTGGCACCGGGCTAATTTTCTTATTTTTTGTAGAGATGGAGGTCTCACTATGTTGCCCAGGTTGGTCTCCAACTCCTAGGTTCAAGTGATACTCCCGCCTCGACCCCCAAAGTGCTGGGATTACAGGCATGTGCCACCGCGCCTGCCTACTCTTTTAAAGACGCTAGGGATGCAAAGAAGAGACGAAAGCAAACACGAAACCTTTTTGATCTCAAGGAACTAAAGGTCTGAGTCTGACACTTCCCATCCCACACACATATACAGAGGGAAGGATCTCTTCTCCAGCAAAAGTTTTCACGAAAGTCATCTCTTTCCTCATTGCTTAAAAGAAACAAAAAGCCAAGAAGCCGTTATGGAGCGGGTGTGGGGGCCTGTGACCTTTTGTCTAGTTGCCATCCTCCGGGACCAACAAGGGGTACATCAAATAAGGGACGCGGCGGCTCAAATGACATGAACATAGGAGTCCGCATTCTCTGAGATGTCATTCCTCCAGGAAGACCCAGGAACCGTGAATAGGGCGGGGTGGTGGGCAATATCTGAAGCGAGGTTTCCTGGGAACGCGATGCCACTGGCCAGGACGCTGGAGAGGGCAGCGGGCTTGAAGAATCCCTTCTCAAGGGGTCCGTTCCTGGGTCGTATATGGAGAAGTCTGTCCAAGCGTGTGTCTGTAAGGTCTAGAGCCGGGCGTGCATTCAGAATCCTCAAGCTCATCTGTACTTGGACTCTGACCCTGAAGCGAGGCGGTTTCCGAAGTCTGATTCACCGAGGGGACAGGACCTATTTGGGGCATCCGATGGCAGCGAGAAGAGAAGGGAGCCGAAATGCAAAATATTCTCAAGATGCAGGAGGAACCCCTCTCAAAGAGCGCCACGGAGAAAACTTCAGAGTACGGGCGCGATGATCCAGCACAACGCCAGGACCTGCAGCCCAGCCCACCTCTCCCCGGGCTGCTGTGGCGCAGGCGCAGTGGCGCCGCGCTCCGGCCCCAGCGCGCATGCTCTGCCCGGCTGCGGCGCTTCGGGCAGGCGGCGGCGGCGGCGGCGGCGGCGGCAGAGGGAGTTTCCGCTTTGTACTCCACCCCGGTAGCAGCTCCGCGGCAGGGACAGCTTCCTCCGGACGCTTGGCGGGCTTCGCTCTCGCCTTACGACAGCCCGGTCGGATCATGGGGTTGCCCAGGGGGCCGGAGGGCCAGGGTCTCCCGGAGGTAAGAACGCCTCCTCCTTCCCTGACACGTCGGGGTTCCTGAAGAGAGGGCCGAGCCGCGGGGCGGCGGGCTGAGCGGGCCCTGGGTGCGTTAGGGGCGCCCCGCCCCCTTCCTCAGGCGTATCCACCTCAGGGAAGCGCCGACCCTCTTCTTGGAGGCGGGGAGCAGGTACCCCTGCATGGGCAGGGGGCGGCGGGCGGGTGAGGACAAACTTAAGCCGCTCCCGGGTCTCTTGGGGCGCAGGTGGCCTTCCTAGCCCGACACCTGCTCTGACGCAGCCCCACGCGCCGCGGGGTCCTGGGCTCCCACCTTTCTCCCTGTCCGGGACGGGCTCCCCCACCCCGCGCCGCAGGGCTAGCCCCGAGGGCCGAGGCTGCTGGGCGCTGGAGTCACGAGACCGCTCTCCGAGGCGGTTCGGGCTCGGGTGGTGACCTTGGGACGTCTACCGCCACCCCGCAGAGTCCCGGCGGCCCGCCCCACCCGCCTTGCTGTCGGGAGGGAATGCCACCCTCCTTGCGTGGACCCGGGCCGGGGCGGCGGGAGGAAGTTTGGGAGACTTGCGCGCACCAGGGAGGTGTCCCGCTGGGTCAGCGCGCCGGGGCGTTCGGGGTGGGACGCACTCCAGGGGTGCTGTGTGGCGGGGGACCCGGCTCTGGGCGGAAAGGCTGCGGCTTCTCCAGAAGAGGGCGGGGTTCTTTTCCAAAGGTGTTTGTTAAGTACTCACTTAGTGCTAGGGAGGGGGTCATGAGTGGTTTGCGGATTTCCACGTTTGCTGGGAATACAGGGAAAGTGTATTCATTTTCTTTTGGCTGCAAATACCACTTAGCATCTCATAGGTAGTTTGCATCTGTCGTCCCTTTCAGTTGATTTTACTCAAAGGCTAGTCTAGTTTACTGGATTCTGGAGAGAAATGGAAGCCACGCCGCACCTCTGCCTTTTTCCTAAGGTTCTGGAGCAGGCATTGGGCAGGGTGACTGCTTGCTTGACGTGGTGAGTCGTCCCTTCACACTTACCTGCCAGTGACCAATGTTACTCCTCTGCATTCCTCCCAAATCCTCAGTTCTTTCATATCACAAGTATCCACTAATTGAGGGATCACTGTGTTCTGTGTCCAGAAGCTGGGAATATATATAGTCTGAAAGGACAGATTTGTTTGTCAGTGTGTGCTCCCCGAATGCAAGTCCATTTTGTTGTCTTAAGAAAACCTGACAAGCATAATGTTGTCAGAACCCCTGTATTAGGTAAAATCTTACATGCACGTTGCCTGGGATGGGACCCAGGATAGTGAACAATAGGATTTGTACTGTGACATTTGAAGTTTTCTTTTTTGCCACTTCTGTATTCTAGGCTCTCATCAAGTTTTTGCCTGGCCTTTTGCTGTAGACTTCTGTCTGGTCTCCCACGTTCTACTTTAAATCCGTCCAACCCAATATTCCACAGTACTATCAGTGGAGGTCTTTCTGGGGGGAAAATAAATAAATTAATTAATGAAGAGCAACCTGCTGCTGTATGTCCTTCGTTTAAACTTTCACTGACTGCTAAGAGGCCACACTCACCAGGTCAAGCAATAACTTATCATCATTTAGTTCAGAAGCTAGTAAATATAAATATGGATAGTCTGTGTTATTAGGATGTCACTAGACCAGTTAATTCATTAAATTCATTCTTTTTTTTTTTTTTGAGACAGAGTCTCACTCTGTCACCGAGGCTGGAGTGCAATGGCGTGAGCTCGGTTCATTGCAACCTCTGCCTCCCAGGTTCAAGCAATTCTTATGCCTCAGGCTTCCCAGTAGCTGGGATTGCAGATGTGAGCCACTGCCCTGCCCGAATTCATTCTTTTTAACCCTTTACAAAGATAGCTAGACTTGGCCTGCCTTCCAGCTTACAACAACTATAGTGGACGGAAATTGAAAGTTTATTGGGCTTTGTGTAAGAGCTCATTGTTGTTTGTCTTTGTCAGAAATTTAGCTTCAACAACTGGATGTATTAACCAGCCTGGTGGATTTTTATTGCTTCAAGAGAGGGTCTTTCATTCCCAGCAGATCAGACAGTGGCCCTTTTCCATTTGATTTCAGTGTTAATCTGCTAAGTGAATTTGGAGTCATACATTCCCATTTAGTGTCTTGTGCCAAAATTACTTCACAAGTTATATTGCAAAAGTAAACTTCTCCATGCTAGGGGTGAGTGGATGGAAGCCTGGGCCCTGCATCTGTGGTGGGGTGGCCAGTGGGTGTCCATTAGATAGGTGTTGAGGCAGTGATGATCCTATTTTTTTTTGGTTTTTTTTGTCTTCTTCTCATGTTTTCATAATAAATGATTGAACAAATGAAGTGTTCCTGTTTTACACCCCAGAAGTTTTAAGAAAGTACTTATATTATCTCATTTTCTTTTTCTGCTGACTTGAACTACAACTACTCTTTAGCTTCTCTTTTCTTAGAGTGTTTTCACTTGTAGACGTTTCTCAACCATCCCAGATTTTTTGCAGAAGGGAGAGAAGGTGTGAATTATTTATATTACTTAAGAAAATTTTTATGTCCACTAGGAACTAGTGAATGCTGATCTTCAGGATCCTTAATGGACTGGACCAGGGTCATTTCAGAGACGGATGTAGCTCAGTGCTGTCACCTCCCCCACGCCACTCCTACTCTATTGCAGGGGATTATCAGTCACTTTAATAATTCTGTATTAACTATATTTTAATATGTATACTCCCTTTCCTGGCAGTTTATACATCAAAATAAACTTTCCATTGTCAGGGATGTGATCACTGAAACATTTTATTAATACATGACTGGTTTAGGTTCACTTACTTTATGTAAGCATTAGTAGATCATTCTTTATTTAATAAGTGTGTCCTTGGAGCTTAATGTTGTTTGGATTCAGAGGAGTAAACCCAAGTATATAATATATAGTCCTCTCGTTAATCAATCAGTAGTCCAGTTGCAAAGACAAGCATGTGTATAACACTAGATATCTCACTTTGAAGAGGTTGATACTTAGTTATATGTACAGTATATAGTTGATACTTAGTTATATGTACAGAAATGCTGAGGAGAGTGGCCATTTCAGGATAGACTTGTGAGGGATGGTGTTGCATGGGAGCTGGAATTTGAAAGTGATTTCTCAGTGGTTAGAGAATATAGCCATGGCCTTGTCTTGATTGTTTTTGGGGTAGTTAAAGGATGAACCTGAAAAGATAGTTTGGTGGCCAAAGATCTGAATGTGAAACCAGACATCTGGAGTTTATCTTACAGGCAGTGTGTGTGGTGCATTGTTGATAAGGGCTGGGAGGGTGAGCTAAAGAGGGATAACATGAAAGCTGTGATTTAGGAAGGGATGAGCAAAACAAATTAAAGGAAGAAAGATGAAGAAGCATTTGCAAGAGTTCTGGAATGAAGTATGAATGAAAGGGAAGGGAAGATAAATGTGAGATGCATAGTAAAGGAAGACTTAACAGGCATTGTTGGGTAAGGGAGGACTCAGAGATGATTATGAGCATGTGAACCAGGATATCTTATTGGTGTTTTATATAGAGAGATGGTTTTTTATTTTTGGTAGCAAAGGAAGAGAGGAAAGGTAGTTCATGATAGTAAATAGATGAAAGAGTATTAGAATATTTAGATGGATTTAAGTATTAGATAAAGATTGGGGTAAAAGGAGGATATAAATTAAAAATTTTAAATCAAAATGCTGAGATACGGCCAGGCGCGATGGCTCATGCCTGTAATCCCAGCACTTTGGGAGGCTGAGGCGGGTGGATCATGAGGTCAGGAGATCGAAACTATCCTGGCTAACACGGTGAAACCCCATCTCTACTAAAAATACAAAAACAAACAAACAAACAAAAAAACGGGCGTGGTGGCATGTGCCTGTAGTCCCAGCAACTCGGGAAGCTGAGGCAGGAGAATCGCTTGAACCTAGGAGGTGGAGGTTCTCTCTGGGATCCGAGTACAGTGAGCCGAGATTGCGCCACCGTGCTCCAGCCAGGGTGACAGAGCGAGACTCTGTCTCAAAAACAAAAACAAAAGCAACAAAAAAACAAAAAAAAAGCAAAATACTGATATACATATATTAGATGAATTTATTATTTTTAAGGCAATCCTATTATGTGGCAATAATCACCCTTTAATGTATCTGGGTTGGAAGCCTTTCATATATTTGTTTTCGAGATCGAAAAGGGAAGTACAGTGAGGGATGCACTTTTGAATTCCCTTCTTCATTTCTATGCCTGTTGTCAGTAACTTCTGGATGAGTATAACTTTTTTTGTTTGTTTGTTTTTTAGAGATAGAGTCTTGCTCTGTTACCAAGGCTGGAGTGCAATGGCACAGTCTCACCTCACTGCAACCCCCGCCTCCTGGGTTCAAGTGATTCTCGTGCCTCAGCCTCCCAAGTAGCTGGAGTTACAGGTGTGCACCACCATGCTCAGCTAATTTTTTGTATTTTTAGTAGAGGTGGGGTTTTGCCATGTTGGCCAGGCTGGTCTCAAACTCCTGACCTCAAGTGATCGGCACCCCCACTTGGCCTCCTAAATCGGTGGGATTAGAAGCCTGAGCCACTGTGCCTGGCCAAGTATAAAGTTTTTGAGACAGAGTCTTGCTCTGTCGTCCAGGCTGGAGTACGGTGGTACGATCTTGGCTCACTGCAACTTCTGTCTCCTGGGTTCAAGCGATTCTTGTGCCTCAGTCTCCTGAGTATCTGGGATTGCAAGCATGGGCCACCAAACCTGGCTAAGTTTTGTATTTTTAGTTGAGATAGCGTTTCACCATGTTGGCCAGGCTGGTCTTGAACTCCTGACCTCAAGTGATCCGCCCGCCTCAGCCTCCCAAAGTGCTGGGATTACAGGTGTGAGCCCCCACGCCGGCCCTAAGTCCTAAGTGTAAAGTTTTTTTTAGAAAACACCATAAAACCTTGTTCCTGTTTGTAAGGAGTCATAATCCATTTGAGAAGACTGTCAAAGTAAACCATGGGTTAGAGAAAAAGGAAGTATTGTGCTCTAACCTTCCTTTTCCCTGGATTCCTTCAGCATGTGATGAGTAGTATATACTACTTGGGCATGTGTCTCCCTCAGCTATGAAGATTAACAGCCCGTTGAGGACCGCGGACCCATTTGTGACTCCAACAACACTGTCCACATACTTCTGTGTGACACTTGCTGAATTTTCAGAGAATCTATTGTGGTGATGTAGCCAATGTCATCTACTCCTTGGCAATGAGCTTGTGGCATCAGGGGATATACCTGGTGTTCCTTTATTCAGCATATCTTTTACCAGCCAAAGTTTTACCTTTTATTTTAGGTGGAAACAAGAGAAGATGAAGAACAAAATGTCAAGTTGACTGAAATTCTGGAGCTCTTGGTTGCAGCTGGGTATTTCAGGGCAAGAATTAAAGGCTTATCACCCTTTGACAAGGTAAGGGGAAATCTTTCTAACCATTACACTATCTTTTGTCAGAATGACATGGTTAATCATGGCAAAGAAAGGAGGAAAAGATGATGTTTTAACTTCTTCCATGTCTGTGTTTCCATTTCTTCCTAATTCAGATTCATTATGGAAGTGTTCAAACTTCTTTTCAAAGACAGAAATGATGTATCAGTGAATACGTCAGTTCCTTTTCTGTGCACAAAGCTTTAGGAAATGCAAAGAAGCAAAATAAATAGTTCCTTCTTTCAAGGAATTTACAGTTTGGGTGGGGATTATAAAACTTATGGAAAATAAAATAATCAGAGTTAATAATGAGCTATCCCAAGTCAGCGTGCTCACAGACGGTTGCCAGATATTCTGCGGATAGTAAATGCTCTGATTTAGGATGAGAGAGAGATCGCTATGCAATGAAATCTTTTAATTCAGCAGAACCTTGAATGATGATGCACAAATCATAGTAATAGGTGTTGAGGACACAGAGAAAAAACAGAGGCACAGTTCTCAAAGAGCCCAATTTCTGTAGAGTGGGGATGAGAGACAAGTGAATCAACATGCACAGAATAAATGGCATGATGCAGAAAGTGCCACCGTGGACTGTGCACAGAAAGGACGCATTCAAATCACACAGGGCAGGCTGTGGAAGACAGTGCTGAGTGCTCCACGGGGTCACAGTCCTGGCTGTGCCTAACAGAATCACTCTGGGTTATTTTATAATACAGAACCCAGGATTCACTCATTGAAATTTTGGTTAGCTAGGTCTGGGCTTGGGCCCTGGAATCTGCATTTTTATTGGGCAACTTGTAAGAGTCTAAAGCAGCCAGGGGTAAGATTTACTGTTTTTGTTGTTGTTGTTTGTTTGTTTGTTTGAGATGGAGTCTCTCTGCTGCCCAGGCTGGAGTGCAATGGCTCAATCTTGGCTCACTGCAACCTCTGCCTCCGGGATGCAAGTGATTCTCCTGCCTCAGCCTCCCGAGTAGCTGGGATTACAGGTGCCTGCCACCATGCCCGACTAATTTTTGCATCTTTAGTAGAGAGGGGTTTCACTGCGTTGGCCAGGCTGGTCTCAAACTCCTGACCTCGTGATCCACCCGCCTCAGCCTCCCAAAGTGCTGGGATTACAGGCGTGAGCCACCGCGCCCAGCCTTATTGTTATTTTTTTCTAATATCAAGCTGTGTCTGAAAAGGATTTTGTTTCAAAATGGGTTTTTAGTCTTACTCTCATTTGCATCTCAGAGAATTCCTGAGGGAAAAGTAGAGCCAGGGATTCTCAGGTAGATAAGAAAAATAAGATGTATGGAAACAAAATGTCAGCCTTGCTGCCCATGTGTCTGGTCTATAAAACACAGAATTAATGTCTGTCCTTTTGACTATAAAGAGGATCTATGTACAGTATGTTCATTTAATAATAAAAGTCAGCTCCTCAGTCATGCCAGCCACATTTCAACTGCTCAGCAGCCACATGTGGCTAGTAGCTACTGTACTTGTCCTTGCAGATAACGGAATATTTCTGTCACTGCAGAAAGTTTTCTGTAACGGTGCCATTTTAGATTAATTGTACTTGATGGGGTAAGGAGGACACACACTCTCTCTCTCAAGATATATAATTTTGTATGTTTACTGAGTCTATTAGAGCTATTTATAATCCATCTACCTTCCACTTCTTCCATTCTCCCCAAACTAAAAAGAGAAAACAAATATTTTCTTTATGTCTTGCAGGTAGTAGGAGGAATGACTTGGTGTATCACCACTTGCAACTTTGATGTAGATGTTGATTTGCTCTTTCAAGAAAACTCTACGATAGGTCAAAAAATGTAAGTTTTTCTATGGAAAACCTAAAGGTGGGGAGAAGGGAACTAACTTTTGAGTGTCTACTGTGTGCCAGAAGTTGGTTGGACACTTTACATAGTTTATTTTAACTTTTATTACAAGAGGTATTATCCCTGCCTTACAAATGAAACTGAGACTGAAAGAAGCCAAGGTCACACAGCTAGATCAAAGTTTGTAGTGACTACTTAGTTTATCTTTCAAAGACAGCTCATATCAGTGGAAGTTGATTAGAAAGAGGAAAGGAGATGCTTTCCTTCCCCATTGCCTCTGTGTAAGGCAGAGTCTCACTTTGCCTGTCTTCGAGAGAAAGCAGCATGGTCTCCTTGCTAGAGATCTCACCTGAGCATACCCTGCCCAGTCTTTTGTAGCACAGCAGCTCACCAGGGGCTTGGCCATTTCATTAGACCACTTGGGATACCTGGTTCTTCTCCCAGCCTTCCAGTGGGTCTCTGTGTGGCCTTGGAACAGCCACTCCTTCTGTGGGCCTCAGTTCTTTTATCCGTCAGAAGAGAGATTCCTGACCTCAGATATGTGTGATTCTGTGACAGTCTGTTTATTCATTTTTCTGAAGTATTACCTTCTCCCAAGAGAAAACACTTCCAAAAGGAACAAAGGGGTCTTATAAATAACAGGAAGCAATAATGGTGGGAAAATGGAGCAAAGGGGGAAAAAAAAGTGGGGACAAAAGGCAGAGTTGGGGTAAGACTGCCACAGTGATGGGTCACAAAATGCTTTGTTTTCCTACTGTTGGCCAAAGATTTGCCCCTGTGTTTCTGGCAGCCAAGTGGAGGTGGTATCTGTGAGTAACTGAGCATCAGGAATGTTGCAATTTACTTTATATTTATACAGCATTTTCCCTGTAAGTTTCTAATTGCCTTTGTTTTTTTCTTGTTGACAAAAGAAGCATATGCCTTTAGCTGTAGCTCAGATCAGCCAGCTTTTTTTTTTTTTTTGAGACAGAGTCTCACTCTTATCACCCATGCTGGAGTGCAGTGGTGCCAACACCACTCACTGCAGCCTCGACTTCCTTAAGTGATCCTCTTACCTCAGCTTCCTGTGTAGCTAGAGCCACAGGCATACACCACCACGCCCAGCTAATTTTTAAATTTTTTGTAGGGATGGTGTCTCACCATCTTGTCCAGGCTGGTCTTAAAACTCCTGGGCTCAGGCAATCCTCTCGCCTTGGCCTCCTGGGATTAGAGGTGTGAGCCACCGCACCTGGCCTATGCTTCTTAATCAGGCTGTTCATTAGCATGAATTCTTTGTCTTCTTGAGGATGCTTTTCTTGGAAGCTTCTGTCTTTGAGCTGATTGCTTCCTATACCTGTGGCACTCTTGATGTGCTGGTATTTCTTTTCATTGCATTTTTTCTGTGCTAGTTTTACCATTTCTTGGATCCCACGTGTGCTTTTTTCCTAAATTCCCCTTGAGTTTTCCAGTGGTCGTTAGGCCCTGTTTTCATTTCGATATCCTTAGGGAATATGGTAGACTCCCATCAGTGGCAGCATTCCATTATACTTTTAATAGATATGGGAACACAGTATTTTTCTATGTCTTCTCAATTCCTTGTCTATATTTCTGAAATCTAAAAGACACTGAAAACTGTTTTTTCTTCTTTTAGGTTTAGATACAAAGCTTATTTGGGAGCAAAACATAACCTGAATTGACTGAATTTATAGCTTTATTGATCCCACTTATGTGACTATTTATAAGTTTTGCTAAATAAATTTTTTTTTATTATAGAGTGTGACTCTAGATTTTCCTGGGTTCTTACATAATATATAATATGTATCCCTTAGGTATTCTAAGGAACTAAATCTAAAAAATTCAGAATTCTGAAACACATCTGACCCAAAGGGTTTGGATAAGGGATTGAGGATGTGTTATATTCCCTGGTAAGTGCTTGATGTGTGTCTCTTAAGTGCAGAGCCATGAACTGTAACTGTGGGCAAAGCTGGAGACGGGTTTACGTGACTAAGGACCCACCAGAGTCAGCAGTGCATCAGGTAGCTCATTCTTTATTATCTGTAGAAGACATGTTACAGCCACAGGGTACTGAGTCATCTAAAAATCTTTTCTGTTTGGTTTTGGAATGTGTTCTGTTTGGTGTTCCCCCCCACCATAGAGTTTCTGGTTAGGTGCAGTTTAGACTAAAACTGCCTTATGTTTGCCGTCTTCCAGTATATCTAGTCAATTTAATGGGTGGGCTGGACGTATGTCCAAGGAGCACACTTGCCTATTGACGGCATGGTTGTCTCTCAAGCTGTCTTCTTTATGTGCCCAATTGAGGCCTTGTTCTCTGTCATCTTTCTTTGCTGAGAGTTCCATAAGCTTCTATCCTCTACTTCTATCTTCTTCTGAAGCCCCATTAACAGAGGGTCCTATGGCCAGAGGCCCATAAATGGGATTTTACATTTATAACTGAGTTCATTTCAACAACAAACATTTTATTGGGCATCTGTGTTCCAAGCACTTGCATGTGTATTTTATTATTTTACCTTCACTACCGCTTTGAGTAGGGATTATCCCTAGTTTTATGATAGGAGTATTGGACCTGGACCAAGTTACTTGCCAAAAGTTTCAGAGTTGTGGTGGAACTTGAATTTAGACCCAGGTTTAATTCACTGTCTTTCAAGCTGTTTGCAGTGGAGAAGAAAGCAGTGCACTGAACACTCTTAAAAACTAAAGGAGTCAAACTAGTCACAGCTGGGCATGTTAAAATCTTAGTCTAGGAAACCGGCCTGGTGACCTCTGCAATTGCTAATTTCTGTGATTTTTAGGAAATCTGAAGGATCCACCTAGAGCCGCAGGTAGAAGCTGAAAGGGGATTGTTAGATTTCTGGAAGAAGTCTTTCTCACTTTCTTTCCCTACCCCCAGCCTGCCTGCATTTTCCTCCATGTCCTCACCTTGGCTGCCAAGACTGTCCAGACTTGGCAGTAATTTCTGAGAGGTGGGTTTAAGAGGGTTGTAAATCCTAGGATGACCCGTGATAGCCTTCTCTCTGGACCTTTATGAACTGGGTGAGTAGGCTGGCTCCGAAGAGTGGCCAGGAAATGCCATGTCTGAAGGCAGGGGGTTAGGCTGGATGGTGGTGTGGGTCCCAGCCTCTTGTTTTTAAGCTATTATGTATGGTTCTAGGCAATTGGTAACTCTATGCAAACCAATATATCTGTAGCCACAAGAGGGAGCTCTCCTCCTGCTGAACCAAAATGTAACTAAGGAAAGGCTGTATTGATCACGTGCCCCTGCATAGTTAGTTGGGACCTGCATTGAGCAAAACCAGAACTGATATTCATTTTCATTTGCTAAGCTTGGAGTTTAGGCAGCAGTACCAGTTGAACACTCATCTCTTCTTACAAGTTTCAAGGAAATTAAATAAGCTATGAGAGTCTGATGGAGATCAAAATTTTAAAAAAAGCTTAACAGAGAACCTTAGATATGTTGCCAAATGGGTTTGTTAGTGCTTCACTACCAAGCTATCCCATGTGAGTCCCAAGCAGACCTGGACAACCACTGGCTTCCCCTGTGGGGCAGGCAACATATCTTATGGCAGAAAAGATGCATGTGTCCCAAAGACAGGCTGCCCAGAAAGGAAGGGCACCAGGAGTGGCTGAGAGCTGCATGAAAATTTTCTTCTTCCTCTCAGGACTTTTGTTTTGTTTTGTTTTAAGAGACAGAGTTCCACTCTTGCCTGGTCTAGGGTGCTGTGGCGTGATCTTAGCTCTCTGCAGCCTCAAACGCCTAGGCTTAAGTGATCTTCCTGCCTTAGTCTTTTGAGTAGCTGGGACTGTAGGAATGCACCATTATGCCTGGCTAATTTTTAAATTTTTTTATGCAGACAAGGTCTTACTATGTTGCCCAGGCTGGTCTCAAACTCCTGGCCTCAAGTGACCTCCCTCCTTGGCCTTCCAAAGCACTAGGATTACATGCATGAGCTACCATGCCTGGCCCCTCTCAGGACTTGTGGATAAATCACTCTTCACCCCTTCCTCTGTTAGGGAGGAAGGGTGAGGGGGAAGAGGCAGCAAATATTCTCCTATATGCTTCCCTCCTAGGAGGAAGATACTCCCTCTCTTCTATGAATGTGTGCAGTGAGGGATTAATCTCCCCCCTTCCATATTTTTTTCTATTAACACATTGGATCTGACATTTGATCTTATGATCAGTGGGGTATTACTGTTGTCCTCAGCAGTTTTAACCTTGGTCCCAACTTGTGAAGCTATTTTCCAGATACCAGACACTGTTTCTTAATGTGTTCTCTAGTGCCCATTCCCTGGGGGGCTGTTTTAACTTTAGTTCCTAGGTCACCTAGTTACTGTTAATACTAAGACTGAGGGGTGAAACCTACTAAGTGAATCATAGATAAGACAGTAATAACTCTCACCCAGCCCTGAGTCAGATGTTCATCTTGAGGGTATCTGTCTCCTTGGAAGGATTATTGAACTGCAGAAAGATAAAGGTGGACAAGACTTCTCTGAACAAGAAACACTTTTGGGAGACCCAAAACTTGTTGAATTTGAAGCACCTAGTAAGTTCTAAGTGACCTTTGTTTACCTGGACCTTTGTCTATTAGAACATAGTACTGTATTTGTTTATAAGGCCACAGTAGCTGCTGTGACTGGCTAAGATTTTTTTTAAAGGGTCTTGTGTGGCAATGTAACCTATTCATGTAGGCTGAGCCAGAAGCTCCTATTTCTCCAGATGTCCACAAGGCCATGCCTGGTGACTGCTTCTCAATGTTCCCAGGCTACATACCATGGCTTTGGGGTCAGGCACACCACTGAATAGTATCTTTTCTCTCCCCTTGAGTCTGATCCAATTAAGATAGTATAAGAAACAGGAATCACATAGCTAGAGATGAAATGCCAACTGATTCGAGAAGGAGGTTTCAGGCTGCAATAAAACAGACTTGCATACAAATCCCTCCACCAGTGCTGCCATAAACTGTCCTACCCCAGCTCAGGCTGAGCTGAGAAACCTCCCTAGCAGGAGAGGATGCTTTCCTCCTGACCTACAGAGAAGAAAACTCTGAGGCCTCAGGAAGCCTGGTTCCTCCCTTCTCAGTCCCACCTTGTGGTCTTCTATAGGAGGAAGACTGAGGCGAGGTGTTAGAGAAAGGTCGGTGTCCCTTATAAGAAGCAGAAAATATCTCTTCTGTATGGAAATGAGAGTGAGGATATACAGTTCCTTCAACTCTAGAATTTATTTTAGAGTATCAAAAAATTAAAGGCTACTATTTATTTTAAAAATATCCTTGTACCAGAGAGTAGAGAACTCCAAATCTCTTTTGGAAATGGGGCTCCATGTTTCATGTTAATATTCTGGGTACCTGGTGTAAGGTCTGGTAATTATTTGTTGCCTGATATTTAGAATACTTTTTTCAAACTGTTAGAAAGAGTAGATCAGTAAAACGAAATGTAAAAAGAATACGGGGCACTAATAACTTTTTATCTTACTACATAAGGAAGTTAAAAAATAGTAACGACTACCTCTAATGTTACCATCATTTCACAAAATATTTTACATCCAAAAAAGTAGGAAGAAAAACATTATAGAATAAAGGATGAAGGCAGTTTTGTGACCACACACCTACACACCACCAAATTGTGCTTATTTTTCTCATTTTGCAGTCATCTAGGAGAAACTTGTCATGGTCTGGACTAGCCTGGCATGGAGAAGTCCCAGATCCGTCTGTGATGCTGCCCAGACTTTAGAGATGCCATAAAGGCTACTTAGTATGCCTCACTCTTTGCTTGTTACTTTTTCTGAACAGAGCTCTGTCAGAAAAAATTGTCTCGGTCCTGCCAAGGATGAAATGCCCACACCAGCTGGAGCCCCACCAGATCCAGGGGATGGATTTTATTCACATATTTCCTGTTGTTCAGGTGAGAGCCTCTGTGTGGTTTCTTGTCCTCTTAACATCAGAATTCCTGTGATGGGCCTGGCTTGTCCTGTAATGGGTCCGTCTGTCCTGGATCCTGAATGTAATGGGTGTGGCTTAGATTTGGTACAGCAGAACATGGTGGTGTTCGTTGTCGTCATCTTCAGAAGATTGCCAGTCCTGCATATACTCTAGTTTCATGCTGTCACCTGATAAGATCTTTGAATGTTCTCATCTGACTTTTCATTGCCTTTTTGGTAAAAACAGAACTCTGTAGCCTGGTATGCTCTGTTCCCTTTTGACCTATCCAGCTTGATTTCATTCCTTGCTTTTCTTTGTTCTTTTTGTTCTAGCACTCTCTGGCATTCATTCAGATTTCCCCAGGTTTATTCTTCCACCTGTCACAGTGCTTTTGCGTTGCTAGTTCCTTGGGCTGGAATGCTCTTCCATTCTCTCCTTACCTGTTTAATTCATATGGCTTACTTCAACCCTTCAGATCTCAGTTCCACCAAACCTCTTCAAGAAAGCCTTCCCTCATCCGCTAATCCACAGCATGTTCCTTTATGGTATGCACTCCTACGGCCACATTCCTTTCCTTCACCAGAATCTTACAGCAGTTCATAATCATGTGTATCCATGTGTGTGTGATTGTTTATCTGCTTCTCTCATTAGACTCTTAAGCTGCATGAGAGCAAGTCTGCATGGCTGTCTTGCTTATTGCTTTGTTTCCAGTACCTACCAGAACATCTTACAATTTGTAGATATTCAGTCCGTATGGCTAAATGCCTAAGGGAGAGACTTCTCTTTGCCTCCAGCTGTTTCCCAAACCCCTATGATTAAGTGGCTCGTGCTGTACAGCTCCCAAACAGCCGGCCCTCCATATTCGCAGCTCCACATCCATAAATTCAACAAACAATGCATCAAAAATGTTTGGGGGTGGGTGGGGGGAAACACAATAAAAAATAACAATACAACAATAAAAAGTAATATAAATTTAGCAAGCTGGAAAAAGAAAGTAATAAAAATTTAAAAATACAGTATAACATAACTATTTACATAGCATTTACGTTGTATTAGGTATTATAACCTTAGAGATGATTTAAAATATAGGGGAGGATGTGTTTAGGTTGTATGCAAATACTGTGCCATTTTATATCAGGGACTTGAGCATCTGTGGATTAATATCTAGCGGGTCCTGGAACCCATCCACCACAGATTCCTTGGGACAACTGCATTCTGTGCAGTTCTTCTCTTCCCCTCTAGGCATCTTAGAAAGAGGAGGAGCAAAGGGACTCAGGTGTGTTGCCCGCTGTGTGAACACTACTTCCCATCTGACTCTATTAGAGTTCTTTGAAGCGTTTATTATAATCCCTTACATTTGAGGAAAGTGAGAAATGTAATTTCCTTACATTTGGGAAAAATGAGACTGAGAGAAGGTAATTGATTTGCTTAAGGGCGGAGAGTGGACAAACAAAGGTTCCAGTCTAAACTCTGTCTCCAAGCCTGTGCTTTTTCCACTCCACCATTCATGCAGCTGCTGAGAAGGAAGCTACACAGCCCTTGAAGCTAGAAGTTCTCTAGTTCTGTGTTAAGATTTTGAAATATAGGGTCAAGAGTATGGACCCTGGAGACCTCCTGGGTTCAAGTTGGTCGCTTTCTAGCTGTGTGACCTTGGGTAAATAACTTTCCGTCTGTTAAATAGAAATAAATAATAGCACCTACCTGATAGGATGAGAATTAAGTTAGTTGTATGTCTAAAGCACTTAGTTGAAAGACTGACCATTTTAGTAAGTGCTCTCTAAGTGTTACATAGTTTGTTACTGTTATGTGTTGAGTCTTCCCCTCTGCTAGACTTCAAAGCCGAATTCCATGAAATTTGTAAATTCGAGGCCAAGACTTTACCTTAAAATTTATTTGTATGTTTGTTAGCCTTTCTGTCTTTCTTATGCAAGGGGACACTACCTGATCATTTTTATGAAAATAGGAAGTTGGGGCCCTGTGTTGATTATTATTGAAACCTCCAATATCATCAAACTGTGAAGTTGTTACCTTTCCCCCAAAACATGGATCTCTAGAGATTAGACCGTTTTTAACTAGGACTTTGGAGGCAAAAAAATCTAGTCAGGTTGTGAGAAGAATTGGAAGTGATCTTCTGCAGTCAGTTGGGTGTTTTGAAGGTCTGAATGTTCTCCATTGTGAGTGGAATGCTAGAGGGTCTGTCTGGATGGGAGGGCCCAGGCTAGTGGTTACAATTTCTTAATTTCATGGACCTGTAAAATTTTAAAGCAAAAATGGAGATTGGCCTAGGGTTGCCACCTGTAGTTTTCCAGGTAAGGACACTTTAAAAAATAACTACAATCTTGCTTTATCATTTCATAAAATAATGGCCATTTAATTCTCAAACTCAAAAAAAAGCAGTCCTTGAAATTAAATACATTTAACTATGATGAAACTCACCATGTGCCTGTAGCTTTTGCCTGTTTTTGTTTGTTTTGTTTTCCCCCCGGGCACTCGTGAAAGAATAATCACTGGCCAGCAGTTGTAAGCCATTGACCTACTTCTCTTATGTGATTCTAGAAGCCCATCATCCGTGTTCACACCATTTTAGCAAAGCTGTAGTAACTTTCTCTGGATGCAGCCAAGAAAAAAGCAGATCTAATTTCTGGCCCCTGGTAGTTCTAGATCATATCTTTTTCTCCTGGGTTGGACATGTGACTCCTGTGAAGGTCAATATTTTTCTTGAGTGCTAGGGAACCTGTGGCAGAGCTAGGCTGTCCAAGAGTTTCCCTCTATAGCCTTTCATGCTGGAAACTCCAAAACATCTGTTAGGACTCAACAAGCTTTCCCTTCATAATGGGATCATGCTCTCCAGGATCCAGCCAGGCTGTAACTCAGGGTAGATCTGGGATTAATGGGAGCAGCTCTGAAAGGGAAGCAGATGTGAAAAGCCAGAAACTGGGTCTCCCAATTCAAAAGAAAGCAGGGCTGAATTGAGTTGAGCAATGAGCCAACTGCCTTAGTTGGCCCTTAGTTGTCCTGGACCACTTAGTTTTACTGGGATGGAGTACAGGTGAGGGACTACAATCGTTCTCAATACTCTCTGATCTTCTGTCTCTGCTTCTGGATTTTAGTCTTTGCCTGAGGTCACTGTTTGGGGGTGAAGTGGTAGAAATATATAGAAGATACTGACAGCAAGGAATATTCCTCAGAGTTATTTGCTCTATTCTGAGCAGCTATTTCCTAAACATGTGCTTTACTTGAGCTGGCTGCGCTTTGTGAACAAACATCTGCGGGAACACCGTGCAGCACAGTGTTATGTGCCATGTGCCTGCTTTCCTAGGTAGCTAACCCTCACCAAGTGTGATATGCTGTTGGCGAAACACAGCTACTATCCCAAAACTGCTTTTGAGATGCAGTAGCTTTCTCTGGAGAGGGAGTGGCACCCCTTCTGTGATGTTCTTCAGTAATAAAGGGAGTGAATGAAGAGCCGGGGAGGAGAAGCAAAGGTTCTTTTTACACTTTACACCCTTACCCTCAGAGCGGGTGGATCTTCTGCAGGTTTTTACCCTCAGGGCGGGTGGATCTTCTGCAGGTGGATCTTCTGCAGGGTGGTGTTTTAATGATAATAACTGGAGTTTTCAGTTGGGAGAAGTGAAGAGCAGCTGTTTCTGGGTATCAGCCTAACAAAGCTGGGAAACATTTCATGAAACCATTTGTCCAGTCTTCGGTGTAGAATAGTCTCTTGAGTTGTGACTCCCAGCTTTGCAGCTGGCTAGCTATGGATCCATGAGTAAGTTATATAGTCTCCCGGCACTTCAGGTTCAGTAAAACTCAGCCAGTACCATCCGACATTGTGAGGATTAAGAGAGAATGTTATGAATGTCAGGATAAACCAGTGCCTTCAACTGCGTACTCAGTATGCACCATTGTCAAATCTGAGTATTTTGGACATTTTTTCACTTGTCAAATGGGGAGTTACACTAGCATTCTCTGTGGTTCTCTCCCTTTTCCCTGGTCTGTCGTGTAAGGAGCACAAGAAAAAGAGATTTACATGAAGATCTGCCAGTAGGACCAGGAAGTTGGGAGATAGCTCTGTTTGTTTTGTGCTTCAGGTGTTTACAAATCACTCTACTACTTGTGATTTCATTTACTCCCATGTTAGCTCTGTGAGGTGAAGGGAACTGATATACTTTTACAGAAAGGAAAACTGAGGCTCAAGGATGTGAAGTAAGGCTTTAAAGCTCCTGCACGGCTACTCAGCACTAGGTCCCATTGGATCTTAACATCTTGGATACCCAGCTGGTTGCTTTTCCTATAGAACAGCATGTGTTGATAGCTTCTTATCACCTAGTCAGTTCAACTATGCTGATTTGAGTTCATGAGTTGGGCCATGTCTGAACTGGCCTTCACTTCAGTGGGATGTTGTCCTTAGCAACTCTTGTCTTTTCACTTTCTTCCCCAGTGGCTGGTGAAACGAGCTATAGAAACAAAAGAAGAGATGGGTGACTATATCCGCTCCTACTCTGTATCCCAGTTCCAGAAGACTTACAGTCTCCCTGAGGTCAGTATTGTGATTTTATTTTCTTGTCCCACTGAGAAACAGAGTGCACACTTAAGAGACTCTCTAGCAAGGAGCAGAGTAAGCTCAGGCTCCCCTACATTCTCAGCCCCACTTGGCATCATTAGTGCTTCTTTACATAGCCACTGAGTGCAAAGCTCTATAATTTTGTCATCTTCTCTGAATTTTAGTGTTTGATCTAGAGCTTTTATTAACTTACAAGAATAATAGTTGATTTTTGTATTAAGTTTTTTGAGAGGCCACTTGCCCAGAACATCCTATAGTAACAATTTAATAATAATAATAATAATATAATTAAAAACAATAATAGCTAATAGCCATCATGTATTTACTACATGCTAGTCTCAGCACATCTTATGGCTTTTATTCTTTAATCCTTACTGCAACCTGAGATGGGCGTTTTTATCTCTGTTTCATAGACAGAGAAACTGAGGCTTAGAGGTTAAGTAACTTACCTGAGGTTTCAGTGCTTAAGAGGATTTGAAATGAGAACTCTCGTCTTAAGCACTATTCCTTATGACCCCCTTTTTCTTACTGGCTGTGTAGGGATCTATGTTGGAGCCATCTGCAGGGTTTGTAGCCTTTTCCCATGGAGAATATATTACAATTTGTTCGAAAATTGAGACTTCGTCAGGCAAAGTAGTGATGAGATGAGAAGTCAATTTATAAGACATATCTGAGTGGTCCACTTGAGTTTTAATTTTCCCTTGGGATTTGTTTAATCGCTCTGTTTTGTCTTGTAGGATGATGACTTCATAAAGAGAAAAGAAAAGGCCATCAAGACAGTTGTGGACCTCTCAGTAAGTCCCCTGGCCGTATTCTTCTGTCAGAGTCCTGCGTAGCCTCAGATAGCCCTTTGTTAAATCACAAAAGCGCTGCTCCTGAGGCTTCCATCTACGGGGATCGCTTAGGAGCTAGACTCAGATGGCTGTGTGAGGGAAGCCCCGCCTGCTTTACTGCTCAGGGCCAGGACACCAGTATGCACAGGGAGAACCTGCCACACTACTGTTCTGTCCCCTCACTTCCACTTTTAAGGGAGGAATAGCCAAACACAGAGCCCTTCCTAGTTTATCCCAATGGCAGGTATAAACTTTGAATAGCTCTGAAGAGCAGATGATGAATGGGGATGATAACTTGAGGTTTCTGTCCCCCACCCCCTTGATGGCTTTGCATAGACAGAGTAGCCTCTGAGCTGTGTGCGGGAAGCTCTGGGATGGCGTTTGTCCCCATTCACAGTACGTCTTAATCACAATGAGTCTGCACATGTGTCCCAACTTCGCCAGCACAAGGGTTAGTGGAACCTTTGACCCTTTATAAAACACTCTGGGCCAGAGCTGTGGAACCTTGTTAGCTGTACCCTCCACCCCCAGCCTTCCTACCTGAGCTGAAGGGAATGAAGCCTAGGTGCCTGTGTGCACAGTCTCTCTCTCCTGAAAATAATGTGTTGTGTTGTTTTGCATGCTTTTTACTTCATCTAAATTATGTCATACATCTAGTTGGTTTTCATAGTTGCATAGTTTCTTGTATTAATATGCCACCCAAATGAAATATCAGATGTACTTCTTATACAGATGGCATGGGTTACATACCTTGTGTCATTGTAAAGATTGGCATTGCCTGGTGTTTGTGGCTTTGTGAACTGCCTACAGAGTCTTTCCAGAAAAAGAATTCCAAACTGGCTTATCTTAAAAATAAATGTGTGGTCTACCAAGGTGATTACTCTGAAAAGAACAATCATTTGGTAATGAAAGACATGGAAATCTCCTATGAAACAAAAAATCTTGATCACTTTATGGTTGTAATTTGTTTTTTTTCTCAATTCCATTTTGGAAATGTTAGAGGTGGAAAACCTTTGGGAAGGTGACACTCAAAAGCCAGATACTGTTTTCAGATTTGGTGGCAGTATTAAACAATAACAAGAAAAAATGATATGACCTCAGAGTAATTTTCTTTCCTGGTTGTGAAATAGGTGTTCAGTTTAGAGCATCCTCAAGTTTTTAAAAAGATTGATAGATGTAGGGGAATTAAATTAAAGTTGATTTTTCACCTTAATTTCACAACACGGAAGCAACCGCTTTTAATTTTTGGACATATTTCTTCCATGTTTTTATTGTGCATTTTTAAACTGAATTGGAATCATACTTTAAAGATAATTTTGTGGTTTTTTCACTTACCAATGTAGGGGCTTTTGTATGCTGTTAAAAGATTCCTGCTGGCTTGGCACAGTGGCTCACGCCTGTAATCCCAGCACACTGGAAGGCTGAGACGGGTGGATCACGAGGTCAGGAGTTCAAGACCAGCCTGGCCAACATGGTGAAACCCCATCTCTACAAAAAATACAAAATTTAGCTGGATGTGGTGGTACACCCCTGTAATCCTAGCTACTTGGGAGGCTGAGGCAGGAGAATTGCTTGAACCCAGAAGGCAGAGGTAGCAGTGAGCCAAGATCGTGCCATTGCACTCCAGACTGGGCGACAGAGCAAGACTCCATCTCAAAACAAAAACAAAAACAAAAACACAACAAAGATTCCTGCTAACTACATTTCTCATGACAAATAGTAACCAGTTAGTTGGATATGATAATTGCTTTCCCCTGTTTTAAATGTTACTTCATCTCTGGAATGATATGAAAACAAGGTGATAATCATGTTACCTCTGAGGCAGGAAATTGCTAGGCCAGCAGCAGGAGAGAAGGGGAAATTGTCTTTTTCCTATAATCTCTGTACTATTTGAATTTTATTCTAAGTCTGTGCATTACCTATTCAAAACAGTAAGTACACATTAAGGTGTTTTTTGTTTTTTTTTTTGGTAACAAAAGCCACATTCAAACATTAATTTTTTTTTTTTTTTTTGAGACGGAGTCTCGCTGTCTCCCAGGCTGAAGTGCAGTGGCGCTGTCTCGGCTCACTGCAACCTCTGCCTCCCGGGTTCACGCCATTCTCCTGCCTCAGCCTCCCGAGTAGCTGGGACTACAGGCGCCCGCCACCAGACCTGGCTCACTTTTTGTTTTTTTAGTAGAGATGGGGTTTCACCGTGTTAGCCAGGATGGTCTCGATCTCCTGACCTCGAGGTCCGCCCACCTCGGCCTCCCAAAGTGCTGGGATTACAGGCGTGAGCCACAGTGCCCGGCCCAAACATTAAAAATTTTTAATGCTTAATCGAATATCTTTATGTGTAAATCTCACTCTGAGCCCTGGGTAGAGAATGAGAAAATGGTACAGTTTTCGGCCATAGAGCAAAAGCCAGCATAGCTGTCAATCATCCTGGTAATGAAACTGAGCCTGGCATCTCTATGCCTATGGATTAGTTAAAGCCCCTAGAGGCACATTATTTTTTCTTCTCATTTTTAATGGAGGTTTTTTTTTTTAATCCACTTCTGCTTGGTAATGTGGTTGCAGAGAATTAAGGAATATGTGATAATGACAGATATTTACATAGTGCCCCAAACATTGTTCTGGGTGTTCATCTCTAACTCATCTAGTCCTCACAACAATCCCATGAAGTAGTAGTTTGTTGTTGTTGTTGCTTTTTAATAAATCAGGAAACTGAAACACAGGTAGGTTATATATCAGTTGCCCAGTGTCACAATGGTGATGGTAGAGGCAGGATTCAAACCCAGTCTTGTAACTGTGCTGCTGTGAGCCTCTAGATAAAATGGTGTTCGCAGCTGATGAGAAAATAGTATCAGAATAAAGGAAAACGTGTCCGGCCTGGTGGTTCATGCCCGTAATCCTAGCACTTTGGGAGGCCGAGGTGGGCAGATCGCTTGAGCCCAGGAGTTCGAGACCAGCCTGGCCAATATGGTGAAACCCCATCTCTACAAAAAATACTATAATTAGCTAGGCATGGTGGCATGTACCTGTAGTCTCAGCTCCTCAGGAGGCTAAGGTGGGAGGATCACCTGAGCCTGGGGAGGTTGAGGCTGCAGTGAGCTGTGATTATGCCACTATACTCCACCCTGGGTGGCAGAGTGAGACCCTGTCTCAAAACAATAAATAAAAAGGGGAATGGAAAAAAATTGTGAGTCCCTGGTTATAATTTGTATTGTTTAGTTTATTTCCTTTTTTATGAGTGAACTTAATCCTCAGTTGATTGGCAATACATTTTCAGCAGGAATGATAAAGAATCTTCATGGATGGCTAAAGGTTGCCTTTGGGTTTTTCTTTTCCTCATCTGCTTAAACACCCCTCACTTCCAGGAGCTGTCTGCGTAGGTTTCTTAGCGAGCTCTGTCACCATTAACTTTCCTCCCTCCCTTCTACCACTTCTGCAAGCCCTTCTTTAGCTGACTTGAAATGAGAGTCCCAAAAGGTCTCAGAAACTCTAGGGCTGTGGTGCATATCCCTGACCTATTCTTGTGAGTCAGTACAAAAAATTAAACAGCTCAAAACTTTAATTATTGTCATGCTCCTCAAGGAAAATCCCTCCTTTAATAAAGGAAAGGAAATCCTTAATTTTAAGTTGTGAATGGAAAATTAAGGAATAAAATAAGGTCAGACATGTAGATGCCTAGTTTTTAGACCCAGCGTTTTATAAAATAGGTGTGGAGCTGCTGTGTATTTATTAAGTGCTTACCAGGTGCTTGGCATCTCAATAGGCATTTAACAAGCATTAGCTCCTTTATCCCTCGTTAACACTCCAGGAGTTATATGTTATTATTTCCATTTTACAAGTCAGGAAATTGAAGCTTAGAAAGGTTGATAAATTCCCTGTGTAGCTGCAGAGCTAGGAAGAGGGAGTCAGATTTTGACATTACACCTGACTCTAACACAGCAGGTGTCGGCACTCCTCCTCTCTTCTGGCTTTTCACCTGCTCTCTGCTTTCCCACATATTCCTAGCACCAGTTTTGCAGTACTATTACTGACTTACTTCAGGGCCCTGGGATATTGCTTCTCTGGGTCCCAGAGACTCAAATGCCTACAGAGTGGTTGGGTCCTCTCCTACCACCTCTTCATTTCCTTACGAGAACATTGGCTGATTTCTCATCTGAAGACCTGTTGCCCAGCCAAAGAATGGATGCCAGGTGGGAGCTGTCCTGTTGTTATCTTTTTGATCAGCATGATGCCTTTGTGTCTCAACCAACAGGCTTTTACTTATTCTTGTTTAGACATAACATAAAAGTATTTAAATATTGAATCTTTAGCTTATTGTCTTTAGCCATCCTTAGAAGACTGTTTGAATTTTTTGCATTCATCTTTGGTTATGTGGCCCATTCATTTTTTTGGTGCATGATTTTTTGTTTTCAAAGTTTTTTTTTTCTTTTGTACTAATGCTGTTGTAATAAGAATGAAAAATTAGGAAATGGAGAAAAACAAAAACTAAATCACCCATGATACCACGAGCCAGGGATAACCACTGATACTGCAAGCAGGAAATAAAGAGTTGTGAATATCAGTATGGAGAATCAGAGATTGCAAAAAAAAAATGGCATTGTACTATATATTCTGTTTTGTTGCTTGCTCATTTGTTGCTTGCTCATTTTGCTCAGTAGTATATTGAGGATATCTTTCCATGCCAATAAAGATACCTCCATAGCATTTTTAGTGGCTGTAGATTATTAATTGTGTGGAACTAGTTCAACTATAGTTTGTATCTCTGTTTTTTTTTTTTTTCTTCACTTGGCCATTATGTAGGACATCCTCATAGCTAAATTTATTCTTTTATTTCTAATTATTTACTTAGGATTTATTCCATGAAGTGGAATTGGTCAAGATTATACCTAAGGCTTTTAATACTTCTTGCCAGATTGCCAGGCAGAAAGGCCGCTGTGAACTTTATCATCCGAGCTTATGATGGGCGTGTTCTGTTTTTGTCTTGGCTTTATTTTTCTTCCTTCAGGAGATTATTCCCAGTACCTGCTTTCTTCTTTGAAGTGCATTACTTTCTTCTCCCTATCTCCTTTGCACAGAATAGCTGGCTGCTTTGTAGAAGGCCTGCCCAACAGGAGGTGGTATTTTCAAAGGACATAAGGAGTGGAAACTACCACCTTCCACTTTCACATCATAATCATAATCAGCTCCTCTGTCTCATGTACTGTGCTGTGACACAGCTTCCTCCTCTGAGATGTCAGCCCTCCATAGCCATGAAGTGTCTGTCCTGTGAAGTGAGGTCTTTTACTCCCTCTTAACCTTGAATAACAGGTGCCCACACAGTTTTATCCAGACCCAAAAGATACATTCATTTACTATTTGTCAGCATTTTTTTGGTAGTTTAGACTTTTGTATGAGAATAGAGGGGACAGAGAAAAGACTTCTTAGAGCTTCCAGACTAGTTGGAAAGAAGTGCACTGTGGAACTTACCGGATCATCTAAGAGACTGCCATTTAAAGTTACCAGTCCAGTGTGTTCTTCCATAGGGAATGCTGTGAGGAAGTCCTTTTCATTCAGCTTGTAAAATATAAATGTAGTGAACTAAGTAAAGCAATGTTAATAATAGTACACATCCATATGCATGTAAATATGTATATATCTTAGCCCTTACTATATGTCAGGTACTATTAAATATACCGATTAGTTTATTTTCGTAACAGCTCTGCTTATACCTAATATGCAGATGGAAAACCACAGAGGTTAAAGTAACTTGCCTCAAGTCAGAGAGGTATAGTAAGCAATGGAGCAAGCATTAAAACTCTAGCTTGTTTGACTCCATGTATTCATTCAGTAATATTAATTGAACACTTACTATATGCCAGACCATGTTCAAGGAGCTGAGGCAACAGTAGTGACATTCCAGCTAGTGAGGAGTTTGAGGACTGATCAAGAAGAACGACCTGACTGCAAGGTGGCAGTAGCATATATAAGCTTTCTTTGGGTGATGCTTTGACAGGTTTGCTTGCAGGGTAGAGGAGTCCCTTATACCATGAGACCATCCAGAAGCTTGCATGCAAGGGCCACATCCAGAGTAGGAGGAGAGGAAAGGAACTCTCCAAGATCATAGAGGAGGCTCATGTGTCTTGGTGATGTTGCTCAGCATCACACAGGGGGGAGTCTGTGGTCAGAGACCTATGAAGAGCCCCAGTGGCTTGAGGTCTACCTAGCCATAGGGTTTATCCTATCCGTGGTTGGAAAATGCCAACAGTTTTGAAGGGTTTGCAAAGTAGGCAGGCTCTAAATGACAAAAAGTCTGATTATTTAGGCTATGTATAAAACATTTTGATATGTAAAAATTTGAGTTTGTGCTGGTCAACTTTTGAGCCAATAGTTGTCAGTCTTCTGTGAAGAAGTAAACAACCCAGGAGCCATCTTTAGCTCATTTATATAACCCTCAGTGATCTTATTCTTACCCACCAAGTCATACTGTTTAGTGCAGACTCAAGGAGACCTGAGGTGGGGCTTGTGCCATACTTCAAAGAGCAGAAGATGTATACTTACATAGCAGAGCTCATGTAAAAGAAAATGGAAGAACAGGGGTGAGGGGTGTCACTGGAGGAAATTCTACAGAAATGATTGCCATCCATCCATCTTTCATCATTTCTTTCAGTCAATACCCAGGCACTTCATTTTTGTTATTTTATTAATGTGAGAATTTTTAAGAAGCACTTATTTGTCCCATTTATAGTAACTTTTTCTTATGAGATCTTTCAGGACATTGCACTTGGTGGTGAAAACATCTATGGGGTCCCTTTAGGTGAAAGGCAGAATTACTGACGGGACACATAGGCTAAGTAAGATGGATCTGTTGGAGTTGGGTTTGGGCTGCAAAGATGAACTGTTAAGGTCAATGGAAAGTATCGCTTCCTGTTGAGTTGGGCATGGGCTGGCCCACAGGAGCTTTTGAGTGTAGAATGCCAGATTGGCGGTGGCTGTTTCACTGCCTGCTCCATTATTTCAATAAAAAAGTTGTCTATGGTAATTGTGAGGGAAGCGATCAGGGATTTGCTGCAGACACTGCCATGGTACTGTGCTGTTCTACCTCCCTTCCCTGCATTGAGGAATGTGAACTTAGAGTAATTACTCTGACAGGTGAACCTGACTTGTAACCCAGACAGGCAAAGTAGAGCTCTGACTCTCACAGTGTAAGAGTTCTCTGCTTTACAAAAGGGTCACCTTAATATTTAACCCTGTGTGTGTGCCTTTTAGCATCTGCAAAAAAATAAAATAAAATAAATACATATATCATATATATATATATCTGATATATATATATGTATCAGAACCTAGATAAAGGGTGATGAAAGTACAGGTATGAGACATTTTGCAGAGTGCTTAAGTGTCTCAGTTCTGGAGTCATCCTGTTTTTATCGCTTACTGCCTTTTTCACCATCAGCAAGTTTTTTAACCTCTTTGTGCCTAAGTTCGTCTATAGAAAGATAACAAGGATAACTACACTCAGATGTGGGGATCAAATGGACAGCACAGATACAGCAGAATGTGCCTGGCACATACCTACTATTCAATAAGTGATAACTATTACAATTGCTACCACTATTAATGACAGAAGGATAAATTGATTTTATATTCCTTTTTAAGAGCACATCATGGAAAGCATGGTAGATTTTTTATTAATCTCAGACTACATTTTTTAAGGAATTATGTTACCAAGCCAGTATCTTTACAGGATTAAAATAATACAAAGGAAGAGACCCTGGGAGCATCCTTCAAGATCTGTTAGTACAACTTCATTTTATAGATACAGAAACTGAGGCCCATTGAGGGGAACTGCCTTTCTCAAGGTCATGCAGCTGATTAGTGGCAGAGATAGGGCTAGACATCAGCATTCTTGACCCTGTTGCTTTAAAGGGTGACTTAGCAATAGCTCTTTATAGTTGGCCTGTAAACCCCTGATATTTAGGTTGCATTACTTAGCTTCAGATTGTAGAATGAGTCTTGTGAGAGGGCTAGCTGAAATGGCTGGTGGGTGGCTAGAGTGGCAGCCTGGGGCAAGGTAGTGTCAGGGACAAGCCTTGAAATGAGAAACCAGGTTACCTAGGGCTAGGCCGCGTAGTGTCCCAGGGATCTTGGACAAATTATTCAGTGTCTGCTTCCTCAATAGTAAAGTAAGGTTGATGGTATGTGCCCTGTCTCTACTTCACAGTGTGGTTTATAAAGTGTAAAAGAAAGGTGAGATATATATGAAGATTTATACTTTAACATGTAAGGAATAATTCACAAAAGCCAACATTGTCATTGTTTGGCGGAATAAAAGGTCCTTTTAGCTGTTGGTGTCAGTATGCTCTTGTTTTGGAGTCAATCCTTTTTTTTTTTTTTTTTTTAATAGAAGAATCCAATTTCTTGCCTTGGGTTACTGACTCTTTCAATTGTAACTAAGTACAATAGCAGTTAAGCTCAAGCTGTAATAGTAGAGCTCAGTGGAAGCTAAACCAGGCACAGTAACTGACACCATGTAGGTTGATTATATTTTGCATCTCCCTGCAAGTCTGTTTTATGTTATTTATAGCTTCCTATTCGTGTAGACACCAGCAGTAAACTGGGGAATATTTGTGGCAGGAATTTCTAAGAACAACCTTTAGCATCATCTCAGGCCCTGATCCATTTCCTTTTCCACAAAATTGTTTGAGATTATATCGTATGTGTTACAGAAAGAATGTTTTTCTGTATGCTCGAAACTGTATACTAAAGTAAAATAATAAAGTTAACCAGAATTATCCATGGGGAACAATTCCAATTAAAATAAAATGCCAGTATCTGGTAAAACCTGGTAGTAATGCTTTTTGTGGTGATATCCAGGTAATGATTAGATGCAGTAAACCCGGGTAGTAGGGAAGAAGAGAGATGTGGGGACAAGCAGCCCGAATACCTTGCTGGCATAGCAGCTGCCTACCTGCACCCGGAGACCTGAGCAGATATTACTAGGGTATTATTTGACAGCCAGCTTAGCAGTCAAGAAGGACATTGATTTGGGGTAGCATGGCAGACCACTTCATTGGGGCTGAAGACCTGCATTTATTGATCACTTACTACATGCCACGTATTTCGTTTAGGATATATATGTGTGCAAGTGTATAATTTTAAAATATACCCCACGGTAGAGGCAGAGCTGTTGGCAGTGAGCCGAGATCGCGCCACTGCATTCCAGCCTGAGCGACAGAGCGAGACTCTGTCTCAAAAAAAAAAAAAAAAAAAAAAGAGAATATACCCCATGGCTGGAGGCATCCAGCAGCCAATTCAGGAGGAGAGCCTTCTCACACTCAGTAACTTGGCTGTCTCATCCACTTAGGAAGTGTACAAGCCCCGTCGGAAATACAAACGCCACCAGGGAGCAGAGGAGCTACTTGATGAAGAATCTCGAATCCATGCTACACTTTTGGAATATGGCAGGTAATGAGTGGGACCCAGTCTAGGTGTCTCTTTTAAAAGAAAAGCTAATTTAAGTTGCTTCATTTGGATTAACTTGACTAGCTTCTACCCGATTGAGTTTCTGCCTTCAGCCATGAGATTTCCAACATCAGGGACTTTTCTCTGGTAATGAATTACCTGTTTCTGTGGGCATCCTTTGCAATTCCTCTCTGGAAATGTGCACCTGGCTCTGCCTTCCTTTGGGAGTTGGGGTGTTCCAGGCATTTACAGAGGCTGAGGTACTCTGTCCTGCATGCCCCTGTTTGTTAAAATCTTCAGGTAAATGAAAACAGTTTCAGTGATTTCACTTTAAGTGTTAGAATAATAATTTCAATTTCCTGTGAATATTGTCCTAACTAGGAAAATGAAGAACTTAGAAGTAGTTTTGTCACTTCTTAAAAACATCTCTAGTTTAAAAAAAAAAAATCTTATTTTATATCCTTAGTTTTTACTTTAAAAAAAAGTGCAAGGACATGCTTCTCCCCATTGAATTTTTTGCTTGTCACTGGGTATTAACCTTTTATGTCACGCATTCTCTTCTCAGGGTAACTGATTCCTTGATGTGAGTAAGTCTCCTTGTGCTTCCTTTGTGTTGGGAGAGGCTCCTGTGTGCTGCTCTGCCTCACAGCCCAACCCTTGTAGGGTGGCTGGAACTAACTGCATTGCCACTGGCGTTTCCCTAAGTGAGCATCTGATGGCTTTGCCTGCCCTCTAGGGTACCAGAGAGAACCAGCAGGAAATTAGGTTTAATTATTCTAGTTTCCAAATGGAATTGCATGCAATTGCTTATGTTTTTTTTTTTTTGTTTTGTTTTGTTTTTTCTTCCTAAGAATAAAAACTAGTCTGTTTCTAAGGAAATTGAAGTAGTTCTGGCCCTAGGCTGCGTGTGATGGCTGCCCCCACAGTTCACTAGTTGCTGCTGTGAATTGAATGCCTCCTCCAAGTCAGGCATCACCAGGACTAGCTATGTAGTGAAAATGCCAAGTAACTTGTTAGCAGTTATTAATGATGATTAATTATTAAGAATTTAAAGACAACAACAACAGCCAAGTGAGAACTCTTCTAAGCATGGGGCCCTGTGCTAGTGGACGGGTTGTGTGCTCAGGAAGCCAGCCCTGGGAATCATGACAGAGTCTGTCTAGCCATGCCCAGCTGTAAGTGAGCAGGTGAGGCTGCACAGCTCTGGGAGAGCCAGAGCTGGAGAGACAATCTCTGTGGGTGTCACGTGTCCCAGAATGAAGAAGTTCTTGGCAGAATGTAGTGGATTTTGTGAGTTTGTATTATTTATGCATCCATTTTTCCATCATCATGGAAAATAGGATTTTCCTGAGGGTGAAAAGGAGTTAGAAATTCAGTAAATTGCCCACCTCGCTGAGACCATGTTGACAGAATTCTAGATCAGTATTCTTGTTCTGAAATTCTCAGGTTCAAATGGGATCTTTTGTATATATGTTGTAGATAGTAGCTAGTATCACCATCTGAAGGCTGGGAAAGTTCAGAACCTCCCTGTCTGTCATCAGGAGTGATTGATGCAGTTTGAGGTGAGAATCTGGCTTGGCCTCTTTAGGAAAGGAAGCAAGACAGATTTTGCTTGACTCTTCTCAAACTCTGAGAGTGAGAAAGAGCAGTGTCTTGATACCAATCCTGGTTCCTGTTGGTATGGTCATGCTGACTTCTGCTAATTTCTACGGCTAGGGTGGGCATTTCCTGAAGGTTTTAGGTTTGGGGGTTTTTTTTGGGTGGGAGAGAGATGTTATTTTGTTTTTTTAGCTTTTTTGGCAAGGAGAGGGTAAGTTTGTGGCAGGTGGAGTAGTGGGTACTTAGGACATTCTGATAGTATATTTAGCTCATTCTCCTCTTTGAGACTAATAATGACAACATTCAGAAAGGTTAAAAAATGACTTTCTTAAGGTCATAAACTATAAAGAGGCTCAGATTGGCACTTCAACTAAGATACCTTGAACTTCAAAAGCATGTCATTATCATTGTCTGCAAATACTGTTTGAGCCTTCAGTGAGAGTATATTTTTAGGTTCTGAGTTTTAGGAAGACTGGGCATGTCTATTCTTTGGTCTGAAACTAAATAAGAAGAGAATGGTTATTAAAACTGACAGAGCAAATCAGATAAAATGTACAGCCCCAACAAGTGTGTGTTCTATTCCACCTCCCTGGGAAGGCTTCTCCCTTCCTTTCTGGCAGTCTGTTTCCTCTAGGTTCTGTTCAGCATTCTCCACTGCATGGAGATCTTTCCCATTAAATGAGGATTATATGACTATATATATATATATATATATATATATATATATATATATATATATATAATTTTGAGCAGTTTGTTCAATGTAGAAAACAGTAAATGTTAACCATTGGCTGCTGTCATCATTCTCCTTATTATAATCATCATTATTAGCAGCAACAGTTCAGTTTTCAAATGCCCTCAGATATGACCTTTTCCCCTTACAGTTCTCCTTGTCCTTGTGTGTTTATGTATGAGTGAAGAGGGGAAGCTTCCCCTTGGCCCTCTGAAGGTTCACTGAAAATGAACTGACAAAAGGCAGATTAACAGGAGAAAATGGCATACATAATTTATTGTGTGGGGGGAAAACCACAGAAGTGTGACTACCCAGTAACCCAGTGATGTCCAGATGCCTATATGTCCTTCTTCACAGGGGAAGGCAGATAGGGAAATACGCCAATTGGAGGGGTAGTAAATGATGTTTAGGGGAAATGAATCAGACCATGGTTAATAAATGACTTTCTGGAAATTGAATAGGATGGGAAACAGACCATGGTTTGGGTTCTAGGCGTGGTATTTAATTTTCAGTCTCTTGCTCTGTGGTAGATAATGAGATTTCAGGGAGTGGATGGAAGACACTTGTGTTTTCTTTAACGGGTCCAGTCTTTATATAGATAAGAGAAAAAACCCTGTTCTAACATGTGACCTTCAAGTGCCTTTAATTCAAGTTATTCAGCATATTAGGGTGCCATATTTGGGGGCAACAGCCCGTGGACTCCTTCACTTATTACCCTTCACACTAGCCCTCCCTCTAGCATGTGTATGGGAAGTCTGGCCTTTTCTCCCCTGCCCCTGTCAAACAAGGCTGGCCCCCTGCTGGCCCTGGGACTCACTTTGCTCCATCTTCCCTTTCCCTTTAACATTGCGGCATTCCTGACTTCCTCACGCACCCCCCCCCCCACTACACTATGGCATCACAGCTTTAGGAGTCCAGATCTCTCTTCCAGTGTTTCTATTTTCTACCTTATCTTACCTCTTGTCAGGGGGAAAGTATTTTGACTTCTAGAGCAAGAAGGTCTGAAATCAGTATTTCTTCCTTGGGGTTGAAGGTCACTCATCAGCGTTACACCCACAGTGCCCTTTGGCTTTTAGGTCCGCATTCCATCTCCTTCCCCCATTTTGACTCTCAGTTGCTTAAATAAAGGTGAATTATGAACCTTGTCAACTATGCTGAAGGCCTTAAGGACTGTTTATCTGTTAAAAACATAGTTTGGGTATATTTTTCTAAGTGTTAATGGTGTTAGGAAAACAAGACTTATAGTTTTGATTTTGGATGTAAACAAAATTGCACACCTATAATATTTCAGTTTTGTTATGGGTTCAGTCAATTTTGAGAGGCTAACTTAAGCACCTAACCGTGCTATGAAACTGCTACTCTGGGGAAATGCATTTTATGTGCCATATATTTGACTTGCAAGAGGAGGTTTGGAGCACAGCCACCAGAATGCTGGAGTTAGCCTATTCCTCAGTATTCAAAGCCTAATTTTGAGTTCTTGAAGTCATTCTAGGCAACTCAAAGTTAGGCCTTGAATACTAAGGAACAGGCTAACTCCAGCATTCTGTAGTTAGTAAATAAAACACGGCATACCTCTCCCAACCTGTTTGTGTCTCCTATGATGATAAGGCCTATGACATGCTCATAAAAGATATTTAGTAAGTTCTTGTCAAATGAATAAAGAACAAAGTTCACAGTCCTTGGTATTTAGGGCTTTTTATGTCCCTATTTTGTTTTATATTCCAAATAGATAACCATCTTAGTTTGGCCTGAGGTAATTGTTCTTGAAAGTTAGTTTGTTTTCTAGAATTGTGGTGTCCAGTATGGTAGCCACTATCCATATGTGGCTATTGAGCAATTGAAATGCGACTAGTGTGGCTCAGGAACAGAATTTTGATTTTAATTAAGTTAAATTTAAATTTTAAGATTTGTGCTTGATTTAGTTAATGGGAAATGTTTATCTTTGGAATAACTTGGTCATATGAACCTACTAACCTAGTAATTAAAAAATTGTATGTGTGTCCTTCTTTATATTTCTTTTGTACTGTGCTGTTCTAAATGTACATCCTTGATTTAAAGACTGGGTCCTATGACTAAGGTATGAAGAAGTGAACTGGATGATGGGAGGAGCTCTTTGGTGCTAACAGTGTAGGTAGCAAGAATCAGAGCTAAAGAAGAGGAATGCAGGAGCAAATGGAAGCATGCGGCACTGCGGATCAGAGCTGTCACTTGGGGGAAACGGGCAGGGCTGACAGGAAAAGAGGAAAGCGAGGCAGTAGTTAATAGGCAGTTGAGGACAGAGCTTTGTCATGGAAATCTCACTACTTTGTGACATGGATGAGGCCTTTAGAAAAATCATGTGGACTCTTCATTCATGCAGCAACCATTAATTGAGCACCTACTATGTGCCAGGCACTGAACTGCCAGGCAATGGGGATATTGAAGTGAATGAAGCTGTACATGAATATTTATAGTAGCACTGTAAATATGTTGCATAATATATTGCACAATTATGAATTTAGCAATTCATAATTGCTAAAAAGTAGAAACAACCCAGATGTCTGTCAGCTGATGAAACAAAATGTGGCTTACTCATATAATGGGATATTATTCAGCCATAAAATGGAATTAAGTAGTGATTCATGCTTCAACCTGGATGAACTTTGAAAATATTCTCATGAGTCAAAGAAGCCAGACACAAAGGCCACATTTTGAGTGATTTCATTTCTATGAAATCTCCAGAATTAGCAAATCCATAGAGACAGAAGGTAGATCAGTGGTAGCCAAGGGCTGGGAAGAGGGAAGAATTGTGATTAACTGCTAATAGTAACAGAGTTTCTTTTTGAGGTGATGGAGCTTTTCTTGATTTCGATAATAGCGATGGTTGCACAACATAGTGAATACACTAAAATCCAGTGAGCAATACACTTTGAAATGGTGAATTTTATATTATATGAATTATGTCAGTTTTTAAAATATTTTTTTAAAGTGAATGAAGCAAATTTCTTCCTCTCCAGAGGCTCAACAGAAAGGCTTAGCGGATTACTCATGAGGGATAATTATGTTCACCATACAATGAGTGCGTTGGCTGTCACAGAAGCTCACATCTGGAGGGCTTACTAAAAGAGTCTTCCCAGAGCCTCTGTCTTTAAGGAGGAGTAGATTCGTCCTAGGAATCAAGTCACTCAGATTTGGTTGTTCACTTCCTTATTTGGAAAATCCGTGAAGTCCCTGGGCCTTAGATAAAGGGCTTTATGTCTTCTGCCCTAAAAGTCTCCACAGACTAAAGGCATAAAAAAGGAAAGATGAATACTCAAGATGCAAGGACACTATAGGAGTGGGAAACTTGGGCAAGACCTTGTATTGTTCAGGGTTCCCTGGTTGAAAAAACAGTACCCTCCCACTAGTTTCAGCAGAAGGGATTGGTTACAGGGCTGGATGAGAACTAGGCTGAGCCAGGGTCAGCTCTCAAGCTTCACATTAGAACTGGAGCTCCAGGATACTGTTTCTGCCTCCAAAATCAGGAAGCTAGCTAGCAGCCTGTAGGATTGGGAAGCTGGTGCTATAGCGGCTTGACAAGGAAGGAAACCACGCTGCTTCTGTCAAATTAGGAAGCTCTGAAAAACCAAGAAGCCACTGTGATAGCTGCTAGCCCCAGAACCTGGCTGTTTCTACTGTGATCCACACCAACACAATGGATCCTTTATGCTTCCCTCTTTCCTCCTTTAACTGTTCCATATTGAAAACTCTAGCAAATGCATCTGATTGGTGGAACGTTAACAGTATTCAGAACCCTAGGTGCAAGGGAGTATGGAAAATAGTCTCTTTTCCAGCCTCAGCAGTACTAGAAGATGCAATAGATATTAAGCCAGTCCACAGAATCTGCCATAAGGTCCTTTACAGAATTCGTGTGGATAGCCAAAATTTAACCTTGGTCTGCTACACTTTGGACCTATAGGTTTATTTCTAAAGGGTGGACATACTGCCCAGCAGTGACTTTTTGGTTTCCCCAGTTATATGACAATCTGTTGCAAGGTCAGATGATACTTTTGGCTTCTTGATTTTTGCATTTTTTCACTTATGTTTAGTTTGTTTGTTCAGTGAATATTGGAAAAACCAGATATAAAGGTAGAATCTTTGCCCTCAGGAGAATGATACAGATAAGTAACAGTTGCATGTATTCACCATCTGGGAAGTGAGAGGAGCATGAACAGATGCAGGGATGGATAGGCCAGGCTGAGCACATGTGCATGGGGGATGCTTCACAGGGGAGGAGCTTTAGAGCTGAGGAGTGGAGGGTGAGTAGGGAAGCAGGGGCGAGAGGGGAACAGCTTAGTTTGTGCAGAGCTCTCTGTTCAGGTAGTAAGTGTAATAGGAACACAGAAGGTGCTGCTGGTGGTGAGGTGAAACACTTGTTAGGCTGAGCCATGGAAGAGAGGCTTTATAAGGCTCCTGAGGAGGTTCTGTTTTCTTCTGAGGGAAGAGGCCTGCCATTGATAAATGTGCATCAGGCCAATGCAGAAGTTGGACAAGGAATGGGCAGGAAGAGTGTGGGGAGTGAAGCTGGAGGACCAAGACCAGGTGAGCACACAACCCAGAAGTGAGGCACAGAGTAGCCTTAAACTTGTTCTTTATTTTCATTTATTTATTTTTGAGACAGAGTCTTGCTCTGTCACCCAGGCTGGAGTCCAGTGCTATGATCTCGGCTCACTGCAACCTCTGCCTCCTGGGTTCAAGTGATTCTGGTGCTTCAGCCTCCCAAGTAGCTGGGACTACAGGCGTGTGCCACTATGCCCAGCTGCTTTTTGTGTTTTTAGTAGAGACAGGGTTTCACCATGTTGGCCAGGCTAGTCTCAAATTCCTGACGTCAGGTGATAGGCCCGCCTCAGCCTCCCAAAGTGCTGGGATTACAGCACTTTGCAGGCGTGAGCCAGCGCGCCTGGCTCAATTTGTTCTTAAATGTTTGCATTAACTTTATTTTCTTACAAATCACTTAAAGGTGTATGAGGCTGGGTGGTTTGCATTTTGCTTTTTGTTGAGGGTTGAATGGATTTTGCATTGTTATACTTGCTTTTTAAAAAAACATAGATTAATTAGAGCCAGAAAATAAACTACTTGAAACTGAATTGTGTTTTTGTGTTTTTTTTAATTTAAGGTTGTGTGAAGTGAGTACACATTATTGGCATCATGCTTGGATTATGTTTGGGAATAAAAAGTGTGCTAGACTCTAAGTTATGGAAGTAGCCATTAAAGCGCATATTTGGCTTAAGGAAACACATTTACATTTGTTTATATAGATATTTTTAAGGCTTTTAGCTTAAACCGTGGCTCTGAAATGCAGTGGCTGATTCAAAAAGTCATAATTGCACTTAAGGAAAATGTTGCATTCCATACTGTCTGAGAGTTCCAATTTACATTATAGTATTTGCATAGCAAGTAGGGTGGCTGGCCCTTTATTAAAAAGACAGTGGAATATGTTTGTAATTTAGGCACTTGTAACGTTTTCTCAAGTCACCAAATGGCATAAATTCTCTTGATGTTTTTCATGTAAAAAGTCAACCAAAATGCATTTCACTGAATGTATTGTAATTTTTTAAGTAGTAATTAAACTCCTTTTTTGTGGCCTGCAGGAGATATGGATTTAGCCGCCAGAGCAAAATGGAGAAGGTAAGAAAAACATTGATAGTAAGAGAGAATACTTGAGAGATGGAAGTGACTCCCTTCACCTCTGACTAACACTCACAAGCCGGGCAGCAGCTTCTTGGGAAACCCAGGGATGTGTGAGCTGCCTTTGGCCCCTGCATCTCCGTCCTGGCTTTTCTAGCTAGCCACCTCTACAGACTGGGGAGCAAAGCAGCAGTCTCCTCCTGGGGCTGGAAATGAGGGGTGATTGAAAGTTGTGGCCTAGGGTCAGTCACTTGGGGTCTAGTGGCTCTGCAGTATGAAGGTGAAGTCCACTGCCAGGGCTCCCAGAGCACTCCTCATCTGAGGTGAGACTCTAAATAGATGTGAACAGGATGTTAGGTAGAGCACAGCTGTGAATTACAGGCCTGCCCTCTGCTGAAACAGCCAGTCATGGAAGAGCCAGGTAAATCAGGATGGCTTTTCTAACTTCACAAAGGATGCCCAAAGATTTCTGTTAATTTATGTGTTTATTAATGATGCTTCATTGTCAGCAGCAGGACAGGTACATAAATGTTATGGTGCTAAACTCTTTCTGTGTTCCAGGCTGTATGTTAAGGGCTCTGTATGTTTTCACTTACTGCCTTGAACAACTCTATGAGGAGGATGTTTATTTCTGCTTTTTAGGTCAGAAAGCTAACGCTCAGAGAGGCTCAGTGATTTTTCCAAGGTCACATAGCTCTAAAGTGAACTTAATAAGAATCTGAACCTAGAGGTCTGACATCAAACCTGTGCTCATAGCCACTGCCTTCTAAATAATAAAGTGTCAGCTATAGTGGTCAGTGGCCTCTTAAAAAGTTCAGTTATTGTCAGGAGATCGAGACCGTCCTGGCTAACACGGTGAAACCCCGTCTCTACTAAAAATACAAAAAAACATTCTCCGGGAGTGGTGGTGGGCGCCTGTAGTCCCAGCTACTCGGGAGGCTGAGGCAGGAGAATGGCGTGAACCCGGGAGGCGGAGCTTGCAGTGAGCCAAGATCGCGCCACTGCACTCCAGCCTGGGTGACAGTATGAGACTCCGTCTCAAAAAAAAAAAAAAAAAAAGATTGGTTATTAACCTCTTTTCATTCTCCACCTGATCCCCAGATTTCTTGAACAGGACACACTCCCCCTGCTGTTCCCCTGCCACCCACTCCATTGTACCCACTCCCCAGGCTCCCCCTCTGCTTCCTGTGTTGACTGTTGTCTCAGTCGCTGCAGGCACCAGCAGTGACTAGGAGCACTGTTCTAAAGCCAGACTAGCTGGTTTAGGATTCCAGCTCCTCTATTCGCTGAGTGACTCTGGATAATTTACTGATTCTTTGTACATTAGTTGACAGCATCTGTAAAATGGGGGCAGTCATTGTACCTATCTCACAGCATTATTGTGAAGATTGAAATGTAAAGGACTTAGAATGATCCAACACATAGTAAACATTTAATAAACATTATTATTAATATCAGTATTAGTTATTGGTACTTAGTCATGTACTGATTATGATGTCTTCTTTTTTAGTTTTCTCATTATTTTTTCCCCATTTGTGTTTTTTTAGTCAACTGAATAATGATTTCCTACAGAGCAGGGTGTTTTCTGGATTTGAGTATATCATGTTTTATCTGGTATATAATAAGGGTTTGATGTGTATATTTAATTTGATATGTAATTTAAGTCTGAAAAGATTGTCTTTATATATGACTGGGCAATTTGGTTATGATTGGAAAAATCATGAGATGTCCCTGAAATAGTATTCAAATTGTGCTTGTCCTGTCATTTTTATGTCAGACGGCACATTTGAATTAGCAGTCTCATCCCCTGTAGATGTGTCCAAGCAGTTAGGAGCTCGGAGTGTTCCCATGGGCAGTGATAGACTCGTTATAGAAAAGCATCCTAGAGTTGGGATGGTCCAAGAAGGGCATTTGAGACCAAACCTCTCTTTTGACCCTGGAAGTCCTTAACATGCAGGGATCAGAGGTAAGCCTGAGGTCACCCAGCTGGTGGATGGCAGGGATAGAATTAAAACCTATAGCCCATGATTGAGGAGGCAGCAGTTAATCCAGGGTGCCTTGAGTTTGACCTGGTTCATTTAGAGCCTGGGGCTGAGTCCAGAGCATGCTGCTTGATCATTAGATAAGGCAGTTTTCATCCTTCACACCAGTGGTATTCAAACTGTTTTGATTACTCTGAGCAGTAAACGTATAATTTTTCATCATGATTCAGTACACACACACTAATACCCCTGAAACAAAAGTTTCAGTAAGCAGTACCTAACCCCTCACTACAAAGCACTCTGGCATGTTCTGTTGTGTTAATTTATACAGATGCTAGTTGTACCTGCCAAATTACTTTTATGTCCCACTAATTGGTCTTAACAGGCAGTTTGAAGAAACACTCCTTTAGTAGTGATCTGCTCTTGAAAGTGTTAAAGTAGGGGGAAGCCCCAGTCAAAGTGCAAGGGTAAGTCAGGCAAATGTGTGTGGCCTGAATTTAATCAGTGAGCAGCTGGGACATGGAAACAGGCATTTGCCAGTTCCTGAAGCTTAACCTGCCCACCCTATACTCTAGTGGAGGTTCAGCCGTTTGGAGTATCCACTCTCTCAGGATGCTGCTGCTCTGCAGGTCTGTGTTTTTTTCACAGACTCATGCCTCTTGTCAGTATTGTCCTTTCTCTACTGAGTCTCCATCTCCCGTGCTCAGCTGTTTTCACATCTTCCCTTGCAGGCTGAGGACAAGAAAACGGCACTTCCAGCAGGGCTGTCAGCTACAGAAAAAGCTGATGCCCACGAGGAAGATGAGCTTCGAGCAGCTGAAGAGGTGTGTGGTCCATGTAGGCCCTCTGAGGTTTCTGTGTAAGTCATTTTGGGAGAAATCGTACTCTTATCCCTAGCGTTCCCAAATGGCCACCACCTCCCACAGCCAGCTGCTGTGAGCAGGTCTTTCACACCTTCCAGTTTCATTTTATCACCTGCCTTTGAGGCTCACATAAGACGAGATCAAGGAAGACACCCTTGGATATCACCGCAAAGATCCATGTAGGCATATTGCTTCTGTCTTACATGTTCAGAACCACTCACTGCTGCTCCCTTCCATTCCTCTTTCAGCAGCGTATTCAGTCGCTGATGACCAAGATGACCGCTATGGCAAATGAGGAGGTGAGTGGGAGTCGGGGAGGTGTGGGGATGGGGACTTGGCACCACCCTGCTCTGCTGGGGTCTTCTCCCAGAGAGCCCACCTTCTCCGGAGCTGCCTCTCACCAGCACACAGTACCTCCTCTTCCCCAGGGAGTTCCTTTTGTTAATCTGTTTTTAATGCCTAGTGCTGCCACCCATGGGAACCTCTAGGAGGGAGGCTTGAAGGACCCTTGTGAAAGCAGAATATTCCTGCTGGGAGGTTCACAGGGCCTCTGCGGAAGAGCTAGAGCTGACCCGTGAGTTATGCCTCATGCTGAGGCAGCTCTTGTCTTCTGCTTTCTTCCTACACTATCTAGGTAGGAAGCGGGATTTTGAGATTATAGTTGGTCTTTCCAGAGCTCAAAGCCTGTCCAGAAGGTATAGCCAATGTGAAAGGATCATTCTTTTTGAGGCCTGGGAAGACCTGTGGTAGTAAAGAGATATTTTAGAGTTCTGAGATTCTTTGTCCTTTCCCATGCTCTTCTCTATTCCCTGTGTCCTAGGCCTGCCAAATCCCCTGCAGGCTCTGTTTGGTGACTCTCAGGAGGTGAGACCTTGGGGTGGTACATAGAAGGGAAGGACCATTTTCCAGGGGTGCCCAGGGTCCGAGGAGGATTTAGCACCATCCGCTCAGTGACTCAGGAGGTAGCTGCGTGTTTGTCCTGAGGCTTCTTTTCTCCCTTTCTGTTGGTAATATGTGGCAAAGCCAAATTATTTCCCCTGGGAATATTATGTTTTACCATAATAGAGTGTTCAGACATAATAGAGTGTTCAGATTTTCCAGTGCTATGGAAGACAAGGCTTGGCCTTGAGAACATTCCCTCCATATACTTGCAGAGCCGTCTCACCGCAAGCTCCGTGGGCCAGATTGTGGGACTCTGCTCTGCTGAGATCAAGCAGATTGTGTCCGAGTATGCAGAGAAGGTAGGTGGGGGCCCAGCTGGAGTCTGTGCCCCAGATAATGCTCCATGGCTTTGTTCTCCCACTTCCTTACCCCACTACCCCAGCAGTGCCCCGTGTTCTCTTGTAACTCACCAGCCACGTTAGTCAGAAACACACTGGGCTTTACCATGCACAACCGGCTATCAGCACTTGCCCGTTAGTTAAATTAATTTTGTCCTGCAGTGCCCACTTTTCTGTAAATATAAAGAGAAAACCTGTCTCACAGAGCAGTTATCACATTTGATAAATTCATGCCTGAGGGTATGGGATGAGCATTTTTTCTTTTCTATCAGGCCTCTTATAACTTGGGCTCAGTTTGATGATTGGGCTAGGGAATGAAGCTTTGCCACTTAGGAGATAAACCCCATAACTCAGCCAAACCCGAGGCAGAATTTTTTGTTCTACTTTATTAAAAGAGTATAGAATGAAGGAAAGCCTGAAATCATATTTCAGAGTTTGCTTTTTTTTTTTTTTTCCATCCTAAGAAAAGGCAGGAAGACCTTGAATATTTCAGGGAGACGGTGATTAATCATTTTGCACATAACTGATTCTGGTGTGGCTGAGATGTGGTATCAGTAAAATCAGATTTACAGGACATTGTTGCACATCCCTCCTGCCCCAGCCCTGTCCCCCTAAAATGTTGATGTCTGTTGAAGCATCCAGCTTTGCTTTCCTTTTCTCAGAATCTTTTACTACAAATTAGCTCTGCCCTGACTCTCTGTGACATATTCTTCTGAAGTGATTGCACAGGTGATACAGTTAGGGAAAAATTGTCCCCAGTAATCTGGAGGCGTTATCAGCTATAACACCCCCAAGACTTTTGGGAAACAGTTTTAAATGCCTAGTGCTGCCATCCGTGGGAACCTCTGGGAGGGAGACTTGAAGGACCCTTGTGCAAGCGAATATGAGTGAGTAAAACAGCTTGGAATGTCTCAGGGTGAGATTCCTTTGTTTTCCCCACTCCCCCAAGTAAGTGTTTCTTAACATGGGCTTTCTAGTCCAATCTCATAGAATCCAGAGTGTCCTGTCTTTCCATTACCACCTAGGAAAGATGACACTGCTCAAAGTGTCATCTGAAATTTGACCAGAAAAGGATGTTTGTTATCCTAAAAGTACAAATGAAGATGTAATTATGGAAACAGTATTAACTCACTGTCTGAGAAGAAAGTGTCTTCGTTTCCTGTCAGCACACACATCTGAATGGCAAGAGTGTGAGTTTATACCCGCCCTTATGTTGCCACATAGCATTGCTGAACCCAGTTTTTCAGAAAAAAAAAAAAATGACAACTGGATAGAGCACCCACTGCTGTTTCTACAGGGAGCACGTAGGAGCTCTGATGATTGTAAGAGGAAAAAGCAGGCAGGCAGAGCCCCCTGTGGTTGGCAGTGCATCTCTCTTTCCACACTTTTCCCTGCCTAGGACTCCTAAAGCTCACCTGACTTCCCCAGTTATTCTGCATTTTACACGTCTCCTTCTGGATCTCTCTGTGTCTTTATCTCCTAATAAGCTTTTTCTTCCTCACTCTTGACCAGTGATCTCTATCCAACTCTGATGGATACATTCTGGTTTATCTGTCTTGGACCATTCTCTACCTCCATTCCATTCTTCTAGAAAAGAGTGAAATTAGGAGTAATTTGGACAGGAAGCCGTGCCAAGATTTTTTCTAAGGACATATATGCTGTTGATTCTTGATCAACACAGGTTTGGACTGTGTGGGTCCACTTACATGTGGATTTTTTCCCAACCAGATGTGTATGGAAACTACAGTATTCATGGGATGCAAAACCAGTGTATATGGAGGGCCAACTTTTCATATATGTGGGTTCCGTACAGCCGACTGCAGAGTATGCACAGATTTTGGCATAAGCAGGTGGTTTTTGAACCAATCCCCCACATATACTAAGAGATGACTGTAGTTAAACTTCCAATGGAGAAGCGGAGGTGTCAAACATTCATTACTTAATTGTGTTGTTTTCATTGGGTAGGTAGTATAGCATTAAAGCTGATGGTTTTTCAAAATTAAATTGCCTTTAATCCTATTCCCATATTGCAGTTATTTCACATTTGCATATTATTTTGCAGTGCTTGTTCCCAGATCTTCATAGTTGTGTATAGTTGTAATCATCATATATGTCTAAAAGAGGTAGGACAGTGAGTGAGTGCAGTGATTAAAAACACACCATTTGAAGCCATATCTTGGTTCATTTCTGCCTTTTCCATTTCCCAGCTGTGTGACCTCGGCCATATATTTAATCTCTCTTTGCCCTAGTATCTGCTTTATAAAATGAGAATAATATTACTTTTCTGACAGGTGTTGGGAAGATTAAATGAAATGTGACCAAAATGCCTCAAACGGTGCCTGGCACTCTTCAGCTGTTGATAGCTTTATTTTCATTACTGTAGTCTTCATTCTTTTTGGTTTTGTCAGATCACATCCTAAATATTTTCTAGCCTTCCCGTTTGTTTATTTATTTTTATTTTTCTAAGTGTGTGTTTGTGTGTATGGGTGGCTGTGTGTGTTTCCTGAGATAGGATCTCACTCTGTTGCCCAGGCAAAGAGTGCAGTAGTACAATCTCAGCTCACTTTAGCCTTGGTCTCCCAGGCTCAGGTGATCCTGCCATCTCAGCCTCCCAAGTAGCTGGGACTGCAGGCGCATACCACCATGCCTGGCTAAGTTTTGTATTTTTTGTAGAGATGGGGTTTTGTCATGTTGCCTAGGCTGGTGTTGAACTCCTGGGCTCAAGCCATCCTCCCACCTCAGCCTCCCAAAGTGCTGGGATTGCAGGTCTCAGCCACTGTGGCTGGCCGTTCCCATTTATTTTAATAACTACATAATTTATGTGTTAATACAGCGCAGTTCATTAAACTTTTTTTTGTTAGACACAATTTTAAGTTGTTTCTGTTTGCCATTGTGGATAATATTGTGAAATGTGATCAGATAGTTTCTGCTGAGAGGTTTTCTAGGTGTTGGATGATTGGTTATCACTCCCTCTGTGTGTTACAACTACGTAAAATACTAACAGTTGTGAAGGGACTTCCCAGCATATGCCCCCAATATTTCCAGCTTTGATTTTTTTGTTTGTCTAATTTGTTACTGTAGCAACTATAAAATGGCAGCTCTGTAGACCACTGAGAGGATCGAAGATGGTTCTGTGTAAGTACAGGTTACAGAGAACTCATCCAGTACCATGTAACTAATAAGTTCCAGGTTTGAATACAGGACTGTTTACTGTGTTTTCTTCTCTGAATTGTCTGTTATAGACTATACTCGAGTAACGTTTTCCTTGTGAATTTGAATAAAGTCTATACTTCAGATTTAAATATATTGTCACTGTGATGCAAGTATTTCTCAGGCACTTTATTTTACTTTTGTATTGTTTTTCATTATATACAAGGAATTTGTACCCAAGTTGGTCAGTCTTTTTTTTTTATTCTTGTTTCCAAATGAGAGGTTCATTGTTTTTCCATGGATCTGGTAAAATAGTTAATGCATGTCAGCTGGTCTTTTATTAATTATGTTTAATTCTTTAACCTATGTAGAATTTATTCTTCTTTAGCCTAAAGTGGGGACCTGTCCTAGTTTTCCTATTCATATCCACTTATCCTACTACTGTTTGTCAGATAATTTCTTTCTACTCATTTGGAGATACTTGATTCTATTTTTATGTCTTATAGCTAAACTGAGTATGGCCTCTTTCTTGTATTATTGGTTTATACTTCTATTTTATGCAGTTCTGTGGTAAAGTCATGCATGGTGTTTTTGTTATTTGCTTGATTTGTTTTTGTTTTGTCAGTGCTCTCCAGTCAAAGACCTAGTTTGTTCAATTAGGAACATATCTGTGGTTGAACAAGTTGGGTATATTGCTGCTTGTAGTGAGGGAGAACACATACCAATGGGAATCATGGGGCCTTTCAGTAAGAATGTGTCAGAAAGGACTTAGTATAGGATTTGGACTTATGTAAGGTGACTTGAAGGAGGGTTCAAGGAAGTGGGGCTTTGCTTTGGGTTCGATGCTGTAAGGAAGGGTGAGTCTGTCAATGAGTATCTTAATAAATCTTATCTCTAAGACATGGGGAAAATGAATCAAGGTTAAAGCTATGTATGCGTAATAGCTAGTATAGGGGATATTTGGTCATTTTTGTGATTCGGACAATGTTTATGTTTTCGTCCATGTTCGGACATACTCATAGTCATAGGGTGGCCTTGTCTGGTATTGGTGTTCTTTGAAATTGTTTATGTTTTGCAACAAGGCCTGGTTATGAGTGCAAGTCAGCCTCCCACCAACATCAATGCCTTGCTAATAGTACCAGGCTAGCTTTCAGACGTCAGGGGCTGCTTTTCTCATTCTCACGTTGTTTGTGTGGTTATCTGCTATTGTGTGGCAGTACTGCCACAAATGTAGTCACTTAAAATAACACACATTTATTGTCTCACTGTTTCTGTGGGGCAGCAGTTGGGCACAGCTTAGCAGCACCCTCTGTGAGTCTTACAAGGCTGCAGTCTCATCTGAGGCTCTACTGGGGAAGGATTCGCTTCCAAGCTTACATGGTTGTTGGCAGCATTCAGTTCCTTGCAACCTGCTCACTGAGGTCACCAGTTTTTGCTGGCCGTTAGCTGGAGGCTACCTGCAGTTCCTTGTCACATGAGCCTCTCCTACATTGCCACTTATTTCATCAAAGCTAGCAAGGGAGGGCATCTCCCTGCAGGGCAGGCATTATAGACTTACATAACGTAATTACATATATGTAATCAAAAGACTGCCTTTTCTCTGTGGTGTATTCTGTTGGTTAGAAGCAAGGCACAGCTTCCGTCCACACCCAAAAGAAAGGGGTTACACAAAGGCAGGTGTGAACATCAGCAGGTGGGAATCATGGGGCCATTGTAGAGTTGTCTACCATGGTTTGCTTATTGGTCTTTTAATCATACTGCCACAGATTGGGCTGAAACTGGACACTGGCAATGCTGCCACCTTCAGGGTCTCAGTAATATACCTTGGAAATAGAGATGGGATTGAGGAATGCCCAGGAGGGAAGCTGTTGGTAGTATCTGAGAAAAACTCACTTAGGCTGAGATCAGGATTTTTTTTTTCTTTATGAAGAGAGGGAAAAGGATAATTTGCGGGGAGGATCAAGTGTAAAAATGATTTTGTGACCAGGGAATAAATTGAATAGCCTGCCAGATGTGAGTGTTTGGAAACTTCACAGGCACTGGGATATAAAAACAAGGTAAAAAACATGTGCAGTATTCTCTTTTACTGGTAAAGTTCACAAGTTTCTTATAAGAGTGTAACATAACATGTATCTCAAAGTTCCTGAGACATGTAACTCAATATGGTTCTTGTAGAGCAGCAGAAAGAGGAATGTGAAGAAGCTTCCAGATACATAATTCATGAGTGTCCGTAGACTCTAGGCTGAGTAGCTCCATCTGCCATTGTTTCCAAAGGGTAACACCCTTCCCTGAATGTGCTACAAGAAGTACCAGTGTGCTTTTGGTGTTCATGTCTAATATTCTCACTGCATCATAGCATTTATTTTTACAGGGAAGAAGAATCTATTACTCTGATTTACAGAAAACTGAAATGCCTGACTGTCCAAAATATATTTCCGCCCTGCAACCCCCTAAGCTTGATAGGAGCCAGAAGAAAGAAAAGGAAGCTGGGCCAGGGAAGTTGCAAGGTCCCTGGGAGGGCAGGAAGGGACTTTCCCTAATGCTGCATACTAACTAACCATACACCGTTTTGACCGCTTTAATACTTAGTCTGCCAACTAAATCATTCATTGGTTGACTTCTCCCTAAGACAGGATATTGGAACATTTTGTAGCTCTAAAGGATCTGAATATTTTATAGCTCTAGAGGCACAGATTTGTCTTGGTGAATCTGAATCTACCCTGAGTGCCTCTCCATGCAGATTCTTTGTGTACCATTATCTCATTTAGTTCTTATTTTTTAATTCTAAAAAATTATCTCATTTAATTCGTATAGGCTGCCTTCCTGCTTATAATCCTCTGCCTTCCTCCATCATTATACTTATATGCAGTTGAAACTATCTGTTTATGTGGCTGTGGACCACCTTTACTCTTGTTTGTAATCTGAGAGTCTCGCTAAGGGCCCACCAGTGTTGGTGCTCTATAAATGAGTACGTGATATTATATCCATTTTGCAGGCAAAGAAACGAGATTATGTGACTTGTCCAGTGCCATACAGCTAATAAGTTCCAGGTTTGAGTGCAGGACTGTTTTGACTTTGCAATCTTTCTCCTTGGCTAGGTGGAGCTTCCTTAGGGAGAAGCAGGGACAGCCTCCTTTACCATCCTTAGTGTCTGCCTTCCAGGCTTGGCTGTGGCTGTGCCTCCTTAGACTGTCCCACTATTCAACTGCCTACCTTGGGCTATTGGTAGCTAGGGCATACCGGGAACTAACCACGGAAACAAGAGAAAGTGAAAATGGTGCAGCTCAGCCCAGGCACTCACACACCATAAACCTAAGCTGCTGAAAGCCGTGGAAGTTTGTATTTGGAGTATCTAAGTGACTCTTCATGTTTCTGGAGAATACCACATTAATGTGGTCTCATGCAGTCCTTTAAAGGGTAATATCTGGCTAGGCATGGTGGCTCACGCCTGTAATCCCAGCACTTTGGAAGGCTGAGGCAGGCAGATCACTTGAGGTCAGGAGTTTGAGACCAGCCTGGCCAACATGGTGAAACCCTGTCTCTACTAAAATACAAAAATTAGCTGGGTGTGGTGGCACATGCTTGTAATCCCAGCTACTTGGGAGGCTGAGGTGGGATTGGTAGCTTGAACCTGGGAGGCGGAGGTTGCAGTGAGCTGAGATCGCGCCACTGCACTCCAGCCTGGGCGACAGAGAGAGACTTTGTTTCAGAAAAAAAAGGCAGTGGGAGGTAATATCCTAGCCCGAAGAATGTCAACATCTTGATCTCATTTCCATAGCAAGGTGTATTTTAGATCATCAAGGGACTTATTTGTGGAAGGAATTTTTCCTTAATGGGTTTTGGAAATTTTCCTGTCCAGCAATTAAGAAATTCTGGCACCATTGCCTCTGACCTTTTGATTCTGAGAATCATTCTCTGGCAGTTAGAAGCCTTTGCTCTATCTTGAAGTCATATCTTTCCAGAGCACCTGGGGAATCTCGCCAGATAATTAGAGCTTGGGTATGGTCAAGGATGTACTTATGAAAAAACACAAAGGAAAGTGTCTCTTCTAGAAAAAGCAGACAGCCACATTTGATTAGAGCAGATCTTGTCCCCATCTATCATGATGATTTTTATTCCACTTTATGATGCAATCAGCAGAGAAGACTGCCTCTTCAGTTCTGTCACTCACTAAGTTGGACCCTTTGCCTTTTAAGCCTTTTGGGTGCAAGTAATAGGAATTCTACCCAGCATGTTGCTATAAGCAAAAGGGAGCCTTTATCAGCTCTCAGAACTGGAAGTATTTAGTGGGGGACTCAAATGGCCCTGCCATATCCCTTTACCCTTGCTTCACTTTGTCTCTGTCTTGGCTTCATCACCTTGGAGGCCTGACTGTAGACAGTTTCTGTCTTACTGCCCCCTTCCTCCATCAGTGTATAAAATCCTAAGGAAGGACTGTCCTCTGTCTGTCATGGCTTAGGTCACAGATTTCTCCCCAGGCCCATTGTTGCCAGGAGTTGGGTGTGACTGGCAGCCCCTCTGAACTAGAAAGAGTAGGAGACAGGGATTACTTTTCTACCAACAGATATGGGGCACACATGGTGGCTAGCACCCCCATAAGGCCTTCGTTTCCACTAGGCCCTCAGGAAATTTATTCAACAAAGTTGGAGGGAATTGACCCAAAAGAATCAATTGTTAATATATCGTTTGTCCTCTTAGTAGTTGCCTTCACGTTGTTATTTCTCCACCCTGGGTTTGTAACTCTTACACTTTTTCCAAACGTATGAAGTCTTCTGAAAATATATTTTTAAATTAATACAATCTTTTTATATTTTAAGTCTTTGTTTTTTTTTTCTGCCAGAGAACTGATGGAATTGACCTCATAATCACTGTCATGTGAAAGAGTGATTAGATATATTTCTTCTTTCAGCAAACACCTGTTGAGTAGATCTGCATCCAGGCAGTGTCAGGTGTAGGGGGCAGGGATTGCGTTACGCGTGAGTCAGGGTTGCGGCCCTGAGGGGCTTCCAGTAAGGAGTCAGTCAACCTGTGAAAACATAAATTACAGAATAATACAATTTGTATGCCTATAAAGTGGCTGCCGGGTGCTACTAGGTTTGTGTTATCATTTGAAGTGACAGTATCTGCCCAAAGAAAAGTTGTTGATATTTTTGTTGATATTAAAATATTTTTGCCTGATAATAACCAGGCAGAATGGATGACTTTTAAAATTATACCATGGGGTTAGAAATGGAAAAGGGAAGGGCTTAGGACTGAGTGAAGATACCACACCCCAGGGACATTGCCTGGGCCAGAAAGTAACAGGAAGCTTAGCAGCCCGGGGACCCCGACTGCTTTGTTAGAAAATCAGCCTGATCTGCCACCTGTGTGATTTCTAATAAGCTTAGATGTGAGTGTTTCCAATCCTATCATCCTGCCCAACTCAAAAAATGTTACCACTTGCTAGCAGCATCGGTTTGTGGAGTTGGGGAGAAGTGTAGTATGAGTCAGGAAAGGGGTGGGGGTGTTCCTCTCTTGGAAACCTCCTATTGTGGCCACAGATAGAAAAACCCAGGAGGGTTTGGGGGTCTAAAATCAGGAGGGGTGGGGGTCTAGGTAGATTTTTAAACCCCTTCATTCTAGATACTATTTCCTCACATAACATAATAGGTGTTGCATAAATCATATTCCTAACCTCTGAAGTTTTAGAGGGCCAATATTTCATTTTTTATCTTTGTATTCCTGTTGCTTCATTCATAATAAATACTCAGTAGAAGATAATGGATCACTTGAAGACTTTGTGGAGACTCACCTGATAGCCATTAGCAATGATTCTGGGCCAGGCACAGAGGCTCACGCCTGTAATCCAAGCATTTTGGGAGCCTGAGGCGAGAGGATCGCTTGAGGCCAGGAGTTTGAGATCAGCCTGGGCAACATGGTGAGACCCCTATCTCTACAAAATATTTTTTTAAAATTACTTGGGTATAGTGACATGTACCTCCAGTCCCAGCTCCTTGGGAGGCAGAGGCAGGAGGATTGCTTGAGCTCAGGAGTTTGAGGTTGCAGTGAGCTATGATCATGCCACTGCATTCCAGCCTGGGCAACAGAGTGAGACCCTCTTAAAAAAAAAAAAATTCTACTTCTTAAAAGAGGCTCTTCAGTGATGTTGTAGAGATCAGCTCTTTATCTCCTTTGTAGCACTTCCCTCAAGCACTGTTTCGTTTGTTTCTTTGCTTGTCTCCCAGGACTAGAATGTTTGCTTTCCAGGAGGGCTAGGATTATAGTATACTCTCAGTGCCCAACACAATTGGGTTTTCACAGATATTTGCTGAAGGAAAGAAGAAAGGAAGAGAGGGAGAGGAAGGAACAACAGCAGCTTTCAAAACCCTTTTCCTCTGTGACACAATTTAGGCATTGAGGAGAATGCAGAGGATGCAACACCTTTACTTACGAATTAGCTGGTTTTGTCTGGCTAGATTATGAAGGGCCAGAGGTACAGTCTTTGTCTTTTCCCACTTCCCCAGTGCATACCACCGTGCCCCCACACAATAAGATCTGAGTAAAGATTAGCTGAAATAAGCCAAGGAAGGTGGGGAGAGAGATTTAAAATTTTAATCAGAGTTAAGAGAGTAAGGAACCCTGTAAATCTGGAGAGAACAATGCTAAATATGTTTCTGTTTACAAACGGCTCTAAGATTTCCTGAATTCGGATCGACTCTTACGTAATTAGTATACAATACCTAACTGCAAGGATAATGGTATCAACTAATGAATTGTCAGCCTGGTAAAATGATCTCAAGCCACACAGCACAACTTATACATTTCAGAGTCCGTATCAATTTGCATAAAGACTTGGACTTTAGCCTTGCCAGATTTGAGCATCACTTAAAGCATCACTTGCAAAGATAATTGGAACATCACTTAAGAAAAATGAAAAAACTGTTGAATTTCAGAAAAGTGAGTTGTACCAATTCATGATTTGGTGAGGATGCCATCTGACCTGACAGTAGTGTATGGGGATTAAAGAGGAGGTTTTGGATTTTGTTCACACCTCCTAAATGTTAAGTGCATTCTGAGCAGGCACACCGCATTACTCACAGTGGGACCCAAAGCAAAGCCTTAGACTCAACAAGGTTACATAACTATGGGTTTTTGAAATTCATGGAATTTCATTAGTGGGTTTTAAAAATATTGAAAAGAGCATTCATGTATTGAGTTTCATTTTTGGAAGCAGAATATAGATCAGGGAAAGTGGATGATTCCCTCCTATCTGCAGTGGTCACACATCATCAGGAGTGCTTTAGAAGTTCACTTACAAACTAGGATAACATCCAAGGTGGTGAAAGGTGTCAGCATCTTGTTATAGAAAGGACAGGTGGAAGAGCTGTAGACACTTAGTTGAACTGTTATCTGAAAGAGTGATTAGATTTAATCTGTTGCTTTAGGGAGGAATGGGCATGCTTGTATGTATATGGTGTGTGCATTGGGAGGGGGTGTATTTGAATAAGTCTTTACAGATGCAGTTCTGCTGTCTGTTTTCACTGGCTTTTGTTTATGGTAGTTTGACTTCTTGTCTGCTTTTGATTTTTGACTGTGAGCCCCATATCCCTTAGAAGTTTATCTGTAGGAACTATTTGAGGCCTAGGATTGAAGCTCTGTTCTTTCAGGGAAGATCTGCTTTTGCTTCTGCCAAGCACCTGGGGATACTTCAGCCCAAGTGCATTTTATACCTAGTCCTTACTTATGGGTTTTTTGCCCCAAAGTAGTGTGTGAATTAGGATTGCAGAACTGCATGAGGTCCAATCTGTTGTTACAAAATCTCATTGTGGATTTTTTCCCTCTTACAGCTGTATCAAGATTTATGTGGTAAAAAGTTGTTACTGAATTGTAAAAATCAAAGCTTGTGATCATCAGGTTTTGGCAAATACTCTCAGGAAAAAAAGCCAACTTCAGTGGGTACATATACATTCCTGGATTCCCACTTTCAGTTACTTTTTGGCCTTCCGAAATTTAACATTCTTGCTAGTTCTTAGATTTAAAAACATTTTTAAATAAATATTTCACATAGTCTGTTTACTTGTCTTTATTTATTTATTTGAGGCAGAGTCCCACTCTGCCGCCCAGGCTGGAGTGTAGTGGTGTGACCTCGGCTCACTGCAACCTCCACCTCCTGGGTTTAAGCAATTCTCATGCCTCAGCCTCCCAAGTAGCTGGGATTACAGGCGTATGCCACTATGCCTGGCTAATTTTTGTATTTTTAGTAGAGTAGGGTTTCACCATGTTGGCTAGGCTGGTCTTGAACTCCTGACCTCAAGTGATCCACTCACCTTGGCCTCTGGAGGTGCTGGGATTACAGGCGCGAGCCACTGCGCCCAGCCTACTTGTCCTTAATTGGTCAGTCAGGGTACCAAAAATTGAAGTCCATCTATTTAGTGTAGAGAACTCCTGGTACCTTGTAAGATAGGAATTCTTTATTATTGTCAGCTTAGTGACCATATTTTGGTGGGGTAGGGAGATGATATAGGAGAGAACCCTGTATTAGAAGGTTGATGTGTAAATAACCTTTTGGGTTTCTTTCAATTATAAAAGTATATAGTTTTAGCTAAAGTAATCATTTTTTGCTTCTCTTGGGAATTTACCATTTTGAACTAGACTAATATTATTCGGTGACATTTAAATCTGTTTCCTCTAAAAATAGAAGTTGTGAATATCTGTCAGTTATTAGAAAACACTAAATTTACACTAGAAGTCATCTTAATCCACAATGTGGTTTTGAAAGCACGTTCTTAATCTGAAAATGTTGAACAAATTAGATTGGCACTTTAGCCCTCACTGCAATGTAAACACAAATGGAATATTTGTAGATGGTTGATGTTCTTTGACAGATGTTGCATTTTGGCAGCAGAAATCTGTTAAGATGCTCTACGGTTTAAATTTTTTCTGTCAAGGATTTAGTATAAAGCCCCTTTTCCTCTTCTCCTTCTGTCTGACTTTGTCTCATCATTCAAAATCCACCTTGGTCATCTAGTTTTCTTTCTCATCGTATCTCTCAGTGAATGAACCATTAGATGAGACCTGCTGGTTTACGGACCTGTTCCTGTCTTCATCAGTCTGAGTTCTCTTGGCTTTGAGAAACAAAAAATTTAGATTGCTTAATAAAAAGTGTGTTTGAAAAACAGAGCGGTCAGCTTTCTGTTTACTAGGTTAGGAACTCTCATTTCAGCTCAGTAATAAACTGTTTTATCTGACTAAAAATAACTTCCCATTAAACAAAGCAGCTTCCCATAGCACTGTCTCTAAACTCAGAGGCAAACAGAGGAACTTACAAGTTTATAAGTACTGTGCGCCAGTAAATGTACATTTACAGGACTCCACACAGGACTAAGAATTATTACCTACCAATAAAAGAGAGCAGTTTGAAAGCTCATGTTTCCTTGGAACATATACTACTATAACAGATATGGTAGAGGTACCTATAGAGATTTCAAGATATTTTTCTGTGCATTGCGAGCATTTTCTCTCTGTATGGTTGTCTGAATCACGGGTCTAGTAAAAGAGCAGAATGAGAAAGAACTTTTCCCTCTCGGTGTTACATAAACGATGGCTGGCCAGTTGGTGAGCCCACCCCATTGACTGTCCCAGCCCATGGGTGGGTTACCAAGTGAACCAGGCTCCTTAGATTAAAGTAGCAGTTCTCAACATTTTATAATACTTTCAGGACCCAGTTAAAGACTCTTAAAAATAACTGAGGACTCAATAGCTTGTGTATTTTAATTCATTTACAGTAGCTTACGTATTCATTGACAGTAACATGTATTAATTCATACCCAATAGCTTATGTATTTACTTACAAATTATAATGAGCACATTAATATTAACATCAGATCAGTGATATCACATGTCATGTAACATCTGGAAGATGTCACTGTATAATCACGAGAATGAGAGTGAAAAGGCAAATAACATATTATTATGAAAAGGTATTTGGCCTCTGAGACCTTCTGACAGGGTTTTGAGGGAGCATGTGGCTCAAAATTGAGACTTAGATAGCTATCAACAGAAATAATCTTTCCACATATCAAGATGGCTGCTGGTTTTCCTGCAAGAAGAATTCTTGTAAGTGAAGTCTGAAGGTCATAATTTTAAAACAAAGCTGTATGTGTGCCACATACACTAATACGAGAGCATGGAAGCTGGGTGGGGGAATGCAGTTTTTATTTTCTTAGGACTTTGGCCATAAAAGCAGTTTATGAGCAAGAAAGCTTGCTAACAGTCAGAGACATCACCCAATCCATGCCAAAGCTGCAGAACAGAATTGAATGAGTTTACTCAGCCCCCACACACTGGAGGAAGTCTGGAAGGTGAGTGATACGTGGATCCACTGGAGCCTGCCTGCCCACGTCTCAGTCTCGAAGCCTGACAGGCATCTGGAGGAGGTCAGGATACTGAAGCATAATCCTCACACCAAACATAGAGACATACTGTATGGGAAATTAGTTCTGTTTCAGGTATCAGAAAAGCATGAATAGAAGGCTTATGTAATTCGGCTAGTAAAGCACAATGCTCTGAGAATATGCTTATGACACTTTGGAAGTCAAAGTCAAGGAATCTAAGCTGGATATTAAAACTCAAAGCTAAAATTAACTATAAAAAAGCTATTAAATACATAACATACAAAAGTGGCCAAATTAATAGCATAGTTCAGGTCAATCCAATCAAAGTAGAGGAGATGTAGTTAATTGTAATTCTGTTTTTGTAAGTGATTTAGAGTGGGGCTGGTCTTTCCTCTTCCACCACCCTTTTTTAATACTCTCAAATAATTTTCAGAAATAGTTTGTCCTTCTCCATACTACAAGTTGTGAATATCTTGGTGCGTCCAAAATTAATTTTAAAAAGTTAATTCCAATTCCCAGAAATCCTAAAAGCTAAAATAATGTTGACATTTTACACAGTCCCAGGTTTCAAGGCTAAATGTGTTGTAATAATAAATGCTTAGTTTTTCTGTTTCCTTTATGGCCTACCAGCCCATGAGACAGAAAGTGATGTTTCTTACCATTTTATGCAGCTGTATCCTGCTGGTTGTTTTGTAACTCCAAAATTGTTAAGTAGCAGAAGAACTCATCATCCATTAATAATACCTGCTGAATTATTCAGAGAAATCCTTAACCAGAATAAATGGTTATGGCCATCCAATTTCTCCTCATTCTCACTTTCCCATTTCTTTTTCCTGTGGGTAAATATCTTAGACTTTCAAGCCTAGGACACTGTTAAAACATTCAGGGAAAGTTGAATATCCAAATGGTTTTTGTTGCATGTGAGTTTAGAATCAATGATTAGCTTGGAATTGGGGTACTTACTATAAGAAAGAAGATGTTTTATTGTTGGTGTTTGACTGTTTAATAAAACTATAATCATCCAAGAAGTATTATAATTGCACTTATTGCAAAACGGTCTACCTTTTAATTTCTTTTTCCTGGGGCTTCTCACAGGAGTCTTGAGGCGGTGTTTGTATTCAGTATCTACACTAAGCTGCTTACTTCTTTGTGTGGTTTTTCAGGAATGGCCATTTGCCCTCCTGGAAAATGTTATCACATTCACCTCATCATCTTGTTCAGAGATCTCTCTCACACTCACTCCTGGTCCTGAGGATCCTTCTCCACCCCCTCCTCCCTTATAGAGTTGCAGAACTTTTCCTACCTGACCTCTCTCAGCACCTTTAATCCCTTTCCAATCAATCCCCTGTTAACTCCAGAACATCAGAAATAGGAAATGATTAAATTGGAGTGGGCCAAGTGATGGAAAATGTGTTGGGAGACTCTTCATTATAAGTGCTGCTGAATGGCTAGACTTTTTTAACCATTTGCTTATAATACTTCGATCACAGTGAATCAATTCATTATTCTTGATAACTCCAGAATGGTCTTATGAAGATATTACTATGGCCATGTTATTCCCCTATTTAAGACTTTTTGATGATACCTGTTGCCTATATGATATTGACATAACCACAGTTATGTCCCTGTACTTTTTTACACATGCTGTTCCCTCAGCCCAGAATGCAGGTTCTGTTGATAGGGATTTTGGTCATTGTGTCAGAATCTCTTCTGTACGCCAGGTTTTGAACAGGCCTCTGTAAATGCCCTGGCTTGGTGTGACTGGCTGCCCAGTACTGCTTTGCCCACATTGAACAGGGCTTGATTACATGAACCAAGGTCAACTAACTAAATCCTTTGGATTTGCCATCCCTTTTTTCCACAGCAGTCTGAGCTATCAGCTGAAGAAAGTCCAGAAAAATTAGGAACCTCCCAGCTACATCGCCGGAAAGTCATTTCCTTGAACAAACAGATTGCGCAAAAGACCAAACATCTTGAAGAGGTCAGTGTTTTCTTTTCGTAAGTTTATTCAAGATCTTCATGGTAGATTGGTTAAAGGAGATTCCAGAACGGGGGTTGGCATACTGTGGTGCTTGGGCCAGTCCAGTTGCCACTTGTTTTTGTAAATTAAGTTTTATTACAACATAACACATCCATTTGTTTACACATTTTCTGTGGCTGCTTTCAGGCTACAGTGGCAGAGTTGAGTAGTTGCAGAAGACCATAAGACCTACAAAGCCTAAAATATTTACTATCCAGCCCTTTGCAGAAAAAATTTGCTAACTTCTGTCATAGGAAAAGATCACAGGGCAAGAATAAATAGCATTAGTTAACAAATATCTACCGAGCACTACTGTGTGCTAGGCACTGAACTAGCTATTGGGATGAATGAAGAACAAGTTATGATCCTTCCTGTCAAGGATCTTAACTTCTAATGAGAAGTTACCACACTCATCGTCATTTAATTACAGGTGTGTTAAATGCTTGAAGGAGAAGTCTAGGAAGCTGGGAGAGTGACTAATAGGGAGACCTGACCTAGCCTCAGGTCACAGAGTTCTGAGACTGGAAAGATGAGTGGGTATTTCCAGGCAGGAAGTCTGTATGGGCTATATGGACTTACAGAACAACATGAACAAAGACCAGAGGAGGAAGGGTCTTAGCCAGTCTGTTTTGTGGCCAGGGAGTCATGAATGAAGACAGTTGGTTGGCAGTGTCTGATCAACAGGACCATCCAAGCCATGTTAAGGACAACAGAAGCCATTGACGTGTTTAAATAGGGGAGTGGCATGATCAGAATTGCATATTGTAAAGACCATTCTGTTTGCTGCAGGAGCATGAATTAACTGGACTTGGGTGAGAAGGAATTCAGGGACAACAGGTAGGAGGCTGATGCAATAGTCTAGACGTGGACTGCTACTATTGATGGCAGGGAAATGGAGGAAACTTGATCATTTTTAAAAGAGCTGTAGGAGATGGTGTTCTGTAATACCTGGTGATATGAGACTGTTTTGGAAAGACCTTCATATATTTGCCCTGAAAAGTAGACCTAAGAGGAAGCTGGGAAGTTTGACTCAGCAACAGTCATTGGACAATAAAAAAGTTATATGCTTCAGTTGCATTAGCAATAGATTAGATTAGAAGAATACACGTAGAAGAAGATTAAGAGAATGAATATGGGCCAGGTGTGGTGGCTCACGCCTGTAATCCCAGCACTTTGGGAGGCTGAGGAGGGGCAGATCACTTGAGGTCGGGAGTTCAAGAGCAGCCTAACCAACTTGGAGACTCCCTGTCTCTACTAAAAATACAAAATTAGCTGGGCATGGTGGCGCCTGCTTGTAATCCCAGCTACTCAGGAGGCTGAGGCAGGAGAATTGCTTGAAACCAGGAGGCGGAGGTTGCGGTGAGCCGAGATCATGCTGTTGCACTCTAGCCTGGGCAACAAGAGCGAAACTCCATCTCAAAAAAAAAAAAAAAATGGGTACCAGTTGGCATTTTGAGCTTGTTAGTTTTTAGTTAGTCCCACATATTTAAAAGGTATTAACCTATCAAATGGTCCTGCCCAATCATTTCTTTATTTGAATTTGTTCTATTAGAATTTGTTCTACCATAGCTGAACAAATAATAGGTTGGTTTGCTAAATGCTCTGGATCAAAGAAGGATGAAAAGATAGCCTATGATTTGGTTTCTGTTCAGTTATTTGTTTAGACATTTTAATGAGTTGTCAACTCAGACAGTATCATCCCTACTCCTGACCCCTGCTGGTGATAAGAATGGTTCAAAAAGAACTCATCACAGAATCAGGAGCAGGAGACAAGGATGAGTCTTCCTTATTATGGTGTCTTTATCTCTGAGGGAAGATAGTTTTGAGATTATTGTGGACTCCAGGAGCCAGAGTATCCCAGCAGGAACGGACATTTGCTTCTACCTTCTGTCTAAACCTGGGGAGAAGCAATACTAAGCCTCAACACAAATGGCAGTCTTGACTCATTCTTGGTCCAGCTGACAGGGCAATCCTCCCTGACTCTTGAGTCTGTTTTGCAGTTGGTTCAGAACACTTTTACCCAGAGTCTGTTATTTTTCAAGCATACTGCTTAACATAGCAGGCTGTCATTTTTCAAGCATACTGCTTAACATAGCAGGCTGTCATTAAAAGACAGCAATCATTATTGCAATGTTTAATGTAATTAGAGATGATGACCAGCACATGGAGTAATCCCTGACCATGTAGCTAGGCCAACTGGATGAGGAAAATGAGGTAGGGAAGGGAGAGACTTGCTCAGAGTCTGTGTTCCATGTTTCTGTGTGTGTGCAGATATACTAAACACATTTTCCTTTTGTTTCTGTCAGTTTTCAAATGTTTCAAGTGCTTTTTTTAAATTGTAGGGATAAGCTGAATATAAATTAAATAGTATAGAAGTATATAAAGATAAGAATAAATAGAGCAAGCTACTATTTGTGTCTGCTGTGTTTCCTGGCAAACCTGTTTTTAGGCCTTTGCAAAAATGTATGCCCCTTCACCTGGGGAGAGTGACTTGTATGGTTACAAAATTGAGTTTTTATTTCACTTATTGTATCACAGACGTCTCTCTGTCAGTAATAGTAATTGCTAATAAGTGCTTTGTTACTGCTTAGTAATTACTATGTGCTTTATAAAATTAACTCATTCAGTTCACACAGCATCCTTATGAATGGGAGGTACTGTTATTTTCCTCACTTTACAAATAAGGATACTGAGACACAGAAATTAAGCAGGCTGTCTGTAGTCACATAGCTTGTTAGTGGTTGAACCAAAATTTAAGCAAATAAATCTACCTCATTCTTTTTAGTGACTGGATAGTGTGACATAGTATATATGTAACACAATTTATTTAACTTGTTCCCTAACTTCTCAAAAAATGCGTTTTTGATTTTGCTAGAAACTATTGAGTTGTTCATCAATTATTTTATCAATTTACTTCTACCTGTAGTATGTGAGGGATTCCAAACTCTTTACATCCCACAGCCTCTTTTACAAGGTCATACAGGCAGAAGGCATCTGAGATGCATCCTTTTTTAGGCTTTTACAGACACGTATGCCCTCACCTGGGGAGAGTGAGTTGTATGGTTACAAAATTGAGTTTTTATTTCACGTATTCTATCACAGACATCTATCTGTCAGTAATAGTAATGGCTAATAAGTGCTTTGTTATTGCTTACTAATTACTAAGCACTTTGCAAAATTGACTCAGTTCGCACAACATCCTTATGAAGGGGAGGTACTATTATTATCCTCATTATACAAATAAGGAAATATTAGTCCATTCTCACCCTGCTGATAAAGACATACCTGAGACTGGGTAATTTATAAAGGAAAGAGGTTTAATTGACTCACAGTTTTGCATGGGTAGGGAGGCCTCAGGGTAAATTTAGAATCATGGCGGAAGGGGAAGCAAACATGTCCTTCTTCACATGATGACTGGAAGGAGAAGTACAAGCAGGGGAAATGCCAGATGCCTATAAAACCATCAGTTCTCCTGAGAACTCACTATCACGAGAACACCATGGGGTAAACCACCCCCATCATCCAATTACCTCCACCTGATCCCTCCCACGACACGTGGGGATTATGGGAACCACAATTCAAGATGAGATTTGGGTGGGGACTCAGCCAAATCATATCATGGTCCAATGAGGGAATATGCAAAGGAATAGAATGGAGTACAGGTGGTAGGTAGCTAAGAGGAAACCTGAGAGTGATGAAAGAAAGAGAAATCCAGAGAGGTGGTGTTAACCAGCAGCTGAATTTTTAGAGTAAGTGTAGGGGTTAATGATGAAGAAGAAAATAGAGGTAAGAGAATCCTGGAGGACTCCAGCAAGATAAAAACTAAGCTAAGCTACTGGGACACTTCCTATTTAAGAAAAGATGATCAGATGAAGAATTTAATTGTTAGTTAAATTAATTAAAGAAAAGAAAAGAGATGAGCCTTTTCTTCTTAGAAAGCTCTTACTTCCCTGCCAAGATCCATCTGGGGTAAGTCTTTGTTGGTGAAGGTTTCCTGAACCCCCTGGTGAGGGAGCTAACTCTCTTTCCTTGGGCCTGGCTCTGCCCCATCTCTTCTCATATTTTAATCCCACAGTTACAATGTCATGTTCTTTTCTTTCTCCCATACACCTCATTTGAGCAGAGCATTGGGTAAATGTCAGATGAGTAGGTGGGTGCAGGGGTGAGAGGCTACACAAGAAGGTGGGTGAAGCAGGTGGGAAGATCCCGGGGACCTTTCCTAGAGCCTTGTCTTAGTCCATTTAGGCTGCTCTATCAAAATACCTTAGACGTGGTAATTTGTTGCTTACAGTTCTGAAGGTTGGGAAGTCCAAGATCGAGGCACCAACAGATCTGGTGTCTGATGTCCATAGATGATGCCTAGTTGCTGCTTCCTCACATGGTGGAAGGAGGCAAGGGAGCCCACTCAAGCCTCTTTTATTTTCATTTTTTTGAGACAGGGTCTCACTCCATCATCTACGCTAGAGTCCAGTGGCATGATCATAACTCACTGCAGCCTCAGCCTCCTGGGATGAAGCAATCCTTCCACCTCAGCCTTCCACATAGTCGGGACCACAGGAACACCACCATGCCGGGCTAATTTTTTTTTTTTTTTTTTGGAGACAGCAGAGTCTCACTTTGTTGCCCAGACTGAGCCTCTTTTATAAGGGCACTCATCTCATTCACAAGGCTGGAGCCCTCATGACTTAATCACTTCCCAAAGACCCCACCTCTTGAAACTGTCATATTGGGTATTAGGTTCTAAGATACAAATTTGGGGCAGACACTAACATTCAGACCATAGCAAACATCAACAGTTAAAACACTGGGATTTAAAGAGAAAACTAAACTTTTTCCCAGAGTACCCTTATCTCCCAGTTACACAAACAGACTAATAAAAGTTGTCATTGCACAGATGGCTCTCTTTGAAAAGGGGGGCACCAGAACCCACCTGCTTCTCTCTCCTTTATCACATTGCTCTCAGCTTGAGTTGGCTTCTTGATAGGCCTTGTTGGAATTATAACTATTTATCAGTCATGAAGACTAGTAGCTAGATTGGAGTAATGATTTCTGAAGGTGACATAACTCTTAATAAGCTGCTTACAGGCCCAAGGATGGGGCATGTTACTTTGAAATAACCATTGAGATATAGGTTAAAATTTCTCATTGTTAACTTGAACCCAGTTAATAACAAGTTTGAAGGTGGTTTTCTGCCTTGTATCCTTCTTAAAAGTGAAAATACACAATCCTTTTGAGCATTTAAAGGAATGTTTTCAAATTTCTAAAAGTTGATAGACACAAGGATATACTGTTTTAGCAAGAGAAAGGGAATTGACTTTTTCAAGATGTGAGTTTACAGTTATGTAAGTTGGAACAGTAAAAGTAATTTATTTTCATTCTCTTGGTGTTGAAGTCCTGAATCCTATCTTCTATGTGTCATCATTTGCCAACCAGTCTTATGCTGGGATCTCAAGTGCTGAAATGCTGTTTGTATTCTGCAAACAGGCAAGTGGGTTAACTGCATTGATTGTAGCCCCACTGAAAAGTCAGAGGGACTTGAATTTGGATCTGGGCCTCATCAGTTATCAGCTATGGGACTTTAGTCAAATAAACTTGACTGCTCTGAGTCTTTATTTCCTCATCTGTAAAATAAGAAAAGTGTCTTTTTTCACTGAATATAAAGATTCAGTGATATAATTTATGCAAAATTCCTAGTACATCAGCTGACATGTACTTGGTGCTAATTAAATATGAGGTTTTTTTCTTCATTTGTTGTTGGCAACCCTTTTAAAATTTTCACATTTGCTCAGTTTAAATCTTTCTGAGCTTTCATTTTCTCATCTGTGAAATTCACATCTGTGTTGTCATAAGGATCAAATGAGAGCATATGTCTTTTATCTTTCATTTACAGCTGCGAGCAAGTCACACCAGCCTACAAGCCAGATATAATGAAGCCAAGAAAACGCTGACAGAGGTGAGCAGATAGATTCTCCTTCTTCTGTGGGCCCTTGTCAAGAATTGTTTTTGACCTGAACCACTAATGGAATGATGTGTTTCATCGGTCTGTGTGTGGGAGACACGATCCTGTTCTCAGAGGCTGCAGTCATTTTGAGGACATAGGACAGTTACATGGTAGTGCGTGACCCATGTCATCAGTTTGCCCACACTGCACATTCTAGTCCCTTAGTGGTCTTGGTGGGAGGGGTCTCTGTGGGCTGCGAGGGTCAGGAAAGGCTTCCTGGGAAGGTGAGCCTGATAGGCTGGGTGGGGCACAGAGAAGAACTCACAGTGTCACTCAGTAAATAGCTCCTGCCCCTCAAACAGCAGCTTGTATAGTAACTCTAAGATCCTGAATTCCTTGAGAGTGAGATGTCTTTTGAAAGATGAGAGAACCTCAGAGTGATATAATTGTTCAGAATTTCCAGTTATCTCCTAGGCAGAGTGGGGGAAGGGCTGCAGGAGGAGAAGGAGGGCTGGGAGTGCATTTGAACCCTGCGATTCAATCTGTAGTCCAGGTTGCAAGTGTGCTACTTCACATCAGCATTGTCGCTGCTCACTTCCCACTTGTGATTGCTGAACAGACACCTCTGCTGCCACCTCTGTCATGAGCAGTGTGTAGATATTTCTGTTCCTTGGTTTCCACAGAGAACTATCCTCATCCAGACTTGAAAAGCTGTCTTCCTTGTGATTTTGGTGCTTGGACTATAGCCGTACTATGGAAGGACCTCGCTGCAAGGTCCCTACCTCGTACTTCCTGGACGATTTGGAAGCTAGGATCTTCAAAGACGTCTCCGAAACCAACCCAGTATCCCTACTTTTCTAGAATTCACATGACATTTACCAATTTAAAATTCTTACTCTGTAGCGATATGTAGCACTTAATTTGCCACCTTGATGTAAACCTGACAAAGCTTTTCAATTCTGGTCTGGACTAACCTCTTCAGTTATTGTCAGAATATTTCAAAAGGGCAGGCACATGAATGTCAATTAGAATAATTTTTTTCTCATTGTTCATAAAGACGCCTGCCTTGCCTTTGGACAGATTAGCTTCCTTTACATTGCTCTGTGACTGGGTTCCTTACGGATTAGATGGCAAGCTCTGCGGGTTGGGAGCCCTCTGTGATATTTTAATGCCGCAGAGCCCCTGGCATGAAGTTTGCCAATTCGTGGATCTGTCTTTGTATAATAATCTGAAAGAGATTAAAGGCAAAATATCTTGATATCAGCTTTCTAAGACATTTATATGCCTTAGGATATAAACTAAGTGACTTATAAAGGAGCTTTTTATACTAAATACTAAATCAAGTATTTGTTGAGCCCTTTTCATGTTATAGAAAGGTGGAGGGTGTGATTTAAGTCAGTAATAAGACTATCCTCAAATGAAAACAGCAGCCAACATTGCTCTGGGCATATCATTCCTGCAGTCGTCGTTCCTTTTTGCAGATGGGAAAGCTAAGGCAGAGAGGCCATGCAGCCGGGTGTCAGGATTCAAATACAGGCAGCCTGGCATCAGAGCCCTCTCTGGGAGCTTACTATCTAATAGGAAAATCAGACTAATTCCCATCTAGAAAAATGGGAAGCTGTATAAAACCTAGTACTGAACAACTTCTGAAGAAGCTTGATTTGGTCAGCCTGTGCGTAATTAATGTTTTTCACCTCTGGGCCTGGTTCTCCTTACCTATCAAGGTTAGGAGTAAGCAGAATGAGCGCTCTGAACCCTTTCATTCCAGGCTTCCCAGATTTGACCTCTTCAGCAAAACCTGCCCTTCCAGGATAACCTAGTGGCACTGAAAAGCAGAGAGGACTTGTGTCTTTCCAGTAAATCTGGGAAAAGTAGAGCTGGGCATGGAGGGTTGCAGACAGCAGTGGTGCCTGACACCTGTGGGGGAGGCTGCATGACTGCTTCAGAAAGGCCAGGAGATTGGCTGCTTTGTAACTTCAGCAGTCACAACTCTAATTTCGTGTGTGTGAGGCTGATTGTTTTTATGCAGTATTCTTTTATGTCTAAGTACATTAATTGTATCTAGTTTTGCTTGCTCTGTAACTATTAAGATCAGAATTGACTTGTTGAATTGATACATCTTTTTTAAGGTTATGTCTGTCTTCAGCTCTTTGATGATCCTTGGTTATATGTTCATCTTTAATTTTAAAATTTCGGGTTACCACCTCTGTGGATCCATGCATTTTATGCAGCCCACTTCCTGTGTTTATTCTGGAAGGGATCTACCTACTGTTTGCTGAGATCAGCCGGTAGTAACTGATGTTCTGGGTCGGGGAACTCCCCATTTCTGCTGGGTATCACCAACTATGTGGGACCCCGCCCTGCCTCTGAGACTTAAGCACCAGCTCTTGTGTTTAAGAGAGTCAGGTTTCATTGCCTAGCCTATGTGGCTATTCCTAATGCAGATCCCCAACACTGCACACCAGTCCTTCCTACGTCTGCTAACTCCACACAGCTTCTTCCTGAGGCCATTCCTGTCTGTTAACCATCCTTTTTGGCCTGTGAGGTTAAACTCTTGTGTTCTAATGTAATAGTCTGGATGTTTGGGGGTCTTAGGGCAAGAAGGGGTGGCTGCAAGTTGTGCTTAGTCTACTATTTTCAACTAGACCTCTTGGAACTTTTTTAAAACTTTTTTTTTTTAATTTTTGAATAAGTAACACATTCACATCGTACAAAATTCAAAAAGTACAAAGGGTGTAGGTTTGGAGAAACGGTGTTTTCTTCACTGAACAGTAGATACTAGAGATCATTGTAAAAGAGCTACTTTATTCTTTTTTAAAATATTGGCTTAGTATTCTGTTGTATGATGTAATTACCTACTTTACACATTAAAATCCAAGTTTAAGTTTCTTCTTTAAAAAGTGTCATTATCTGCCTCACAAAAAGAAGGTGAAGTTGTTCACCTCTGCTACCAAGGCTCCAGCAACCATGTCTTCATTCTCTCTTGCAGCTGAAGACTTACAGTGAGAAACTGGACAAAGAGCAAGCAGCCCTCGAGAAGATAGAATCCAAAGCTGATCCAAGGTAAGAGGTTTCAGCATGTGCTTATTTTTGCTTTGATGAAAGTGACTTTGCTGATACTTGTTGGCTTAATTTGTTTAAACACAGAACAAAGCAGCCAAAGGCTATTGGTCTGGCCCCTGCAGGTCAGATCATTTTACTGTTCATCCAGAAAGTGGTGACTCTGCCATGCTGAGATGTGCCTGGGCTGCCCTGGGTTAGTCACCTTTTTCCCAATACCCCTTGTGTACAGAAGCAGCATAGTTTTTTGTTTTTCTATTTTTCAAAATGGTCATACCTTCATAGTACAGAAAAGGGCATATGGTGAAAAATCTTCCTCCCACTCCTGTCCCCAGCCACCCAATTCTCTTCCCTAGAGTTCACTATTGTTACAAGTTTTTAAACAGCTCGTGCCTCCTTGGTAGAAAAGGTGCAGTCTTTTCTGTCAAGACACAGCTGCTGCTGTAGTTGTTTGTTCTTTCATGTAGAATTAATTGTCATTAGAGCATTAGAGGAGAGAAAGCACTTAACATTTGACCTTTTTAGCTTCAGACTATTTGGGTGGTAAAGTCTCCTGGGAGCTGCTTATTTGAATGAGACTATGAAATCAAAAAGTTGCAGGCACAGAATGAGCAGTGCTTGTTTGATGAACATTTTTAGCAAAAAGTACCCACAGGTAACTTGACTCTATAATTAGAAACCTTTGTTTCATGAAATGGAGCAAAGCACTGTCAGATAGTTGATATTTTTATTGTCAAATTAGTGCTTTTAATGACCTTAAGCAACTTGTTTCCTTTTCAGAATGGATTTTAAAAATAGTTTTCAATACTGTATATGCCCCGAATACAGTTGAATAATTGGTATCATTAAATATACCTGGTACTATTGAAACTCATTGATGTTTCTATAGTTGACATTTTAATTGTGGAATCTGTAATGTTTTCTTGGATCCGGCATTGATGGTCTTGGGTTTATAAATGAATAATAATGTCAGTTAAATGGAAGTCATTATCATTTGTGCAGAATCTGTGAGACACTCTTAGAGCTGAGAAAGGAAATTAAAAGGAGAGTCCTTTTTTAGCTGCGGACCTGCTTTTAGCTGCGATTCATAAAATCATAATGGCCTGCCATATGTCATTTTTTTGTCTTTTCTCTTCAGTATCCTACAGAACCTGAGAGCACTTGTAGCCATGAATGAAAATCTGAAAAGTCAAGAACAGGAATTTAAAGCACATTGTCGAGTAAGTGTTGTTTGGTGTCAGCAAATAAACCAGGACGCTTATTGAATCTCTTGGTTTACCTCCGTTGTCCTGTTGTGGCATCCTATCCAGTGCAGTTTAAAAAGCAGATTTGGCCAGGCGCAGTGGCTCATGCCTGTAATCCCAGCACTTTGGGAAGCCAAGGCAGGCGGATCACGAGGTCAGGAGATCGAGACCATCCTGGCTAACACTGTGAAACCCCGTCTCTACTAAAAATACAAAAAAATTAGCTGGGCGTGGTGGCTGGCGCCTGTAGTCCCAGCTACTCGGGAGGCTGAGGCAGGAGAATGGCGTGAACCTGGGAGGCAGAGCTTGCAGTGAGCCAAGATCACGCCACTGCACTCCAGCCTGGGTGACAGAGCGAGACTCCATCTCAAAAAAAAAAAAAAAAAAGCAGATTCATCCAGCAGTTATTTGTCAGTTGTATAAGCTGAATAGAGCACCATGGTTAGTAACTTTGTGCCAAACCCCAAAACAAACAATGTCACCTAACTTTGGTATTTGAAAGAAAAGTCTTATGAAGTTTTTGCAAAAATATATTTTGTTGACAGACGGCCTTTGTGAAAAGGGTAACATCATACAAAACCAGGGCTGTCCTGAAAACCTGGGATGTCTATGTCCTATGTGTAAGTCCTGGCTGTCATCTTCTGGAAACTTGTAGTCTAGTCGTGGGGGTGATGCGTGTTCTGGCAACTCTAGTGTGAGATAGGAAATGAGGCCTGGCAAGTTCTGTGTGAGCTCCAGGGGAGGAAAAGGCACTTCAGCACAGGAGCCACCAAAAAGCTAGATCTTACTTAAGGGCCAAGGAGGACAGCAAGTGGAGGAGGTACTTGATGAGGCAGAGCTCCAGGCTGGAAGATGGACAGCTGAATAAGGTTGAGGCCTGCTGGAGAGAGGAAACAGACAAGACTAACTGGAACTAGGCTCTAGATCACTTGTTCATTTCAATGCCCAGTGATTACTGTATACCTCACCAGCCCTTCAGAAAGAAGGACCTCTTTTGATGGAGGAATAGCTGCCTGTAGCCTCCTGAAAAGAACTTTCCCAGGCTGATAATTGGAGATCAGGGCAGCTACCTCATTAGCTTTTCGTCCCAGAATAAACTCATGAAATGTGAAAATAAGACTTGTGGACCAAATAGTTGAATAATTGCGTCTAATTACTCCTTGTCTGAATTTTGTAAAAGTTCATGTCACTTTTAAAGGAGGAGATGACACGACTACAGCAAGAAATTGAAAACCTGAAAGCTGAGAGAGCACCACGTGGAGATGAAAAGGTAAAGGCTCTGAATTAGTCCTTGAGACTCTCAGGTGCTATTACGGGAAAAAGATAGTTCTAGAGGACCAAAGAGCAGACCGCTGTTGCTAACTTATCCTGTAAATAGACATTCCTCAACTGTTTTCCTTCTGTGACCTTCTTAGATTTGTATCCATCTCTTCTCTCTTTCCTCTGGGAGTAGAAGGCAGCAGAGGGTGTGGAAGGCAGCAACCCAGACACGAATTACCAGATTACACAATTCTGGCCTCCCTCTGTTTAGGGAGATGTTTCTGGGAAAAGTCTGAGCTCTATTTCCTGCTCACCCGTTCCTTAAATTTTCTGCCAGTTTACTCATTTCACCTTTCTCCTTTCCTGCTCAGGGATAATGCCCCACTCCCAAAAGGCAGCAACAAACATGAAGAAGGAGAGAGCAGTGTTGGATTTAACAGAAGAACCCTAGGCTTGCAGGAGCAGTCTGGGTTTAGGGAACACACCTGGACAGCTGGTTCTCTGAACAGAGGACTTGATCTTCCAAGGAGCTAGCATGAATTTTCACTGAACCTTAAATTGTAAGAAACAGGGAACTTGAGGCTTAGGGAGGACAAGAGTGTCCAGCCACCCCACGCCAGACCGCATGCCCTGCTGCCTGGCCCAGAACTCTGCACTGGACAGTGCCCATGGCTGTACAGGACACTGCCATGCCCAGCGGGGAGACGAAGATCTTGCAGGGCCGTTATCACTCTCCTGAGTGGTTGCATTATTTCACCCGAGCCATACAACTCTTCACATCTGTGAGGGGACTGGCATGGGTGAATAGGAGAGCCTAGGAGGCAGTGGTATCCCAGGCTCATCGTCGCACAGTCCACCTCTCCTGTTGTTTCTAAAACTTTAAACCTTTAAAGCTCAAATCATCAGTTTGAGTTTTGAGCCTCTGCACAAATTAGACTCTTAAGATCTCATTTCTCTTTTCAGCACATCTTGTTAGCGAGATTCTTACATTCAAAAAGAGCTATACGGTTTACTGTGTTAGTGTGTAACTGACAGACACCTAAGAACAATTTAAAATCTGCTGCTCATCTAAGGGCAGTTCCCTTTCTGCTCTCTTCAGACATGCTCGGGGGACATCAACACATTTCTCAGCTGCACCCTTATGCCCCTGCCTGGCCCCTTCCTACATCTAGATCCTTGGCTTCTGTCTTATTCCCGAATGCTCAGGAGAGGTGTTTATTATGTTTTCATTGTTTCAGACCCTCTCCAGTGGAGAGCCGCCTGGTACCTTGACCTCTGCAATGACTCATGACGTAAGTACCTGCCTGCTCAGGACTGGCATTGTCTCCTGAGGGCAGGCGGCCAGCTTTCCACTCTCCTGTGATGGCTTCTCATGCCTACTTTAATGTGCTCTATGGCCAACTCCACATCTAGGCGTTCCAGGGCATTGTCCTGTTTGATACAGCTAGGCCTCAGATGGAGGCAGGGTCTCACCAGGAATGGCCCTGAAGGTCACCTTTCTGATGGGTTTTCTTCCAGTTCTGTGTACAAGCATGTTGTTTTCATGCTGGCTTCTCAGCTGGGAAGGGGAGAGGCCTGCGTTGGCCGCATATGCTGGTCACCACTCGGGCTCTGAGGGATGGGGTGGTACAGAGGGGAAAACCTTCTCTCTCTGTTGTACTATATACCAGACTCAGCAGACTGTTTCTATAAAGGTGCACATAGTAACTCTTTTTGGCTTTGTGAGCCAGCTCTGCTGTAGTGACCATAGTTGATCTGTAAATGAATGGACATGGCTGTGTTCCAATAAAACTTTATTTACAAAAATGGGCCACAAGGCATATTTGGCCCAAAGGTTGTAGGATTTAGCTCACAGGCTGTAGTTTGCCACCCACTTCTGAGTTAAACCAGTGCTCTCCGCATTCCAAAACCCTCCAGAAGAAAGAGATAGGAAAGGAAGTGGAGGAAAGGAAAAGCAGGAAAACTGTAAGCATCTGCCTTCTTTAAGGGTTCCTCTTCCCTTTGTACCCTCGTAATCTCCCAGGAGAATGAGCTTCAGCACTCTTCCAGTGAAGTCTGTTGGATTTTGCCTGCAGCTGAGCCCCTTGGGTGCGTTGGGTAGGGGGGTGTGTTTATATTCCCTATGCTGAGGAAGGAGGCACTCCTTTGACCCCTTTTGTAACTTTCTCTGAGGCGACAAACCATCCAGCCATGTCTCTTACCATGTCTCATCCAGCCATGTCTCATTGCTGGGTTCAATGAGGGACTAGTTTCTATTTTCTATATCAATGCTGTCCAAAAGAACTTTTTGCAGTGATAGAAATGTTCTGTTCCGCACTGTCTGCTGTGGCTAGTGGCTATCACATTGGATAACACAGCTCTAAGTAGAAACATAGAAAACTAGCATCATCTCCAAACACAGGCATAGTACAACACATTCTTTAACTAATGATTTGTCTCTACATCATCATAGGTTTTTGCAGGGGAAGGGCATATACATTTGGAGGTTACTTCACTTAAGAATACTGGATTTGCCCTGGGTCCCAGAAGGAAGAGTTGTTATAACATGATATGAGAGGGTATCAAGGGTCTCATATGAGACAGGACCCAGACAGTAAACTTGGGCATTTAAGAAGAGAAATTTAAGGCCTTAGGATGGGGGAGATATGATAAAAACATATTCAACTTTCAAAGACTCCATTAAAGAGTGAAAGTTTTCTATTCCCAGATAATTACAGCCTTTTCCAATTTTTAGGAAGACCTAGACAGACGGTATAATATGGAGAAAGAGAAACTTTACAAGATACGTTTACTACAGGTGAGTAAAAGAAGGACAAAAATATGCATAAATGCTTCTAACTAGGTATAAATGTCCTATGACATAACTAGAAAGTCTCAATATCTAAGAACTAGAGAAAATAAGTAATGAGGCTGCTGTTCCCCAGTCTTCTTTCTATCTGGAGTGTAACTCAGTGATTTAAGATGTTGGTATTAACATCTCACATTGTTGGTATATTACTTTCACAACCACTCCTTTGAGTTAATCCTAACCCCAGGTGGAGAGTGGATATTACATCCCATTTTCTTTATGAAGAAATTGGCTTGTTTGTTTGGATAACCGGCAGTTTGTGAGAGTGACATCAAATATGGGGGAGATAGGTTTCAAAATTAGCTCTAAAATTTAATTCATGCAGAGTCAAAATTACATTTAAAATCCCCTACATTGCTGGGATCTGGCTCATGGAAGCTCAAAAGCCAAAAATTCCTTGTGTCACACTTTGGTTCAAGCCAACCTTCTGTTCCCTGGGAGGGAAAGGCCGGGCTCGGGTAGGAGTGGCCAAAAGGCTGCAGAGGCCAGTGAGAGCCCCTTTCCCCTCTCTCTGGCACCTACTTACTTTGCTGAGCTGAGAGGGTTAAATTAGAGTGAGTCAAATTTGTCCTTGTTACAGACTACTAATCTTTAAAGAGGCACAGAACTAAATAAAATCGGGACAGTACAGCTGCATATTTGGAAACTTTTTGACTGAGTGCTTTATATGTATTCAGCATTGGATCAGGTCCCATAACTAATAAATAGGATGACCCATCTCCTGGACATGCTGGCTATTTGAGAACCAAGACATGTCTATATATACATCAAAGTTCAAGGGAGATTATGTGCAAATTGCTTTCTAAGGGCAGCTTCAGACTGGCTAGGGGAAAGCTTCAGTAAAGCCAGTGGCTTGCTGAGGGCAAGGGCCTGAGTTAGGCAGTGGCTGTAGAATGCATGGAAATGAACTGATGGGACAGATTGCAGGGCTGTAGCTGATGGAACTTAGTATCATCTGAGATAAAAAGAGGAGTCAAGGATGATGCTGGAATTTCTGACACAAGGGTGAATAATATTTGTGTTATTCATAGAGGAGAAGCATAAAAGAGAATTAATGGACTAGGGTTAAGGGCGAGAGGAGTATAATAAATAGGAGTGTTAATGAGATCTGTTTGGGGCTTTTCAAAGTTGGGATACTCAACCACATTGAAATGTCCAAGGAGTGCTTTGTTGTCAGCTCTGACTCCCAGAATAGTATGGCCTGGAGATTTGGGTGTCTGCAGTGTTGATGAGGACTGGGGCTGTGGAATGTGGAAGAGGCCCTGAGACTACACCCTGGTGAGCACATGTGAGGATAGGCAGAGCAAAACAAGGGATCTCCCAGTGAAGATGCACCTGAGCAGCCAGAAGGGAAAACAAGTGCATGAGGCTTGTGGGAGCCGAGCAGAGAGCTCAGCTGAGAGGAGGGGAAGTGCCACTAGAAATCAAGAAGGCTAGGAGCTGAGAATTGTCCATTAGATGTGTCCCTGAGAAGGTGTGCAGTGACTTTGGCAAAAGCAGTTCAGTGGGGCACTGGGGAGAGCCTAGTTGCAGTGGGTTGAAGAGGGACTGGCATGGACAGAGGCTCCCATGTGCATGGCTCTCAGTACATTTCTCTTCCCTGTAAAAGGGAAGAGAGAGGCTGGTAGCTGAAAGGTGATGGCGATTAAAGAAGGGCTTTTTAAGGAGTGAGGACATGAATGTATTTAAATGCTGATGAGAAGGGTCAGTAGCCAGTGAAAAGTTACAGATGCAGTAAAAGACTGAAGAGTTGTATCTTAAGACTCCTGAAAGAAAACCAGGAGTCAGAGCCTGAGCACCCATGGGGAGCGTAGCCTTGGCCTAAGGGAGAAATACATCCTTCCCTCTCCCTGGAGCTGCAGAGACCCAGTTTTGGATTAGGTCACCAGAGCTGAATGTGGGTTTCCCACCAGGAGGCTCCTATTTCCCCAGTGAATTAGAGATTCACATCTGCTGCTGCAGGCAAAGCAGGCAGGAGAGTGGGAGGATATGGTGGACAAAGGGATGCAGGCACAGAAGAAAGGCAGCACTCAGAGCCCGCTTGGTCTGGAGTCTACACGTGTTCAGTGGGAGCCATGCACAAGTGAGCGGCTTGCTCTCCCTGCAGCTGCCCCTGTACCATGCCACACCACACAGCAGTGCCATGCCTCCCAGACCCGGTCAGTAGGGCAGTTTCCTGAGTCTGTGGAAGGGAGAAAATGCTAGAAAGTATTTGAGGAGTAGGTTGCAGGAGCTTTTTAACCAGGATGAGGAATTTGGGATGTATGTGGAGGCGGCAAGGTGGCATAGCTTCCCATCATCTGAAGCATTCCTTTTGTTGCCTGTCCCTGCCTGGCAGGGTGGAGCTGGCTATTCTAGACTCCTTGGGGGCCTGGTGGGTAGCTGCCGGCTCTGTCCATAGAAGCCCTTCCCATTCAGTATCTTCCCTCCTGGTCCACTCATTTGGTGCCTTCTGTGATTCAGTTCACAGTCACACCACCTCCCACTCCTAGGAAAGCGGGAAAGTCAATCCAAATCTGAGATGGGGACCTTTAAGCCCATGGCAGGAGTTTGTGCCTGCATTGTAGGGCGCATGGTTGGGCTCAGGTCGGGGTGCAGGCAATATTTTGGCTCCCTAGAGAACATGTAAGGCCTTTTACCAAATAGTACTGTCTCTGTCTCCCTTTTGCATTTAGGCTCGAAGAAATCGAGAAATAGCAATTTTGCACCGCAAGATTGATGAAGTCCCTAGCCGTGCCGAGCTAATACAGTATCAGAAGAGATTTATTGAACTCTACCGCCAGAGTAGGTGCATTGACCACAGACAAGCTCTTGAGGCTGGGAAGGGACAGGCGAGGGGTCTGTTCCACTTTAGCATGGGGGAGCATGCACCAGAGCACAGTCCACAAAGGCCACCACCGGAAAGCTCCGTTTCATCAGCAGGCCCACTTGGCAGTCCCGGGAGCAGCACTGTGGTGCTCTCACTGCCCTCTCCGTGGACAGATAGTTGAACCAGTTGAGCTCTTAGACTAAAGCTTCAAAGCAGCCCTCATCCTGGTCAGCCACACAGCCTTCCCCTGAGCTCCCACACCACTTTCCAACTTCACACGGAACATCGTGACCCTGGTGTCTAGAGATCAGTCCTCATTCATTGTTCTTCTCTACAGACTTTGTTGCTGATGTGGTCCTTAACCCTTAACAGCATCATATTCACCCAGTAACCCAGGACCATGACCCCCTCAGCCTGAATAAGAGATCATGTCTCATGAGGCTCAGAATGGCCCTCAAGGCTGCCATTGCCTTTTTCTTCCTAACATTCCTGCCACATCTGCTCTTGCATCATATCTCAGCTAAATGACCATTAGCTGCAGTGCCTCCAAGTCCCCTAGCCACACATCTGATTCTGTCACTTCTCTCTCTGCTAACAAATCTTCAGGAACTCCTCAGGCCTTACTGAATAGAGCCTCTTTCTTTACCATGCCTGGGTTCCTCCCCAGTCTGAGTGGCCTGCCTGGAGGCCCCTTTCCTGATCTGAACCCTCACTCTGGCCTTGCCAGTCCACACACTGCCTCTGAACAAACCATGAGCTTTGACGTCTTAGCCTTGACTCCTCCTGTTCCTGGTGCCTGGATCCTTTTTCTTCTGTCAGGCTAAATTCTTCAATACCCAATTCAGATCCTGTAAACCTATTCTAGGCACCCCACCCCAGGCAAGAAGTGACCACCTCTTCTCCAGGCTCCTACTCTTGTATGTCCCCATGATACCTGAAACTCAACAGGTACAAAATTGAATTCGGCCCTCCTACTCCGTATTCCTCTTAGGCAAACTGGACCCCTCTTTCTTCTCTGACTCAAGCTGCTCGCCAATTCTGTGTCTTAGTAATTTTCAAGTCTATTTCTTCTGGACTGCGCTGTAGCCACCTTCCTTTGCTGCTCAGAGTCTAATTAGATCTCTTTCAACATATATTTGATCATTTTACTCTAAAAGCTGTAATACTTAGGCTCCCTGCAACTTCTTGGGTAATCTTTAGAATCCTAAATACACAATACTAAGTCCTGCATCGTCTTGGCCCACTTCACCCAGCTTCACCCCTCTTGCACATCTGCATCTTGGCCTGTGAGCTGGTACCTGAGTCCATAGTGCCATTATCCTACAATTCCCACTTGGTATTTCAAAATCCACCTAAGATTTTGCCTTGAGGACTTGGCCTCTCCAGCATCCTTCCTGGTAGAGCACTGGCTCTATTGGAGGAGATCAGATCACACTTCCTTCATGTGCCCGGCCCCACTAGGCTGGGATTTCATCCAGTCCTCACACTGGACTCAAATGATCAGAGGCAGGGATCAGCAGTGACAGTTTTCAGCAGAAAGTAGTTTCTGCTTTAAGTTAAATCTTTCCCTTTACTTTTCTATTCCTGCTTGTTTCAAAGCTTTTAGCAATAATAATACCTGCATCTATTTATTTCACAGAACAAATTTCACACAGGTTAAAATCATCTGATAAAGACATGTTTACACTAAGGACATTTTCAAGCAGTTACATCAAAATACCTGTATCAATGTGTTATTATCAAATATCTACAACCCCCACCCAGTTCTTTGGCTGGATGAGGTAAGGGTGGCTGGTTCATTTATGGGAGTAATTCTCAACTTTGGGTACTCACTGTCACCACCTGGGTCCCACCTTCAACATTCTCCTTTCATTGGTCCTGAGACTTGTTAAAAGCTTCCCAGGCAATTCAGTTTGCACGCTGTGGGGTTTCTGCAGAGTGAGCTCCCAGGCCTGACAAAGTTGTCCTGGCAGTGCATTCATGGAGGAGAGGGGCAGGTAGGGTGTTCTGATACCTGTTCTTATTCGTGTGCTGATTTCTTTACTTTTACAGTTTCAGCAGTGCACAAAGAAACCAAGCAGTTCTTCACTTTATATAATACCCTGGATGATAAAAAGGTTTATTTGGAAAAAGAGGTAAGAACATTTATAAAAAGAAAATGGCTAAGCAGCTAACAGTGCAGTTGACTCCAGGAAGTCAAATGAACTTGATGTTTGGGACAGGTATGTTCAGCATTAGCAGAAAGAGTGCCTATTTTATATGCTAAGTGCTGGCATACCCAGTCAGAAAGTGCAAGATTCCTTGGGAACCCAGACTGTCTGCTGTGAAGTGAGACTGGTAGACAGCCATTCTAGAGTGCTGTGGGGGAAATGCCATTGTTAAAAGGAACACAATGGAAGCTCTGGAGTTGGTGAGACTAGTTTGAGATTTAAAGGAAGGGAGGAACCAGCTGAATGAAATGGGGGTGGTGGGCTTGTTATAGTTTACAGGGAGAAAATACCTGTTTAATCATCAGTGGCCGACAAAGGCGTGAACTAAAAGGTTTGTAAAATTCAAAGCAGGGGTGAAAGGGTCACTGTCACTCCCTTCGTCTTTTTTTTTTTTTTTTCTTGTCTTTTTTTTCTTTTATTATTATACTTTAAGTTTTAGGGTACATGTGCACATTTGCAGGTTAGTTACATATGTATACATGTGCCATGCTGGTGCGCTGCACCCACTAACTCGTCATCTAGCATTAGGTATATCTCTTTTTAACATTTAAAAACTCAGGTTAAATTAATGGCTCAGGGCTTTCCCAAGTTGATGACAAACGGTTGGAGCACAGTATGCAGATATGTCTTAATTTAAAAAAGAGAACAGTCCTGGTCTTCACCATGGCAGCATAGTGTCCTGAAGAGAACACGGGCTTTGGCGTCAGTCAGATTTGGGTTTATTTGGGTTTTAATGTGGCCTCTTTTTTCTCACCTGTAAAATGGGGATGACACCTAATTGCATTGATGATGATTATAATGCGGACAGAATGAGAAAATGTAAAGTTCCTTACACATGGTGGATTCTCAGTACATACTTGTTCCTACCCTCCCCCTCACCTTGAGGTTGATAGAATGTGTTTTCATTTTGTCACCTTGTAGTCTACACTAATTACCACTTTAATAAGGATAATATTACAAATGTATCTTTTACCTGAACCCAAATTGAGGCATCTGTAATTACTGTCACCTTTACTGCCTGCTGTCAGACAAACCAGGTAGATCTCTGTCATCCTAGAGGGTGCTCCTTGGGAAGCTGTTTTATTTTTTTCTGTATCCGGGGCTTACACAGTGGTAGGCGTATAACAGACATTTGATAAATGTTTGAATAGATGAATGCATTTCATGGGATTTGCATCAGACCTGGGGAATAGCTCTGTCCCACATCCTGGCCTTGGGGCCCTCCTACCTGGCAAAGGAAAGATTTGCCAACCCTGACTTAGGGATAGGCCAGCCCCTTCCCAAAGACCTTAAACCCCATTGACCTTCCTTCATCAGCAGTGTTTAAAGTTGTTCCACTGTTTAAAAACTAGGAATATTGCGAGGCAGACTGGGGAGCTGGGCTTTCTAATTCCAAGCCATGTTACCAGTTAGAATGTTACATTTGAATAAATTTGGTATTTTATTTTAAATGGATTTATGCCTATGATAGTTTAAAACCTTCCTGTGGAGTACTAAGGACAAGAAATATTCTACATTGCTGACTGTGAACCTAAAGTTCACATATGGTAATTACTTAGTTCTGAGGCCCCAAATTGAGTAGTTTTATGGCCAGAAAGATGACCCAGGTTTCCTTACTCCTGCCTCAGAGCCCTTCCCAGGACTGTATCATTGGGGCAGATAAGAGGATTTGCTGCGGGGCTAAGGCAGTGTCCACGGGGCCTTGAACAGTGCATCCCCTTGGAGGCACTCAGCCACCCAGCAGCTTAGCTTGTTGCATTGGCGAGAAGATTCTGTGGGAAGGAATAGGGTGTAAACGACTCTCACTTTCCACACTGTCTGACTCCCGTAAGCTGTTATCCTTGAAAATAAAGTGCAGTGTTTGGCAAGATAGAAAGGGCTGTGGTGGCAGTTTGCCTAGAGAGCCCTAGTGTTAGCTTAGTGTCCTCTCAGCTGGGATCCAGTTCCCTTCAAAGCACCTTCTCCCTACATTCCTGTGGGAATGCCCTGTAGGAAGAGGGAATTTTCTGTGAGAAGAAGGTGGATTCCCTGAGGAAATCTGTGAGACAGAACATGTGGCTAATTTTTTTTTCATATGTTACTTTAATCTTCATAAACAAGGCATGTGTTCCTTGCAGAAGCAGTATGTGGAGACAGGCAAGCTTGCAGCAGTTGCAGTAGTGTGGAAATCTTTTTGCCTGTCTTATAATTTCGTTTGTTTTTTTACTTCCCCAGATTAGTCTGCTGAACTCAATTCATGAGAACTTCTCACAGTAAGTACTGTCAGTCCTCCTTCCCACTAATACCCTGCCGGCCTGCGCTTTGAATTCAGCCCACCTCACATTGCTATAATGTGCTTGACAAAGGTACATGCAAGACTTAACACTGGGTATGTGATTCTTACTCTTTTAGCCCTTCTGCTAAGTATCTTGTTTACACTCTCCTTGAGTACCTGCAAAACTATAATGATAGTAGAGTGAAGGAAGAGCTGACGAAAAAAGTTAACTTTCAAATACTTTGACTGTACCCACCTACTAAAATCTCTCTGTATGTTATCAAATTAATATTTGTTAATGAACACATAGAGATGCTTTAAAATTTACATAATGGAATTTATATAATTTTTTAGATTTTTTAAATCTCATGGTAGATTTTTTTTGGTTAATGTGTACATTGTTCTCTAAAAACTAGATGTCAAGGCCCACCTGTTCCCAAATCAAGCCCTCAAGCATGTCCATTTGCCCACCCACCATCCAGCAGCCCCAGGACTTGCTCCTTGGAGAGCATGCTTCCCTTCTCTCTGGCACAAATCTCTGCTGTCCTCTGGCAGGCCCTTCTCTCTGGCACAAATCTCTGCTGTCCTCTGGCAGATGACAGCGGACACATTGTGACTGACATCTTATTGAGTTACAGGTTCTAGATTTTAAGCTTCTTTTCTTAAAAAAAAAAACAAAAAACCACAGCTTCCCCTGGTTTTAGGAAATCTCAGAATATGTCTCCCAGTTTCAAGTATCTGCCAATCCTCAAATTTTGTAAACCAAATGAAATTCATTACTTATGCAGTACATGCCGTATTTCAAATAAATAATGTTTTTGTTAATTTTAGTCACATTTTACTGCAAGAAAATACATATTAGTTATGAAAGTTACAGGGAAAGTATGACAAAAAAGATTAACATGCAATTATAAGACCAGGCTAATTTCCATGCCTTCTCAGAGGTTTAGCATCCTTAATTGCCTGGGATCCCAGGGGCCCCCGTGGCTCCACTGTGCGTTACAAAGACCTGATTGCCTCTCCTAAGAGTCATAATCTGGATACAGAGCTGACTGCTTGGCATTTCCCCCTGCCTCAGAGTCCTGTGTGCCGGTCATAACTCTACTGGTTTTTCTTTCAGGGCCATGGCCTCCCCTGCTGCCCGGGACCAGTTTTTACGTCAGATGGAACAGATTGTGGAAGGAATTAAGCAAAGTAGAATGAAGGTCAGATGGCTTCTTTTCTGTAATGCAGCCCAGGTTTTATAGTGGTGACAGGGAAGGTCCTGGGAAGAAAAGGCCTCTTCTGGTAGTTGGGGAGTGTGCCCTCAATCCTGAAAAGACACATTTCTACAGAGGTATTCCCACCATGCGTCTTACTCTGTAATGGGCAGGGCCTGTCTCATGAGCTGCCTACACCCAGGGGTTCAAAAGTTGCTGTTAGCAGTAGCTCCCAGGTATTGAACACCTATTGTGTACCAAGCATTGTGCTGACATTCCTAAAAGACCTCTGAAGTGAACAGTATCACACCCATTTTACAGATGAGGAGACCACCTTTCACCAGCAGGCTTCCGCTCTTGACTAGATTCACTTCCTCGGTGGATCTGTGGTACCTGACATTCCGCCACAAGAGATTCATTCCTTAGGAATCTTAGGATCTCGAGAGCATTTTGGTTTTCAGGAACCCTCTAAAAAAGAGAAATCATTGCTGAACTGAGTTCTGCCAAATTGAGAGGAAATTGAGTCTCAGAAGTCTGAAGAGAACAGAGAGGCCCCACTCAGTCAGGGTGCAGCATGGGATTTTCCTACAGAGACAGCTGCAGTTTCCTACCACCATTCTCAGATGAATCCTAAACAGTACCTCCAAATATCTCTTGCTTATGGTCCTGTTTTAAAAATGTATCACGCCAGAGTGGTTCTCCGACATGGCAGTAAAATCTTCCGGGGACGTTGGGTTTCTCCTCTTACGATCTTGGGGCAGAGGGCTCCAGTGAGTGATGCCAGAATGTAAACACATGAGAAAGAAAGAATTGTCCATAGGTCCTGTCATCATAAAAAACCCTGTTACAGAAGACAAACATTCAAGTTGCCTGTAATCTCATCTCACAAGAGATGAGCTAAGGGCAGAAGTGCTCCATATCCCTTTCCCTGTAGAAAAATATCATTAATCTCTCTGTGAATGACTTCAATAAAACGATGTCAAAGGAGGAGAAAAAAAGTATCACTAGTAACAAGCACGATTTCTCAAGACTATTCAGCCGTAAAAATGAGAACGACATAAGTCAGTGTTTGCCTATATATGCACACTCACCCAAGCCAGGATAGGCTGTCTTGCAGAGGGAGAATGCAGTCCCCTCTCAGTGACCTGGGGTATGAGTAGGTGGAGGGCAGAGAACCTGGCTGACCAAAAGCCTCTGACAACCCAGGTGTCAGTGTGTTAGACGCTTCCACCTTGCCATTGCTCTGCAGGAAGCTGCTCTGGTTCATAGTCAAGAACAACAGGAATTCATGGGGTTTTTTCCTTTGACTTCTGCTTCGTGTTTACAGAGAGCAGTGTAAACAGGAAGTGGAGGCCAAAGGAAAAAACTCCATGAATTCCTGTTGTTGACTATGAGCCAAAGCAGGGGAAGAAGTGGGCCTCACCCCTTCACTCTCTTCACTCTCCCCGAGGAGGCTTCGTGCTCTTGGCCCCTCAGTGCTGACCAGTGTGGAAAGGCGCTGCTGTATCTGTCTCTCCCCTCCATGGTGGGTGCCAAATGGGTCAATGGCACCCAGGGCAGAGTGGGCTCTCTTTCTCTGGTCTGCATCCCTGGTGGCTGATGTAGCACCTAACCCATGGTTAGGCCCTCAAGGACTATTTGTTGAATGAGTGAATTCTTTCAACAGAGTCAAAGAGCAGTTCTCAGAGAGGGCTCCAGATACGCTTTGAATGTTGAATGTTGATAGACACTGTGAATGGAACAGCAGTCACTTGGATGGATGTGTTTTATTGTGTTTGTTTAAAAAAAAAAAAAAGCTTTCCCTGTAACAGTGCCTTAATGGGTCCTGCTCTCATAGATGTGGCAGGGGAGTCTGTCCTCTCAAGCACAGGTTTCTCAGAACCAGCAGGTTCAGAGTGTTACATAGTAGACCAGCGCTGGGTAACAATGACCGAATAGGTGTTTATGCCCCGTCTGAGGGTTTCTGAGTAAAGAAGAGGTCACATATCAGTCAGCATTTCGACCTCACTCAGAGGAGTTAAGGTCTCTGGATCTCTGGAATACTGTGAGCAAGTGCTTGGCACAAGCACTTCACAGACCTAGGGTGTGAAGAGGTGATAAGGAGGGAATAACAATGGTACGTCTGAGTAAGGGGACACTGAGAAGAGTGTGAAAATGAAGCTTAAATCAAAGAGTCAACTCCTGCTTCTCATAGTGAGTTGGCATTCTAGGATGTGAAATGTTGAGAAGAAAAATGGTCTTTATTGAGCAGCTACTATAGACCAGGTGATGGATCATTCACTTACCATTTCATGTCCCAAGCTTCTTGTAACAAAACTGGTTATCTAGGTGATATTCTTATTTTAGCTAAAGGACGTAGCATTCAAAAAAGTTAAATTAGCTGTCCAAGGATACACAGTGAGTGGCAGAACTAGGATTTGAACCCAGCCTTTCTGGCCTCAAGCTCATACTATTTCTAGGTTGCCACACTAACTCCCACAGTGGATCCTGGATAAATTCATAATTCAAGCGCATTGCTACCTCACTAGGACATAATCAGTCACGGTGAAGTGTTTTGCTAAAGTGCAGAGCAGAGAGGAAAGGCCTGAGATAGAGCTGCTGGCTGTCCTAATAAGAGAGAGGGACCTAGCTGTGAGGTCCTAGCCAGTGCAGCAGAAAAGATGTCTGCTGCTTTGAGAGTTGGAGCCCACGAAGGAACAGTAGTGGGAACTGCGGTGGGCTGGTGTGTCACTGTGACAGGATCATGAGTGGGTGTCAGAGACCCATGCAGGCAGCATTAGGGGTTCCATCGACAGGGATCAGGACTTGCTGCTGAGCCAGGGCTCCAAGTGTGGTAGGACACCCCAGAGGGGACTGGCCACTCTGGGAGACCTAGGCACAAGGGAGGGCACCAAACTGGAGACCTAGCATGGGTGTGCACCAGGCATCCGTATGCAGACCTGTGGAAAGAGCAGGGCACAGGGTCTTGGGACTCAGGAACTGAATGCAAGGTCAGGATTTGACTAGGCAAATCAGTCCCCATATGTGGTGGGTCTTTCTCTGAACAGCATTGGGATAGGCCTTGGGGACACCAAGTTGCATTTGTCCTGTGTAGTCAACAGAAGCCTATAGTGTGGAGGGAACTACTGAATAAAATGCAGTCAATTTTACCTATAGCTTGTGTTTACCAAATCCCTCCCAAAGTGTAACACAGAAATCATGGTCAGGCATCAGCAAAGCCACAGCAAAGCATCTCTCAGAATTTGATTCAACAAGCTTTTGAGCACCGGCCATGAGTCAGGCACCCGGTCTGTACCGTAACTCTTACTGCCCTCATTTCCTGGCTGATTCTCTGGGTTTACCTTCCAGACATACAGCACATAGCATTGCCAGCCCTGCTCTAGTGTCCTCAGAGAGCCTCTCTGAGCTTCCAGGCTGAGGAGGCCATGCACCCACCCTCCTCTCCGTCACCTCCCCCCGTGTCATTTTCCTCACAGGACCGATCAGTGTTGCGAATATTTTGTGTGTCTGTTTGTCAGGGTGCTTGCTTAATGTGAATCTCTAGAATGTATGCTCTGTGAGAGCAGTGACTTTGCCATGTTCACCACTACACGTAGCTACTCAGTAGGTTCTAAGTCAATGTTTGTTGAATGAATAAGCTTTTGGATACCTTAGAAAAGTCTCTTTAAATCAAAGCCTAGCATCTATTTATGAGATCAAAATCCTGAAAATATCCTAAATTGTCTACCAGCAGGAAGATGGGTAAGTTAGCAATCAGCAGGAATATTGTATTGTTTTTAAAATGATAATTTGTAGAAAATTTATAATGACATGGAAATACTTACATTAAATCAAAAGAGGATACACGGTTTTATTATATGAGCACAGTTTTTAAATCAGGGTTTCTCAGCCTCAGCACAGTTAACATTTCGGGCTAGATAATTCTTTGCTGTGGGGGTGTCCTGTGCAATGTAGGATGTTTAGCAGCATTGCTGGCCTCTACCCAGTGATTCCAGTAGCACCCACTTCTCGCAGTTGTGACAATCAAAACTGTCTCCAGACACTGCCGGGTGGGGGATGGGGGGCAAAATAGCTCCTAGTTGAGAATCACCAACCTGTCCATTGTGAAATTGTAGTGAGAAAAAAAAATGGAAACAGTTAATACTCAGTGATAGAAAAATTGCTGAATAAATTGTAGAGCCTCCATGTAATATGCAAATAAATTAACCAACCTCAAAAATTATATATTGAAGCTTCCTCTACTGTAAGGAAATCCATGAAACTGTTAACAACTGTTGCCTTTTGGATGTTGCCAGTAGCCCTTGGGCAGAACATGTCTTTTCATCACCATTTCCCACAATGTTTCAACAGATGGAAAAGAAAAAGCAAGAGAACAAAATGAGAAGAGACCAGTTGAACGACCAGTACTTGGAGCTGTTAGAAAAGCAGAGGCTATACTTTAAGACTGTGAAAGAGTTCAAGGAGGTAAGAGGAAGGCTGGGTAGCACATTAAGGCTAACGTGAGATATATGTTCACCTCAAAAGTAGCCACTAAAAAACAGCAGTTTTTTGGTTTTCCTCTGGTCTGTGAAGGGAAATAACAAGACAGAGTGTGATCTGGCAGTGAAGTGTGGCGTCTAGGTAGCTGAAGATTGCGTTTTTCTGTGGCCCATCTTGAGGTCTAATTAAATGTTTTAAGACATCACATCACTTTAGTTTTCCTAACACTTAGTAAGCACATTAACTCACAAAATGACTCCATCAGTCCGTATCAAGGGCCACTTGGAAACAGCATTTGTTGTGGATTCAGATATAGAATCTTCTTTCCTGCCAATCTTAGGGTGGGGAGGGACCTCAAGAAGCTGTGTGGGAAGAGAGAACTTTGAAGTGTCACAGGCTTGGATTCGAATCCTACATTTACCACTTACCAGCTGTGTTTTTTGGCAATGACCTAATCCCTCCCAGCCTCAGTTTCCTCATTGGTGAATTCCGTTGCGTCAGGTGAGAAATTTGAAACATCCAGCACCAGGCCTGGCACCTCCTAACACCCAACACTCAACTGAATTTCGGTTTTCCCTGTTTTTCCTTCCTGCATTTGGGCAGTTACTCTTCATTGTTCCAGAAAGAAAAGTGCCTGCCCTTAAGAGATTTTCCAAAAAGACTTCATTTGGTCCCTTGCTAGGGTCTCAGCAGCTTTATTTTAAGGAATTCCTTCTCCCTAACCTAAATCCATGTGGTTTCAGTGAGTTTAGAGACTGCTGAAAATACAGCAGAGTTAAAGGTAGATTGTATCCTGGTGTTTGGTCTGCAGAATAAAAAATGTAGTCTTTCCATGCTCATAATTTTGTTCTTAATTTAAGACTTTTCTTCCTTCCTCATCTTTCCCTTGTCTTCTACATATTTCCTTATCTGTGATTTAACTTCTAGAAGCCACATCCCATAGGCATTTCAAAATCTCATCTTTTCCAGTGTTCCAGCTCCTACTATACCCCTGGGCAGATGCCAGGTTGTAACGCAGACCTCCTCCTCCTTAAGGAGCATACGCTGTGGTGGGAGAGACGGATGGCAAGCTAAGAACAAGTCATAACAAATAAGTAGTAACAATTCCAGACTTTGCCATGTGAGGAGACTGGTTTAGGTAGTGTGGTCTAGGAGGGCCCTCTAGGGTGAGCAGGACCTAGCCATCGGAAGAAAGAGTTCTTCAGCCACAGCAGTGCAGGAATGGGGAGCGGAGGGTCTGCGGCTCAGTCTGGGACTCCTTTGAGGCTAGCACAGGCTGCAGCTGAGGTCCCAGAAGGGCCAGTGAGTGAACTGGCAGGGAACAATTAGGAATTTGCTGCCCTACTCAGAGCTCCTCGTTCCCTTTAATCAAAACTAACAAAAGGAGAAGAACTGCATCTCAAATGCTGCTTGGAGACACCCTTTTGACAGTGTAGAAACAAAAAGCAAGTTGAGGAGGATAAGTATAAGCTGTCAAAGCAATTGAAAATGAAATGGAAAAGCTCATTCTTGCCCTGCAGGCTCTCAGATGAGAGCTTAGGATGACCTCCAAGGCACCAGTTCCTTCAGAGGTGTTAAGTGGCTTGGGTCTGGGTTCCCACCTGTGCTGGCAGTCATTGTCACACCAGACACAGAGGGTGGTTCCTTCAGATCCAGCTAAGACACCTAGACCAGATTCTTGCCAGGCCTCTTTCCTTCAGTCCAAAGCAAGTCAGAAGAGGGGGAGGGGATGAAATATGTTTTTGCATATTTCTTTTTTTTATTATACTTTAAGTTTTAGGGTACATGTGCACAACGTGCAGGTTAGTTACATATATGTACATGTGCCATGTTGGTGTGCTGCACCCATTAACTCGTCATTTAACATTAGGTATATCTTCTAATGCTATCCCTCCCACCTCCCCCCACCCCACAACAGGCCCTGGTGTGTGATGTTCCCCTTCCTGTGTCCATGTGTTTTCATTGTTCAATTCCCAACTATGAGTGAAAACATGTGGTGTTTAGTTTTTTGTCCTTGCAATAGTTTGCTGAGAATGATGGTTTCCAGCTTCATCCATGTCCCTACAAAGGACATGAACTCATCCTTTTTTATGGCTGCATAGTATTCCGTGGTGTATATGTGCCACATTTTCTTAATCCAGTCTATCATTGTTGGACATTTGGCTTGGTTCCAAGTATTTGCTATTGGGAATAGTGCTGCAATAAACATACGTGTGCATGTGTCTTTATTGCAGCATGATTTATAATCCTTTGGGTATGTACCCAGTAATGGGATGGCTGGGTCAAATGGTATTTCTAGTTCTAGATGCCTGAGGAATCGCCACACTGACTTCCACAATGGTTGAACTAGTTTACAGTCCCACCAACAGTGTAAAAGTGTTCCTATTTCTCCACATACTCTCCAGCACCTGTTATTTCCTGACTTTTTAATGATTGCCATTCTAACTGGTGTGAGATGGTATCTCATTGTGGTTTTGATTTGCATTTCTCTGATGGCCAGTGATGATGAGCACTTTTTCATGTGTCTTTTGGCTGCATAAATGTCTTCTTTTGAGAAGTGTCTGTTCATGTCCTTTGCCCCCTTTTTGATGGGGTTGTTTTTTTTCTTGTGAATTTGTTTTGAGTTCATTGTAGATTCTGGATATTAGCCCTTTGTCAGATGAGTAGATTGCAAAAATTTTCTCCCATTCTTTAGGTTGCCTGTTCACTCCTATGGTAGTTTATTTTGCTGTGCAGAAGCTCTTTAGTTTAATGAGATCCCACTTGTCAATTTTGGCTTTTGTTGCCATTGCTGTTGGTGTGTTAGACATGAAGTCCTTGCCCATGCCTATGTCCTGAATGGTGTTGCCTAGGTTTTCTTCTAGGGTTTTTATGGTTTTAGGTCTCACATTTAAGTCTTTAATCCGTCTTGAATTAATTTTTGTATAAGGTGTAACGAAGGGATCCAGTTTCAGCTTTCTACATAATGGCTAGCCAGTTTTCCCAGCACCATTTATTAAATAGGGAATCCTTTCCCCATTTCTTGTTTTTGTCAGGTTTGTCAAAGATCAGATGGTTGTAGATGTGCGGCATTATTTCTGAGGGCTCTGTTCTGTTCCATTGGTCTATATCTCTGTTTTGGTACCAGTACCATGCTGTTTTGGTTACTGTAGCCTTGTAGTATAGTTTGAAGTCAGGTAGCATGATGCCTCCAGCTTTGTTCTTTTGGCTTAGGATTGACTTGGCATTGGGGGCTGTTTTTTGGTTCCATATGAACTTTAAAGTAGTTTTTTCCAATTCTGTGAAGAAAGTCATTGGTAGCTTGATGGGGATGGCATTGAATCTATAAATTACCTTGGGCAGTATGGCCATTTTCACGATATTGATTCTTCCTACCCATAAGAATGGAATGTTCTTCCATTTGTTTGTATCCTATTTTATTTCATCGAGCAGTGGTTTGTAGTTCTTGAAGAGGTCCTTCATGTCCCTTGTAATTTGGATTCCTAGATATTTTATTCTCTTTGAAGCAGTTGTGAGTGGGAGTTCACTCATGATTTGGCTCTCTGTCTGTTATTGGTGTATAAGAATGCTTGTGATTTTTGCACACTGATTTTGTATCCTGAGACTTTGCTGAATCTATCAGCTTAAGGAGATTTTGGGCTGAGACAGTGGGGTTTTCTAGATATACAATCATGTCATCTCCAAACAGGGACAATTTGACTTCTTCTTTTCCTAATTGAATACCCTTTATTTCCTTCTCCTGCTTGATTGCCCTGACCAGAACTTCCAACACTATGTTGAATAGGAGTGGTGAGAGAGGGAATCCCTGTCTTGTGCCAGTTTTCAAAGGGAATGCTTCCAGTTTTTGCCCATTCAGTATGATATTGACTGTGGGTTTGTCATAGATAGCTCTTATTATTTTGAGATATATCCCATCAATACCTAGTTTATTGAGAGTTTTTAGCATGAAGTGTTGTTGAGTTTTGTCAAAGGCCTTTTCTGCATCTATTGAGATAATCATGTGGTTTTTGTCTTTGGTTCTGTTTATATGCTGGATTATGTTTATTGATTTGCATATGTTGTACCAGCCTTGCATCCCAGGGATGAAGCCCACTTGATCATGGTGGATAAGCTTTTTGATGTGCTGCTGGATTCGGTTTGCCAGTATTTTATTGAGGATTTTTGCATCAATGTTCATCAGGGATATTGGTCTAAAATTCTCTTTTTTGGTTGTGTCTCTGCCAGGCTTTGGTATCAGGATGATGCTGGCCTCATAAAATGAGTTAGGGAGGATTCTCTATTTTTCTATTGATTGGAATAGTTTCAGAAGGAATGGTACCAGCTCCTCCTTGTACCTCTGGTAGAATTTGGCTGTGAATCCATCTGGTCCTGGACTTTTTTTGGTTGGTAAGCTATTAATTATTGCCTCAATTTCAGAGCCTGTTATTGGTATATTCAGAAATTCAACTTCTTCCTCGTTTAGTCTTGGGAGGGTGTATGTGTCCAGGAATTTATCCATTTCTTCTAGATTTTCTAGTTTATTTGCGTAGAGGTGTTTATAGTATTCTCTGATGGTAGTTTGTATTTCTGTGGTATTGGTGGTGATATCCCCTTTATTATTTTTTATTGCGTCTATTTGATTCTTCTCTCTTTTCTTCTTTATTAGTCTTGCTAGCAGTCTATCAATTTTGTTGATCTTTTCAAAAAACCAGCTCCTGGATTCATTGATTTTTTGAAGGGTTTTTTATGTCTCTATTTCCTTCAGTTCTGCTCTGATCTTAGTTATTTCTTGCCTTCTGCTAGCTTTTGAATGTGTTTGCTCTTGCTTCTCTAGTTCTTTTCATTGTGATGTTAGGGTGTCAATTTTAGATCTTTCCTGCTTTCTCTTGTGGGCATTTAGTGCTATAAATTTCCCTCTACACACTGCTTTGAATGTGTCCCAGAGATTCTGGTATGTTGTGTCTTTGTTCTCGTTGGTTTCAAAGAACATCTTTATCTCTACCTTCATGTCGTTATGTACCCTGTAGTCATTCAGGAGCAGGTTGTTCAGTTTCCATGTAGTTGAGTGGTTTTGAGTGAGGTTCTTAATCCTGAGTTCTAGTTTGATTGCACTGTGGTCTGAGAGACAGTTTGTTATAATTTCTGTTGTTTTACATTTGCTGAGGAGTGCTTTACTTCCATCTATGTGGTCAATTTTGGAATAGGTGTGGTGTGGTGCTGAGAAGAATGTATATTCTGTTGATTTGGGGTGGAGAGTTCTGTAGATGTCTATTAGGTCTGCTTGGTGCAGAGCTGAGTTCAATTCCTGGATATCCTTGTTATCTTTCTGTCTTGTTGATCTAATGTTGACAGTGGGGTGTTAAAGTCTCCCATTATTATTGTGTGGTAGTCTAAGTCTCTTTGTAGGTCTCTAAGGACTTGCTTTATGAATCTGGGTGCTCCTGTATTGGGTGCATATATATTCAGGATAGTTAGCTCTTCTTGTTGAATTGATCCCTTTACCATTATGTAATAGCCTTCTTTGTGTCTTTTGATCTTTGTCGGTTTAAAGTCTGTTTTATCAGAGACTAGGATTGCAACCCCTGCCTTTTTTTGTTTTCCATTTGCTTGGTAGATCTTCCTCCATCCCTTTATTTTGAGCCTATGTGTGTCTCTGCATATGAGATGGGTTTCCTAAATACAGCACACTGATGGGTCTTGACTCTTTATCCAGTTTGCCAGTCTGTGTCTTTTAATTGAAGCATTTAGCCCATTTACATTTAAGGTTAATATTGTTATGTGTGAATTTGATCCTGTCATTATGATGGTAGCTGGTTATTTTGCTCATTAGTTGATGCAGTTTCTTCCTAGCCTCAATGGTCTTTACAATTTGGCATGTTTTTGCAGTGGCTGGTACCAGTTGTTTCTTTCCATGTTTAGTGCTTCCTTCAGGAGCTCTTTTAGGGCAGGCCTGGTGGTGACAAAATCTCTCAGCATTTGTTTTTCTGTATTTTATTTCTCCTTCACTTATGAAGCTTAGTTTGGCTGGATATGAAATTCTGGGTTGAAAATTCTTTTCTTTAGGAATGTTGAATATTGGCCCCCACTCTCTTCTGGCTTGTAGAGTTTCTGCCAGGAGATCAGCTGTTAGTCTGATGGGCTTCCCTTTGTGGGTAACCTGAGCTTTCTCTCTGTCTGCCCTTAACATTTTTTCCATTTCAACTTTGGTGAATCTGACAATTATGTGTCTTGGAGTTGCTCTTCTAGAGGAGTATCTTTGTGGCATTCTCTGTATTTCCTAAATTTGAATGTTGGCCTGCCTTGCTAGATTGAGGAAGTTCTCCTGGATATTATCCTGCAGAGTGTTTTCCAACTTGGTTCCATTCTCCCCATCACTTTCAGGTACACCAATCAGATGTAGATTTGGTCTTTTCACATAGTCCCATATTTCTTGGAGACTTTGGTCATTTCTTTTTATTCTTTTTTCTCCAAACCCCTCTTCTCGCTTGATTTTATTCATTTGATCTTCCATCACTGATACCCTTTCTTCCAGTTGATCAAATCGGCTACTGAGGCTTGTGCATTCATCATGTAGTTCTCATGCCATGGTTTTCAGCTCCATCACGTCCTTTAAGGACTTCTCTGCATTGGTTATTCTAGTTAGCCATTTGTCTAATTTTTTTTCAAGGTTTTTAACTTCTTTGCCATGGGTTCGAACTTCCTCCTTTAGCTCAGAGTAGTTTGATCGTCTGAAGCGTTCTTCTCTCAACTCATCAAAGTCATTCTCTGTCCAGCTTTGTTCCATTGCTGGTGAGGAGCTGCGTTCCTTTGGAGGAGGAGAGGCACTCTGATTTTTACAGTTTCCAGTTTTTCTGCTCTGGTTTTTCCCCATCTTTGTGGTTTTATCTACCTTTGGTCTTTGATGATGGTGATGTACAGATGGGGTTTTGGTGTGGATGTCCTTTCTGTTTGTTAGTTTTCCTTCTAACAGACAGGACCCTCAGCTGCAGGTCTGTTGGAGTTTGCTGGAGGTCCACTCCAGACCTTGTTTACCTTGGTATCAGCAGCAGAGGCTGCAGAACAGCGGATATTGGTGAACAGCAAATGTTGTTGCCTGATCATTCCTCTGGAAGTTTTGTCTCAGAGGAGTACCCAGCTGTGTGATGTGTCAATGTGCCCCTACTGGGGTGTGCCTCCCAGTTTGGCTACTCGGGGGTCAGGGACCACATGAGGAAGCAGTCTGCCCATTCTCAGATCTCCAGCTGCGTGCTGGGAGAAACACTATTCTCTTCTAAGCTGTCAGACAGGGACTTTTAAGTCTGCAGAGGATTCTGCTGCCTTTTGTTTGGCTATGCCTGCCCCCAGAGGTGGACTCTATAGAGGCAGGCAGGCAGGCAGGCAGGCAGGCCTCCTTGTGCTGCGGTGAGCTCCACCCAGTTTGAGCTTCTCGGCTGCTTTGTTTACCTACTCAAGCCTCAGAAATGGCGGGTGCCCCTCCCCCAGCCTCACTGCCGCCTTGCAGTTTGATCTCAGACTGCTGTGGTAGCAATGAGTGAAGCTCCATGGGCGTAGGATCCTCTGAGGCAGGCGCGGGATATAATCTGCTGGTGTGCCATTTGCTAAGACCGTTGGAAAAGCACAGTATTAGGGTGGGAGTGACCCAATTTTCCAGGTGCCATCTGTCACCCCTTTCTTTGACTAGGAAAGGGAATTCCCTGACCCCTTGTGCTTCCTGGGTGAGGCGATGCCTCACCCTGCCTCGGCTAACGCTGAGTGCACTGCACGCGCTGTCTTGCACCCACTTTCTGACACTCCCCAGTGAGGTGAACCCGGTACCTCAGTTGGAAATGCAGACATCACCCGTCTTCTGCCTCGCTTACACTGGGAGCTGTAGACTGGAGCTGTTCCTATTCGGCCATCTTGGTTCCACCCCCTGAAAATCCTGCATATTTCATTTAAATATATTTCACCTCACATTTAGCATGTCCTTTTATTTTTTGGTGTTAAAATTGTCTTAGAAAATAATTGTGATGGTGGGTAGTCCTTTTTTTTTTTTGAACATATTACTTGGCAAAAATTTAAAACTGGCACCCACATGTCAGTGTTCCAGCATCTTTCTCCCACAAGCTCTTTTGAGGTAATTTGGGGCCACCACAGGTGTTGAGGAGGAGGTGACGATAGGGACTTGCTTGCTACTCCACAGCCTCTACCCCATATCTTCAGCCAGACTAGTTCTGCTGCTTTTCTGTTTTATATATTACAGTTTAATTTGTACTTTCATCCAGGGTGGAGCCTTCTCCAGCACCCTCTATTTTGCCTTCTCACCATCCCCTCACTGGCCCTCTACTTCTGCGTTCTGAATTCTCACTGCATCCTGGGCCCAAGCACTTGTAGTGTGCAATAATTATTCTTCATGGAAAACACAACATTGTTGTCTACCATATGGTTTTTTGCCACCTTAGCGGTTGCCTTTGTTGGGTTTGATTTACCCCACGTTAAATGGGCAACAGTTATGCACCGTGGGCGCCATCAGGTCATGATACTAAGATTTAAATTCAATAGCACTGATGAATTCAAACCCTACATTTTTGTGAAGCTGGCTTTCGGTACATAACCTTGAGTGAACTTAGCTCTCTGTCTGGCACCTAGTGGGCATGGATAGAGTTTTCAGCAGGAAAGAGACTGAGGTGATGAGACATTTTCCCTTTTCTTCTAGAAACAAACACCCAAAGCGCCTCTTTTGTATTTGCTTTGAAGAGACGGAGAATATGATTCTGTAGGCTCACATACTAGGTGACATTGCAGGCTGTCTCTACCGAAAAGTACAAGCATCGCCTAGGGTTCTGTGACACACACAGTTCCCCACGGTAGAGTTCTGATGCTGTTTTTGCCTCATTTAAACGGTGAGGTGGGTGACAGTTTAAACTTATTTACTGTTTCATATTTTTGTTATGGAAATCTTAAAAAATATACAAGTAGAGAGTGTAGTATAACAATATAATAGTGTAGCTCTCTGTTCTTGTTCCATCTCTTCCACTCCATTTGTTTTAAGCTGGAGTCTTTTTTCCCCCCAAGTACATCTCAAGCCATTTTTAAAAGGAACCCAGCATCACCTTATTTCTGTCCCCCCACTGCCCTGCCCATGAACTGCCCCTCTCTCCCCAAAAAGGTGCTCAAAAGTGTCAGAGCACCTTGCTTCTGACAGCCTCAAAGTATTCAGCCTTACCACCAAGACAAGCACCCACCTGTTTCCTTGCTCCCTGAGTGAAGGACACATCTGAATCCTGTAGATGAGCCAGCACTAGTCTTAGCAAAACCAAGGTCGTTGTGGTCATGCTGCCATCACACTGCCAAAAGATCAGGGCCTCCAGAGAGCTGGGAGCACCTGACCCTGGCCCAGGGAGCTGGAAAAATTGACCGTGGGGGTTTTGAGTGCAGAAGGTTCAAGGGTAAAAGTTTTTCTCCCACAATAAATGCACCTCCAGGAAAACACAGCCCCTGGAGGCCTGACCACTGCCAAGCCTGTGAGCTCTACCTCTCCGGGCCCTTTCTGCTACCACTTTTATCTCCCAATTTAAAAGCAGGACTCCTTGTGACCCTGCCCAGAGAATGGGGTCAGAGTTATTGGAGGTTTGCTAGCAGATGGAGGTATCATGAGCTACTAAGGCCAGTGGAACAAGGGCAGGAGGCGCAGTTAGAAGCTTTTGAAGATGATCCCAGAGGGAACATGAAATGATGCAGAGGTGACTTGTGCCACTGGATGTCAGATTCTACAGGCAGAGGATGGGACAGTGACCTCCCTCAGTGATAACCCGTAGCACGTGCCATTGATTTCATACAGTTCGGTTTTAAGGAAGGGCAGGTTATCTTTTTTTTTTTTTTTTTTTGAGACAGAGCCTTGCTCTGTCACCCAGGCTGGAGTGCAGTGGCACAATCTCGGCTCACTGCAAGCTCCGCCTCCTGGGTTCATGCCATTGTCCTGCCTCAGCCTCCTGAGTAGCTGGGACTACAGGCGCCTGCCACCACGCCTGGCTAATTTATATTTTTAGTAGAGACGGGGTTTAGTAGTAGCCAGGATGGTCTCACTCTCCTGACCTCATGATCCGCCTGCCTCGGCCTCCCAAAGTGCTGGGATTACAGGCATGAGCCACTGCGCCCGGCCCCATTATCTCTTGATGAATATCTCTTATCCTATTTTCTGAGTTTCTTAAAGACAAGAATATTCTTAACTTTCACTGTTAGAACTCTATGTGTTTTGCCTGCTATGTAAACTAGGGCTCCCTTTTATCTCTTTTTAGGCTGCTGTCTCCAAAGCCTTTCCCCACTCCCTCACCATAGTAGGCCAAGACTGGCAGATAAGTGTGCTTTCTGCTTCTATCCCCTTGAAGTTTCACAGACTTCATGAAGTCTTTTGGAATGACAGTGCCTATCCTCTCATCCTATTTTCAGTCTGACAGCCCAGAAATGGAGCATCATTATAGTTATATTGGTGTTGATGTCAGTAGGTCATCAGGAAGCTTCACCATCCTGGCGGCAGCATGCCAAGAGACTGGGTTGGCCAGGAGATGTCTCCCATAGGGATATGGGAAGGGCTTTGAGACCATCTTGGCCTCACATGGGTGCTAATGTAGTCACCACTCTCTCTATACTCTCTGCTTTCCCTCCAGGAGGGCCGCAAGAACGAGATGCTGCTGTCCAAGGTGAAAGCGAAGGCCTCCTGAACATCCCCAGCCGTGGCTGTATGTCATTGATTTTACTTTTAAGCACCGTATATCACCTACAAGATCATGAAATGGTTCTGAAAGCGACAGTAGAGAGATGCAGTTGTGATGATTTCAACAACCTGGATGTTTTCTTTCTCCTCTTTGCTTCCATTCATCTCTGTTGGCTGCTGTTGATGGAGTCAGACAGTAAACACGTGGCTTGGATAACACCCATCATCCTATGAAGAATATAGGGAGTACTTGTTCTCTGTTGATTCAACTTTTATGTCTCCAGTAACATTGCGCTTATGAAGGTACCTGTATTTGTATGGACTCTGAATAAAGAAGAATTCATTTGTTTAGCAAGTATTAGTTCAGCAACCACTGAGAAATAAGCACTGAGGAAGATTCAGAGACGTGTAAAACACAGTTCCTACTGCACAAGTACCCAGCAGGTGGCCCAGGGAGGCAGATACAGCACACTTGACCGCAGAACTGGGCTATCCAAGATGTTTTTCAGTAAACAGAAGGCATTTAGCTGAAATGATCAGCCCATGTAGTGTTGGTCACTTGGGCCTTTCACCTGCCATGGTACCTTTTGTTCCCAGCTCCTCCAGGTGCCAGCCAGCAGGCTTGGTGGTGACAGCAACTGGAACGAAAGTTCAGTGTTGTTTTAATTTTTATACGTTACTCAAGTTGATTTCTCAGAAAATTGAAAACAGACCTTGTGCTGAGGACACGTCAATAAAAATTATACCTTCCCCTGCCCCAATGTTCATGTGAGTCACAGCATGCAGAGGGGCTGTGCATCCCCCTCATTGAAGGCACATTTGATGAGGCTACGCTGCAGATGGGTCATGGTCTGAGCCAGGAGAGAGATAGACACTGTTCCCTGCACTCAAGGCAAGTAGGGTGTCAGGAGGAAGAGCAGTAGGGTTTGCAGAGATCCAGGGAAACTTCCTGGAGGAGGCAGCATTTGAGCCCTATCTAAAGGGAGAATCGGATGTTGATAGGAAGACTGTTTTAAATGAAAATACACTATGATTAAAAACCCAAGAGAGTGCAGAGGAGTACAAGGCATGCATGTTGGGAAAGGAGGGAATAAGCTAGTCTCTGCAGGAGGCTTCAGAGACCCGTCTGGGAAGTAGGGCTGAGACTAGGCTTTGGAGGGCCTTGAAGGGCAGCTGAGGGTTGATTTTAATCCTTGGAAATGACCAGTGCAGATCAAACATGGAGCTCCTGCTGCCCTGGTCCTCAGGAGTCTGGTAACTCAGTCATGTTCTGTAGGTTTGTGCTCCATTTTGCATAAATCTTGCAAACATACCAGGTGGCAGGTTTGCACAGTAACACAAAAGCTTAAACATGTCAAGCAAGTGGGGCATTCAGCAGCCACAGAAATGTGTTCATTTTTAGTCCCTAATGGATGTGATTAAGCAGGGCTGATGTGTACAGATTTAAAAACACACACACGTGCTGGATTAAAAACAGCCACTGGTTTCAGTGCCAGGGCCAGCAAGGCCTACCTGAGCCAGGCGGAAGCAGCAGCTTGCAAATAGAAACTGCCACCTGCGAGCGCTTCTTGGGTCATGTGCAGCTCCACCTCAGCTGGTCCCTGAGCCGTGGTCATGTGGGGGTTTTGAAGGGCTAAGTTGAAGCAAGTAATTGCAAAAGAACAGGTGGCACTCTGAGGGCAGGGGAAGGAGACAGAAGTTTGACTGCGTTTGAAATTATTTCAGTCAGGGAAACATCTGCGTTGTCTTGTTAAGCAGCTTGTAGGCCCACCCCTGGCTAACTGAACTTTGTGAGCAGTTGGGGCAGTTATTTGAATATTTGTCCAAAGGTGGTAGGGAGGCAGATGACATTCTGGGGTTACTGGAGTCCACCTCTGTGCTGATGGGGAAAGTATGGCATGATGAATCCAAAGCAACCAGTAATTCTTTTTGAAAGTGCAGGCATTTATTTTGAGCTGTATTTCATAGGAGTTTCATTTGGTTTGGTTTTGGTATAGAGAGGTGTCCATAGATCTCTATTCCCTTTTTTTTTTTATCGACAAGGCCTACTACGGATAAATCAGTTTTTGTTGCCTGAATACACTTTGAATTAGACTACAGAAGCCAGTTTGAGCTCAAATTTCACACTTGCTGCAGACAACTCTCAGTGTGGACAGTGCCTTTCTGAGTAATTAGGATGTTACATGACTTTTTGGTGAAGCCGTATAGGGTAAGGAGATGCCCCAAGGCCCCTGATCATTTCAGAAGCCACCTGGAGCACCAGAAGGGGTCATCTTCCCAGGGCTATGGCTCTGTGTGCTTAGACAGACATAGTATGGAATTGTGCTCTAAGCCCACAGGCTTCTCCGGAGTTAAAAGGAAGCAAGAACATCCTTAAGTTACTTTTTCAAAATATGCGCTTCAGGAGGAACCAGGTTTCCCCAGGAGAGAGAGGCTCCCTGCTCAATCAGCACAGGGAGTTGCTAGCGGGCAGGCTGCCCAGTGCTGTGGAATCTCCGCCAGCCTCTGGGTTGGGGGCTCCCTCCCACTTCTTGCTTCTTATGGAGTACATGGGACTGCTCTGCTTTAAGCCGCGATCAGAGCTGTTGTGAGCAGGACAAGATTGCGTGATCACGAGGTGCGTGGGGAGATGCTAGGACATTTGTTGATGTCTTTGACCTGTGCTCCGTCTCTGTTGGATGACTGGGTTAGCTAACACCACTAGAGGGAGGTACAGAATGTTAAACAGTCGTCAGAGTCACACTGAGGGTTGTTTTAACAGAGGGCAAATTCCCAGTTTGTCAAGCATATCTCTGTTAGAGTCCGAAGTTCATGGTTTTAATGGTTCTAGCTCGTAGCCCTTAATATTTTCAGGATAGCTGGGTCCTGCCAGTGTCCGCTGAGTCCATCAGCACAACCAGAAGGTCCAGGGTCCAGGCATGGGAAGCATTCTCTGACAATACCGAGCCCTCGGGACCTCCTGAAACCTTGAGCAGAGGCTGGAGAAGACCTTCAGACAGTCCTTTTACTACCTCACAAAGTGCCATGCCCGGGACCTCAGACCTCAGGGTTGTGACGTTGTTGATGTTGTCAGGCCCCAGTACGTCTCTAGTGACCGAAGCAGACCTGCCTGAAAGGGCACTCCGGACAGTGAGCCCTGGCTCTAACCTGTGCCCTCATATTTCTGCTGCCTCATATGGTCTTGTTTGCCCACTCTGTAGGTGACTGATCACCCTAAAAGGGAGGTAGGTATCTAGCAGTAGCACAGTTACTTTGAGCCTGACCACTTGTTCTGAAGTGCAGATGTTGAAACATGCATTGAGGAAGAACACTTTAAGGAAGCACTTTATGATTTACTCATGGCTGGTGTTGGCCTCAAAGTAAAAGAACATCTTAATGCAGAACAGTACAATAAAGAGCCCCATAGGATGGATGCCATCATCTGTCCCCATGGTTGGGATTGCCAAGGAAAGTGCCTTGTTCTGTGCATCTTCAGAATCCCCCAGGCCCTCTCTTGATCCTTTTCATGAAGTCCAGAGCATTCCTTCTATTACAGGCTGAAGATGCATTGTAAAAGGTAATGCTATAATAGTATTCCCTCTTCTCAATAAATGTGCAAAACTGGAGAATCTGGTGCTGATCTGCAGCATACTTGACAACACAGGGAATACCGTGGATGTTCCACGCCAGCCTTACATCCGTCCCCATTGCCTGCCCATGTCCAGTGGCCCTGCGCAACAAAAGTAAGGGCTTGTCTTACCACACTCTCCCCAGCATCTAGCTCAAGGTAGATGACTGACTGGGAAATTCCGGTTGGATAAAATGGCTTTTCCACATTGCAACTTTGCATCTCTATTAGGAAAATTTAGATTGAACCTTTCCTCTACTTGATGCTTAGTTTGAGAACAGTTTTCACAACTTTAGAGGGTCTCTCTCAGAGTATGTTATACTGTAACCTTGAAGTTTGAGATGAAACAAGGTGTCAGAGGTTTTGAATCTTTCAAAGGAATTGCCTTTTACAGATTTTTTTTTTTATTCCCTAAGAAGGGAAAAAGAGAGGGAAGAACTACACTAATGTTAGAGATAAGGTATGTTTTGGCTCAAAATGTGTCATGAACCTAAAGGTAACTTGATGGGCAGAAATGTCTCAGCCATGTGAACCAAGAAGTGGGACCACAGTGCAAGGCTGTGGGTGGCAGCACTAGATACGGTGGTGGCAGGAGTGTGACATGTAGGCACTCCATGGGGGACAGCTGGACGGTGTCTATCAAAAGTGCAAATGCATAAGCTCTTTGAACTAGCAATGCTACTCCTAAGAATTGTACCTGTGTACAAGGTACTTGTGTACAAGAGTTTTTGTTGAAACATTGTAATAGCAAAAAGTTGGAGAGTGCCACCAATACAGGGGAATGGTTAAATACATTATGGCCAGCTTAAACAATGGAATAGTTTGTAGAAATTTAAAACAATGGATCCTGTGTGTGTGTACTACCATAGAATGGGCCCCAAGATGCATGATTAAGTGAGGAAAAAAGCCCATGGTATCCTAATGTTTGGAATGGAGAAAGTGTGTAGATGTATGTGTGTGCATATGTTTTCACACAGACGTATACACGTGTATATCATATGTCCACCTGCATATGCCTAGGATGTCTCTGGGAGGATATCTAGCAGCCCGGCAGCCTGAATTGCCTCTGGGAAGAGGGGTGGGAATGACTTTTCAATGTACACCTTTTGTACCTTTTGAATTTTGTACCATGTACATGTATTATCTATTAAAAAATAGTTCTTAATTTTTAATTTGGTATACTTTTCTTAATAGAACCAAAATGGAAGAAAATTCTGATTCTCTAAATCTGCTTTCTTAAAGATAAAGCCTTTGATTCAAAAGTAGTGAGACTCTTTCTTGGGTCTTGAGGCAATGGGCCATGCAAAGGGAGGTGTCCTTTTCTGGTGGAATAGAATGCGGCAGTGAAGCAGAGGCTGGCTCTTCTCACACTCTGGGAGCATGTTGGGCTGGCAGAGGGAGGGATGGGGATGGGGAAATGGATGGTGATGTGACTAATCACTGGGACAGACGGGCTGCTGCAGGGTTCCGTCCATCTTACAAAAATCACAGTGCAACCCTGGTCCTCTGACTTTTGGGGTACAAAAGATAGGCATACCTCTGAGTCATGATTCAAGGGGGGCTGTTAACATCCTCCAGAAGCCGTGCCCATCTTGTGTAGAAACCTGCTGTGGGTGAGCCTTCCCCACCCCTGCCTTCTTTTAAAAACCAACACAACTCTGATTTTGTCCAGCTCCGAGGTGGCCGTGTGTCAGCCCCAAGAGAGGAACATGACAGCTTTTCCAGTCAGGGGAATCTCACTTTTTTTGGCCAACTGCTGGTTTGCGGATGGATGTCTAACCCAGTTATGACCAGTTTTGGGGAGACTGCTGAACTTCTGGCAAAGACTTTCCTGATGATCAGTGAGAGATGCACTAGGAGAGCTTCACCCTTTCTTCCTGTGATAAGTTATGGAGGGGGGACAGGGTTTGAGCAACTTCAGCCATCTTGAGACCATGAAAAGAGACATCACAACACACTGAGGTTGGCAGAGGGAAAAGGTGGAAAGAGCCTTGGCTCTCTGAAGGCATGATGAGCCTCTCAACCACACTGAGGCCCACCTGCTTCCATATTCTTGTTCCATGAGAAAAATGAACCTCTGTTAGCTTGTGCATTCAACCAACAAATACTTGAGTTTCTTCTATGTGTCAGGCCCTGAGAATATAGCAGTAAAAAAAGCAGACAAGAGAACCTGCTTTCCTGGAGCTACTCTCCAGTGGGAAAAAACACACAAACAAGAGAAATACGTAAATATTGTCATGTGGTATTTCAACATGCTGATTAAAGCACGGAAGGTATCAGGAGTGTCTGGTTTGGTGGCGGTTGCAATTTTATATTGAGAAGTGAAGGAAGGCCTCACTCACTGACTAGTGAGGGAGTGAGTATATAGATACCTGTGTAAAGAACAGTCCAGGCACAGGGGATAGCAAGTGTAAAGGCCCTAAGGTAGGAGCATACCCAGCAGGTGAGTTTGAGGAACATGAAGGAGACCTGTGTGGGGAGCCACTGGAGGGTTTTTGAGAAGGAAAGCAATGTGATCTGGGTTCATTTTTGTTTGTTTGTTTGTTTGTTTGTTTTGAGATGGTGTTTCGCTCTTGTTGCCCAGGCTGGAGTGCAGTGGCACGATCTCGGCTCACTGCAACCTCCACCTCCCGGGCTCAAGTGATTCTCCTGCCTCAGCCTCCCGAGTAACTGGGATTACAGGCATGTGCCACCACACCTGGCTAATTTTATATTTTTAGTAGAGATGGGGTTTCTCCACAGTGGTCAGGCTGGTCTCAAACTCCTGAGCTCAGCTGATCCACCCACCTCAGCCTCCCAAAGTGCTGGGATTATAGGCGTGAGCCACCATACCCGGCCAATCTGGCTTCATTTTAATAGGCATCCCTACACTGGTGCAGTGGCTCATGCCTGTCGTCCCAGCACTTTGGGAGGCTGAGGAGGGGAGATCGCTTGAGCCCAGGAGTTCAAGACCAGCCTGGGCAATATGGCGAAACCCCGTCTTTACTATAAATACAAAAAATTAGCCAGGCATGGTGGAGCACACCTGTAGTCCCAGCTACTCGGGAGGCAGAGGTGGGAGGATGGGTTGAGCCTGGGAAGTCGAGGCTGCAGGGAGCCATGTTCACGCCACCACACTCCAGCCTGGGTGACAGAGTGAGACTGTCTCAAAAAATAAAAATAAATAAAAAATAAGGATCCCTCTGGAGGGCTGTGTTGACTATAGGGAGGGCAGAAGCAGGGAGCCCAGTTAAGAGACCCCTGAAATAGTCCAGATTTAAATATAACTGAAAGGAAAGTTTTATAAGACAATACTTAGCCTTTTAATACTACACTCTGATTTTTTTTCCTGTTTTGAAAATGCTGAGCATTGAAGTGCTGCTTTCCATCATCCCATCATAGCAGATGCCTTTTCATGGCAGGTGGAATGTACTTCCCCTTGACTCTGGGCTTTTGCTTGTCCTATGGGTTAGCTGACTTGACACAAGTTTTGAAAGTATGCTTGCATGGTTGGGTTTACCTTCTTGCCCTTCTCTCTTGAGAAGAACGTACCCTGTTGGCCCAAGGACAGGATGAAGGACAAACAGAGCAGGCCTAGACGCAACCTAAAGCTTGAAGCCAAGCCTAGATGAGCCCTGCCTAGATCAGTGAAATCCCAGCCAACTCAGGCATATAAGCAAGAAATAAAGACTTGCTATATGTCACAGAGACTTCGTAGTAATTGCACATGACTATTGAGAATGTCGCTGATTGAGTCAACTACCAAATTGGTTTCATGATAGGGTGTGACCTGGAGTTGAAAAGATACCTCTCAACACCACTCAGGTGACAGGCCAGAAGAGCAGCCTCTGGGGATGGGACCTACATGTGGAATAGACACTCACAGAGCACAGCCATCATGATAAGAATCCACAGTCCCTCAGACAAGACCAGGCATGGTAGCTCATGCCTATAATTCCAGCAGTTTGGGAAGCTAAAGTGGGAGGATTGCTTGAGGCCAGGGGTTCAAGAGACCAGCCTGGGCAACACAGGAAGATCCTGTCTCTATACAAAAAATATTTTAACTTTCTACATATGGCTAGCCAGTTTTCCCAGCACCATTTATTAAATAGGGAATCCTTTCCCCAATGCTTGTTTTTCTCAGGTTTGTCAAAGATCAGATGGTTGTAGATATGCGGTGTTATTTCTGAGGGCTCTGTTCTATTCCATTGATCTATATCTCTGTTTTGGTACCAGTACCATGCTGTTTTGGTTACTGTAGCCTTGTAGTATAGTTTGAAGTCAGGTAGTGTGATGCCTCCAGCTTTGTTCTTTTGGATTAGGATTGACTTGGCGATGTGGGCTCTTTTTTGGTTCCATATGAAATTTAAAGTAGTTTTTTCCAATTCTGTGAAGAAAGTCATTGCTACCTTGATGGGGATGGCATTGAATCTATAAATTACCTTGGGCAGTATGGCCATTTTCATGATACTGATTCTTCCTACCCGTGAGCATGGAATGTTCTTCCATTTGTTTGTATCCTCTTTTATTTCATTGAGCAGTGGTTTGTAGTTCTCCTTGTAGAGGTCCTTCATGTCCCTTGTAAGTGGATTCCTAGGTATTTTATTCTCTTTGAAGCAATTGTGAATGGGAGTTCACTCATGATTTGGCTCTCTGTCTGTTATTCTGTATAAGAATGCTTGTGATTTTTGCACATTGATTTTGTATCCTGAGACTTTGCTGAAGTTGCTTATCAGCTTAAGGAGATTTTGGGCTGAGACAATGGGGTTTTCTAGATATACAATCATGTCGTCTGCAAACGGGGACAATTTGACTTCCTCTTTTCCTAATTGAATACCCTTTATTTCCTTCTCCTGACTAATTGCCCTGGCCAGAACTTCCAACACTATGTTGAATAGGAGTGGTGAGAGAGGGCATCCCTGTCTTGTGCCAGTTTTCAAAGGGAATGCTTCCAGTTTTTGCCCATTCAGTATGATATTGGCTGTGGGTTTGTCATAGATAGCTCTTATTATTTTGAGATACGTCCCATCAACACCTAATTTATTGAGAGTTTTTAGCATGAAGGGTTGTTGAATTTTGTCAAAGGCCTTTTCTGCATCTATTGAGATAATCATGTGGTTTTTGCCTTTGGTTCTGTTTATATGCTGGATTACATTTATTGATTTGCGTATATTGAACCAGCCTTGCATCCCAGGGATGAAGCCCACTTGATCATGGTGGATAAGCTTTTTGATGTGCTGCTGGATTCGTTTTGCCAGTATTTTATTGAGGATTTTCACATCAATGTTCATCAAGGATATTGGTCTAAAATTCTCTTTTTTGGTTGTGTCTCTGCCAGGCTTTGGTATCAGGATGATGCTGGCCTCATAAAATGAGTTAGGGAGGATTCCCTCTTTTTCTATTGATTGGAATAGTTTCAGAAGGAATGGTAGCCATATGTAGAAAGCTGAAACTGGATCCCTTCCTTACACCTTATACAAAAATCAATTCAAGATGGATTAAAGACTTAAACGTTAGACCTAAAACCATAAAAACCCTAGAAAAAAACCTAGGCATTACCATTCAGGACATAGGCATGGGCAAGGACTTCATATCTAAAACACCAAAAGCAATGGCAACAAAAGACAAAATTGACAAATGGGATCTCATTAAACTAAAGAGCTTCTGCACAGCAAAAGAAACTACCATCAGAGTGAACAGGCAACCCACAAAATGGGAGAAGATTTTCACAACCTACTCATCTGACAAAGGGCTAATATCCAGAATCTACAATGAACTCAAACAAATTTACAAGAAAAAAACAAACGACCCCATCACAAAGTGGGTGAAGGACATGAACAGACACTTCTCAAAAGAAGACATTTATGCAGCCAAAAAACACATGAAAAAATGCTCACCATCACTGGCCATCAGAGAAATGCAAATCCAAACCACAACGAGATATCATCTCACACCAGTTAAAATGGCAATCATTAAAAAGTCAGGAAACAACAGGTGCTGGAGAGGATGTGGAGAAATAGGAACACTTTTACACAGTTGGTGGGACTGTAAACTAGTTCAACCATTGTGGAAGTCAGTGTGGCAATTCCTCAGGGATCTAGAACTACAAATACCATTTGACCCAGCCATCCCATTACTAGGTATATACCCAAAGGACTATAAATCATGCTGCTATAAAGACACATGCACACGTATGTTTATTGTGGCATTATTCCCAATAGCAAAGACTTGGAACCAACCCGAATGTCCAACAATGATAGACTGGATTAAGAAAATGTGGCACATATACACCATGGAATACTATGCAGCCATAAAAAATGATGAGTTCATGTCCTTTGTAGGGACATGGATGAAACTGGAAACCATCATTCTCAGTAAACTATCACAAGAACAAAAAACCAAACACTGCATATTCTCACTCATATATGGGAATTGAACAATGAGAACACATGGACACAGGAAGGGGAACATCACACTCTGGGAACTGTTGTGGGGTGGGGGGAGCGGGGAGGGATAGCACTGGGAGATATACCTAATGCTAGATGACAAGTTAGTGGGTGCAGCGCACCAGCATGTCACATGTATACATATGTAACTAAACTGCACATTTTGCACATGTACCCTAAAACTTAAAAGTATAAAAATAAAAAGAAAAATTAAAAAAAATGTTTAAAAATTAAAAAATAAATTCCCTCAGACATGCCTAAAGAAACATGGAGGGCACCTGTTGTTTCCTGACTTTTTAATGATTGCCATTCTAACTGGTGTGAGATGATATACACCATGGAATACTATGCAGCCATAAAAAATGATGAGTTCATATCCTTTGTAGGGACATGGATGAAATTGGAAACCATCATTCTCAGTAAACTATCGCAAGAACAAAAAACCAAACACCGCATATTCTCACTCATAGGTGGGAATTGAACAATGAGATCACATGGACACAGGAAGGGGAATATCACACTCTGGGGACTGTGGTGGGGTCGGGGGAGGGGGGAGGGATAGCATTGGGAGATATACCTAATGCTAGATGACACATTAGTGGGTGCAGCGCACCAGCATGGCACATGTATACATATGTAACTAACCTGCACAATGTGCACATGTACCCTAAAACTTAGAGTATAATAAAAAAAAAAAAAAAAAAAAAGAAACATGGAGGGCATATTCAAAGGGAGAAAAGTAGCATACTTTATACATTATACATGACCAAATTAATAAAACTCTTCCATTAGCCACATCCATCCTACAGACCTGGAACTTTGTGAAATTAAATTGTGATACCTTAGAAAATAAATCCACACAGGAAAGAGATGAATTCCTCTAACAGCCTCCCAACTCCATCTTAGTCATGTTCTATAGGCAGAGGAGACAGAGATAAGACAGAGACATTACACTTACCAAGGATGTTCCTAGAATGTTAACTGGAAATCAGATGTGTTTTTGTCAATAGAATTCCATTCTGAATACTCTGAATTAAAAGGAATCATAAGTGCATCCTTGCATAAAGTCAATCATCAACTGATCCGTTTCAGGAATTCAACATTTTGTAATTATTGTGAGCAGTTGAAGAAGGCTTTACTAACTGAAGAAAAGTTTGAAGCCTAAAATGTCCAGCAGAAGTTGCCACCAACTTAGCAAGCAAATAGTTTTCTTTTAAGGAAATCTAAACATACATGTGATTCCGTCTGCCTGAGATGCTTCCACAATGAGAGCACGTTAAGTCAAACCCCTGCCAAATAAACATTAAAAGCACACTATCCAATAGCAAGAGTAAACCAAAAAATTCTATAGGTGCCTACCCAACGATACCCAGACTCTCCTTGAAACCTTCTTCCTGGAATCCAACTAGAATCATGCAAGAGGATTCACTATATCAGGTGTAGTCTGCAAAGGTTCATGCAGATCTCATGCTGCAAAATGCAAGCCAAAGTTGAAACATGGAGTCTAGTCAGGTTTCTATTAGGTTCCTTTCATCTTTCTCATGTTTGGAAACAGGCAGACTTGAGTCCAAATACCTGCCTGCTATGTACTCACTATGTGACCATGGGCAGCCTACTCACCCTCTTAGAATATAGTTAAGTGAGGACTATATTTACCTTACAGAGTGAATGCAGGAGTAAGTGATCATTTGTATATAAAACCCAGTACAACAGCTGTGCATGATGGGGGCTCAATAAACACTACTTTTAAAAATGTATTCCTGAATGTGCATTTTATGAAGGGAGAGGTGGGGAGATTATTAATACCCCCTATTATCTTTCAGTCAATGAGGGAAAATCCTCAGTAGACCCAAGATTGAGCTCTGACCCTTAAAAGACAACAATGATGGATGACTGAATATATAATTTGACTCGTAACTACATACCTTACCTGTTCCACCTCCTACAGGTTGTCAGTCACCTGCTTATTACTTTCTTCCCTGCCTTAATTCACGAGATTTGAGGTGGCTTGTAGGAAACATGCAGAATAACAGTAAACTATAAACTGAACATAAAACACTAGGATAGGGAAATCTAAAATTGGAATTATAGACTGGCTGGAAACATTATACACAAATAAGCAGGCTACTGGGTTTTATATAAATTCCAGAGTTAAGCCAACAATTTGGTTCTGTGCTTCTTCTTCCTCAAAATGAAAACATAAACACAGTCAATTAATAATCCTCATTATCATGAAAAGAAAACATGTCTTCACAAAGAATGCAATAGGATAATTAACTGCATCCTTATATGAAATGCACTGATGAGTTTTATAAGAACTATTCCAATTGATAGAAAAAAGAGGGAATCCTCCCTAACTCATTTTATGAGGCCAGCATCATCCTGATACCAAAGCCTGGCAGAGACACAACAAAAAAAGAGAATTTTAGACCAATATCCCTGATGAACATCGATGCAAAAATCCTCAATAAAATGCTGGCAAACCAAATCCAGCAGCACTTCAATAAGCTTATCCACCATGATCAAGTGGGCTTCATCCCTGGGATGCAAGGCTGGTTCAACATATGCAAATCAATATAATCCAGCATGTAAACAGAACCAAAGACAAAAACCACATGATTATCTCAATAGATGCAGAAAAGGCCTTTGACAAAATTCAACAACACTTCATGCTAAAAACTCTCAGTAAATTAGGTATTGATGGGACGTATCTCAAAATAATGAGAGTTATTTATGACAAATTCACAGCCAATATCATACTAAATGGGCAAAAACTGGAAGCATTCCCTTTGAAAACTGGCACAAGACAGGGGTGCCCTCTCTCACCACTCCAACATAGTGTTGGAAGTTCTGGCCAGGGCAATCAGGCAGGAGAAAGAAATAAAGGGTATTCAATTAGGAAAAGAGGAAGTCAAATTGTCCCTGTTTGCAGATGACATGATTGTATATCTAGAAAACCCCATCATCTCTGCCCAAAATCTCCTTAAGCTGGTAAGCGACTTCAGCAAAGTCTCAGGATACAACATCAATGTGCAAAAATCACAAACATTCTTATACACCAATAACAGACAAACAGAGAGCCAAATCATGAGTGAACTCCCATTCACAGTTGCTTCAAAGAGAATAAAATGCCTAGGAATCCAACTTACAAGGGAGATGAAGGACCTCTTCAAGGAGAACTACAAACCACTGCTCAATGAAATAAAAGAGGATACAAACAAATGGAACAACATTCCATGCTCATGGGTAGGAAGAATCAGTATCGTGAAAATGGCCATACTGCCCAAGGTAGTTTATAGATTCAATGCCATCCCCATCAAGCTACCAATGACTTTCTCCACAGAATTGCATAAAGCTACTTTAAAGCTCATATGGAACCAAAAAAGAGCCCACATTGCCAAGACAGTCCTAAGCTAAAAGAACAAAGCTGGAGGCATCATGCTACCTGACTTCAAACTATACTACAAGGCTACAGTATCCAAAACAGCATGGTACTGGTACCAAAACAGAGATATAGACCAATGGAACCGAACAGAGCCCTCAGAAATAATACCACACATCTACAACAATCTGATCTTTGACAAACCTGACAAAAACAAGAAATGGGGAAAGGAGTCCCTATTTAATAAATGATGCTGGGAAAACCGGCTAGCCATATGTAGAAAGCTGAAACTGGATCCCTTCCTTATACCTTATACAAAAATTAATTCAGGGCCAGGCTCAGTGGTTCACGCCTCTAATCCCAGCACTTTGGGAGGCTGAGGCAAGCGGATCACAAGGTCAGGAGATTGAGACCATCCTGGCTAACACGGTGAAACGCTGCCTCTACTAAAAATACAAAAAATTAGCCAGACGTGGTGGCGGGCACCTGTAGTCCCAGCTGCTTGGGAGGCTGAGGCAGGAGAATGGCTTGAACCCGGAAGGCGTAGCTTGCAGTGAGCCAAGATCGCACCATTGCACTCCAGCATGGGCAACAGAGTGAGACTCCATCTCAAAAATAAATAAATAAATAAATATATTAATTCAAGATGGATTAAAGACTTAAATGTTAGACCTAAAACCATAAAATCCCTTGAAGAAAACCTAGGTAATACCATTCAGGACACAGGCATGGGCAAGGACTTCATGTCTCAAACACCAAAAGCAATGGCAACAAAAGCCAAAATTGACAAATGGGATCTCATTAAACTAAAGAGCTTCTGCACAGCAAAAGAAACTACCATCAGAGTGAACAGGCAACCTAAAGAATGGGAGAAAATTTTTGCACTCTACTCATCTGACAAAGGGCTAATATCCAGAATCTACAATGAACTCAAACAAATTTACAAGAAAAAAGCAACCCCATCAAAAAGTGGGCAAAGGATATGAACAGACACTTCTCAAAAGAAGACATTTATGCAGCCAAAAAACACATGAAAAAATGCTCACCATCACTGGCCATCAGAGAAATGCAAATCAAAACCACAATGAGATACCATCTCACACCAGTTAGAATGGCAATCATTAAAAAGTCAGGAAACAACAGGTGCTGGAGAGGATATGGAGAAATAGGAACACTTTTACACTGTTGGTGGGACTGTAAACTAGTTCAACCATTGTGGAAGACAGTGTGGCGACTCCTCAAGGATCTAGAACTACAAATACCATTTGACCCAGCCATCCCATTACTGGGTATATACCCAAAGGATTATAAATCATGGCTGCTATAAAGACACATGCACACGTATGTTTATTGCGGCACTATTCACAATAGCAAAGACTTGGAACCAAGCCAAATGTCCAACAATGATAGACTGGATTAAGAAAATGTGGCACATATACACCATGGAATACTATGCAGCCATAAAAAGGGATGAGTTCATTTCCTTTGTAGGGACATGGATGAAGGTGGAAACCATCATTCTCAGCAAACTATTACAAGGACAAAAAACCAAACACCGCATATTCTCATTCATAGGTGGGAATTGAACAATGAGAACACTTGGACACAAGAAGGGGAACATCACACGCCAGGGCCTGTTGTGGGGTGGGGGGAGGGGGGAGGGAAAGCATTAGGAGATACGCCCAATGTAAGTGACACTTAATGGGCGCAGCACACCAACATGGCACATGTATACATATGTAACAAACCTGCATGTTGTGCACATGTACCCTAGAACTTAAAGTATATATATATACATATATATACACATATATATGTATATATATATGTGTATATATATATGTGTGTGTGTATGTATGTGTATATATATATATATATATAGAATGTTTCCTGTATCTTCCAATGAAAAGAACAGAATTCCAAAACACAACTCCAAGAAGGCCATCCAGGGTACCATACTAATTACCTTCATGATGTCCAATCTCTAGCAACAATGGAATGGTTGGACCATATATTCTTCCCAGACTCTCTTCAGAATTCCTCCATTTAGTAGGGTTGGCACCTATCAGGGCTGAACTGTATATGGCTTGCGGTTATACTGGTCCATGATCCACAATTGCGAAAATACAAAGAGTTGAGAAAACAAGTGTGTGTAACTCATTTTACAACACAATTGATCTGACTCAAATGACCTGCACTAATATGAGGCTATTTCTAGTCCTTTTCTCACAATGTATATATTCATACATCTTACTGCAGAAATACTCAAATTACTGATTACATGCTGCTGTCCTAGACCCAGTCAAGGGTGTTTTCTAACTTACGGACTATACCATACATGTCTACATACTATATATGGCTTTTTAAACCCAAAAAGTAATTCTGGATTCTGAAACACATCTGGTCCCAAAGGCTTTGGAAAAGGGACTGTGGGCCTGTATTCTCTAATAAACCTTAAAATACTGGTACTCTTTAGTGTAAGGGTGAAGAATATCTATATAACTCAGACATCAAATGAAACAATGGTGGAGCAGACCCTTTTTTGCAAATTAAAAAGCCTAATCAATAGACAGCTATTCTGCTTCCAAAATCAGGTAGACTGTGGCCAAGATGATGTAGTCCATCCTTTGGATTCCTATACATCTGGGCCACATTTAACATTTTCTGGAAGGCCATGAGTCACTATGGCAGTTTTGGGTGGGGGTGAGGGGTTTTTGGTTTTGAATCCTACAATAGGCATCATTTTTTCCCATCTCAGTGTCATATGCAGGTGTGTGTATACCATAAGAATGATTCTGAGCCTAGAAATGAATTGCCTGGCAAGCTTTAAAAAACACTGTTGCCTGGGGTTTCACCTCCCAGAAATACTAATTTAGTTGGCCTAAAGAGCAACCTGAATATCCAGAAGTATCTCTCACTGATGAAAAGAAAGCCATCTAGACAACTGAAGAGATGGATTACCAGACCTCTTCTTTGAGAGCCTGATTCAGTAGGTATGGTTTGCACTGAACACCTTTTTTTTAAGACAAAACTTCAGGCATCCTCATCTTCTCACAAATTGGGATACACTATCCTGTTGGGGAAGCGTAAGAGGCTGAGGAAGATAAGCTAAGTACGGTGAATAAAGGATGTAGAGAGGGCTCTTTCACAAAGGAGAAAGTCTCCTGAGTGGGCCACCAAACAGATCACTGGGGCCCTGTGCAGAGAATCCCCCTTCTGAGGAATAAACTATTGACAAAGGAAAAACAAATCAGCTTCAAGTCTTGCATCAATTTTAAATAATCAACAGTAGCTGCCTAGGGTGCTGTCCTGGAAAGGATTCTGAGACCAAGTTCCTGCTCAGTGGGGAGCCAAGCCATGACCAATTGGCAATGTCTGCCATGCACATGGGAAGAAGGCATAGTTACAACATCTGCCAGACCTTTGCTGTCTTTCTTGAGAACCTTGGCTCTGCTGCTTCTACAGTCCAGGCCCAATGGTATAACTCTCAATACAGCATTAGCACTCAGCTGTGGAGGGAAGAATCTCAGATCACTGACGAAAAAGTCCAAGTTCCTTCCTCCTTAAAATCTACCCATGTCTCTCTAACCCCTGTGTTCATCTCTGCTTAGTAAAGAGGCTCTTGAAGGCATTGTTGTAGTTCTTGTTAAAAGCTGTGTAAATCAGGGGGTTGAAGAAAGAATTGGAGTAGCCAAGCCACAGAAATATGCTTTTCCAGATGGGGGGCAGGCTGCAGGCACAGAGTGGGCTGATGAGTTCCGTCAGGAAGAAGGGGATCCAGCACAGCACAAACACGCCAATCAGAATTCCCACCATCATGGCTGCTCGCCTCTCCTTCTGCTCCCGCCAGGAGTCCCCGCTCACCTGGAAGGACACCGTTGCTTTGCAATGTGCCGTGAACACCACTTCAGCCTCATCAGGTGCTTCCTTTACCTTGGAACAAAGAAAATAATGGAATTAAAAAATAAAACAGAAAAACAAGGAAGAAGCTGAACAAACCAGAAAGACAACAACTCCTCTTAGATTTGTCAGAGAAGTGAGCTCACAGGGCTAAATGCTGCTCCAAAAATGGTCAGGTGAATATAGAGCATCACAGCTTACTAGAGCAAAAACCCACAACCAGAAACTTCTGCAGGAAGCAGTGCTGGGGTAAGAAAACATAAGCTCTAATTGACAAATTGCTGGAGGCTCAGTGTGGAAAAATCTAACAGTTAAAAAATCCAGGAAGACTTAGTCATGGAAGGGGGTAGAGGGTAGAGGTGTACCATTTATGTTTTATTATCTCCAGGGTCTCTATCAGGTCCTCACAGTGAATACTGGAGAAAAGTCACCTTGTGCTTTTGGCAAGGGGAAGGGAAAAGAATCCATTTTGAACTATGCCAAACCATTCTGTTCTTAATATGGCTTACTATCATGAGAATTAACTTACCAGAGCCTAACCTGAGGGCTTTTATCAGAGCCCAATCTACCTGGAGGAAGGGAAATATCTACCTCCAGTCCCTGTAGCCATCCCGCCCCACCTAAGGGGGAAGTAGGACTGAGAAGCACTAGTGAAGTTTACAGTCCAGGCACAGAGGCTAAAAAATAGCTGAGACCTAATCACAGGGCTACAGAACAATTCCCCTTCTCCCATACCTCACCACCATATTAACTAAAGGCCCATCTACCACAGTTCCTTTTATCCAGCGCATCATGCCTACCTTTCAACAAAAAATTACAAAGCACACTAAAAGGCAAAAAACACAGTTTGAAAAGACTGAACAAGCAAGAAACCAGAGTCATAGATGGCCATGATGTGAGAATTATCAGGCAAGGAATTTTTTTTTAATTATACTTTAAGTTTTAGGGTACATGTGCACAATGTGCAGGTTAGTTACATATGTATACATATGCCATGCTGGTGTGCTGCACCCATTAACTCGTCATTTAGCATTAGGTGTATCTCCTCATGCTATCCTTTCCCCCACCCCACAACAGTTCCCAGAGTGTGATGTTCCCCTTCATGTGTCCATGTGTTCTCATTGTTCAATTCCCACCTATGAGTGAGAATATGCAGTGTTTGGTTTTTTGTTCTTGCGATAATTTACTGAGAATGATGGTTTCCAGTTTCATCCATGTCCCTACAAAGGACATGAACTCATCATTTTTTATGGCTGCATAGTATTCCATGGTGTATATGTGCCACATTTTCTTAATCCAGTCTATCATTGTTGGACATTTGGCTTGGTTCCAAGTCTTTGCTATTGTGAATAGTGCCGCAATAAACATATGTGTGCATGTGTCTTTATAGCAGCATGATTTATAGTCCTTTGGGTATATACCCAGTAATGGGATGGCTGGGTCAAATGGTATTTGTAGTTCTAGATCCCTGAAGAATCGCCACACTGACTTCCACAATGGTTGAACTAGTTTACAGTCCCACCAACAGTGTAAAAGTGTTCCTATTTCTCCACATCCTCTCCAGCACCTGTTGTTTCCTGACTTTTTAATGATTGCCATTCTAACTGGTGTGAGATGGTATCTCATTGTGGTTTTGATTTGCATTTCTCTGATGGCCAGTGATGGTGAGCATTTTTTCATGTGTTTTTTGGCTGCATAAATGTCTTCTTTTGAGAAGTGTCTGTTCATGTCCTTCGCACACTTTTTGATGGGGTTGCTTTTTTCTTGTAAATTTGTTTGAGTTCATTGTAGATTATGGATATTAGCCCCTTGTCAGATGAGTAGGTTGTGAAAATTTTCTCCCATTTTGTAGATTTCCTGTTCGCTCTGATGGTAGTTTCTTTTGCTGTGCAGAAGCTCTTTAGTTTAATGAGATCCCATTTGTCAATTTTGGCTTTTGTTGCCATTGCTTTTGGTGTTTGAGACATGAAGTCCTTGCCCATGCCTATGTCCTGAATGGTAATGCCTAGGTTTTCTTCTAGGGTTTTTATGGTTTTAGGTCTAACGTTTAAATCTTTAATCCATCTTGAATTAATTTTTGTATAAGGTGTAAGGAAGGAATCCAGTTTCAGCTTTCTACATATGGCTAGCCGGTTTTCCCAGCACCATTTATTAAATAGGGAATCCTTTCACCATTGCTTATTTTTCTCAAGTTTGTCAAAGATCAGATTGTTGTAGATATGTGGCATTATTTCTGAGGGCTCTGTTCTGTTCCATTGATCTATATCTCTGTTTTGGTACCAGTACCATGCTGTTTTGATTACTGTAGCCTTGTAGTATAGTTTGAAGTCAGGTAGCGTGATGCCTCCAGCTTTGTTCTTTTGGCTTAAGATTGACTTGGTGATGCGGGCTCTTTTTTGGTTCCATATGAACTTTAAAGTAGATTTTTCCAATTCTGTGAAGAAAGTCATTGGTAGCTTGATGGGGATGGCACTGAATCTACAAATTACCTTGGGCAGTATGGCCATTTTCACGATATTGATTCTTCCTACCCATGAGCATGGAATGTTCTTCCATTTGTTTGTATCCTCTTTTATTTCATTGAGCAGTGGTTTGTAGTTCTCCTTGAAGAGGTCCTTCACATCCCTTGTAAGGTGGATTCCTAGGTATTTTATTCTCTTTGAAGCAATTGTGAATGGGAGTTCACTCATGATTTGACTTTCTGTTTGCCTGTTATTGGTGTATAAAAATGCTTGTGATTTTTGTACATTGATTTTGTATCCTGAGACTTTGCTGAAGTTGCTTACCAGCTTAAGGAGATTTTGGTCTGAGACGATGGGGTTTTCTAGATATACAATCATGTCATCTCCAAACAGGGACAATTTGACTTCTTCTTTTCCTAATTGAATACCCTTTATTTCCTTCTCCCGCCTAATTGCCCTGGCCAGAACTTCCAACACTATGTTGAATAGGAGTGGTGAGAGAGGGCATCTCTGTCTTGTGCCAGTTTTCAAAGGGAATGCTTCCAGTTTTTGCCCATTCAGTGATATTGGCTGTGGGTTTGTCACAGATAGCTCTTATTATTTTGAGATACATCCCATCAATACCTAATTGATTGAGAGTTTTTAGCATGAAGTGTTGTTGAATTTTGTCAAAGGCCTTTTCTGCATCTATTGAGATAAGCATGTGGTTTTTGTCTTTGGTTCTGTTTATATGCTGGATTACATTTATTGATTTGCGTATATTGAACCAGCCTTGCATCCCAGGGATGAAACCCACTTGATCATGGTGGATAAGCTTATTGATGTGCTGCTGGATTTAGTTTGCCAGTATTTTATTGAGGATTTTTGCATCAATGTTCATCAAGGATATTGGTCTAAAATTCTCTTTTTTTGTTGTGTCTCTGCCCAGCTTTGCTATCAGGATGATGCTGGCCTCATAAAATGAGTTAGGGAGGATTCCCTCTTTTTCTATTGATTGGAATAGTTTCAGAAGGAATGGTACCAATTCCTCCTTGTACCTCTGGTAGAATTCGACTGTGAATCCATCTGGTCCTGGACTCTTTTTGGTTGGTAAGCTATTGATTATTGCCACAATTTCAGAGCCTGTTATTGGTCTATTCAGAGATTCAACTTCTTCCTGGTTTAGTCTTGGGAGGGTGTATGTGTCCAGGAATTTATCCATTTCTTCTAGATTTTCTAGTTTATTTGCGTAGAGATGTTTGTAGTATTCTCTGATGGTAGTTTGTATTTCTGTGGGATCGGTGGTGATATCCCCTTTATCATTTTTTATTACGTCTATTTGATTCTTCTCTCTTTTCTTCTTTATTAGTCTTGCTAGTGGTCTATCAATTTTGTTGATCCTTTCAAAAAACCAGCTCCTGGATTCATTACTTTTTTGAAGGGTCTTTTGTGTCTCTATTTCCATCAGTTCTGCTCTGATTTTAGTTATTTCTTGCCTTCTGCTAGCTTTTGATTGTGTTTGCTCTTGCTTCTCTAGTTCTTTTAATTGTGATGTTAGGGTGTCAATTTTGGATCTTTCCTGCTTTCTGTTGTGGGCATTTAGTGCTATAAATTTCCCTCTACACACTGCTTTGAATGTGTCCCAGAGATTCTGGTATGTTGTGTCTTTGTTCTCGTTGGTTTCAAAGAACATCTTTATTTCTGCCTTCATTTCGTTATGTACCCAGTAGTCATTCAGGAGCAGGTTGTTCAGTTTCCATGTAGTTGAACGGTTTTGAGTGAGTTTCTTAATCCTGAGTTCTAGTTTGATTGCTCTGTGGTCTGAGAGAGAGTTTGTGATAATTTCTGTTCTTTTACATTTGCTGAGGAGAGCTTTACTTCCAACTGTGCGGTCAATTTTGGAATAGGTGTGGTGCAGTGCTGAAAAAAATGTATATTCTTTTGATTTGGGGTGGAGAGTTCTATAGATGTCTATTAGGTCTGCTTGGTGCAGAGCTGAGTTCAATTCCTGTGTATCCTTGTTAACTTTCTGTCTCATTGATCTGTCTAATGTTGACAGTGGGGTGTTAAAGTCTCCCATTATTATTGTGTGGGAGTTTAAGTCTCTTTGTAGGTCACTCAGGACTTGCTTTATGAAACTGGGTACTCCTGTATTGGGTGCATATATATTTAGGATAGTTAGCTCTTCTTGTTGAATTGATCCCTTTACCATTATGTAATGGCCTTCTTTGTCTCTTTTGATCTTTGTTGGTTTAAAGTCTCGTTTATCAGAGACTAGGGTTGCAACCCCTGCCTTTTTTTGTTTTCCCTTTGCTTTGTAGATCTTCCTCCATCCTTCTATTTTGAGCCTATGTGTGTCTCTGCACGTGAGATGGGTTTCCTGAATACAGCACACTGATGGGTCTTGACTCTTTATCCAATTTGCCCGTCTGTGTCTTCTAATTGGAGCATTTAGTCCATTTACATTTAAAGTTAATATTGTTATGTGTGAATTTGATCCTGTCATTTAGATGTTAGCTGGTTATTTTGCTCGTTAGTTGATGCAGTTTCTTCCTAGCCTCAATGGTCTTTACAATTTGGCATGATTTTGCAGTGGCTGGTACCAGTTGTTTCTTTCCATGTTTAGTGCTTCCTTCAGGAGCTCTTTTAGGGCAGGCCTGGTGGTGACAAAGTCTCTCAGCATTTGCTCAGACAAGGAATTTTTTTAAAACTATGATTAATAATGGCTTTAAAATAAAAAGGAGACAACATGTAAGAATAGAAGAATAATGTAAAGCAAAGAAATTGAAATTCTAAAAAAAGAATTTTTTAAATGTTAGATATCAAAACACCAAAAGAAATGAAGTTTGCCTTTCATAGGTTCCTTATTAGACTGGGCACAGATGAGGAAGGAACCTCTGAGCTTGAGGATATAACATTAGAAACTTTTGAAACCAAAACACAAATAGAAAAAAGATGTATAAAAATATAATAGTCCAGAGTGGTGAGACAACTACAAAAGTTGTAAATACACTTAATGAGAATACCAGAAGGAGAACAAAGAAAGGAACATAGGCAGTATTTGAAGCAATAATGACTGAGTATTTCCCCTAGTTATTATCGGACACCAAACCACAGATCCAGGGAGGTTAAAGAAGAATAAATGCCAAAATATAAAATACAGACACCTAGGCATATCATATTTAAACTTGAGAAAAGCAAAAATAAAGACAAAAATCTTGGAAGAAGCCAAAGGGAAAACCTATAGATAGCAAAGATAAGCATTACATCCAGCTTCTCTTCAGAAACAATACAAGCAACAAGAGTGTGAAGTAAAATATTTAACGTGTTGAGAGAAAAAAAATCCACCAACCTAGAATTCTATATCCTGCAAAATTATCCTTTAAAAATGAAGGAGAAAAAAAAAAACGTTTATCAGACAAAAATTGAGGCAATCTGTTGCCAGTAGACCTGCCTTGAAAGAAGTGTTAAAGGAAGTTCTTCAGAAAAGGAAAATTATATATCAGAAACTCAGATTTATGTAAAGAAAGGAAGAGCATCAGATAATTAATAAGAAAAGATAGAATAAAAACTTTTACTTTTCTTATTTGATCTAACAAGTTTGTTCAAAAAATAATAGCAACAATGTATTTGAAGATATATATATATACATATACACACACATACACACACTTATGTAAGCTATATGTAAATGAAATTAATGACAGCATGATACAAGAAATGGGAGTGAGGGATTAGAATTATTTTCTTATTATGAGATATGTGTACTACCCATGAAATAATATAGTGTTATATGAAAGTGGAGCTGGATTAGTTGTAAATGTGTATTGCAAACTCAAGGGCAACCACTAAAAAAAAAGTGAAGACGTATAACTAATATGCTAAGAAAGGAGAGAAAATGAAATAATATTCTCAATTAAAACTACAAAGGGCAGAGCTGAACACAGTGGCATAGACCTATAATCCCAGCTATTCAGGAGGCTGAAGCAGGAGGATTGCTTCAGGCTCAGGAGTTTGAGAACAGCCTGGGCAACATAGCAACATAAACAAACAAACAAGAAACCTACAAGGGGCAGAAAAAGAGTGCAAGAGAAAAATAGGAACAAAGAAAAAGGACAACAAATAGGAAACAGTAACAAATATGGTAAATATTTATTTATGTCAGTAATCACTCCAAACATCAATGGTCTAAAGGCATTAGCTAAAAGAGATTGTCAGAGTGGATAAAAAAACAAGACAACTATATGTTGTCTACAAGAAACCCACTTTAAACATAAAGACACATATAGATTAAACGTAAAGGGATGGAAAAAGATATACCATGCTAACACTAACCAAAAGAAAGAGGGAGTAGCTAATTTCATTTCAGGCAGAGCAAACTTCAAAGCAAGGAAAGTTATCAGAGACAGAGGGGAACATTACACAATGATAAAGTCAGTATTCCAAGAAGACATAACAATTTTTAATGTGTATGTGCTTAAAAACAAAACCAAAATATGTGAGGCAAAAACTGATAGAACTGCAAGAAGGAACAGATGACTTCATTATTATAGTTGGAGACTTCAACACTTCTCTATGATAAATGGACAAATAGAGCAGGTAGAAAATCAGTAAAGACATAGATGAACTCAACAAGACATAGTTGAACTCAACAACACCATCAATCACATGATATAATTGACATCTATAGTACTACACAACCTACAACAGTAGATTACACATTCCTCTCAAGCTCACCTAGAACATTCACCAAGACAGACCACATTTGGCCATAAAACACATTTTAACAAATTTAAAAGAAGAGAAAGCATGCAAGGTCTGTTTTTTTTTTTTCCACAAAAAGAATAAAAAATTCTCAAATACTTGGAGACTTAAAAAACACTTTGAAATGACACATGGGTCAAAGAAAAAAATTGAGGAAAATTTTAAAATATTTTCAACTAAATGAAAATGAAAACATCAAAATTTGTGTGATGCTGCAAAATAGTACTTAGATGAAAATTTATAACACTTTATATATTTATATATATTAGAACAACTATCTAAAATCATTAATCCAAGCTTTCACCTGAGGAAACTGATGAAAAACAAGGGCAAATTAAATCCAAAATAAGCAGAAGAAAAATAAAAATTAGAGCAGAAATCAATGTGTGAAAACAGGAAATCCATAGAGAAGACCAATGAAACCAAAAGCAGGTTCTTTAAATAAAAAAAGAAAATTAATAAACTCTAGCCAGGCTAAGAAAAAATCTAACAAATTATAAATACCAGAAATGAAAGAGGAGATAACACTATAGATCCCATGGACATTAAATGGACAAAGGAGGCTGGGCACGGTGGCTCACGCCTGTAATCCCAACACTTTGGGAGGCCAAGGCAGGTGGATCATGAGGTCAGGAGTTCGAGACCAGCCTGGCCAACATGGTGAAACCCCATCTCTACTAAAACTACAAAAATTAGCTGGGCATGGTGGCATGTGCCTGTAATCCCAGCTACTGGGGAGGCTGAGACAGGGGAATCACTTGAACCCAGGAGGTAGAGGTTGCAGTGAGCTGAGATCCTCCCACTGCACTCCAGCCTGGGCAACAGAGCAAGACTCCATCTCGGGATAAAAAAAAAAGGACAAAGGAATACTATGAACAACTCTATGCTCACAAATTTGATAACTTAGATGAAATGGACCAATCCCTTCAAAGACACAAGCTTGAGAGACATAAGCTGCCAAAACTCACACAAGAAGAAATAGAAAATCTGAATAGGCCCATAGCTACTAAATACAGTGAATTAATAATTAATAACCTTTCAAAACAGAGAACACCAAGCCCAGATCGATTCACTGGAAAACTCTATTAAACATTTTAAGGAAGAAATTATACCAATTCTCAACAATCTCTTTCAGGAAATAGAAACAGAAGGGAATATTTTCTAACACATTCTATGAGGCAGCATTATCCTAATACCCAAATCAGACAAAGACAAGAAAACTACAGATCAATATCTCATGAACATGGATACAAAAATTCTCAACAAATATTAGCAAATTAATCTAACAATGTACAAAAAAAAAGAATTATACACCACAATCAAGTGGAATTTATCCCAGGTATGCAATTCTTGTTCAACATTCAAAAATCAATTAATATAATCTAACACATCAATAGGCTAAAAAAGAAAAAATATATAATAATAATAGATACAAAAACAGCATTTTTACAAAATCCAACACCTACTCATGATTTTTTAAAAGAAACTCTTAAGTAGGAATAGAGGGAGGGGGACTTCATCGACTTGGTACAGAATATCTACCAAAAAACCTACAGCTGCCATCACACTTAATGAGCTTCTCACTGAGGTCAGGAACAAGGCAGGGATATTCCTCCTCACCACTGCTTTTCAAGATCATATTCAAAAGTCCTAACTAATGCAATAAGACAAGAAAAGGAAATAAAAATTGTACAGATTGGGAAGGAAGAAACAAAACTGCCTTTTTCTCACGCGTCACATGATTATCTATGTGGAAAATCTGAAAGAATCAACCAAAAAAAAAAAAAACCCTTTGAACTATTATAATAAGTGATTATAGCAGGGTTGCAGGATAAGAGTTAATACAAAAAAAATTGAACATTTTCTTGTACGTTAACAATGCACAAGTAAAAATGATGCCATTTACACTAGTATCTGAAAAATGAAATAGGCATAAATCTAACAAAATATGTAGAAGATCTGTATGAAGAAAACTGTAAGACTCTAATGAAATAAATCAAAGAACCACATAAATTGAGAGATATTCTTGTTCATGGATGGGAAGACTCAATCAGGTCAAGATGTGAGTTCTTTCCAACTTGATTCAATGCAGTTCTGATCAAAACTCCAGGAAGTTATTTTGTGGATATTGACAAACTAATTCTAAAGTTTATATGGAGAAGCAAAAGACCTAGAATAGCCAACATAATATTGAAGGAAAAGAATTTTGGAGGATTATAACTACTTGACTTGAGGACACACTATAAAGCTTCAGTAAATAAGACAGAGGCATTGGTGAAAAAATAGTGACAATAGATCAATGGAACAGAAAGGAGAGCCCAGAAATAAACCCACATAAATACAGTCAACTGACCTTTGATGAAGGAGGAAAGGCAATAAACAGAGAAAAGACAGTCTACTCAACAAATAGTGCTTTAACAACTAGATATTCATTGGAAAAGAAAAATTAATCTAGAACTAGACCTTACACCCTTCACAAAAATTAACTGCAAATGGATCACAGGCTAAATGTAAAATGCAAAACTATGAAACTCCTAAAAGATAGCATAGGAAAAAAAATTAGATGACCTTGGGTTTGGTGATGACTTCTCAGATGCAATACTAAAGGCACAATCCAGTAAAGAAAGAATTGACATGCTAGACTTCATCAAAAACAACAACAAAAATCTGCTCTGTAAAAGACACTGACAAGATGATCGAAAGATAAGCCGCAGTCTGGGAGAAAATATTTGCAAAAGACTTATCAGATAAAATACTGTTATCCAAAATACACAAAGAACTCTTAAAATTCAATGAGAGCATGAACAACCCATTTAAAAAATGGGCCAGAAACGTTAATAGACACCTCAAAGAAGATATACAGATGGCATATCAACATTTGAAAAGATGGTCCACAGCATATGTCATCAGGGAAATGTGAAACTAAAACAGTGAGATAACACTACACGCCTACTAGAATAGTCAAAATCCAGAATGCTGACAGCACCAAATGCTGGTAAGGATGTGGACCAACAGGAACCCTCATTTATTGCTGGTGGGAATGGAAAATGGTAGAGCCACTTTGGAAGACTGTTTTGTGACTTCTTACAAAACTAAGCATACTTTTACCATACAATGCAGCAATCGTGATCCCTGGTATTTACCCAAAGGAGTTAAAAACTTAATGTCCACACAAAAACCTGCACACAGATGTTTATGGCAGTGCAGCTTTATTCGTAATTGCCAAAACCTGGAAACAACCAAGATGTCCTTCAGTAAGTGGATGGATGAACTGTGGTACATCCAGACAGTGAAATATTATTCAGTGACAAACAGAAAAGAGCTATCAAGCCATGGAAAGGCAATGAGAAAGCTACATATTACTCAGTAAAAAGAAAAACAAATCTGAAAAGGGTATATACTGTATTATTCCAATTGTATGACATTCTGGAAAAGGCAAAACAACTGAGACAATAAAGAGTCAGTGGTTGCTAGAGGTTGGGACAAGTAAGCAAAGCACAAAGGATTTTTAGGGCAGAAAAACTACTCTGTATGATAACTACAGTGGTGGATACATATCATTATACATTTGTCCAAACCTATAGAATGTGAACACAAAGAGTGAACCCTCATGTAAACTATGGACTTTTCATGATAATTATTGTCACTGTCCATGTGGGTTTGTCAATTTTAACAAATGTGCTGCTATGGTGTGGGATGTTGATGGTGGGGGAGGTTGTATGTGTGTGGGGGTGGGGAGTATATGGCAACTCTCTATACTTTCCATTCAATTTTGCTGGGAACCTAAAACTGCTCTAAAAAATTAACTTTATTAATTTAAGTAAATAAGTAAAATATAATACTTATGAGATCAGATGCATTCAGGGTGGTATGGCCATAGACAAACTATAATACTGTATGATTAAAGCAATGGGAGGTTATTCCAGTCTTGTCCAGAACCTCTCCTCCAACTTCATTCAAAATGCATTTATACCATAGCCCATCAAACAATGTTAGGTGAAAAGGTCACTGAAACTGTAGGTTAAAATAATATCCGAAGATTCGTCAAGGAGAGAGAATGATGGTCCCCACGACCTCAAATAATATGATATAAACAGGAAGGGGGGCGATTAAGAGCGGGAGCCTTGGTGTCAGACCTAGGCTGGAGTCCCAAGACCATGGGGAAAGTGCCTCTGCCTGTCTAAGCCCGTTTCCCCAGCTATGATGCTGGGTGATGAAAGTCCTCTCCCCAGCTAAGGATGTCCTGCCAATGAATTGGGAATGCCTGATTGGGCCCAGCACTACTGCCTGGCATATGCATTCACCTATTCCGTACACATGGAGCGGGCTTGAGGCTGGGACTAGGACCACTAATAGAACAGACTCAATCTTGCCCCTCAAAAAGGTTACAGCTAGAGAGACAGCCTGTAAACATGAATATTGCAAGAGATTGCATAATTACTGTGGTAAACAGATTCAGTTTAAATTAGGTGATAATTCTGCACTGTCCAGCTTTATAAAAAGAAAACTGACTGTAAATGCCTTTGTGATCATAACTACCTTCAAATTAAGGAGTCTCCGGCATTACTCTCCACACCTTTCACCTCCATTTGTTGGTTAACTCCTGTTTACCTTTTGGGTCTCAGCTTAAAGACCACCAGTCCTCCCAGAGCCATCTTCCCTGATCCTCCAGACTCAACCACGGCTCCCTGTTTGGTGCCATGTTTTCCTCCTTTGCAGTGATTTGTGTGACTATTTGCCCGATGTCTGGCTCTCCCGTCCCAGGTCAAGCTGAACAAAGGCAGTGTCTTCCTACCTACCTGGCAACAGCACAGGCACCTAGTGGGTGCCCAGTAAATATCTATCACTAATGGTGTATTGTTACAGCAGAGTGACCTATTTCTCTTCCCCCTCGGAACGCTGCCAGGGATGGCCTCAGGTACTGCTGCACGGACAGACACAGAGCCTCCCAGCAACGACTGTGTCTAGCTTTTCTCCCAGGCACAACTAGAAGCAACTATCAGGATGACCACTCAACTGTGGGCACTTGATGCGGTTCATGGCTGATGCACTTGCCTCCTGTCACCTGCATCAGGGTGGCCAAAGCTGAGTGAGTGCAAGGGGCTCTACTGGCCTGGCTCTCACAAACTCAAGACTCCTCGTTCTCGATACTACCTTCAGATCCTGCATCTTCTTCTACTCCCCCCAGCACTCCCTGGATCTAACTATTTGTGTTGTAGTGAACCCTTATGAACTTCAGTTGGGGAGGCACCAGGTTCAAGAGACTGAAGAAGAGACCAAGAGCCAGCAAATGAGACATGGGGTTTTATCAGGGGCTTACATACAGGGGAGAGAGTCCAGTAGTGGTGGGCTGGGCAGGAGAACTGTCTTGCCTTCAGTGGTGGGCTGGACAAGAAAACCACAACCGCTTGCAAACAGCATGTAGTTTATATTGCATTTTCACTGAACACCCTCCTCTTAACAACCTCCACCTGGAAACCTTCGTGTAACCCAAAACTCAGGGCCTGAATCCCCTGTATGGCCCAGGTCCCACAGGATGGGATGGGACGGGGGCTCAGTTGTTGTTCCTCAGAGACAAGGAATGAATCTGCAGGTTGGCCACTGCTGGATTCTCTAGCTCGAAACACATTCATGTGCATCTGCCATATAGGGTCATTCTATGGGCATGCTTCAGTTACTGTGTCAGATGTGTTTATCCTACATTTGGAAAATCATTCAGCCAGCCCAAAAACAGATCATGGAGATGAGGACAGAGAGTCCTTTCCTTTGCCAGTATACATCCAGCATCCTCCCCACCTGCTACTTGGAGGGAAAGAGAACAAACAGTATCCCCCTCATCTGGGATGGCAAACACGTACTCTCTGAAGAGGCAGCTGAGAACTGGCCTGCCAGCCAGAGCCCCTCTTTAATGAGCCATTCCAAGGTTTCCCAGTCCCCAGGCAGTGGGAGCTGCACATCACTTTTTCCATTTACAAGAGATAATACTGACCCGTCCACATCTTTGTAGACTCTCATCAAGTCACCAGAGAAAGTCTGAATGACAAAACGTGGCATCCTGAAATCACCCCGTGAATACTTAGCAATCCCTTTTTGGGAGAGAAAAAACATCATCAGAGCATGAAAGGAAGTGGAAAGTGATTTTGTTATTTTTCTCCCACTAAGCTCAGTAATAGGCACTTTTCCAGCCATTTCTCTGCTGACCTAAATGACCTTCCAAGCACTTGAGTTCCTCCACTGTGTAATGAAATTCCAAATCCTCGTTAAGCTATTGAAGTAAGCAAATTGAAGGGGTAAGTTCAGTTAAAAGAGATCCTGGAGGAAGAGAAACAGAAAAGGCAAGTCTGATTAAATCGGTTCATTTGAAACACACCCGGCTCTACCACTGCAGTATTGAGCAGGGTCCACCTGTGGTCCGTCAAGGTGTCTGCTTGCTAGAAGCCCTGTGTTCACAGATTTTCAGCCTGAGCCTGGCATAGCCTGTGCAGAGTGATGCTGTAAGGCAATGGAATCTTTCCAGAAACAGCCCCAAAGAAAATGAGCCAATTGTGGGTGATTATTATTATTATTATTATTATTATTATTTTTTTGCTAGGAGATGACTAGGCTGGTTCTTTCAGTTCAATGGGTAATGTCTATTAGGAAACCAACAGAAACAAACAGGAAGCAGTACAACTCCTGAGAAGCTGCTATGAAACAGATACTGTGCTGCATGCCTGCAATGGATGACTTTCATTCTTCCTCACACCAGACCATTAAGGAATTGTATTATCCCCACTTCACAGCTGAGAAACCACTATGAAAGGTGAGATACCTTTGTCCAAAGTCGCACAGTTGCTTATTGTTAGAGCTGAAAGTGAAACTTGGGTAATTTGAAGGAGAGTCCACACTCTTAACCCCTACATGTTACTCTGCATCTTTGAGTAGAAGTGATTGATCTGAATGGGTTCCTACAGAATCGATTTTAAAGGTCATATTTATGTTGGGGAGCTTTGCAGAGTGGGCATCTATGGCTCCTCAGGCAATTCTTGGGGCCTCTAGCAACCAGCTCTGGGGGCACCCAGAGTCTCCCTCTTTCCTCTTGTCTCTCCTCAGCCTTTGGCCCTCAATGCCCCCTCTGCACACGTGTCTGATGATCACTCATGGTCAAGAGGCCTCTGACCCTGGATTTAGAATCTGCTCATCAGGAAGGTGAGAATATGAATTGTTGAATCCACACAACCAGTACTACCTGGCACTTTCTAGTCCTGTTGTGCAAGGAGAAGTGCTCTGAATACAGAGGCTGGAGAGAGGGAACTCTATAAACAAGGCCACACATGCAGGGAAAGGCAGAACCAAGGCGCCTGCCCAGTCTCTGTGGTTCCAGGACCACAGGGTTTCTTTCCACCATGCTAAAACATGACCTGAAAGATGAATTTACCTAAATGCCTTTATAGAGTCTAGGGCTGTTCCATTCAAAATTAACTAAGGATCAAATCTGCCAGACAACAAATGCTCAGACCTTGATTGATCACCTACTGTGTGCATAGGGACAATGTACTGAAATTTCTCATGAGGTTTCAATTTTAAATATTCTGTCCCACTATTCCCATAAGTACTCTGATATTGGGGCATGAATTTGGAGATGTCATTCAGAATATTGTGTCATGACCAACACTCTACGAGGGTAGGGACCTTGAGTATTCTGTCCACTGAAGTCCCTAGCACCTGGTGTGATATATGGTATACAGTAAATACTCAATAAACATCTATTGAATAAAGAAATGTTTAGGAGAGATAATTCTCTTGCGAGTTTCTTGCATTCCTGCACATTTTGCTAGCAAAGATTCTGGCAACCTTTGTTATAAACCAGTTTTTCAAGGACGTTTGTACAGCAAACAGCTCTGGAAGATAGAGACACTATCTGCCAGTGGAAGAGAGGGTAAACTTGCTTGCAACCCATTATAAAAGATGCAGGCTTCTTTTATAATGTAAGAAATGTGTAATATAATAATACAAAAAATAAGAACAGAAGGAAGGCTTGTTTACTGTCCAACACTAGGCAAAAGGGATTCAGATTCCCTAATCTAGGAGTTCTCTTCTGTGATGCAAATCCATCAGAACCATCCAAATCACTCCTGTCGGACTTTGAGTGAAAGGGGAACCGATCCATAGCTGAGGCTCACACTGTGTAGCAAAGTCTTTCAATTCCAATCCAAGAGCCTCATGTCTTCTGCCAGCATCCGGCAATGGCGGGCTGACCTGTTAGCCTGCAGGCAGGGTAAAATCTCAGACCCTTCATAGTTCTTGACATATGTCTAGCACTTGGCTAGGTGGCTCCACACACAGTCCTACTCAGTTATAGCAGCAACCATGTAAGGAAGGAAGGAGGAAACCAAGGCTCAGAGCACGTTAAAGATTAGCTCCACCTCCAAGCTGGGTCCCCATCTCTAATCTCCCACCAGGAAGAACCTTACCTCTATCACAGGCTCATTGTGAGGACTGAAGGAGACAGTGGTACAGAGTAGGCCCTCAGTAAAGGTCAACTTCATGGCACCCATCTCTTCCCACCCCTCTAAAAAATGCCAGCTGCCACAGAAAAAAACCTACAAACCTTCAATCCTCTAATGTTGTCAGATAAATGTCTTAGGAAGAAGAAATAGAAAAATATTGGAAAGGAGGAGGATAGTTCCTTAATCATTTGTGGAACTTACCACTTTGTGTTGTGACCACAAGGGTCACACACTGACTATAGCAAGACGCTTTACAAAGTTGGTGTCAGTGGACCACATTAATCCTAACAGCGACTCAAGTCCTACCACATCTGAGGAGAAGACACTGAGAACTTTCCAGTTAAGCTTGAAGGTCATCTGGATTATAACTGGAAAGTACAATTTCTCACCAGATCTTGCAGATCAGGGCTTAGAACACCTGGGGCTTTATTCTGTCTGTCCAAGGTTTAGTGAGCTAACCAAGCACAAGTCTTATTTCTCTTCAAGGCACTTTAAGGAGATAACTAATCAAAATAGCCCCCGAAGTAAACAAATGTGGCTGGCTTATTTTAGAACCTAAAACAGAAGATTTTCTTAGATGTTTCTTAAGGAGATTTTCTTGTAAAAACAAAAGGAGAACACTGCTAGGCTTGAAGAAAATAAACTTTCCCCTTAGTGTAATTATAGCCACTACAGAATGTAGTCTTCCTAAGCTCTTGGGTATGATCATAACATAAGGCACAATTGCTATTGCTATTTGGAAAACATGGTTGTTGTTTTTTTGTTTTTTTTTTTTGTTTTTTGGTTGGGGGTTTAGTCACCCTGGCATGGCTAAAGACCTACTGGAGTTAATGCTGAGAAGGGGAAGGTGTAATCAAGTGTGTTAATTAAGGTTAAGTACATTTGTGTTTTCAGCTCTGGTATCATCTAATCTAAAATCATCCCCCTTTACTAGTGGAAGCTGATTCCTTGTACAGGGGGTGGATGAAATGGGGAGAGCAGAAGTTGTCTTTTTCACATGCATTATTTAGCTTCAGTGTTCTGATATGTGCCTTACAGGGCAAGGGCTCCAGGATAGAAGACTACCCCTGCCTCCAAGAGAGCTAGTTAATACCCACTGTGGGTTCCTTCTCACAGGTGAGACAGCACTGCAGAAGGCTGAGCTTCATCCTCCAGGGAAGGGCTTTAGGAATTGTATGCAAATTGGACAAGCTAGCAGCTAGATAGCTTTCTGAGTAACAAGTTCAAAGCTTTCTTTAATGTTTCAAGGGAATTCTGTGACCTACCCCAAAAAGTTAAGAAGCATGGAGTTTAGGTCTCATTTTTCCACTGAGAAGTCCAATGTTCTCCAAAAACTACACAGATAGAAGAAATAGCTTTTTGCAAGGCCATATGTGGAGACATGATCCCTATGCCATACTTGTTATATCTCTTTTGTTTCTCTCCATCCTCCTCCGTTATTCTCTAACAATCCAATAAGAGAAAATAGACAAGGAAACAGAGGTAAAGAGGCAGGGTGAATATAATGATGTAGGGGGAACAAGGAAGAACTTTATAGAGACTTAGAGAACCAGGGATATTTCTGAAGGTGTAGGGAAAATACTTGATGCATCCAAGTATTTTTGAACATTTTAAGGCAATTAGGTGCCGGTCTTAAAGGAATCGAACCATAAGCCAGATGTTTTGTTATCACTGATACAATTTAATTCATAACATTTAATTTTCTAAAGTTAAAATAACCTTGCAGTCTGGCATGAGAATGTGTTTGAGCCCACAGTTTTTAAAATAGAATCAGAAGAAGGGTGGTGGTTTTCTACCATCCTCTTTTCATATCTGAGCTCAGGCTGAACCCAGCTCTCATTTGTGGTTCTATCTGCAAGCCCACCAGCTGCTCAGTCTTTCAGGTGATCCAGATTACAAGTAAGCATTGGAAAAGCAGTAAAAACATAAAACGTTTAGACAAGGACACTACAAGAAAAGAAAGTTACAGGCCAATATGTCTGATGAACTTAGATGCAAAAATCCTCAACAAAATACCAGCAAACTGAATTCAATAGCACATTAAAAGGAGCATTCACCATGATCAAGTGGGATTTATCCCTGGGATGCAAGAATGGTTCAACATACACAAGTCAAAAAATGTGCTATATCACATTAACAGAATGAAGGACAAACATGATATGATCATCTCAATAGATGTAGAAAAAATCCTGGACAAAATTCAACATCTTTTCATGATAAAAATTCTCAACAAATTAGGCATAGAAGTAATGTACCTCAACTCAACACAATAAAGGCCATATATGACAAGCCCACAGCTAACATCATACTCAGTGGTGAAAAGTTGAAAGCTTTTTCTCTAATATCAGGAACAAGACATGGATGCCCAGTCTCATTTCTTTTCAACATATAATACTGGTGAAGTCCTGGCCAGAGCAATGAGGCAAAAAAAAAAAAAGAAAGAAAAGAAAGAGAGAGAAAGGAGTAAAAGGCATCAAAATATAAAAGGAAGAAGTGAAAATCATGTTTTTTGACAACATATCTTTTTTCAGACACAGTCTTGCTCTGTCACCCAGGCTAGAGTGTGGTGGTGTGATCTTGGCTCACTGCAATCTCTGCCTCCCAGGTTCATGCAATTCTCCTGCCTCATCTTCCTGAGTAGCTGGGACTACAGGCGTGCAGCACCACGTCCAGCTAATTTTTGTATTTTTAGTAGAGACAGGGTTTCACCATGTTGGCCAGGATGGTCTAGATCTCCTGACCTCGTGATCCATCTGCCTCAGCCTCCAAAAGTGCTGGGATTACAGGCATGAGCCACAGTGCCCAGACGACAACATAATCTTATATATAGAAAACCCTAAATACACCACCAAAAAACCTGGAACTAGTAAACAAATTCAGTAAAGTTGCAGGATACAGAATTAATATACACCAGTCAGTAGTGTTTCCATACACTAACAATGAACTACCTGAAAAAATTTAAGAAAACAGTTTCATTTACAATAGCTTACAAAACACTTAGAAATAAATTTATCCAAGGAGGTGAAAGATCTGTACACTGAAAACTATAAAACATTAATGAAAGAAAATAAAGAAGACATAAATAGATATGCCAAGTTTATGGACTGGAAGAATTAATATTGTTAAAATGTTCATATTAACTAAGTGATCTAGAGACACAATGCAATCCCTATCAAAATTTCAATGGCATTATTCACATAAATAGAAAAAAAATCCTAAAATTTATATGGAACCACAAACAACCCTAAGCCAAAGTAATTAAGCAAAATGAACAAAGCTGGGGGCATCACACTACCGAATTTCAAATTATACTACAAAGCTATAGTAACCAAAATAGCATGTGTATTAATTCATTTGCATGCTGCTATGAAGAAATACCCAGAACTGGATAATTTGTAATTTATAATTGACTCATAGTTCTACATGGCTAGAGAGACCTCAGGAAACTTATAATCATGGTGGAAGGGGAAGTAAACATGTCCTTCATCACATGGCAGCAGGAGAGAGAAGTGGCAGCAGGGGAAATGTCAGACACTTATAAAACCATCAGATCTCATGAGAACTCATTATCCTGAGAACAGCATAGTGGAAACTGCCCCCATGATTCAATTACCTCCCATTGACTCTCTCCCACAACATGTGGGGATTACAATTCAAGATGAGATTTGGGTGGGGACACAGCCAAACTATATCCTTCCATAACTGGCCCCTCCCAAATCTCATGTCCTCACATTTTAAAACACAATCATGCCTTCCCAACAGTCCTCCAAAATCTTAACTAATTTAAGCATTAACCCAAAAGTCCAAGTTCAAAGTCTCATCTGAGACAAGGCAAGATCCTTCTGCCTATGGACCTGTAAAATCAAAAGCAAGTTAGTTACTTCCCACATACAATGGAAATACAGGCATTGGGTAAATACACCCATTCCAAATGGGAGAAATTGGCCAAAACAAAGGGGCTATAGGCCCCATGAAAGTCCAAAATCCAATAGGGAAGTCATTAAACTTTAAAGTTCCAAAATGATCTCCTTTGACTCCATGTCTCATATCTGGGTCACACTGATGCAAGAGGTAGGCTCCCATGGCTTTGGGAAACTCTGTCACTGTGGCTTTTCAGGGTACAGCCCCTTCTCAGCTGCTTTCACAGGTTGGCATTGAGTGTCTGCAGCTTTTCCTGGTTCACAGTGCAAGCTATTGGTGAATCTACCATTCTGGGGTCTGAAGGACAGCAGCACTCTTCTCAGAGCTCCATTAGACTGTGCCCCAGTGGGGACTCTGTGTAGGGGTTCCAGCCCCACATTTCCTTTTTGCACTGCCCTACTGAGGTTCTCCATAAGGGCGCCGCCCCTGCAGCAAACTTCTACCTGGACATTCAGGTGTTTCCACACATCCTCTGAAATCTAGGCAGAGGTTCCCAAACCTCAATTCTTGACTTCTGTGCACCTGCAGGCTCAACACCACGTGGAAGCTGCCAAGGGTTGGGGCTTGCACCTTCCAAGCAATGGCCTGAGCTGTACCTTTGCCCTTTTTAGCCATGGCTGAAGCTGAAGCAGCTGGGATGCAGGGCACCATGTCTTGAGGTTGCAAAGAGCAGTGGGGACCTGGGTCCAGCCCATGAAACCATTTTTTCCTTCTAGGCTTCCAGGCCTGTGATGAGAGGGGCTGCCATAAAGGTCTCTGACATGCCCTGGAGACATTATCCCCATTGTGTTGGTGATTAAGAGTCAGCTCCTCTTTACTTATGCAAATTTCTGCAACAGGCTTGAATTTCTCCCCTGAAAATGGTTTTTCATTTCTATCACATCATCGGGCTGCAAATTTTCCAAATTTTTATGCTTTGCAACCTCTTGAGTGCTTTGGCACTTAGAAATTTCTCCTGCCAGATACCATAAATCATCTCAAGTTCAAAGTTCCACAGATCTCTAGGGCATGGGCAAAATGCCACCAGTCTCTTTGCTAAAGCATAGCAAGAGATGATTTCCCAAGAAGTTCCTCATCTCCATCTGAGACCACCTGGACTTCATTGCCCATATCACTATCAGCATTTTGGTCAAAACCATTCAACAAGTCTCCAGGAAGTTCCAAACTTCCCCACATCTTCCTGTCTTCTAAGCCCTCCAAGTCTCTAGGAAGTTTCAAACTTTCCCACATTTTCCTGTCTCCTTCTGAGCCCTCCAAACTCTTCCAGCCTCTGCCCATTACCCAGTTCCAAAGTTGCTACCACATTTTCAGATATCTTTAATAGCAGCACCCCACTACCTCAGTACCAACTTACTGTATTAGTTCATTTTTACACCACTATGAAGAAATACCCAAGACTCGGTAATTTATAAAGCAAGGAGGTTTAGTTGACTCACAGTTCTGCATGGCCAGGGAGGCCTCAGGAAACTTACAATCATGGCAGAAGGTGAAGTAAACACCTTCTTCTTCACTTGGCAGCAGGAGAGAGAAGTGCCAGCAGGGAAAATGCCAGACACTTATAAAGCCATCAGATCTTATGAGAACTCACTCACTATCATGAGAACATGAGGGAAACTGCCCCCATGATTTAATTACCTTCCACTGGGTCCCTCCTGTGACACAAGGGGATTACAACTCAAGATGAGATTTGGGTGGGGACACAGCCAAACCATATCAGCATGGCACTGGCATAAAAAACAGACACTTTGGCCAATGAAACAGGATAGAGAGTCCAGAAATAAATCAATGTATCTGTGGTCAGTTGATTTTCTATAAATATGCCAAGAACACACAATAGGAAAAAACAGTCTCTTCAATAAATAGTAGATATAAAATGAAACTAAAACTAGGTATTTTTTAATAAAAACTAGATATCCACATAAAAAAGAACAAAATTGGGCCCTTATCTTACCTCTTACACAAAAATCAACTCAAAATATATTAATGACTTAAATGAAAGACCTGAAACTATAAGACTACTAGAAGAAAACATAGGGGAAAAGCTCCTTGACATTGGGTTAGATAATGATTTTTGGGATATGATCCTTAAAGCACAGGCAACAAAAGCAAAAGTAGACAAGTGAGATTACATCAAACCAAAAAGCTTCTACACAGCAAAAGAAACAACAGTGTGAAGAGACAACTCACAGAATGAGAGGAAATATTTGAAAACCATATATCTAATATGGGGCTAATATTTAAAATATATAAGGAATTTGAAAAACTCAACAGCAAGAAAACAAATAACCTGATTAAAAGTGGACAAAAGACTTCAATAGATATTTCTCAAAAGAAGATATACAAATGGGCGAGAGGTTTATGGAAAAAAATCAACATCACTAATCAGAGAATGCAAATTAAAATCACAATGAGATATCACATCATTATCTGTTAGAATGGCAATTATCAAAAATATGAAAGAGAAGTGTTGGTAAGGATATGGAACTAACAAAACGCTTGCACATTGTTGGTGAGAATTTACATTAGCACATCCATTATGGAGAACAGTATGGAGGTTCCTCAAAAAACTAAAAAGAGAATTAACGTATGATCCAGCAATCCCACTTCTGGGTATTTCAATTCCAATTGAAATCAGTATATTGAAGAGATATTTCCACCCCATGTTCATTGCAGAGTTATTCACAATAGCCAAGCTATTAAATCAGCCTAAGTGTCCATCAATAGATGAATAAGAAAAATATGGTGTGTGTGTGTGTGTATATATATATATATACATATATACACACACACAATACTATTTAGCTTAAAAAGGGAGGAGATTCTGTTATTTTTTGCAACACAGTTGAAGCTGGAGAACATGATGCCAATTGAAATAAACCAGGCACAGCAAGACAAATACTCCATGATCTCACTTTTATGTGGAATCTAAAAAAATCAAACTTGTAGAGGTAGAAAATAGAGTGGCGGCTACAGAGGCTGGAGGGTAGGGGGTAGGGGGACTGGAGAATGGAGAGACTGACTATATGGTACAAAGTTCCATTTAGACAAAGGGAAAAAGCTTTCAAAATCTATTGCACAGCAAAGTGACTATAGTTAATAATAATGTGATGAATATTTAAAAATTGCTAAAACAATATATTTTAAATTTTGTCACTACAAAAAAAAAACATGTGAAGCGATAAATATGTTAATTTTCTTGATATCCATAATATGTGCTTGTGTATGTGTGTGTGTATGTATGTATGTATGTATATCCCAAAACATTACATTGTTCATTCAGAGGCAGAGCAAAGATGGCCAAATAGAAGTCTTCATTTATTGTCTTCCCTGCAGGAACAACAAATTGAACAACTATCCACACAAAGAAGCACCTTCCTAAGAACCCAAAATTTGGTGAGTGTATTAGTCAGGGTTCTCTAGAGGGACAGAGCTAATAGGATAGATGTATATAAGAAGGGGAGTTTATTAAGGAGTACTGACTCACATGATCACAAGGTGATGTCCTATAATAGGCCATCTGCAAGCTGAGGAGCAAGGAAGCCAGTCCACGTCCCCAAACCTCAAAAGTAGGGAAGTCGATAGTGCAGCCTTCAGGATGTGTCCGAAGGCCCAAGAGCCCCTGGCAAATCACTGGTGTATGTCTAAGAGTCTGAAAACTGAAGAACTTGGAGTCAGATGTTTGAGGGCTGGAAGCATCCAGCACAGAAAGAAAGATGAAGGCCAGAAGATTCAGTGAGTCAAGTCCATCCATGTTCTTCTGCTTGCTTTTATTCTAGCCACGTTGGCAGCTGATTAGATGGTGCCCACCCAGATTGACGGTGGGTCTGCCTCTCCCAGTCCATGGACTCAGATGTTAATCTCCTTTGGCAACACTCTCATAGACACACCCAGGGACAATATTTTGCATCCTTCAATCCAATCAAGTGGACACTCAATATTAGCCATCACAGTGAGTGATCACAGTTTCTGGTTTTAACTTCATATCACTGAAAGAGGCCCTGAAGACGATAGGAAAGACAGCCTTGAATTGCTGATGCCACCCCTCCGGCATCCCCTGGCTGTGGCTATGTGGTGTGGAGAGAGAATCTGTGTGCTTGTTGGAGGGAAAGTGCAGTGATTGTGGGACTTTGCATTAAAACTCAGTGCTGTCTGGTCACAGCAGAAAGCAATGCCAGGCAGAACTCAGCTGATGCCTACAGAGGAAGCATTTAGACCAACCCTAGCCTAACCACAGGAGAATTGCCCATACCAGCGGTCAGAACCTGACTTCATGCAAGTCCCACCACTGCAGGCCTAAAGTGTTCTGGGGCTCTAAATAAACTTAAAAGGCAATCTTGGCCACAAGGACTATAATTCCTGGGCAAGTCCTGGTGCTTTGCTGGACTTGGAGCCAGTGGACTTTGGGGGCAAGTAACCTAGTGAGACACTAACCAGGGCAGCCAAGGGACTGTTTGGTTTGTGTCACCCCTCAGCAAACCCTAGGCAGCACAGGTTACAGTTTCAGGAGAAACTGCTTTCCTTTGCTTGAGGAGAAGAGAGGGAAGAGTAAAGATGACATTGTCTTGTAGCTTTGATACCAGCTCAGCCACAGTAGGATATGGCATCAGGCAGAGTCCTGAGGCCACCATTCCAGATCCTAGCTCCTGGACGACATTTCTTGACACATCTGGGCCAGAAGAGGACTTCTGCCTTGAAGGGAAGAACCCAATCCTGGCAGGATTCATCACCTGCTGACTAAAGAGCCCTTGGGCCATGAATAATCAGGAGTAATACCCAGGCAGTACAAGCCATAGGCCTTGGATGAGACTCAGGGATGTGTTGGCTTCAGGTGTGACCCAGCACATTCCCAGCTGTGGCAGCTATGAGGAGAGACTCCTTCTGCTTGAGAAAAGGAGAGGAAAGAGTAAAGGAGCTTTTGTATTGCAGCTGAGATACCAGGTTGGCCGAAGTAGGGTAGAGCACCAAGCAGACTCTTCAGATCCCCAGTTCCCGACCTTGGCTCCTGGACAGCATTTCTAGACCTGTCCTGGGTCAGAGGAGAGCCCACTGCCCTGAAGGGAGAGTCACAGGCGTGGCAGCATTGACCACAAGCTGAAGAGCCCTTGGGCCTTAGTGAATATTAATGGTAGCTAGGCAGTACTCACCACAGGCCTAAAGTGGTGTTAGCCATGGAGAGAGACTCCTCTTCTTGTGGAAAGGGGAGGGAAGAGTGGGAAGAACATGGTCTTGTGGCTTGGGTGCAAGCTTGACTGCAGTAGAATAAAGCACCAGGTAGATTTCTAAGGTTTCCGACTCTAGGCCCTGGCTCCTGGACAGAATCTCTGGACCTGCCCATGGCCTAGGAGAACTTGTCGCCCTGAAGGGAAGGACACAAGCCTAGCTGGCCTCACCACCTGCTGATTGCAGAGCCCTAGGGCCTTGACTGAACCTAGGCAGTAGCCAGGTAGTAGTTACTGTGGGCTTTGGGCAAGACCTGGTTCTGTGCTGGCTTCAAGTCTGACCCAGCACAGTACCAGTGCTGGTGGCCACAGGGGTGCTTGTGTTACTGCGTCCCTAGCTCCAGGTAGTTCAGCACAGAGCAATTTTGTTTGTTTGAAAGAAAGGGAAGAGAATAAGAGGCTTTTCCTGGTAATTCAGAGAATTCTTCCAGATCTTAACCAAGACCACCAAGGTGATACCTCTACAAGCCTACAAGAGCCACAGCGTTACTGGAATTGCATTGCCCCCTAATTCAGATATGGCTGTAGTGACTGAAAACTTAGATTACAACACTGAAGTCCCTTTGGATACCTTGAAAGCCTTCCCAAGAAGGATGGGTACAAACAAGCCCAGACTGTGAAGAATACAATAAATGCATAATTCTTCAATGCCCAGATACTAACAAACATTGACTAGCATCAAGACCATGCAGGAAAATATGATTTCACCAAATCAATTAAATAAGGCCCCAGGGACCAACCCTGGAGAGACAGATATGTGATCTTTCAGATAGATGATTCAAAATAGCTCTTTTGAGGAAACTCAATGAAATCAAGGTAACACAAAGAAAGAATTTGGAATCTCATCAGATAAATTTAACAAAGAGATTGAAATAATTAAAAAGAATCTAGCAGAATTCTTGAGTTGAAAAATGCAACTGACATACTAAAGAACGTAAGGGTCTCTTACCAGCAGAATTGATCAAGCAGAAGAAAGAATAAGTAAGCTTGAAGACAGGCTATCTGAAAATACACAGTCAAAAGTGACAAACGAATAGAAAAGAATGAAGCATGCCTACAAGATCTAGAAAATAGCCTCAAAATAGCAAATCTAAGAGTTATTCACCTTCAAGAGGAGGCAGAGAGAGAGAGGAGTATAAAGTTTATTCAAAGAGATAACAGAGAACTTCCCAAACCTAGAGAAAGATATCAATACCCAGTACAAGAAGGTTATACAGTACCAAGCAGATTTAGCCCAAATAAGACTATCTCAAGACATTTAATAATCAAACTACCAAAAGTCAAGGATAAAGAAAAGATCTTAAAAGCATTAAGAGAAAAGAAATAACCTACAAGGGAGCTCCAATACATTTGGCAGCAGACGTTTCAGTGTAAAACTTACAGTCCAGGAGACAGTGGCATGACATATTTATTGTGCTGAAGGAAAATAACTTTTATCCTAGAATAGCATATCCAGCAAAATATCCTTCAAACATGAAGAAGAAATAAAAACTTTACCACACAGAAGCTGAGAGATTTCAACACCAGACCTGTCCTATAAGAAATGCTAAAGGGAGTTCTTCAATCAGACAGAAAAGGATAGGCTGGGAACGGTGGCACATGCCTGTAATCCCAGCACTTTGGGAGGTCAAGTTGAGCAGATCACTTAAGGCCAAGAGTTTGAGACCAGCTTGGCCAACATAGCAAAACCCCATCTCTACTTAAAAAAAAAAAAATAGCCTGGAGTGGTGGCACATGCCTGTAATCCTAGTGTGAACCCAGAAAATCTGAGACAGATCTCAGTTAATTTAGAAAGTTTATTTTGCCAAGGATGAGAATGTGCACCCATGACAGCCTCAGGAAGTCCTGACGACATGGGCCCAAGGTGGTCAGAGCACAATTTGGTTTTATACATTTCAGGGAGATATGAGACATCAACCAACATATGTAAGATGAACATTGGGTGGGTCTGGAAAGGGGGAACAGCTTGAAGTGGAGAGAAGGCTTCCAGGTTATAAGTAGATAAGAGACAAATGGTTGCATTCTTTTGAGTTTCTGATTAGCCTCTCCAAAGGAGGCAATCAGATATGAATTTATCTCAGTGAGCAGAGGGGTGACTTTGAATAGAATGGGAGGCAGGTTTGCCCTAAGCAGTTCCCAGCTTGACTTTTCCCTTTAGCCTGGTGATTTGGGGGCTCCAAGATCCGTTACACACTAGCTACTTGGAAGACTGAAGTGGGAGGATCACTTAAACCCAGGAAGGGGAAGTTGCAAAAAGCCAAGATACTGCACTCCAGCTTGGGTGATAGAACAAGACTCCAACTCAAAAAAAAAAAAAAAAAAAAAGAGAAAAGAAAGAAAGAAAAGAAAAGAAAGGCAGGAAGGTAGGTAGGTAGGTTAAAAAGCAGTAAGAAATCACCCAAAGGTACAAAATTCACTGGTAACTGTAAGTACATAGAAAAGCACTGAATATTATAACACTGTAATTGTGGTGTATAAACTACTCAATCTTGAGCAGAAAGACTAAAACAGAAACCAAAAAAAAAATAACTATGACAACTTTACAAGACATAGTACCACACAATATAAATAGAAACAACAAAAAGTTAAAAAGCAGGGGAGGAAAGTTAAAGTATAGAGTTTTTATTCATTTTCTTTTTGCTTATTTGTTTGCTTATGCAACCAGTGTTGTCATCAGTTTAAAGTATTGGGTTATAAGATATTATTTGCAAGCCTCATGGTAACCTCAAGTAAAAGAACACACAACACATACACAAAAAATAAAAAGCAAGAAATTAAAACATATCACCTTCACTAAAAGGAAGACCAGAAGGAAGGAAAAAAGACGACAAAACAACCAGAAAACAAGTAACAAAATGACAGAAGTAAGTCTTCACTTATAGTAATAACATTGAATGTAAATAAACAAAACTTTACAATCAAAAGAGATTGAGTGGCTGAATGATTTTTAAAAAGCCACAAGACATCTCACATGCAGAGACACATATAGGCTCAAAATAAAAGGATGGAGGAAGATCTACCAAAAAAATGGAAAACAAAAAAAGGCAGGGGTTGCAATCCTAGTCTCTGATAAACGAGACTTTAAACCAACAAAGATCAAAAGAGACAAAGAAGGCCATTACATAATGGTAAAGGGATCAATTCAACAAGAAGAGCTAACTATCCTAAATATATATGCACCCAATACAGGAGCACCCAGATTCATAAAGCAAGTCCTGAGTGACCTACAAAGAGACTTAGACTCCCACACAATAATAATGGGAGACTTTAACACCCCATTGTCAACATTAGACAGATCAACGAGACAGAAAGTTAACAAGGATACCCAGGAATTGAACTGAGCTCTGCACCAAGCTGACCTAATAGACATCTACAGAACTCTCTGCCCCAAATCAACAGAATATACATTTTTTTCAGCACCACACCACACCTATTCCAAAATTGACCACATAGTTGGAAGTAAAGCTCTCCTCAGCAAATGTAAAAGAACAGAAATTATAACAAACTCTCTCTCAGACCACAGTGCATTCAAACTAAAACTCAGGACTAAGAAACTCACTCAAAACCACTCAACTACATGGAAACTGAACAAACTGCTCCTGAATGACTACTGGGTACATAACGAAATGACGGCAGAAATAAAGATGTTCTTTGAAACCAACGAGAACAAAGACACAACATACCAGAATCTCTGGGACACATTCAAAGCAGTGTGTAGAGGGAAATTTATAGCACTAAATGCCCACAACAGAAAGCAGGAAAGATCCAAAATTGACAACCTAACATCACAATTAAAAGAACTAGAAAAGCAAGTGCAAACACATTCAAAAGCTAGCAGAAGGCAAGAAATAACTAAAATCAGAGCAGAACTGAAGGAAATAGAGACACAAAAAACCCTTCAAAAAATTAATGAATCCAGGAGCTGGTTTTTTGAAAAGATCAAAAAAATCGATAGACCGCTAGCAAGACTAATAAAGAAGAAAAGAGAGAAGAATCAAATAGACGCAATTAAAAATGATAAAGGGGACATCACCACTGATCCCACAGAAATAAAAACTACCATCAAACTACCATCAGAGAATACTACAAACACCTCTATGCAAATAAACTAGAAAATCTAGAAGAAATGGATAAATTCCTCGACACATACACCCTCCTAAGACTAAACCAGGAAGAAGCTGAATCTCCGAATAGACCAATAACACGCTCTGAAATTGTGGCAATAATCAATAGCTTACCAACCAAAAAAAGTCCAGGACCAGATGGATTCACAGCTGAATTCTACCAGAGGTACAAGGAGGAGCTGGTACCATTCCTTCTGAAATTATTCCAATCAATAGAAAAAGAGGGAATCCTCCCTACCTAACTCATTTTATAAGGCCAGCATCATCCTGATACCAAATCCGGGCAGAGACACAACCAAAAAAGAGAATTTTTGACCAATATCCTTGATGAACATTGATGCAAAAATCCTCAATAAAATACTGGCAAACTAAATCCAGCAGCACATCAAAAAGCTTCACCATGATCAAGTGGGCTTCATCCCTGGGATGCAAGGCTGGTTCAACATATGCAAATCAATAAATGTAATCCAGCATATAAACAGAACCAAAGACAAAAACCACATGATTTTCTCAATAGATGCAGAAAAGGCCTTTGACAAAATTCAACAACCCTTTATGCTAAAAACTCTCAATCAATTAGGTATTGATGGGATGTATCTCAAAATAATAAGAGCTATCTATGACAAACCCACAGCCAATATCATACTGAACGGGCAAAAACTGGAAGCATTCCTTTTGAAAACTGGCACAAGACAGGGATGCCCTCTCTCACCACTCCTATTCAACATAGTGTTGGAAGTTCTGGCCAGGGCAATTAGGCAGGAGAAGGAAATAAAGGGTATTCAATTAGGAAAAGAGGAAGTCAAATTGTCCCCGTTTGGAGATGACATGAATTGTATATCTAGAAAACCCCATCGTCTCAGCCCAAAATCTCCTTAAGCTGGTAAGCAACTTCAGCAAAGTCTCAGGATACAAAATCAATGTACAAAAATCACAAGCATTCCTATACACCAATAACAGACGAATAGAGAGCCAAATCATGAGTGAACTCCCATTCACAATTGCTTCAAAGAGAATAAAATACCTAGGAATCCAACTTACAAGGGACGTGAAGGACCTCTACAAGGAGAACTATAAACCACTGCTCAATGAAATAAAAGAGGATACAAACAAATGGAAGAACATTCCATGCTCATGGGTAGGAAGAATCAATATCGTGAAAATGGCCATAACTGCCCAAGGTAATTTATAGATTCAATGCCATCCCCATCAAGCTATCAATGACTTTCTTCACAGAATTGGGAAAAACTACTTTAAAGTTCATATGGAACCAAAAAAGAGCCTGCATCGCCAAGTTAATCCTAAGCCAAAAGAACAAAGCCGGAGGCATCACGCTACCTGACTTCAAACTATACTACAAGGCTACAGTAACCAATACAGCATGGTACTGGTACCAAAACAGAGATATAGATCAATGGAACAGAACGGAGCCCTCAGAAATAATGCCACATATCTACAACCATCTGATCTTTGAGAAACCTGACAAAAACAAGAAATGGGGAAAGGTTTCCCTATTTAATAAATGGTGCTGGGAAAACTGGCTAGCCATATGTAGAAAGTTGAAACTGGATCCCTTCCTTACACCTTATACAAAAATTAATTCAAGATGGATTAAAGACTTACATGTTAGACCTAAAACCATAAAAACCCTAGAAGAAAACCTAGGCAATACCATTCAGGACATAGGCATGGGCAAAGACTTCATGTCTAAAACACCAAAAGCAATGGCAACAAAAGCCAAAATTGACAAATGGGATCTCATTAAACTAAAGAGCTTCTGCACAGCAAAAGAAACTACCATCAGAGTGAACAGGCAACCTACAAAATGGGAGAAAATTTTCGCAACCTACTCATCTGACAAAGGGCTAATATCCAGAATCTACAATGAACTCAAACAAATTTACAAGAAAAAAACAAACAACCCCACCAAAAAGTGGGCAAAGGATATGGACAGACACTTCTCAAAAGAATACATTTATGCAGCCAAAAAACACATGAAAAAATGCTCATCATCACTGGCCATCAGAGAAATGCAAATCAAAACCACAATGAGATACCATCTCACACCAGTTAGAATGGTGATCATTAAAATGTCAGGAAACGACAGGTGCTGGAGAGGATGTGGAGAAATAAGAACACTTTTACACTGTTGGTGGGACTGTAAACTAGTTCAACCATTGTGGAAGTCAGTGTGGCGATTCCTCCGGGATCTAGAACTAGAAATACCATTTGACCCAGCCATCCCTTTACTGGGTATATACCCAAAGGATTATAAATCATGCTGCTATAAAGACACATGCACATGTATGTTTATTGCAGCACTATTCACAATAGCAAAGACTTGGAACCAAGCCAAATGTCCAACAACGATAGACTGGATTAAGAAAATGTGGCACAGATACACCATGGAATACTATGCAGCCATAAAAAATGATGACTTCATGTCCTTTGTAGGGACATGGATGAAGCTGGAAACCATCATTCTCAGGAAACTATCCCAAGGACAAAAAACCAAACACCACATGTTCTTACTCATAGGTGGGAACTGAACAATGAGAACACATGGACACAGGAAGGGGAACATCACACTCCGGGGACTGTTGTGGGTGGGGGAAGGGGGGAGGGATAGCCTTAGGAGATATACCTAATGCTAAATGACGAGTTAATGGGTGCAGCACACCAACATGGCACACATATACATATGTAACAAACCTGCACATTGTGCACATGTACCCTAAAACTTAAAGTATAATAATAATAAAATAAGAAAAATAAACAAATAAATAAATATAAAAGAAAAAAAAAGCCACAAGACCCAACAATCTATTTCCCACAAAAAATACACTTCATCTATAAAGATGCATGTAAACATAAAGAGATGGAAAAAGATATTCCATGCAAATGGAAACCAGGAGGAGGTGGAGGAGGAGGCGGTGGAGGAGGAGGAGGAGGAGGAGGAGGAGGAGGAGGAGGAGGAGGAGGAGGAGGCGGCGGCGGCGGCGGCGGCGGGGAGAGGGAGGGGGAGGAGGGGGAGGAGGAGAGGGGGAGGAGGAGGAGGCGGTGGCAGCGGAGGAGGCAGCGGCGGCAGTGGAGGAGGAAGCCGCGCACAGTGGCTCATACCTGTAATCCCAGCACTTTGGGAAACCGAGGTGGGAGGATCAGGAGGTCAGGAGTTTGAGACCAGCCTGGCCAATATGGTGAAACCACGTCTCTACTAAAGATACAGAAAATTAGCCGGGTGAGGTGCACATGCCAAATCCCAGCTACTCAGGAGGCTGAGGCAGGAGAATCGATTGAATCCAGGAGGTGGAAGTTGCAGTGAGCTGAGATCGCACCATTGCACTCCAGCCTGGGTGATAGGGTGAGACTCAATCTCAAAAAAAAAAAAAAAAAAAAAAAAAGGAAAAAAGTAAAAAGGAGAGCTATACTTATATGTAACTAAATAGATTTCAAGACAAAAACTATAAAAGAGACAAAAAAGGTTATTATATAAATAAAGGGGTCAATTCAGCAAGAAGATATAACAATTATAAATATATATGCTCCCAACATTGGACCACTCAGATATATAAAGCAGATACTTTTAGCGCTAAAAAGATAGACCACAATACAGTATTAGCTGAAGATTTCAACATTCTACTTTCATTATTGGACAAATTATCCAGACAGAAAATCAACAAACCAACTTTGGACTTAACCTGTGCTATAGACCTAATGGACCTAATAGATATTTACAGAACATTTCACCTAACGGTTGCAGAATATACATTTTTCTCCTCAGTACATGGATCATTATCATGGATAAACAATATGTTAGGCCACAAAACAAGTGTTAATTAATTTTTAAAAAATGAAATTATGTTACGTATCTTCTCTGACCATAATGGAAGAAAACTAGGAATCAATAACGAGAGGAATTTTGGAAACTATGCAAACACATGGAAATTAAACAATATGCTCCCGAATGACCAGTGGGTCAATGAAGAAATTAGGAAGGAATTCAAAAATGTATAGGCTGGACGTGGTGGCTAACGCCTGTAATCCCAGCATGTTGGGAGGCTGAGGCAGGCAGATTACGAGGTCAAGAGATCGAGACCATTCAGGCCAACATGGTGAAACCCCGTCTCTACTAAAAGTACAAAAATTAGCTGGGCATGGTGGCATGTGCCTGTAATCCCAGCTACTCGGAAGGCTGAAGCGGGGGAATTGCTTGAACCCGGGAGGTGGAGGTTGCAGTGAGCCAAGATCTTGCCACTGTGCTCCAGCCTAGCGAAAGAGTGAGACTCTGTCTGGAAAAAAAAAATTATTTAACAAATGATAATGGAAACACAACATACCAAAACCTATGGAACACAGTGAAAGCAGTATTAAGAGGAAAAATTTATAGCTATAATTGCCTACATCAAAAAAAAAAAACTCACAAAAAGCCCTAATGATGCATTTTAAAGAACCAGAAAAGTGCAAACCCAACTCAAAATTAGAAGATAATAAACAATAAAGATCTAACCAGAAATAAATGAAATTGAAATGAAGAAAACAATAAAAACATCAAGAAAATTAAGAGTTAATCTTTTGAAAATATAAACAAAGCCAGCAAACCTTTACCAGATTAAGGAAAAAAGAGAGGAGACCCAAATAAATAAGATCAGAGATGAAAAAGGAGGCATTACAACCGAGAGCACAGAAATTCAAAGGATTATTAGAGGCTACTATGAGCAACTACATGCGAATAAATTGGAAAGCCTAGAAGAAATGGATAGCCTTCTACCATGGTTGAACCATGAAGAATCCAAAACTTGAACAGATCAATAACAAGTAACAAGACCAAAGCCATAATAAAAAGTCTCCCAGCAAAGAAAAGCCCAGGACCCAATGGTTTCTTTGCTGGATTTTACCGAGCATTAAAAGAAGAACTAATACCAAACCTACTTTAACTATTCTGAAAAATAGAGGAGGAAGGAATATTTCCAAACTCATTATATGGTGGGCAGTATTATCTTGATACCAAAACCAGACAAACACACATTAAAACAAACAAACAAAAAACTATAGGCCAATATCCCTGATAAATGTTGATGCAAAAATCCTCAACAAAATACTAGCAAATCAAATTCAATAACACATTAAAGATATCATTCATCATGACCAAGCGCGATTTATCCCAGGATGCGAGAATGGCTCAACATGTGCAAATCAGTCAATGTGACACATCGTATCAACAGAATGAAGGACAAAAACCATATCATCTTTTCAATTGATATTGAAAAAGCATTTGATAAAATTCAACATGTCTTCATGATAAAAACCCTTTAAAAATTAGGTATAGAAAAAACATATCTCGACACAATAAAAGCCATAAAAGACAGAAACATTGCCGCTATCATATTGAATGGGAAAAAACTGAAACTCTTTCCTCTAGGATCTGGAACATGACAAGGACATTGTCCATGACAAGGACACTGGATCATGACATGGACATTGTCCATGACAAAGACACTGTCACCGCTGTTATTCAACATAGTATGGGAAGTCCTAGCTAGAGCAATCAGACAAGAGAAAGAAATAAAGAGCATACAAATTGGAAAGGAAGAAGTCCAATTACATTGTCATTACTTGCAGATTTGGAAAAAATTGAAGATTCCACTGAAAAACCATTGGAACTAAAAAACAAATTCAGTAAAGTTGCAAGATACAAAATCAGCATACAAAAATCAGTAGCATTTCTATATTTCAATGGCAAATAATCTGAAAAAACAAATTTAAAAAGTAATTCCACTTACAATAGTTACATATAAATTAAATACCTAGGAATTAAAGAAGTAAAAGATCTCTAGAATAAAAACTATAAAAGGCTGATGAAAGAAATTGAAGATAACAAGTAATCCCAGCTACCTGAGAGGCTGAGGCAGGAGAATCACCTGAACCCAGGAGGCAGAGGTTGCAGTGAGCCGAGATCACGCCACTGCACTCCAGCCTGGGCAACAGGGTGAGACTCTGTCTCAAAAAAAAAAAAAAAAGAAATTGAAGATGATACAATATAGTGGAAAGGTATTCCATGTTCATTGATTGGAAGAATAAATCTTATTAAAATGTTCACACTACCTAAAGCAATCTACAGATTCAATGCAAGCCCTATGAAAATACCAATAACATTCTTCACAGAAATAGAAAAAACAATCCTAAAATTTATATAAAAACACAAAAGACCCAGAGTAGCCTAAGCTGTCCTAAGCAAAAACAACAAAACTGGAGGAATTATATTACCGGACTTCAAACTGTGCTACAAAGCTATAGTAACCCAAACAGCATGGAACTGTCATAAAACAGACACAAAGACCAATAGAACAAAATAGAGAACCCAGAAAAAAATCCATACATCTACAGCAAACTCATTTTTGACAAAGGTTCAAAGAACATACACTGGGGAAAGGACAGTCTCTTCAATAAATGGTGCTAGGAAAACTGAATATCTGTATGCAGAAGAATGAAACTAGACACCTGCTTCTTGTCACATGTAAAAATCAATTAAACATGGATTAAAGACTTAAATCTAAGACCTCAAACTATGAAACTCCTACAAGAAAATATTGGGGAAGCTCTTTAGAACACTGGATTTGGCAAAGGTTTCTTAAGTAATACCCCACAAGTACAGGCAACCAAAGCAAAAATGGACAAGTAGGATCACATCAAGTTAAAAAGATTCTGCACAGCAAAGGAAACAATCAACAAAGAGACAACCCATAGAATGGAAGAAAATATTTGTGAACCATCCATCTGTCAAGGGATTAATAACCAGAATATATAAGGGATTCAATAACCAGAATATATAAGGGATTCAAATAATTCTATATGAAAAAATCAAATAATTTGATTAAAAAGTGAGTAAAAGATTTGAATAGACACTTCTCAAAAAAAGACAAATAGCAAACAGGTGTACTAAAATGTGCTCAACATCACTGCTCATCAGAGAAATGCAAATCAAAACTACAATAAGATATCATTTCACCCTAGTTAAGATGGCTTGTATCCAAAAGATAGGTAATTACAAGTGCTGGTGACGAAGTGGAGAAAAGGGCACCCTTGTACACTGTTGGTGAGAATGTAACTTAGTACAGACACCATGGAGAACTGTTTGAAGGGTCTTCAAAACACTAAAAATAGAGCTGCCATATCACTCAGCAATCTCACTGCCAGCTGTGTATCTAAAAGAGAGGAAATCAGTATATAGAAGAGATATCTGCACTCCCATGTTTACTGCAGTGCTAGTCACAATAGCCAAGATTTGGAAACAACCTAAGTGGCCATTCATAGATGAAGGATAAAGAAAATGTGGTACATACATATAAACAATGATATCCCATCATAACAGCATGGATGGGACAGGAAGTCATTATGTTAAGTGAAATAAACCAGGCACAGAAAGACACACTTCACATGTTCTCACTTATTTGTGGGAGCTAAAAATTTAAACAGTTGAACTCATGGAGATAGAGAGTTGAATGATAGTTACCAGAAGCTAGGAAGGGTAGTGGGAGGGGGTAAGAGGGAAGGGTTCATGGGTACAAAAATACAGTTAGATAGAATGAATATGATCTAGTATTTGATAGTACAATAGGGTGAATATAGTCAAACATAATTTATTGTACATTTAAAAATAACTAAAATAGTATAATTGTATTTTTTTTTTTGAGACAGAGTCTCACTCTGTTGCCAGGCTGGAGTGCAGTGGCACAATCTCAGCTCACTGCAACCTCTGCCTTCCCAGGTTCAAGCAATTATCCTGCCTCAGCCTCCCAAGTAGCTGGAACTATAGGCGCCCATCACCACACCCAGCTAATTTTTGTATTTTTAGTAGAGATGGGGTTTTACCATGTTGACCAGGATGGTCTCAATCTCTTGACCTCGTGATCCGGCCACCTCGGCCTCCCAAAGTGCTGGGATTACAGGCGTGAGCCACCACACCTGGCCTGGATTGTTTGTAACATAAAAAAGGATAAATGTTTGAAGTGATGGATAGCCCATTTACCTTGATGTGATTATTATACATTGCATGCCTGTATCAAAATATCTCATGTGCCCTATAAAAATATAAATCTACTGTATACCCACAAAAATTAAAAATACAAAATTTTTAAAAATTAGATTGTATCCCATAAGTATATACAATTATTATTTGTCAATTTAAAATAAATATATAAACATAAATGGCTCTGTACAGATTTTGGGTCACTTGGGGCCTACTGCACATAACCTTTATGGCAGTGTGTCATTGTTCAAACAAAACGTCAACAAAGAGGACTGGCTTAGAAAGTCAAATTTTTGTAATACAGCATAATCTAAAATCTATGTTCCAAGTTGCCATAAACCCTAAAGCTCAATACCTCACATTTACTTTGCCCTTCACAGTTTACATAGTGCTTTCCCATACACTATTAAATCTTTCAGATACCATTGTACTTTGGACAGATTTCTAGCAGAGCACTTATAAGACTTTATTGCATTTATAATTCTATAATTATAATCTACTAAAAATCCACTGGGAGCAGGAAAGTGCTTATTCATTCTTTGAAACCTCAGAGGACATTGCCTGGTACATAAGATCAGTAAGTCAATCGAGTAATTTTGAACACTACATTCAATATGTTTTGGGAAATACTTCTCCCGAAGATGAAGCCTAATTCCTCTTTTCTTGAGTGTGAGCTGGACTTAGTGACTCACTGCTAATGAATAGAAAATAATCATATGTGACTTCTGAGACTAAGTCATAAAAGGCACTGCAATTTCCTCCTTGCTTCACTCTCTTGGACGGCTTGCTCTGGGGAAAGTCAGCTATCATGTGGTACCACCCAAGCAGCCCTTTGGAGATGTCCTTTTCTCAAGGATCTGAAGCCTCTTGTCAACAGGCATGTGAGTGCTCCATCTTGGAAGCAAAGTTTCCAGCCTCAGTCAAGCTTTTGAATGACTGCAGCCCCATGCAACATCTTGCCTACAGCCAAAAGAGATGTCAAGTCAGAACCACCCAGCTAAGCCATTCTGAATGCCCAACCCACAGAAACTGTGAATTAATACATGTTTGTTCTTTTAAGCCACTAAACTGTGGGATAATTTTCTACACAAGCAATAAATAATCTACCTATGATTATGAGGAATAGCAATAAGAGAAATAAAATAATACTTTTCTTATTAAAGAGAAATAGAAAAATAACAAAAGTAATGCGGTAGCTATTATTTATGGTTTACTACTTAAGGGACTCCACATATGATAGAATTTCATTTGCTCTTCACAAGAATATTAAAAGACACGTGGTAATATTTCCATTTTACATATGCAGAATTGCAGATGTAGATTAAGTCACTTGGCTGAAGTGCTAATAAGTGGCAGTCAAAAAAATTGAAACCCACGTTTCTTTGTTTCCAAGTCCCATGTTCTTAACCACTGTGTACATTATCTCCCAATATATATTTATTAAGAATGAGTGCAAGAACCCAATTCACAATTGCCAAGATTTGGAACCAACCTAAGTGCCCATTGACGAATGAGTAGATAAAGAAAATGTGGTATATATACATAATGGAATACTACTTGGCCATAAGAAGGAATAAAATAATGTCTTTGGCAGCAACTTGGATGAAGCTAGAGGCCATTATTCTGAGAGAAGTAACTCAGGAATGGAAAACCAAATACCATGTGTTCTCACTTATAAGTGGGAGCTAAGCTATGAATATATGGGAAGGCACACAGAGTGATATAATGGACTTTGGAGACTTAGAAGGGGACACTAGTCTGGTGACAATTGCACTAAAGTCTCAGAATTAACCACTATATAATTCATCCATGTAAACAAAAACCACTTGTAGCCCCAAAGCTATTAAAAAATATATTTAAAAATTTTAAAAAGAAAGCAATAGTACGATTAAAAAAAAGAATGAGGGCAAGATATTAACCAAGGCTTCATTATAATTTGTGTGGTCCCTAGACATCTTTGCCTTAATGTATCCCTTCCTTCATTAAGAAATACTGAAAATTATGTTAAACATTAGTATAAGCAAGTATAAGCAAGACTGGATTCATTATAATATATTCATTAGTGTTATATTCATTTTTCCTCTAATTTTAAAAGAAATTAAAATTAAAATATTTCTATGGGTCCCTAAAAGAATTCTGGTTCTAAGTAGTATGACTACTACGCCTGATGGATAACTAGGTCCCAGCATCAAATTGCACACAGAAATCAAACAAGCAATAGCAAAGAAAAGAGAGAGAGATAGGAAAAAAAAAAAAAACCCTTTTAATGTCACATTTTAAAAGCCAAAGAAATAATGTTTCTTCTTTTCTAAACAGTGAAGGGCACAGGGCAGTAGGAAGTAATCGTAACCCATGGGGCTTGCTTTGGGGTGGGGAGCAGATTATAGTGTACATGGGATGCTCAGAGTCTCAGTTTAAGATGTTGAAAGAAAAGACACCAGGGCAGGAATTAAACCTGTCCCCTGAGGGAAGCAGGCAAGGCTTTTGTGCTCAATTGTGTTCAGCTCTCCTGAAAAGGAGAGTTCACCTGAGTAGTTTTGAGATCCTGCTTCGTGGGACCCACCTTGACTGGGCTGTGACTGCCTCATTCCTCTCAAGCAGAGACACCCATGAGCAGAGGGGCAGGCCTCAGAAGTCAAGTCCCTGGAGATGGCATGGAGTAATGAAAACAGTGATTTCTTTTTTCTTTTTTGAGTCGGAGTCTCGCTCTGTCATCAGGCTGGAATGCAGTGGCACGATCTCGCATCACCGTAACCTCCACCTCCTGGGTTCAAGCAATTCTCCTGCCTCAGCCTCCAGAGTAGCTGGGACTACAGGCATGTGCCACCACACCCAGCTAATTTTTGTATTTTTAGTAGAGATGGGGTTTCACCATGTTGGCCAGGATGGTCTCGATTTCTTGACCTCGTGATCCGCCTGCCTCCGCCTCTCAAAGTGCTGGGATTACAGGCATGAGCCACCGCACCTGGCCAAAAATAGTGATTCTTAGATCTGGTACAACCTTCAGACTCTCTACCCAGGAACTGCGTGGTTTTGGATGAACTAGGTTTGTGGTGCCTTACCATAGTTTTCTCTTGCAGTTTTCTCATCTGTAAAATGAGGGCCTTATGGCAAAGACAGTGCTCACCAGATAGCTACATGCTCCCTTCCAATTCACTGCCAATGGCTGGCCAATGGGCTGCAAATAGTGATGACATGCTTCCAGTTCAGGGTAAGGCAGTAAAAAGCTGGCATATCTCCATACATAGCTCTTCTCCCACAATAAATCTGGAAGGCACATGTGCAAGGCAGCATAGCTAAAAATGATAAATGGCCCAAAATCATGAGAGACTGCCTGGAAGAGAGCTGTGCAGGTATGCAGACCCACATTGAACTTTAAGTCAGAGTGAAATAAACTTCTGGTTTGGGGTTACATGTTACCACAGCATGCCTTAGCTTATCCTGACTAATAGAGACTTAATGCCAACTTTACTGAATTGTGAGAATGAAATGAAAGGGTGAATGTAAAGCATCAGAAATGTGTCTGGAAGAGACAATTCACTCAATAAACATTTTTTTCCCTTCTCAACTTTGAAAAACTGCATTTTGCCCCAAAGGATTAATCATTGCCCAAAAACTACATTCTGATAAGACCCCTGTCTTATAATATGTTAGTGTTGGGACCTAGACACGGAATTCTGAAAAAGATGAAGGTCTTACACAGCCTCATCAACAGAGGCCTTCAGGCTTCACATAGGCTCCTGTTCCCTGCAGAAAACAGTACAGACACTTTGCAGAGCCTAAACACAATACAACTCATTTCGCCTGGAGAGTAGAATGATGCAGGTGGGGGAAAGTAGAGAGGAAGTATTCCTGGCGCGGTGTTTTACACTTTTGTTTAGATGTCTTGTTTCCAGAAGGCTTGCAAACGTGGACTCAGGAACATTACCCAGAAGTTTGAGTGAGGGCTTGCTGTGACCCATAGAAGCAGCATGCTCCTGAACACTACCCCATCTACAATCTCAGCATCCTGTGATTCAAGGCCCTTAGACATGACTTAGAAGAATACTGTATGTTAGAGAAGTTGAGGCCCAAAGTGGGGAAGGGCTTGCCCCAGGTCCTCCTGCCGGGAGTGGCTAAATTTTTAACAGTTCCTCTTCCTCTCAGAGCTCTCTCTATCCACCAATGGACACTCCAGATTGGCCAGCCTCTCATCCAGGCACCTCTTCCCTGTGTCACCTGCCTGAATGGGAACTGTCAAAAATGAACACTAAAATCAGGCTTGGCAAGGTTTTCCGGCATCCATTTCACCGTGATTTCTCTAAGTGCGCATTGGATTGACGTAGCTATTAAAAGTCAGCCCTAGCTCGGCAATCAGACAGAAAAGCTATAATCACCCCAGGCATTTCCAAGGGACCTTTCAAAGAACATCATTAATTCTGAATAAAACTCTCCCTCACCAACACTTCCAGTTATAGTCTTGACATTCCTATTTTATGCTGCAAAATTCCTCTGCCATTTAATGTAGAAGAAAAAAGGCCTACTTTAAAAATCACATGTATTTGTCCTGTATTCTAAGTATCTGAGTTAATTTTCCAAAATTAAAACAAAACTAGCAACAAAAAACTTTCCTTGTCTCTTTTTGCTCTCATATGCACCTCTTCCCTCACCCATGTATTGTATTTGCAAAGGGCAATAAATCCTGTTAATCTATAGGACCGGGAGCATGTTACTTGAAACACCTGATACCCTCAAAAGAGAAAGTTGAGGCTTCCAGAGTGAGAAGGATGCTGAGCACCTATTAGATCCTGGCCAAAAGGCAGAAAGCTTCAGACAGAATAATAAATACGGTGAGAGAAGATCTGCCGACTGCAATTTTGCTCATCTCATTACATTTCCAGCATTATCTTCCTCCTCCTTATGGACTGCCAGGCAATATCCTGTTGAACCCCTTCTTTCTCCAGCCAGTCTGCCACCCAGTGTGTGCCAGCCACTATGCCAGGTGCTTTACATTCTTCATCTCACGTAATCCTCACCAAGAGCCCTATCAATTACGAATGAACATGTTTAAAGATGAAGAAATGAGACCCACAGATATTAAGCAACTGTCCTAATGTCCCAAGCTGGGATTTGAATCCATGGTTCTCTTTCCTAAATCACTAGAGGATAGCTCCGGGGTTGAGATAAGGAAAGCAAAGTGACACCAATTATTATATTTTAAAATCCTCACTATTCCCCTTGGCAGGGTGCTGGCTAATGGAGTTGGGGAATAGTCTCTGAACTGCAGAGGATAGACTGGGGTACGGTGGAGACAGAAAATAAGGCGTGATTGGTCACAGGAATTTCTGAAAGACGAATTCCCAGTCCACTGCATCCCCTCTAGGTCTAGTTGGGACAAGGAAGCCGGCGGCTCCAGGACTCACATGGACAGGGGCCCTTGAGGGGGAAAACAACAGATAGTGCAGGTAACAAGATGTGCCCTCATCGCTACTGAGACGGGCTGAACCTACAAGCCCCTCCGGCCATATCGTGCGTCGTGGGTCGGTGTCAGATCTGCCTCCCTAACGTGCAGATTGTGAAACCCTTTCCTCTGCGCGCACCAAGTACGCAGCTGGCGAACCCCTCACTTGCGTGCCAGGTGAGCCGGTGACAAGCCCCTCGGTGCCCGCTTCAGAAGAACTGATGGCAAACTTGTCCTCGTGCGCCCCAGGTGATCTCTGGGCGCGCGCTCCATTAGTACAAGCTTCCGCCCACTCTCCCATTCGCGAAGCTGCCTCCTTCTCTAGCAACCGCTTCCCCATAGCAACGTTCCTCAGCCCACCCCTCACCTGCATGGTGGCCGGCAACGGCAGCACAGCTCTCCGGCGGCGGCCGAAACGAAACTTGGCCGCCTCGTAGATCTTCCGGTAGACAAACGGCACCACGCCAAGCGGCAGGTGGAAGGCGCCGCGGGTGGAGAAGGCGGCATAGGAGGGTTCCCGGCTCACCTGGCAGCGCTGGAGCCGAGCGTCGCACACCTCGCCCCGGCCAAAGAGCAGCGGCGCGAGGGCGATGAGCGCCGACGGCACCCGGGCGAGCGCGATCATGAGCAACGAGGCGCGGCTGCGGGTGCGCAGCGTGTGCTGCAGGTGCCGTGTGATGGCCCCGTCGCGGCCCAGGGCGATGGCCGCCACGTTCCCGAGGCCGGCGGGGCAGCACAGCCGTGGAAGGAGATCCACACGTGGCACAGGCTCCGGCGTCGAAGGAGATCCACACGTGGCACAGGCTCCGGCCCAGCAGCCGACGTCGCCCGGTCGACAGCTCACTCGCCAGGCTCGGTGGCATCGCCAGCGCTGCCACTAGTTCGTCCGAGACGGCCGTCGAGGCCACCAAGTTATGCGGCACGCGGTGGAAGGCACGGACCCGCGGGATGGTGACCGGAACCAGCAGGTTCCACAGGAAAGTGGCAGCGATCAGCAGCACTAGCAGCGTCACCACCAGGACCGTGAAGACAGAGAAGGGCGGCCCTCGGCCCGGCAGGACGGCGCCGCTCGGGGTCGAACCGAGTATCCCTCTCGGGCTTGGGGTCCCGGGTCCTGCTGCTGGTCTCGGGTCCCAGGGCAAGGGCAACGCCGGCGGTGGCCACTGAAAGGCTAGCGGCCTCCATGGCGCTTGGGATCGCAGCTCCAGGGCAGGGGGCACACGAGTCCTCAGTGAGTTCGGCGTGGACCGGGCAGGTGCGGGCGTGGAGGGGGTACTGCCTGCCGGGGGAGGCTGGAAGAGGGGTCCAGGTCGTCCTATCCTGATCCCTCCTGCGGGCAGCAGCCCACCTTTGGCACGTATGCCTGCAGCCCCCGTAGATCCTCTTTTCCAGGAGAATGAGTAAGAGAGAGCAGGACCCCTCAGTCTAGCTCCGCTCGGCTCGCCAGTCCCTCCTACCACCTCTCTTAGCGGTCCCGGGTGCCACCGGCCGCCAGGGGGTTGGGAATCAGCGCGGCCGAGGGACAGAGCGCGGGTTGTGCTTGGAGAGTTGCCCCTCCCCCACCCAGCGGCGTCGGGAGACGAGCTGCACCTGCAGTGGGCGGGGGTGGGCGGGAGCAAGGGGCAGCTGGAGAGCCCACCAACAGGAGCCAGGCCTTCAACACTGTCCCCGCTGGTCTCCCTGACTGTGCCAAGCAGAGACAACCCGGGGTAGCTGGAGAGCCCACCAACAGGAGCCAGGCCTTCAACACTGTCCCCGCTGGTCTCCCTGACTGTGCCAAGCAGAGACAACCCTAACTGAGGTGGTCTCCGGGAAAGGTTTACAATGGGGAGAAAGTCCCTTGCCACCACCTCTGCGGACCCCTCGGACCTGCTGGTGGCACGGTTTGACACTGGGAAACAAGGGTCCCGCTCTGCCCCGGCCAGGGGGCTTCGGGTTTCCTGTAATCTCGATTCTACCTATACCCGAAATGGGAAACCCAGGTATTGGGGTATATAAAACAGAAAGCTCCTAAGCCCAGCCCCATCCTGCCGCCGCTTTGCTTCCAGCACGGCTGCCCGGCGAGGGCTTGGTGACGCCTTGAGAAATTCACTCCCTGGCTCTATGAGGAAAGAACGCGGCTTCTGAGCAATCTGGCAGAGATCTGGAAGAGGAACCCTTTATACCATCATCTTCGCCAGCTCTAACCTCCCCTATCATGTCCTCACCCCCCACATACGCGCACTCTCCACCCAGCCCTGTCCTTTCAGTTTCCAACATGGAGAAAGCTGGAATTGAGAAGATTTTGAGAAAATTGACCTGATGAAGAGAATTTGTTAGAAGAAAAGGAAGACTAGCCTTTGAAATATTTTTACAATATCTCTCCATTTTATTGAAAACATTATAAGAGCAAAGAATATTAGAAATGTTAAAACATTCATATTGCACTAGCCAGATGCATCACATGCTTTTACTCTCATCTTTTGTCCCTATCCACATACATTTTTTTTTTTTTTGAGATGGAGTCTCGCTCTGTCACCCAGGCTGGAGTGCAGTGGCGCGATCTCAGCTCACTGCAAGCTCCACCTGCCGGGGTCACGCCATTCTCCTGCCTCAGCCTCCTGATTAGCTGGGACTACAGGCACCTGCCACCACGCCCGGCTGATTTTTTGTATTTTTAGTAGAGACGGGGTTTCACAGTGTTCGCCAGGATGGTCTCGATCTCCTGACCTCGTGATCTGCCTGCCTCGGCCTCCCAAAGAGTTGGAATTACAGGCGTGAGCCACCGCACCCACCTCCACGTACATTTTCTATAGGTAAAATCAATTTTTTATTTACAGATTTCTGTTAGCACTTTTCATGTTATTATATATTGTCTTCATAGTTCCACTTGTTATAGGGTACCATTTATCAGCTGGGAGACTCTGAGCAACTTAGGCTTTCTGAGACACATTTTCCTTATCTTAAAAGTGGGGATAATTATACTTGTCATGAGATCATTATAAAACTAGAGTTAGAGCCAGTAGCACAGGAGTAAGTGTTCAATAAATAATGACTGTTCCTGCTCTTTCTAACTTCTAGTCTAAACCTTAGATTCAGTTATCTTCTGATCTTTGAGGTAGATTATGTTTTTAGATAGGTATATTCTCTAAAATATTTGTAACAACAAAACACTTTCACCACTTTATTTCAGTTGATCTTACCCACAGTCATTTTAGGCATCATTCTCATTTGCAGAAGAAGAAATGAAGAGAGATTTGTTGACTTTCTGCTATGGACATAATTGTGTTGCCCCAAATTCATATATTTAAGCCCTAACTCTCAGTGTGCCTGTATGGGGAGAGAGGGCCTACAAAGAGGTAATACCCTGGTTTGATAGAATTAGTGTCCTTATAAGAGGCACCAGAGACCTCACTCTGTCTCTCCTTAACATATGAAGACACAGTGAAAAGGATTCTGCCCACAAGCCAGGAAGAGGGTACCCACTAGGAAATGAATCTGCTGGTAACTTGATCTTGGACTTCCCAGCCCCTTAAACTGTAAGAAATAAATTTCTGTTGTCTAAGGCAGCCAGTCTAAGGTGTTTGTTATAGCAGTCTGAGCAGACCAAGACACTTGCTTTGAGACTGATAGCTGGGACTCCACTATCTGACCCCCATTTCCCACCCCTCTATCCTACCACTCTCTTTTCATAGCTCTTCACAGAAGTGACATCATATTATTATTTAATTCCCTTTCCATTATCTAAATGCCTTCCCCCACTAAAATATAAGCTCTTCTTGGGCAGGGAATTTGTTCACTGCAATATCCTTAGCATCTTATTCTGTGCCGGGCACATAGTAGTTGACTCAATACATTGGAATGAGTTAAATAAATAAATGAGGCATTGTTGGGAGACGTGGTTCATAGGCCCTGAGCATCCCCTGAACCTTCTCCTCGTGTGTGCCAAGAATGCAAGGCCCTGACTGCTCATTTCCTAGGCCATTCCTGAGTGTTGTGTTTGTAGCAAGCAACCTTAAAAGATGAAGTAACCTCTCCTCTGGGCAAGGGGCATGCTTGCTTCCACTTAATGTCAAAGTGGTGAATTCCAAGCTCAGCATTTCTCTCTGTGACTCTGCTCACTACTGGGCAGGAATTCAGCATGAGCCCTTTCTATCACCCGCATGAGAACTGGGAAACATGGAGAGCTATCACAAGCAAAGGTGAAGCTCTGGCTATGGCTTTTGCCTAGTGTATTAAAGTTTGTTTTCTCTGACTCAGGAGTCTAATGTCTTCTGCCAGCATCTATGAAATTGTAACAGGGTGGCTTGTGAGCTTGCAAGTAGGGTAAAATCTCAACCCTGCACAGTACATGACAGGCATTCAGTTTACTGATTTTTAAAAATTACAATTAGCACTTTTTTTCTCTTTTGGGTTTCTTTTCTCTTTTCTTTCTTTCTTTTTTTTTTTTCTGAGATGGAGTCTCCCTCTGTCACCCAGGCTGGAGTGCAGTGGCGTCTTCTTGGCTCACTGCAACCTCCACTTCCTGGGTTCAAGTGATTCTCCTGCCTGAATCACCCAAATAGCTGGGATTACAGCCATGCACCACCACGTTGGGCTAATATTTGTATTTTTAGTGGAGATGGGGTTTTACCATGTTGTCCAGGCTGCTCTCAAACTCCTGACCTCAAGTGATCCGCCTACCTAGTCCTCCCAAAGTGCTGGGATTACAGGTGCTCTGCCTGGGTTTATTTTCTTGATACATTTTCTCCCAAATTTAATTATGGAGTTAAAATATAGGAATGGTGTAACCGTTCTTTTTATGCATTTTCAAATTGTACCTCAGAAAAATTTAATGGTGTCAGTTTTCTTAGCCCTGGCTTTGGAGAAACAAGAAAGAAACGAACAGCCTTGCTAAAGCAAATTTTTTATCATTAAAAACAATGTTCAATTGGTGTATAATGATGTATTTTAATTGTTTTGATTTGCTTTTTGCTTTTTTTTTTTTTTTTGAGACAGAGTTTCACTCTTATTGCCCAAGCTGGAGCGCAATGGCGAGATCTTGGCTCACTGCAATCTCTGCCCCCTGGGTTCAAGCGATTCTCCTGCCTCAGCCTCCCAAGTAGCTAGGATTACAGGCGCACACCAGCACATCTGGCTGATGTTTTTATTTTTAGTAAAGACGGTGTTTTGCCACATTGTCCAGGCTGGTCTCAAAGTCCTGACCTCAGGTGATCCATCTACCTCAGCCTCCTGAAGTGCTAGGATTACAGGCATGAGCCACCATGTCCAGCTTGATTTGCATTTTTAATTGCTAAAACTGCTGCATATTTCCATATGGTGTTTATTATCTATGTATTCTTGCATAAAAGCTGTTTATTCACTTTAAACTACTCTATAAAGGAATATGGGTGTTGATTTTATGAATATTTATCAACTTTAATGCATTTAGAGAGCATATTTTAATCAGTTTTTTGTCACGTAATTTTTCTCTATTACTCTTCGTGTTTATTACATTTTGTCGAATAAATTTTTTATGTAATAAAACACATTAATTCTTGTCTCCATTAATATCTTCAACTTACTCAGTAATCATAAATCACTTTCCTGTCCTCCATTTGTGTTATTAAAGTTTATGACTAGATTAAAAGTGTAATTCTTTGATCCCCCTGTGGTGGTTGTTGAATGTAGCAGGAGGTGGTGGCTCGGCCCTCTTACCTGCATGTTGTATATAATCTTATCTAGGGAAGGGACTGATTACTGAGGGCAAGACATCTTGGTCGTACAAAGATAGGTGTGATGCTTTCCTGATCTCAGAGGCTCTTTCATCTATCACAGAATAAAATCTGCTTACCGAATAACCACGACGCAGCAAAATGTGCTAACAGTTGATTAGCAGCACCAACAAGGGTTTCTGGCCTTGCTGGGGATAGAAATCACCTCCAATGAGGAGGATCAGAGAAGTCCTCCGAGGGAGGCAGCTTTTGATCTGAACCTTAAATATGAGGAAGATTTTCACCAGCAAGTGTGGGGAGAAGAGGATGGAGGAATACTTGGCGAGAGGAGGGTGAGCAAATGCCTGGAGGCAAAAGAACAACAACAAAACAAAACCATAAGAATAATCAGTGAGTACCCAATGTTGACTAGATGGCTGTTCATTCACTTCAGGCTTGTCAATTTTTGATTTTAAAGAAAGTATACGTAGAACATTTCTATCATTTTCACTCAGCTGATTCCTTGCCTGTAGTAATTCCATGTATCTCCCATAGTTACCTTTTTTGCTGTTATTAAAAAACATTCATTCTTCAATATTATTTCCCTTGTGTGTTCTTCCAGATGATTTTTAATATTGTTTTATCGGGGCTTTTTTATTTCTATTTGCTCATTGAGTCTCAGATCAAGCATTACCGCTTTCGAGAAGGTGGTCTTGATCCCTACATCTGCCCCAGTCCCAGTCCTAGCTGGTGCCCCTGCTGTGACTGGCCCCAGAAGCGAGTGCTGACACAGGGATGCACTTCTGCCTCTCTACTAGATGGCAGGCTCCCCGAGGATATGGCTGGGCACCAAGCGTCTCTCAGCTTTCCCTGGCAGGTTCCCCGAGGATATGGCTGGGCACCAAGCGTCTCTCAGCTTTCCCTGGCAGGCTCCCCGAGGATATGGCTGGGCACCAAGTGTCTCTCAGCTTTCCCTGCCATGCACCCCACTTCCACCTCACCCAAGGCCTGGATTAGGCTTAATAAACTCACATGAATGAATGAATGAGGAAAGATATGAAGAGAACCAAGAACCAGCTTACTGAGGATGGAGAACAGTTGAGGGTGTTTAAGGATATCAAGGAAGACATCTGGTCTTAGAAGCCGAGAAGAAGCTATCTAAGCCTAAAGCCAAGTAGAATTAAATAGCACAAGAGAAGGGAGGACATATACAGAGTTTTGGTTCTTTTTAAAGGTTTGTAGTCAGGGAAGGCATTAGGGCAGGGTCAAGACAAACTCCTTTATCACAGTCCAAACATCACCTCCTCAGAATGGCCTAATTCACGGGTTCTCAAACTTCAGCTGACATCAAAGTCACCTGGGAAGCTTGTTAAAGCAGATTGCTGGGGCCACCCCAGAGTCATGTCTGGGCTGTAATGTGATGAGTCCCCCATCAGATTACTTAAAGGTATGTGTCTGCTGCCGGAACCCTAGAGGTGATGAGCCAAGGCCATGGTGCCCCACTGAGGAGCAGATGTCCCTGATAACTCAAACATCCCAGGGAGTATCTGAGACCCTACTAAGGAAAACAGTCCCATCACACACACACACAGTAGGCAAAGAGCCAGAAAATTAGCTTAAAACAGCTTAGAGATGGGAGAGGGCACACATCTCTAGAGCTGCCCTGCTGCTGCCCCAGAATGCCTTGTATGCAAGCTCTAATAAACTCATCTACTCACCAAGCTGTACTTGTTTGAGTCACTTTTTGGTCTCTGTGCTTCCTCCCAGCTTGGGAGATGGTTTTTCTGTATGATTCTGGGTTTTTCTTGTTACATGGGCTAGGGGCCAAGAATTTGCATTTCTAACAAGTACCCAGGGGATGCTGGTCCTGCTGATCCAGGGACCATGCTTTGGGAACCACGGGTGTAAAGTAGGATTCTCAGTCATTCTCTACCTACTTTCCATTTTCTTATATAACTTATAAGCTCTCACTGTATGCCAAACACTGTTCTAAGCACTCTCTATAAATCAAAATACTCAGTTTTTACACAATCTTATGAGATACTTTTATTACCTCCATGCCACACATGAAGGAAGAATCAAGAGAAATTAAGTCATACCCCCCACATCATGTAGCTAGTTAAGCTCTAAAGTCCGTTGACCATAAGAGGAACTTTAAATGCTCTGAAGAAGCCAGACGGAGTCTATCTGTTGTGGACCTTGGACAAGCCACTTACCTCTGCCTCAGTGTCTTCTAAAATGGAGATTATAATAGCACAAATCTCATAGGGTTGTTGGGAGGACTAAATGAAACAATTCACAAGGGGGCTCTTATTGTAATTATGATCTGAAATATATATGATATTTTAGAGGTCTTCCCTCCCAACCAGAACATCAATTCTATGAGAATGAGAAGTTGTCTTGTTGGTTGCTAGAAACCGGAATAAAACTTGGCGCATATTAGACTCTCAATAAATATCCCTTGTGTTGTCTTTCGCCAGGTAAACTTTTCTTTTTAGATCAACATTATTCCTACTTTTGAGATTCAGCTTTTATTGTATTTACATATGAACATCTAAATGTTTTCACTAACTCCTCCTGAGTCAGGGATTCTCAACCTAAGCACTATGGAGATTTTGGGCTGAATAATTCTTTGTTGGGGGTGGGGTGGGTGCTATCAAGTATGTGGTAGGATGTTTAGCAGCTTCTTTGTTCTTTACTCCCTGGATGCCAGTAGCCACCACCGACCCCACCAGTTATCTCCTGGGAGCAGAATCAACCCAGTTGAGAACCATTGATCTAGATAATTCAGATGTCTCTAGCAGGCATTTCCTCTCTTAAACATCCCGTTCAACCAGGAAGTGTTAGTCCTGCCAGGTTTCCCTCCTGTGGTTTCCCAGAGAAAGGTCTGCAGCACTGGCACAGCCCTTGCCTTAGTGCTCTATGTGATAATCAATGTTTTTCACAAGGAATCAGAGAAAACCGCCAGACACTGGATATGGCTGTTCCAAATGACCAATATTGGAAGGGTTAAACATCTCAACACAAAGGTCCTTGAGGATTTCTCTCCACCTTCAAGTTTGAGACTCAACTCCTCAGACCTCACATTCCAGCCCATCTCCAGGGTATCTGGTACCCAGAATGTCTACTCCCATCAGAAACAAAGGATCCTTCTAAGGCCTTGCCTTAGTCCTTCTCCTCACCTAAACAGTGCAAAACCCCCAAAAGAGGGAACTTTCCTGAGGTCAGAGTTATTAAATCTGCCAGGATACCTGGTGTGAAGTTTAAAAAAGAGAGCATGTCATGAAGACATGCCACCTCATCCTTCCTGCTCCCTTCATAGCTTCATTCTGCTCCTAACCACACAGACGGGTGAGTTCCTGAACAAGAAAGTCGGTGTGCACACACCAACACACATGCACACACACACACCCCTCTGGGAAACAAGCAAAATTTTTTTAGGGATAGTCTAAATCCACATTTAGAGAAATTTTTTTCCCCTAAAGGGAATGTGATGAACAGAGAAGCCTGCCACATATAGGGAAATGCTCTTTTATGGGGCCAAGCAGCCCTGTTTCCCTCCTTGTTGCTCCTAAACCTCTCTGTTCCAGAAGGGATTGCTGCTTTACTTTGGCATTACCAAAAGGCTTAGACAAAGAAATTGCTTGACATCACAGGTGAAATTCAGACCTCTGCCTCCAGAGAAACTGAAAAAGTGCCTGCAACTTTAGCCATCTTTCTTCCTCACCCACTGCTTGTCTCCACCAGGATTTTAGAAAATCATATGGAGAAAATAAAGTTATATACACAAAAAATCCTGCACATCGTTGTTTGTAGCATATTTATTCATAATTGCGTACTTGCCAAAACTGGGAAGCAACCAAGAATAAAGCCAAAATCATTTGATCTAGTCCCAGTCAGGTACCCCATTATATCTGCAGTTGGAAATAAATGGATGTGCATCCTCTATACATTAATATATGCCATAATGTTATCTGCCTTCATAAAACTGTTTTAACCTCTGATTATGTTTTACACTGAAATACAATAATTAAAGGCACACTCCTTTCCTATGTTATAAACTACTATTGTTGGTACTCAACCAAAATGAAGAGTTTTGCTCTATGTGTGGAAACGGATCTGGGCTTGATGTTGGTCCCAGCCTCCTCAGTGCTGCGGATTTGCTTTAGAATAAAAGTGGGTGGAAATCATTTCTCCAGATAAGCAATGGGCTTATCTCCAGCCCACTATCAAAGCAGTGTTAAGGATCAGTTGGAGACAGGGAAAAGAAAACAGGTTCAAGGAAACATCGAGGCATAATTGGCATTTGTTTTCCTACTGTGTGTGGGTGTTGAAGCTAATTTGTTTGCAGGAACGTGGGGAAAGATAGTGCCTTAGAGTAGTTGTTCCTCCTACTACTCTTGGAGTTTTAATTAGCAGATGGGCTCCTTCCCCCACCACCTGCCAGCTGCTTTCTTTTCACATGACCAAAGGTAGTTTTTAAAAATTTCCATGCATTCAAACCTCAGCTCTTAAAAATGCCCTTTTTCTCATGAAAAGATCTCTAATGAAGACTCTGGGTCAAGAATGAAAAGTTTCCCAGAGTCAACAATGATAATAAAGACCACCCAATAACTGCAAGAATCCTGTACAAACAGGTCACATCCCATGGGCGGGGACTCCGCTGGGTTTGAAATTCTCACTGGCTCATCTTTCCACCTGTTGTGCTCTCCTCCCTCCCTCATCAGGAGGGGTGAGGGGATAGAAGCAGGATCAGGTGGGGAGGGAGAGGGAGCACGTGGAGGAGAGTGTGTGTCTCAGCTGATCTCTTCTGCATTTTAAGCTGCTCGTAGGAAGGCGAAATTGGAAAGGAGGGCTGTAATGAGGTCGAGAATTACCCACATTCCCCCTGCAGGCTAATTTACTCCCCTACTCAGAGCTGCGTGAAGTTCAGGGTAGCCAGGACCAGGGGATTTAGCCCCAGAGCCTGTAACTGAACCATCAGCCCTGGAATAACCAGTAGTTGCAATTTCTAACTAACTTCGGAGAAGCAAAATAAAAAAGTGCTTAAAAACCAAAATGATTAAAAGAACCCCAAGGCTCGTAATTTGGAAATGTCAATTAGGAAACACATCATTGAGAAAAGTATAGATTAGAAAAATAAATCAAGACAAGATGATACTTATAAGTTTAATGTCTAGATTAATAGGATGACAATAGAGGGCCATAAAGAAATATCTTACCCATGCATTGCTTGTCAGTGAATGATAGCTATAAGGTTTTAGAGAAAAGCATGAAATATTTTGAAAAATGCATGAGTTTAAGTATAGATTCTAAGAAAAACCCCTCACTCACTATCTTACTTCACGTGCTGTGATGAAAATGGCAATTCTGCCCAAGACCCTGGGGCAGAAGGTATTCTGATTTCTGGAAGCCCTTGCCTTTCATTCGTCTCCAGGAAGTTTCTGAAATGAATTCAAATTCTCCAGCTGCAGAGAAAGGCTCTGGTGGTTTCTGATTCCCTGGTGTGCTGACTGGCAGCTGTAAATGAACTTCAGAATTTCGAAGGAGTAATACTTTCCAGTTGCCCAGGTTCCGTCAGGGTTCCCTCGTTTTCTCCGCCCAGGCTTTCTTCTCCTGTACTGATCTTTGTCTTTGCTGGAATTTGATTTCCTATGGGTGGTAGGAGAGAGTCTTTACCACGCCTCCTCCTCAGAGTTTCTTTGATGTTTATAATTTCTGATTCCAGCACATTCCAGGCACATGGTTTTTATCTTGCAAAATCTGAACTTTTTTTCTGGACTTTACAGAAATCCAGTCTCTGGATCCCCTTCCTCTAAGCAAACGTACCTTTCACTTTTTTTTTTTCTTTTGAGACAGAGTTTCCACTCTTGTTGCCCAGGCTGGAGTGCAATGGTGCGATCTCAGCTCACTGTAACCTCCGCCTCCTGGGTTCAAGTGATTCTCCTGCCTCAGCCTCCTGAGTAGCTGGGATTACAGGCATGCGCCACCATGCCCGGCTGATTTTTGTGTTTTTAGTAGAGATGGGGTTTTGCCATGTTGGCTAGGGTAGTCTTGAACTCCTGACCTCAGGTCATCCACCCACCTCAGCCTCTCAAAGTGGTGGGATTACAGGCATGAGCCACCGCGCCCGGCCAGCTCTCACCTTTAAAAATACAGTTTGTGCAATGGATTATTTTCCTACTGTGAAATTTTCTTTGGGTTTCTAAGGGTCATAGAGAAAACAGAAGACGTTCAAGATTCTTGTTCTTTTTGCTCCCACTGTTCTTTCAGCATCTCCGCATACTTACCCAGAAATGATGTGACCCAAGTCTTGGTTTGCTGTCACCGAGTGAAGAAAGAAGGGGAGCTCTGGAGCCCAGCAGGTGCAAATGCCTGCCTGGTCACCACCAGGTCGCGGGTACAGTCACTATGGGCAGGAGGCTTCATTGCTCTGCACATTGTCCCCATGGCCTTCTTGCAGCTTGCCTCTCTCCTCCAGGGAGTGACTGCCTTGGCACACTCTGTTCCAAATAAGACCTGACAAACAAGTGTGATGGATGTTTCCTGTCTTTCCTCTTCTTCCTCCGTTCTCCTCCTTTCCTTTCATTCTCTTTTTTTTAAGGCCATCATAGTTGACACCAAGATCCCCCTTTCAGGACTGAAGGACTGAGTTGTCCCTCCCTCCCTGTTTTAGTCCATTTTCAAGCTGCTGATAAAGACATACCCGAGACTGGGAAGAAAAAGAGGTTTAATTGGAGTTACAGTTCCACATGGCTGGGGAGGCCTCAGAATCATGGCAGGAGGTGAAAAGCACTTCTTACATGGCGGCGGCAAGAGAAAATGAGGAAGAAGCAAAAGTGCAAACCCCTGATAAACCCATAAGATCTCATGAGACTTATTCACTATCATGAAAATAGCACGGGAAAGACTGGCCCCCATAATTCAATTACCTCCCCCTGGGTCCCTTTCTGGGAAATACAATTCAAGTTGAGATTTGGGTGGAGACACAGGCAAACCGTATCACTCCCCTTCTCGGCTGCTGGGAAAGCTTCCACAAACAGCCTTCACCTCACCACACAGCCTCTTCTGGAATCACCTCACACAAGGCTGCTGCCTGTTCCAGGAGCAGCCCTCAGACATGATCAACACAGCATATAAAGGCCCAGGCCCCAGCCCCAACTTGAGGCTCAGAAGGGTCTGATCAGCTTCACAACTTCCCAGTGGGGTTAGCTGTGACTTTTGTCAAAACTGTCATGCCTCAGCTTCCCCCTTGGCCCAAATCTTCCTACATTCCCTGCATACCAATCCCCGTCTCAGTGTCTGTGTCCTAGCGAACCTGACCTACAAGAATCATGATGAGGTAGGATAAAGAAGGCACAATTCAATGGACAAAAGAAATCTACACTCAACAGGTCCATCGTGATAAAAGATGGTGACCAATGAAAGGTCATCACTTAGCATTCCATTCAAACAACATATTTATGGGGAAAAAAATCAATGGGAGAGAGTAGTCAGGGGAAGCTTCCTGGAGGAGGTGGAGTGAGAGCTGTTGTTCGTGGGTAGTAGGAATTGAAAAGGAGGAGGAACAACGCTGAGGACTTTAGGTAGGGAATTGCTTAAGCAATTTGAAAATGAACATCCTTAGTTTGTGATACGGCGAGTTTTATGTGGGCAAAGCAGACATGTGGTTTGGATAAGCTAGATGGTGTTTAGTTAGATTTGGAAGAATTTTGACAGCCAGGTTGAGATGCCTGAGCTCCCCCAAGCAGTGAGGAACAATGAGACATAGTGGTGCAGAAGAGGGACTTGAATGTTATTTAGGTGGAGGTGATGCTGAATAATTGTTTAGGCTGGGTGGCAGAGATTTCATGATCATAGTTGATACCAGTAGTTGAAACAATCACTCCTAATTTTACTTATTTTTAAGAAAATTACTACATTTTCATTTTGTTGTAGAGTATTACAACATTCGAGGTTGGTGCCAAATTAATTGTGGTTTTGCAAAACCGCAATTAATTTTGCACCAACCTAATAGAACAGTGACTCAAGTCTCACAAGGTGTGTGGCTGTTTTAGCAACTGTCGACAGCTCCATTGCAGTGACACCTCCCCCTCCCGGCTGTTGGCACATTATGATGGGAGTTTGAGAGAGGCTGCTTGACGGCACCACCAGACTTTTCCTGTTGCATTTGTGTGTGCAGGAGTATTATTTTACCAGCAGTCTATATGATGAGTTAGTGCTGGGATTACTTTGAAGGGAGGAAACCTTTTGGGTGACAATTTCCACGGATCCAAGCGGGGAGTGAAAGGAACAAGGACCCAGGCAAGGGCAATGGAGAAGGACAAGAACAAACATTTCGAGGGAATTGGCCAGATTAATTGGAATTGCCAAAGAGAGCTCAATTCTGCCTGATGGAACTTTTAAACAGGGAAGATGGGGGTAGGAGTGGGTAGTTGGAATCTGAGGCTCCAGGGGCTTCCAGACCCCATCCTTCCAATGGACCAAAAGTGCTGTCGCCTGGTAAGGCCCAGAGCATATCTGTCCCTTTCACTCTTGCTTCCCAAATTATCCCACTTCACATATTTGGGGTAAAATGAACTGACCTCAACAAGGAGGCCACACCCCCTCACTCTGAGTTTCTTTCTCATGAAGGCAAATGGTTTGCCCTGAGCCATGCACAGTCGCTATAACTTGTGACCAAAGGGTGTGAATAGGGTTGCAGATCTGGTGTGCGACTAGGACGCAGTTGGTATCAGAACTGTCCTCAGTTGGAGGGTATCTAGCCCATGGGGACAAGAGCCAGCAGCCTTGAACTTGTTAGCATGGAAGCCTCATTTCCCCGCTTTGCCTTGGGCATCAGGATGCTTAGAGCGGTATTTAATTTAATTTTTTATTGTGGTTTTACATATATATATATGTATATATATACACACATATATACATATTACATTTTATAAACATAAAATTTATCATTTTAAACATTTTAAAGTGTACAATTCAGCAGCATTAATTACCTTCACAACATATGCAACCACCACTACTATTCCCAAACTTTTTTTTATCACCTCAAACAAAAACTGTCTAACCATGAAGCCATAACTCCTCATTTTCCCTTCTCCCAACCCCTGGTAACCTCTAATTAACTTTATTTTTCTATTAGTTTTGCCTATTCTAGATACTTTAAGTAAAATTGTATAGTATTTGTCTTCTTGTGTCTGGCTATTTTCACTTAGCAAAGTGTTTTCAAGGTTCATCCATCTTGTAGCATGTGTCAGAATTTCATCCCTTTTCATCTTCCGTTGGAATATATAAACCTCATTTTATTTCTGGATTCATCTGTTGATGGACATTTGGGCTGTTTACATCTTTTGGTTATTGTAAATAAGGCTGCAAAGACATAGACATACAAGTATCTGGTGGAGTCCCTGTTTTCATTTCCTTTGGAGTGGAATTGTTGCGTCATATGATAATTCTATGTTTAACTTATTGATGAACTGGTGAACTGTTTTCCACTGTGGCTGTGCCATGTTACACTCCCCCAGCAGTGTATAAGGGTTACAATTTCTTCACATTCTTGCAACATTTGTTATTTTCCATTTTTTCTTTTCTTTTTAAATTATAGCCATCTCAGTCAGTGTTCCTTGTATCTCACTGTGGCTCATATTTAATTATTAATTGCATATATCTTTCCCTTCCTTTGTTGTACTTTTATAAATTATCTCTATTTTTATTGTTTATTGTCTTCTTTTTTCATTGTACATCTTTTTGGAAATAGGTGAATTTTAAATCATGTGTGAAGAAATGCAAAAATATCACAAAGACTTAATGGGACTTGCACTGCTTTAAAGGAGCTTATGTTTTGTGTTATGAAGCACTACATCCAAATTGCTTTTCAGCTCCCAGATGATCTTGTCATGGAGGATTTTCTTGTTTTCTCTGTTTTTCTTTTTCAAGTTTCTTGTGTTTGCCTGTACGGTCCATTGGAGATTTCGCTGTTTCCTGAGCCATTTGACAGTTGAACTCATCTAGTCAAAAGAGATGCTAGTCCTTATTGTCTTTTTTGAGTAACATTTATATTCTATTGCCAAGATATGAAACGCCTAGTGTATTCTAGGTGAAATGATACAGGTGATGGAAGTCACACAACCAGCCCCAGCCCTCACTCTGTCATGACAAATTTCCAAGACAAATTCTGGAAATTCTCTGTTGTTCTTTAAACATTTTCTTGGGCAAATATTAACTATTATTTTCACTAATGACGTCAAGAAGGGCTAATTACGGTTAATCACAGTAGAAAATAAAACTTGATTCCCTTTCCTGCATGGCTTGAGCATGAAATAGGAGAAGGGACAAGACAACCTCCGGGTATTGTTTCTAATTCTTTAAAAAGTTGTACTTGCAGCCAGGCACGGTGGCTCACTCCTGTAATCCTAGCACTTTGGGAGGCTGAGGCAGGCGGATTGCCTGAGCTCAGGAGTTCGAGACCAGCCTGCGCAACATGGTGAAACGCCGTCTCTACTAAAAACACAAAAAATTAGCCAGGAATGGCAGTGTGCACCTGTAGTCCCAGCTACTCGGGAGGCTGAAGCAGGAGAATTGCTTGAACCCAGGAGGCAGAGGTTGCAGTGAGCTGAGATCGCACCACTGCACTCCAGCCTGGGTGACAGAGCGAGACTCTGTCTCCAAAAAAAATAAAAAAATAAAATAAAACAAGTTGTACTTGCATGTAGAAAAAGCATTTGACAATTTCAACATCAGTTGAAGACAAAATATCCAAGAAACTAGGATTAAAAGGGAACTTCCAGTTGGGTATGGTGATGGCTCATAATCTCAGCACTTTGGGAGGCTGAGGTGGGCGGATTGCTTGAGCCCAGGAGTTTGAGACCAGCCTGGCCAACATGGCAAAACCCTGTCTCTACTAAAAATACAAAAATTAGCCAGGTATGGTGGCCCATGCCTGTAATCCCAGCTACTTGGGAGGCTGAGGCACGAGAATCGCTTGAACCTGGGAGGTGGAGGTTGCAGTGAGCCAAGGTCACACCACTGCACCCCAGCCTGGGTGACAGAGTGAGACTGTCTCAAAAAAAAAAAAAAGAAAAGAAAAAAAGAAAAAAAAAATGTTGGGGGGACCTTCCTCAACATGATACAGGACCATCATCGTATATGGAAAGCCAGAGCTGACATAATATGCAATGGTGAAAGACTGAAAGCTTTCTCTCTAAGACTAGGAAGAAGACCAGGATGCCCACTTTTGCCAGTTCGGTTAAGCATAGTTCTAGCCACAGCAATTAAGCAAGAAATAGAAATAAAAGGCATCCAAATTGGGAAGAAAGAAGTAAAACTATATTTGCAGATGACATGATATTATATATAGAAAACCCTAAGGAATCCACAAAAAATTGTTAGAGCTAATTAATTCAACAAAGTTGCAGGATACAAGATCCACACTTAAAAATGAGTTGTATTTCTATACACAAACAATGAATGATTCAAAATAAAACTAAGAAACAATTCTACTTACAATACCATTAAAAAGTATAAAATACATAGGAATGAATTTAACCAAAAAGTTGCAAAGCTGGTAAATGAAAACTAAAAAACATCACTGAAAGAAATTTTAAAAGAACTAAATAAATGAAAAGACATGCCATATTCATACATTGAAAGACAACATTATATTATTAAGGTATCATTACTTCTCAAAGCAATCTATAGATTTAATGCAATCCATATCAAAATCACAACAGCCTTTTTTTTTCAGAAATAGAAAACTCAGTCCTAAAATTTATATGGAATCTCAAGAACCTGGAATAGCCAAAACAATTTTGAGAAAAGAATAAAGTTGAATGACTCATAATTCACAGGATCAAAACTGACTGCAAAGCTACAGTAATCAAAAAAGTGTGGTTCTGGCATCAGGATACACATATACACCAATGGAACAGAATTGAGAGTTCATAAATAAATTCATATATCAATGGTCAATTGATTTTTGAACAGTGCCAAGACCATTCTATGGGAAAAGGAACACTCTCTTCAACAAATTGTTCTGGAACATCCGCATGTAAAAGAAAGATGTTGAATCCTTATCTCATACCTAATGCAAACATTAACTCAAAATCTATCAAAGACTGAAAGTTAAGAGCTAAAAATATAAAACTCTTAGGAGACAACATAGAGGAAACTCTTCAGAGCAGTAGCTTGTGCACTGGTTTCTTAACTATGACACCGAAGGCACAAGCAACAAAAGAAAACAATGGATAAATTGGGCTTGTCAAAATTTGAAACTTGTGCATCAAAGGACAAGTTGACAAGTTGTGCACTACTAAGAAAGTGAAGACAACCCACAGAATGGGAGAAAATATTTGCAAATTATATATTTGATAAGAGTCTAGTATCCAACATATGTGAAGAACTTTTTCAACTCAGCAATTTAAATTTCCCAATTTTTAAAAGGGCAAAGGATCTGAAAAGATATTTCTCTAAAGAAGATATACAAATGGCCAACAAACACCTAAAAAGATGCTAAGTGATATGAGTCATTAGGAAAATGTAATCAAAACCATAATGAGATATTATTTTATACCCACCAGGATGGCTATAAGAAAAATGAAAAATATAAATAACAAGTGTTAGCAAGGAGGCAAAAAACTTGCAGCTCTCATGAAATGTAATAAATAATGGTGCAGCTGCTGTGCAAAGCTGGCAGTTTCTTAATAAGCTAATCGTAGAATTACGACCAGCAATTCCACTTACTTGTATTTCAGGATTCAAGGTGACACTTTGTCACCGACTTTTGTTGTCCATGGCTTTTCAGTTTGGTTGCTCTGTTTTCACATGGGCACTCTGGAAGATCCAAACATTATTCTGGTATCGCTGTTACCATCTTCCTAGGCCTCCTGTTGGAGAGCTTTGTGAAATACCCCTTTTTGATATGCATTTCAAATGTTTCCCCAGTTTACATTTGTCTTTTGTCATTTAAGCAGCTTGGATGGGGGACTTGGATATCAGGAGATGGGGGAATTTGGGGACCATGGGTGGCTTCTCACATTGCGTCCTGTGTGAGCTGGCAGCAGCACTTCCTAATCACCCAGGGAGTCCGTCTTATCCCCCTCTTCACAGCCCTGAGGCTCCATAAAGTGATTAGACTTTCTCAGGTTGTTATTAGTATTTTTCTCCTGGGCTTCCTCAATAGTACAATTCAGTTCACCTATTGCTCAGAAAATATTGCTATGGTAACCTATTCTGGCAAGTAAAGCAATTACCTAGAGTTGAAGAAAAAAAATTTGGACTAAAAACCTGAGTACGCAACCATTTATTACCCAAAGGCACTTGAAAGAATTAAGGAAAACAAACAAAGGCAGGTACATTGCTCTGTCCATGACAGATTAGAAAGGGCTTAATCCACCTGGAAGGATCAGAGGACAATCCTTTAGACTAGGGAGTGTGGGTGAATCTGATTCCTTGCCACACTGAGGTTTGCAAGATAGACTGTAATGAGAGGCTGCCAAATGTCTAATTTGGGGTCAAAACCTAGCTTGTATTAAAGATTCTTCAAGTCATGTAAGGTTCCATTGATATTTAACCCCAGGTTTCCATTGCTGTGAAACCCCGTTCCTGGGTTCAATGCAGAAGTCCAGCCTCTTTCTTCCCAGTGGTTGACAGGACTCCTGAGAAATGTGTACACGTACAAGTGAGTCCTTTAACTAGAAAAAAAGGAAAGATGCTCTATTAGTTTCCCACTGCTGCTGTAACAAATTATCACAAACTTAGTGGTGTGAAGCAACAGATATGGCCCTTTCCTGCATTTTCAAAGCCAGCTGTGTAGTATCTTCAAATCTCTCTGCGACTCTCTGTCCTCTGCTTCTGCTGTCACAGCATCTTCTCTGACCCTCTTGCCTCCCTCTCATGAGGGCCCTTGTGTTTACATTGGGCCCATCTGGATAATCCAGGATAATCTGTCCATCTCCAAACTATTTACTTAATCACATCTTTAAAATCCCTGTTGTCATATAAAGTAATATATTCACAGTTTCTGAGGATTAGGATGTGAAGAACATTGAGAAGTCATTTTTCAGCAGATCACAGACCCCAACAGCTCTCAGGTATGCCTGTCCTGACCAGAACCTGGTCTTCTCACATGGGCTCCTGTGAAGCAGGTGCCAGGGGAGCTAGAATGTGACTCTGCTCCTTATAGCCAAAGATGCTCAGAGTGGCACTTTTGAAACAAAAACTTATTAAGTATTATTTGGGGTAGGAAAGAGGGTCCAATAGGAAAGTGTCATACAGGTTGAGTATCCTGTATTCAAAATGCTTGGGACCAGGAGTGTTTCAGACTTTAGATTTTTTTTTTTTTTTTTTTTTGATTTTGGAATATTTGTATTACACCGGTTGGGCAAACCCAAATCTGAAAATATGAAATCCAAAATGCTTCACTGAGCATTTACTTTGAGCATTGTGTTGGTGCTCCAAAAGTTTCAGGTTTTGGAGCACTTCCGATTTTGGATTTTCAGATTTGGGATGCTCAGCCTGTACTCTGATTCTACTACTCGCCTGCCAGCTTTCTGTGTGACTTTGCTTCATCTGCTACCCTCATTTTCCCCTTTTTATCTTCAACTTCTCTCACCTTTGAATTCTTCTTTTGCTTTGACCAAAAATATGCCTAAGTGTGTTCCATCCTAAGAAAAGCAAACAACACTGCCTTCCCAGGCCACTCCAGCATCCCTTGACCAAGACAAGTGGGCAGCTCAACAACCAGTTTTTAACAGAAAATGTGGCCAGAAAATTAGTACTCATTCCACAGAATACCACTGCTGTGATGGAGACTGTGTGGCTGTGGTCCAGGCATCTTCATTGCCCTTTTTGTAGCAATCACTGCACATCCAAAGTCCTGAGGGGGAGCATCCACATGGCAAAGCCAGGGTCTCAGGCCCATCGCTTGGCATCCAGGGGAACAGGAAGGAGGAGGAGCTTTCCATGGATCCTGAATGGGAGCAAGACACAGCCATCCCACCACAATTATACCTTGTGGCAAGGTCCCCCCATCCTACCGGCATATCAGTTAGAATTAGGTCTCACTGCATGTGAGACAGACAGAGACGCACATGTGTACACACATACACCCCAGAAAAAACAAAGCTTAAACTTTATTTCTATGTCACACAAATAAAATGTGGAGGTAGAGAGTCTAGTGCTGATATGGTAGCTCTGTGATCATCGACTACTCAGATTCTTTCTGGGTGGTGTGTCACCATGTCAGCATGTAGTCTCCTAGCCCAAGATGGCTGCTTACACTCCAGACATCATTTCTGTTTTCCAGCGAGAGAGATCAAAATGACACAAAGAAGGAAACAACCCAGGGGGATGTGACCCCATCTTTCTAGGCTACTTAAGAAGTTGCACTGCATGGTACTTCCTCTGACACCTCATTGGCTACAACTTAGATAGCTACAATCAGGTTTAAGGGGGGCCAGACAGGGTTGTCTTTTTTGGGCAGCCATGTGCCTAGGTGAAATCAGGGGCTTTGTAGCTGAGGAAGAATAGATAATGGGAATAGCATTTTTGAGAGGTTAAATTCCTGCTATTTTTCACCTTTCTTAAAATATTGAAGAAAGTCCACTATGGCTTCTGTGTTAGCTCATTGTCTTGATTATCCTTCTTTTTTTTTTTTTTTTTTTTTTTTTTTTTTTGACAAGGTCTTACTTTGTCATCCAGGCTAGAGTATAGTAGTTCAATCTCTACTGACTGAAACCTCCTCCTCCTGGGTTCAAGTGATCCTCCCACCTCAGCCTTCTGAGAAATTGGGACTACAGGTGTGAGCCACCACGCCCGGCTAATTTTTTGTATTTTTGGTAGAGATGGGGTTTTGCCATGTTGCCCAGGTTGGTCTTGAACTCCTGAGCTCAAGCAATCCACCTGCCTCGGCCTCACAAAGTGCTGGGATTACAGGAATGAGCCATCACGCTTGGCCTTCTGTTTTTAAGCCATTTGTTGTATTCTATTCCTTCCTCACTGACTTTATCAATTAAGTTACTCTGGTTGCAAGTAACAGAAAGTGACCACGTAACTTCAGGAAAAATGGGGAAAAAAATCCTCACAGAATTGAAGGGAAGGCTTGTGAACCTGGCTTAGAGAAGTCAGAAACTCGGCAGCTCTGGGGGCCTGGGAAACAAGAATTATTTGACAATCTCATTGAAATGTGATGCTAAGGTTAGTGAGCTTCAACTATTTTTTTTTTCAACCATTTCATCATGACTCCTGGGATTGTAAGTTATATTTGAGAACATGTCATTGGTTTAGCTTTTTCTCATGCCTGTACCTCCACTAGGAGAGGAGTGAGGGGGAAGAGATAATTCTCTAAAGAAAATAGATGCTATTACCAAAAGGAGAAATAGCCAAAAAACCTAAAAATGCGTCCTACCCTTCTTCAAATAGAACAATGGTTAATTTTACTGCTCTGGCCCCACCTGCTATTCCTTGCTACGCACCTCACTCCTCCGCCTCATGACCCTCTCACTACAGACCCGCTAGGCATTTGCAATATTCTCACTTTATGTAAGTTGTTCCCACTGCCTGGAATATCCTTCCAGCCCTCACTCTTCTTTACCCAAGAGATCTCTCCTGATGCCTCCTGTTTTGGCCCATGATTCCTCAGACCACGCTGGGTGTCCATCCTCTGGGTTCCCACAGGCTCCGCTCAGAAGAGATGAATTTCTATGTTTCTCCCACTGTGTGTAGACCAGGAGTGCCTTATTCACAGGGGTTGCCTTGCTTATCTCTGTTGCCAAAGCATCCAGTACAGTGCCTCACACAAAATAGTTACTCAATAAAATTATGATGGCTGGATAAATGGCTCTAAATGTCTTGCTGCAAATTCTCTTCTGACTTCCAGTCTCCATGCCAGAGCCCCTATGGCTGTCCAGCTGAATTCTCAGCTCTAAACTAAATCTTTCTTTTTTCCTGTCAATCAGCACCTCCTCCTGATTTCTGTTCAACTCCTATTTGCTGAACTCATACTCTGCTTGTGAGACATGAGGGAAACAAAGATAAATAAGATTCAGTCTATGCCTTCAAGAATTGTCTTCATTAGGGTTCCATAACTCCGGCACTATTGACGTTTGGGGCTGGATAATCTGTGTTGCAGGCGTCCTGTGCACTGCGGGATGTTCAGCAGTATCCCTGGCCTCTGTCCACTAGATGCCAGTAGCATTGTCCTCTCGGTCAGGACAATTAAAAATGTCTCCAGATGTTGTTAAGTGTGCCCTGAGGAGCAAAACTGACTTCAATTGGGAACCACTGGTCTAGATGCAGAGACATAAAGAAACAGAAAGAAAATTTCAGTATGAAGTAGATGTAAGGACAAGTACAGCAATGGTCTGTGAGGAAATTAAAATTGGAGGCTTTAAAAATACTTGTATCTACAAGGATGAACTGGCCAATAAGCTGAAGCTTAACCACACGAAATAATTAAAGGACATCATAAGACAGCATTTTCACAGGCGGGAAGGAGGAAAGGAGCTAACTAACACTTGTTTAGTCTTTGTTATGCAAAACCTGCTTTGCATTTGTTGATTTATTTCATTCTCACAATATACCAAAGTGTACAGCATGCTCTGCTAATGCCCACAGTGCTAGTTCATATAACCCTTACGGTATAAGGGCTGGATGGCGGTGCTGTCTTTCCATGTGACAGCCACGAGGCACAGGGAAGTTCCTTGCTAGTCAGTGACAGCACTAGAATTCAGACAGGAGCAGACTCCAGGGTCCAGCCCCACGCTGCCCCTTTGCCTCGGCTCATGCGGTTCACGTTGCCCGCACGCCTTGGCTTCTCTCTTCCTTTCTCCCCTTTGCTGTTAGAACATCCTTCGGGACTCAACTCCAACGCGGAGCCCACCCAACGCCGTTCTTGAGCGTTCAGCCCTTTAGATGGCGATTTCCTCGCTGTGGTACATTTTCCCCTGGATTTTCTTCAGATCCCTCTCACATGACTTTGTAGGAGGGGGCTGGAATCACTCCTGCACCCCCAGGCTCTTACTCTTAGTAGCCACACAAATATACCTGTGATGAGAATGGAGTCCAGGGCGCTGCTCCCAGGGAGTCTGACCTTTTTCAATGTCCTCACCCAAAGCCGCCCTGGTAACCGTCTGTTACCAGGGATGGAGGCCACATCCTCTGTGTCTTCGCCCCAGCACCTCCAGGCCTGGTTCGGGCCAGGCTCTCAGGCGCTGGCGGGTTCCTCCTGCCCGCATCTGAGGACACCAGCAGCCTTCCCTGGGGGCAGCAGGGAGGGAAGGGCAGCTCGGCCTGCGGAGGAACAGGAGGCGGTCAGGGAGCGGGAAAGCGCCCGGCCCTAGGGCTGAGCAAACCGCGCTGGCGTCCGGGTTAGGCCATCGCCCTCCCGTCTGCGGCTGACTCTGCGCTTCTCCTCCCTCACCGTGGCGTCCGGGTAAGACTGTCCTTCCCAGGGCTGCCGGGAGACCACCGTGGCGTCCGGGTAAGACTGTCCTTCCCAGGGCTGCCGGGAGACCACCGTGGCGTCCGGGTAAGACTGTCCTTCCAGGGCTGCCGGGAGACCTACGGCGTTGAAAGTGCAGGGGGCACTTGGTCCGGAGCCTCAGCAGCCTGGAGCCCCACTCCTCGCTCCACGTCCCCCTCAGCGCATGCTCTCGGCATGACTGGGTCGCGTGTTTGTCCCACTCTTCCCCTACACTCCGACCTTTCTTTCCTCAAGCTGGATAAAATGAACCCTCGATAGCGCTCCCCTGCCAGCAAAGGCAAGTCCAAAATCACCAGCTGCTGCTCTGACAAGCGTAGCCGGCCCCGTCGCAGCAGCTGTCCTGAGTCGGCACAGCCGAGAGCCCTCTGCTGGAGACGCCGGGAGCCGCGGAAGGGCCGGAGACTTCCCAGAAGGAGGCTCCCTTTTGCAGTTTTTTGGCCTAATGCCTCTGAAACCATGATTTTGATGGTGGGGAGAGGGTGTGAGAAACCGGTAAGTCCTAGAAAACTCTTGTTTCTGACCTTCTTCCCCTTTTCCTGATGTTCCTGATAATAGTGTCGTTAGGTCTTGTTTCTAAGATCTGACTTGGCCTGACTGTACACCTAATCCTTGTGTTTTCATTCCTTCCATTCTACGGATGAGGAAACTGAGGCACAGAGCAGGGAATTCACTTGCTCCAAGGCTCCTGTACATTCTGCCTGACTCCAGAAAGTGCTGCCTTGGGAGGTCTGACAACCCTTGGTTCCCCCTTTCCCAGCTGTGGACACTCCTCTAGAGGCTCTCAGCGATGCCAAGCATCCTGCTTTTGCCTGCCTCCCAAACCTCCAGAGCAGCTTCCCCATGACCTGTCCCGAGGTGGTGAGTTTGCCACTTGTTCTTTTTTCGACGCATCCTTGCCCTAGATGTTTCAAAGTCCTGGCCTTGCTCAAAATGTCCAATTTTCCCTGTGCCGAGGGGCAGGAGGCTCCAGGCAGGGAGGACAAGAATGGTGGCAAGCAACCTGGACATTTTGACAAAAAGAGGGAGAGAGAAACCAGACCTTAGCGGTTATTGTATCCTTGGGCTAATTATGAGCAACAAAAAGCCACTCAGTAATTTAAACTGAAACAGAATTAATTGAAAGGATATGAAATGGCTGCAGAACTAGGCTTGCAAAATAGGCAGGAACAAGGGCAGGTAGCTAAAGGGCAGGACCCTGGACAAAGTCATGGCACACACTCAGTCACTCTCAACCTGGTGTGAGCACGGCTGCTGCGGGGTGCCACAGCTGGAGCTGCCTGTTCCCAACACAGCTGCCTCTGGACCCTGGATGAGAAAGCTGCTACATCTACTGTTTCTGCTCCTGTTTTATTAGTTAGTATCTGATTCACTCTGGGCAAATGTATGTGATTAGCCAAACCCAGGTCACAGCCCCACCCTGGCTGCATGGGAGGCGTTTTTGCTTGTCTGATGGGAGGTGATCTCAGTAACCCACCAGTACTTGAAAGGTATTGTCTCCAAATAAAAGGTTGGATGCGGACTGGGTGAGGTGGCTCACGCCTGTAATCCCAGCACTTTGGGAGGCCGAGGCGGGCAGATCACGAGGTCAGGAGATTGAGACCATCCTAACATGGTGAAACCCCGTCTCTACTAAAAATACAAAAAAACATTAGCCGGGCGTGGTGGCAGGCGCCTGTAGTCCCAGCTACTCGGGAGGCTGAGGCAGGAGACTGGCGTGAACCCGGGAGGCCGAGCTTGCAGCGAGCCGAGATTGCGCCACTGCACTCCAGCCTGGGCGACAGAGCGAGACTTCGTCTCAAAACAAAACAACAAAAATTAGCTGGGCGTGGTGGCACATGCCTGTAATCCCAGCTATTAAGGAGGCTGAGGCAGGAGAATCGCTTGAACCCAGGAGGCGGAGGTTGCAGTGAGCGGAGATAGTGCCATTGCACTCTAGCCTGGGTGACAGAGCGAGACTCCATCTCAAAAAAAGGTTTGATGCTGGCTAGCCCCTTAAAACAAAAAATGTGTTTTTCCCTCCACAGAAAAGTGATCATCCAGTTAGAATTTTCCACATTCCCCTCTTATATTACAGGTACAGATGCTCTGAGTCCCAGAAGGGAGAGTGGCTTTTTTTCTCAAAGACATGTGGCCAAGGCAAATTGGTTTCTTCTTTGGTCCACCACCAATGGACAGGGATTGAATGGAGCACTGTGGAGGGATCTGGAGGCTTTGTTTGGTGCAAGAAGGTTCCATGAAGCTAGGCTGTCCTTCTTCTTCCCACACCAGGCATTCAAATGAAACAGCTGTTTCTCTCTCGAAAGTCCCAGCCTGTCTCTCTTCTGGGCAGCCCTAGTTTGTGAATGACTACAACGTACTAACACCATTGCCTGTGCTGGGCACTTTCACTTTGCAAGATGAGAGCAGAAAACATTTACTAAGAGTCTGTATGTGAATGGGTTCTAGTCTGGTTGCTCCCAAACCTAGCTGAGCGTGAGCATCACCTACATACCTCTGCCCTGGCAAAGGCCTACTGAATCAGAATCTCCTAGAGATGGGGCAAGAAAATCATAGTCCACTAGGACCCGAGGATGCAGGATTTCTAGGCTTAATAAAAATAGCTGGAATATTTGCCTGCATCTATCACATCATTTAGAAAACAATATTGCAACTGTTTATGCCTACCTTCTCTAATCTGTATCCATCCCAAGAAGGATCTGGGCGTATTCTTCTGTGTCCTCTGCAGTTTATGACATCTAACAGGCTTTTAATTTATGATGAATTAGGTTATCCAAACGCACACTGTTGTTGTTGCCACCCCATACTCAGTACAGTAACCTTGAAAACAGCATTAATATACTTGACAGCTACCTTAGGAAGGTGCTGCAGGACTGGACCGCTTTCCAAAGCCCAAGTCTGCTCTCCAGAATTCCAAGAGATCCAGACTGTTAGAAATCCTGTATGCCAAAGCCCAGACTGGCTCACGGTTTGGGATGAGCCTCTGTACCTGCTGCTGTATGGCAGCAAGTTTTTCACGTAGGATGCACGGAGGCCGGTACCATGGACAGAGCACTCAGCACCAGGGCACTGTCCTGAGCACTGCCTTCTGAAGGAGGTATTACTTTTGCTTCACTCATGAATCAGGCCCTGAGGTTAGCAAGTGGCACAGCTGGAATTTGAATCCAGGCATTCTAGTTACAGAGCTCTCACTTTTAAGCCCTGTATAACTTAGGGATCCTGTTTTGGGTATCTTGTTTTATTTATACAAAGCTGGCTGAGACTAAATAAATTTAGACATAGCAGTGTCATCACTTGCAGCCCACAGGACCCAAAGACTTACCTGCATGTAGTGATGTGCTTGGCTCCCCCACCTCACATTCTGCCTTCGAACCTTCATGGCTGCAGCCACCTAATTCCACCTGTCAAACGCTCACATTTGCCACCAAATGAAGCTCTTACTGTGCACGAGCCTTGCAGATGGTGCTGCTTTCACTCACTGTACGTGATACCAGTAACTGGCTCCTTCATATCTGAATCTGGCCAGGCTGGTCAAGTCTGGTTGTCTCTTGTCCCTAGCCTGGACCATCCTGCCACTACAATCACAAACAGCACCCAGCGAATACGGTAGTTCCCCCTTATCCTCCAGGGATACATTCCTGGATCCCCAGTGGATGTCTGAAACTGTGGACAACACTGAACCCTCTCTCTGTTCTTTCCTATACATTACCTGTGACAAAGTTTAGTTTATAAATTAGCACACTGAGATTAACATAAAACAATTATAATATACTGTAAAAAAAGTCATGTAAATGTGGCCTCTCAAAGTATCTTATTGTGACTACAGGTAATGGAGATCATAGATGAGGCTGCTAATGGACCTGAAGTAAGTTCTCATACAGCAGGGCCAACCCTGTCCACTTTGTTTATATGCTTTTCTCACAAAACCTCTAGAGACTGACTCATACTAGAGGTAAACAATCTCAAGACTACTGAGCACAAGACATACTGAGATAGGGACAGCCAGTTTGGCACATTCAGGTAGGTATCTTGAACCTAAATCCTGGCAGACCAAACAAGGGTCAACAAAGCATCCATAAACGAAATACAACATTGAAGTAATTATTTAATGACACAGGAAAATAACATGTTATGAAACAAGCTGGTTACAAGTAGTAGGTAGATGACTTAATTTTTGATAAAAAAATTAAAAAGCATGAACATGCATATAAAAATTAGATTATGTACAAAATGCCAACAGTATTTACTTCTGCTCAGTAATTAAATATTCTTCCCTTTGTTTTTGTCTTTTAAAAAACATTATTTCTGAAAAAAAAAATCAGAAAAACATGATCGTGGAGAGAATTATTAAACACCAGGAATTAGGAACCCAAGAAGCTAAGCCAGGAGCTCAGCAGTCAAGGTTGGAAGTCCAGGACAGGTCCGACCAGGGTGATGGTGGCCAAGCCCAGAAATGGAAGATTGTTCTTTTCTTTTCCTACTGGAATGTTCTTTACCAGTTTTCTCTATATTCGATGTTAGCACACTTATTTAATGGGATCCTATGATTAACTGGCACAACAGCAAAATGATGCTAGCAACTTTGGCTTTGAACTGCTACAAAATGTACTATCTTGTAGTTATATACTGTACAAAACACACTAGAAATCAAGTGCTCCTACAACGAAAAACTCATCTGACTAAATCACTGATTTTGCTGTTTTTTTTTCTAACTTTGTTCATTTTCAATCTTCACAGCAAATGTATTTTTTGTTTCAGGGCCTGGAAGAGGTATTTTTTTCTCAGAAAGAAGCTAACATTAATGTGTGCTGGGCACCGTCTGACAGCTTGGCTCTAACTCCAAGTAAGTTGCCCTTGTCTTCTAAGTACTCTACAGAGTGCAAAGGCTTACCAAATCCAAACCACCTTGAATTAAACAAATCTTAATGAGGAGCATCATCGTTCTTTGTATGAAAGTCTTTGTTATGTTACCAAATGAAGAAATGCAGTACATTACACCTCTATTGATGTAAATGAGGCTCAAACATCTCAATTCCATCCTCTTCCTACCCCCCAGCCATCAAACGTTATAACTGCTTAGTGACACTTTATTCAAATTACAACCCATAGTTTTTGCTCCAAAAAATGCAACACCTGAGAAAGGCCTGTTGCTTTAAAATCAAGAATCTATAAAAGCAATGCCACCCTAATCTTAAGGTGCTTCTTAGGTATTTCCCAAAGCTCTTTGCTCTTTTATACTGCAGCATTTTCAGGAGGAGTCATTAGATACTGTCAAGGTCCAAGAAATAACTAAAAACAAAAAATAACCTGAGACTCTTTTCTGCACCGCCACCAGCTGCCCAGTACACTAGGTCACCTTTTACAGCAGTGAGCACAGCAATCCATGCCACAAAAATCTTCGCAAAACAAGAAGGAAAGGTACAAAAAGAATTATATTAAAATGGTAACATACACTTGTATGAGGGAGGGATATTTAAAATTAAAATATTATCATCACAAGAAACACCAGATATTCCTTGCTCTGCCCTTGGGCAACCAAGAAACTTAAAGCCTGTTTTATATCCCAGAAATAAAAGAGAGACGTGATAGAAGTAACAGTGCTCAGTGCTTGCAACCCAAGTCAATTTATACTCTTGTTAGGTAAGTCCAAATTCTAAAGTCTACAAAAATCCTGTTAAATCAAGGGGAAAAAAAATTCATTTTAGGACAAAGTTATTCAAGATGAAAGGAAGGCATGTGTTCAGTGAGAGAACTGCCTGCTGTCAGATGATTTCTTGCTAATGTGTTTAAAGATTTTGGATTTCTCAACTTTCTTGGTTTTCTGGTAGCCAAATCCACCACCACCTCCTCGCTTTTTCTGCTTGCCTTCATTACTGTTGACGTCTGGAGGCAAACATTAAGGAAATCAAGCAAAAAAGATAATGAACTCCAATCTAACATCTACACAGAGAAAAAAACCGGCATGAACACTACTGTTCCTCCACAACCCCATTCTCAACAATGAAAATGTGGGAACATAAGCCTATGCAATAAATTTCCAGAAAATTAGGAGTGGCCACGTGACTGTGGACTTAAATTAGCAGGTATGATTTTAAACTTCGGTGTGTAATAGTCATATTAATTATTTCTTCCACACGATGAAATTCATGACAGTGAATAAGGATTTATGAGTTTAATCAGGAAGTTGGTAGGAGCACATTAAAAAAACACCTCCTGTGTCAAAACAAATGACTATCATTTCTCTTCGGAATTGATTTAGGAATGCCTAAGTGAAGGAGCTGCTCTTCCTTCCACAGGACTCGACATACATTCATTTCAGCTGACATTTACTCAATGCTGACAATGGGGATGGTGACCCAAAATTTGGTCCTCTAGTTCCCTCAGAAGTTACCCCTATGGCACTGAAGCACAGGCCTCATTTCAGCTGCTCAGTTTCTTCTTCTGAAAGGCACAAATTATAAATCACAACTGAAGCAACTGGAAGTACTCCTGCCTTTTATCTTAAGCAACACCTAAGTTTTATTTTCTTTTGCTGAACTTGCCACTTTCTTGCATAAAATCCTTCAGGGGTTCTAAGATGATTAAAACTCCTTGAAAGGTCCCATCCTCTCTTTAGCTTCAAAACACCCCATTCACCTAAGTACCCTGCACAGTGCAGCCTCAGCAAACACTGAAGTTTTGATTTTTTTAACCTGTGTTTCTGCCTGGAACACACAACTGTCTCTGTCTCTCCTTGACAGTCAAATTTCTTTGTCTTTTGAAGGCTCAAGGCATAAGCTGCCTTGTCCCTGTAACCCCATCCTAATGATTAAGCCCTGCTTACCCCATCCAACCTCTATGTCCTGTGCTAGCACAGAAAAGCAGACATCGACCAGGGTGAACACTGGAGCCTCCAGTCTGAGCCAGAACACATACCAATCCACTGCAAAGCCCCAAATGCCCCTCTGTCAAGCTTTTGTTCCTTAGTCACAGGATAACTTCATTAAAGAAAAGGATACTCAGATCAACGAAGGGAGGCACCTTGAAACCAAATGACAGAGCAACCTGAGGCAAATTTAGGTTATTAACATTAAAGATCTGTTTCAGAGAATGGGAATCATAGGCTCGTATGTATGACTTATATGCTTCCTGGGCTGACTTATGAAGAAAGTAATTCTTTTCAATCAATTTCTCAAGCTGAAATAGAAAGAAACACTGGTTTTAATAAACAAAAACAAACAAAAACCTCCAAAACACCAGATTTTAAATATCCTAGAGCAAAGCCACTCCATGGAAAACATTTAAAGAGGGCACAGAGTGGTGATAACTAGAATAGCAAGAAACCTTATACACTACACAGCCTGATCCTCACTTTAGGACAGGGTAGACTTCAAAGGACAGTGATTGCCCAGTGAATCACTACAAACAGAGTGCTGGGACAAGGTTCCTGTTTACTCACAAACGTTTAAAAAGCACATACCTGAGACTGAATGTCAGAAATTTTAGACCAGGAAAAGTCAAATTCACTTAATGGAACCTAGAAATCAAAAGTATTAAGATTAGTAAACCAGGATGATCAGCATTCCGATACTGGGTACTGAAGACAGGGAAGGATGAACCGGCCTATGAAATTCCCTCAGGACAGAAAGGAAAATCTGCTTTTTCTAGTCTCCCAATGTTGATGGGAAAGTTACATCTTTGCTCTGCTGAGTTAGGCAATCTGCACTTCTTTCTTTCTGAAAGGCAAGGAACTGGATAGGGACACAGTCAGTAAAGCACTTTTCTGTAAGAATCTCTATAATCCTGACTATTTGCAACCATGAATCAGCTTGAAGCTTCTAGTCAGAAGGGCCATCAGCCCCTTTTCTCCATGTCAGAAGAGGGGCCCTAATACCCCCACAGTCCTGTATTGAGGCTTGTGACACTGGAGGCCATGATGACCACAAACTCCTACAGGATGGATCTGCCATCAGTTATCACTCATTAGATAACTAGAAAAGCAACAGGCCTGTGCCAGGTGCTAGAGAGAAAATAGGTACCTAACTCATGGACTCTGCCCTCAGAGAGCTTGCCGTCTTGAGGGGGAGAAAGATAAGTAATGAAATGTCAACCTGTAGATTCTGGATATTAGCCCTTTGTCAGATAGGTAGATTGCAAAAATTTTCTCCCATTCTGTAGGTTGCCTGTTCACTCTGATGGTAGTTTCTTTTGCTGTGCAGAAGCTCTTTAATTAGATCCCATTTGTCAATTTTGGCTAGGACTAATATCCAGAATCTACTAAGAACTTAAACAAATTTACAAGAAAAAATCAAACAACCCAATCAAAAAGTGGGCGAAAGATATGAACACACACTTCTCAAAAGAAGACATTTAGGCAGCCAACAGACATGAAAATATGCTCATCATCACTGGCCATCAGAGAAATCCAAATAAAAATCACAGTGAGATACCATCTCACACCAGTTAAAATGGCGATCATTAAAAAGTCAGGAAACAACAGGTGCTGGAGGAGATGTGGAGAAACAGGAACACTTTTACACTGTTGGTGGGACTGTAAACTAGTTCATCCATTGTGGAAGACAGTGTGACGATTCCTCAAGGATCTAGACCTAGAAATACCATTTGACCCGGCCATCCCATTACTGGGTATATACCCAAAGGATTATAAATCATGCTGCTATAAAGACACATGCACATGTATGTTTATTCACAATAACAAAGACTTGGAACCAACCCAAATGCCCATCAATGACAGACTGGATTAAGAAAATGTGGCACATACACACCATGGAATACTATGCAGCCATAAAAAAGGATGAGTTCATGTCCTTTGTAGGGACATGGATGACACGGGAAACCATCATTCTGAGCAAACTATTGCAAGGACAGAAAACCAAACACCGCATGTTCTCACTCACAGGTGGGAAATGAACAATGAGAACACTTGGACACAGGGTGGTGAATATCACACACCGGGGCCTGTCGTGGGGTGGGGGGAGGGGGAAGGGATAGCATTAGGATATATACCTAACGTATATGACGAGTTTATGGGTGCAGCACACCAACATGGCACATGAATACATATGTAACAAACCTGCACATGGTGCACATGTACCCTAGAACTTAAAGTGTAATAATAATAAAAAAAGAAAGAAAGAAAGAAATGTCAACCTGATGAGCACCTGTGCTGTGGGAACAAGGAGGCAGGAGATCAGCGATGGCTTCCCAGCAAAGACAGAGGCGAGCTGAAACCAAGCATTCTGGACAAAGTGTGCAAAAGCTGTAGAGCAATTTCAGGGAACTGCCTGCAGTTACAGGGTAGAGGAAGCCTATCATCAAGACTATGCCAGAAAGGCCAATGAGGATGTAAATGTCAGGCAGGAGAAGGCCTGATATGCATCCCCCACATGGCCTAGCAATGAAGAGGCCACTTAGGGTCCTGATGGATTCAATTCTGGTGTGATAGTAGAAAGCTAAAGCCAAATTAGGCTGGTTAGGGACTGAGAGGGAGGTAAATGGCAAGAATATAAGCCATTTTTCCAGTAAGGCTGACTGAGGAAAGGCAACAGACAGTAGCTCCTGCAGGCAGGGGTAGAAGAACAGGTTTAAGGTTGAAGTTACTTTTTTACAGTGAGAAATTTGAGATGGTAAAGCGCCAACCGCAAGGAAGAGACTGTAGGCCAAGAGTTGATGAATAGGAGACAGAGGGCAGGGGAGGAGGCAGAGGCTAGAGCGAACAAGGATTCCCCACTGCTTCACATGAGGTAAGAGGAAAGAAGGGGAGCAGAAGCAGAGATGACTAGGTGTGAGGGAGCTTCAAAGGAGTGGAGAAGGTTTCAAAGAGGGCTGGAGGGAACAGGAAAGGAGAGGCTGGGACACAGAGGTGTTGCTGGGTAACAGAGCTAGAAAGCCGAGCCATGTGGGCAGTTCCTTCTGTGCTCACTTCTTGGGCTAGAAGTACATAAAACCTTACTTGCTTAATTGCCATAAGAATGGTTGTAACAGCACTGGCCAGACTCGAGACTCCTCTGACACATGTAGAAATGTTGCTTGCTAACAATCCCTACACCAAGAGAAATCTTTCTCCAAGTACAGATCTTTACCTTGGATTGTTTCAAGTAGCGAAGAAAACCCAATTCTTCTGGGCGCAAAATGAGCAAGGCATGCCCTCTCCCATTTAGGCCTCTGGCTGTTCTACCCACACGATGAATATATTCCTTTGGTGGAGAAAGAAAATCTGAGTTAACGCAGTGACTTCCACATGAGCCCATTTGCGTATCTGCATCCTGAGTATGTGCATGTCTGTACTGAGATGGTGTAGTCCCACGGTGCTGGGCCACACACACCTTCACCACACCCCCACAAAGCTGGGCCAGCAATCGCTCTGTGCACATCACCCCCAATAGGCCAATGATTGAGGCCCAAAAAAAAAAAAAAAAAAAAAAAAAAAAGGCTGGACATGATGTTTGCATTAACAGCGATCTAATAAAATGAGTATTATGTGTGCTTCATCATCAAAACGGCTTTAATCCAGTGTTTGTTGAAAATACTTCTCAATGAAGCTTATTCTACCACATATACTACAGAAGTTTATCTACTTCCTTAAGCAATTTTATTTCCTTCAGGCATCTGCTGTTCTTAAGAGATCATTCCAAGGATCTCATTTTCATAACTTAAGTCCCACTGATCCTTTTCAATCCTCTGGCACAGCCCGTTTGAGCCCTGAAAAGCCTTAAGTACTTTTCAATACCAGAGAAATACTGCAGTCACTGTATAGTAGGGATCTTTACCTTGAATGTGGAATGCAGTTTCCGTCAGGGAACTGGGAGAATAAGTGAACTTTTAATGCAGAGTCATTCTGAAGATATTCCAAAGATGCCAGTTACCTTAGGGTCATCCGGAGGGTCATACTGAACAATCCAGTCGACTTCAGGAATGTCTAGTCCTCTCGCTGCCACATCCGTACACAATAGTGTTCCCGAATCTGCATTGCAGAACTGGAAGAATGTGGTTGTACGCTTATTTTGCTTTTGCTTTCCCTAGAATTAAATAAAAACATCCATTAGAGCTGGAATCTTGAGGAAGACTAGCAGTAGAACCCCCAAATTGTGGAACTGTTACCCTATTTCGAGCTCATCCCTTGGCCTATGTCCTATTTCCCCAACTGTTCCGCAAGCCCCTCAAGGAGGATGGTGTCTTGCACTCTTCGAAAGTCCTCATACCCCTCCACACCCAGCAGCGCTCCCCCACACAGGATCCATCATCTAGTGGTGATCAAACTACTCAGAACAATGTTTCCAGGAGAGGGCAATACCTCCAATCCTACAATCTATAGGATTTAATAAGCATACCCTGTTTTCAATGAGCTCATCATCATCACTTACATGAATGGCCAAGACGGGCAAATCAATGTAGTTCAGCAACTCATAGTGGTATTTCACAGACATACAAGATGAAAAGAAGACCATAAGCTTCTTCTTTCGGTTCTTCTTAAGGAATGTAAAGAGCAGAAGGAATCTCTTTTCAGAAGGACAAACAACATATCCCTAGAAAGCGTTTAAGCAGACAGATACAAATGAACCAAGTGGACATTTTCCATTTCCTAACTTGTGTAATTTCATCAAGAGCACTGATAAACACAGTGTGTAAACTGTCATGCCTCACCTACAGCATTTTAAAAGTTCATTAACCCATTTGCTTTCTGAATGATCCTTCCAACAATTACATAAAAACACCAAGTAAGATCCCTACAGTTTTCAGTTATTGATAAAAAGTACCTGTTCAAGACCATCCACTGTTGCATTCGCTTTATCATCATCAACGCCAACATACAATGGCTCCTTTTTCAGAGAAATCCTTGCCAGGTCTTCAACTTTTCGAGTTTGGGTGGCAGAAAAGAGCATAGTCTGTCTACGTGCTGAAACAGATACATATAAAAATAACCCCAATCTTTTAGGGAATCTTTACAATTGCCTCACAACTACAAATATTCTAGGTAGAGATATCAGAAATGGGAGATATGATGTTTCTACAGAATCTACAAATATTACAAAAGGTAAAAAGGGTATATCATGAAACACTAGGTCTATAAATTTGAGGACTTAGATGAAATGGACAAACTCCTTTGAAGACAAACAACTGAAGAAAATAGGAAAACTTTAAATAGCCTTATATCTACTAAAGAAATTTTAGTTATAACCTTCATGTAAAGAAAATTCCAGGCCCAAATGGATTCCATTGGTGAATTCTACTGAACATTTAAGAAAAAAACATCAATTATTCACAAACTCTCCAATAAATTAAAAAGAGGGCTTACATGTCAACTCATTCTTCGAAGTCAGTCATTACACTATACAAAAACCTGACATGACATGACAAGAAAACTATGGACCAATACAATTCGTGAGCACATATACAAAATTTGAAATAGAATTTTAGTAAAGTGAATTCAGCAATATATAAAAAGGATAATGGCTCATGTTTATTCTAGAAATGGATCAGGTTTATTCTAGAAATGCAGGTTGGTTCAACATTTGAAAAATCAACCAATACAATTCACTATGTTAACTAAAGAAAAAACATGATTATTTCAGCAGACAGAAAAAAAACATTTGACCATCTATTTCTGATTAAAAATCCTCAGCAAACTAGGAACAGAAGGGATCTTCCTCAATCTGATAAAAGGCATCTATATAAAACCTGCAGCTAACTTCATATGTAGTTAATGGTAAAAGACTGAATGCTTTCCCCTAAGATCAGAACCAAGATAAGGATGTCTGCTCTCACCACTTCTATTCAGCACCATACTGGAGGTTCTGGCCAGGGCAATCAGGCAGGAAAAAAAAATTAAATAAAGAGGTGAAACTGTCTTTATCTGCACATGATTGCCTATATAGAAAATCCAAAAGGCTACAGTCATCTGGAAAGTCATACTGAATAATCATTCGGTACAGGATTAACTGTCTTGCTAGATACAAGATCAATATAAAATTCAACTGTGTGTGCATATATATGTGTGTATATGTGTGTGTGTATATATGTATATATTAAAGCAACGAGCAATTGGAACTTGAAATTTTAATGAAACACTCAGAGATAAATCTGACAAAAGATGTGAATAAACCTGTATCCCGAACCCCCCTAAATATGATAGAGAAAATATCGAATACATGGAGATATACCTTATTATGGGTTACATGACTCAATACTGTCTTCCTCCAATAATCTCTATTCAATAAAATCTCAGTCAAGATCTGAGACTTTTTTGGAGGGAAGGGGGAGAAACTGACAAACCAATTCTAAAATTTATATAGAAAAGCAAAGGACAAGAATACCACAACTTTAAAAGAGAACAAACTTGGGGCTAACATTACCTGATGGTCAAGACTTAATAGGAGGAACTGGAACTTTCATACACTGCTCATAGGAATGTTAAATGGTACAGCCGCTTTGGAAAACATCTGGCAGTTTTTTAAAAAGTTAAACATACACTAAACATATACCAACTAGGACACTCCTAGGTTTACTTAAGAGAAAAGGAGATATATGCCTCTACAAAGAGTTGTAGATGACTGTTCACAGCAACTTTATTTCCAGAAAATGCAACCTAATCTAGCAGCAGAAAACAGATCAATACTCACCTGGGGACAAGGTATACGTGTAAGGAGGGGTGGGAGGGAGAAATTGAAAAGGGGCAGGAGGAAACCTTTGACTGTGATGGACATGTTCATTTTCTTGATTGCAGCGATGATGTCACAGTGGTAAACAAATCAAAGAACATCAAATTGTACATTATAAATGGGTAGATATAATTATACTTTGACAAAGCTTTTAAAAATAAATTATATAATGAAGGAAACCATGGTCTTAGTTATAACCAGTTCATAATGTTGCAAGTACTATAACCAAGGTATGTACAAGTAAGGCAAAAAATCTGCGGCTTCTTGGGGGATGTTAGATGAGGTAAGAATGGGCAAGAGGTGGAGGACAGGACCTATGTGAAGACTGCTTAACGTGCCTTATAACTTCTAAAACAGCAAAACTATTATATCAAGTTATAATACATTTGATGCTTGTATTCCAAATTACCTTTCGGGTTAATTGGCACAACTACCTCACTTGGCTATGGTAAAGTTCTGGCATTAGTACAGTTTTTCTATAGGAACAACTCTTATCTACCTCCAACAGATACTTTGCAAACCAAATGCAGATGCTACCTACTTACTTGGCAAAAGTTTAATAATTTGCTTTAATTCCTCTTCAAACCCCACATCCAAGATACGATCAGCTTCATCAATAACCAGACACTGCAGGTTTTTATACATAAATCCTGGGGTATTCTAACAAAACAAAGGACAAAGAACAACCATTAGTTGTCAGTTTATGTTTCATACAAGACAATGAGACAAGCACTACATCTCTTACCTGCATATGGTCCAGCAGACGGCCTGGTGTGGCCACAATGATGTTGATCCCATTACCAAGTTTCTGTGCTTCAGCAGATCTGTTACTGCCACCCATTATCAAGCCATAGGTATGCACGTGGTGAGTCATCAGCTCCTTAAGAACACCAAAGGTTTGCATGGCTAGTTCTCTAGTAGGTGAGAGAATAAGGACTCCTGTTCCTAAAAATGATATATGGTAGAAGTCTAAATGTGGCTGTCACCACTGAGTCCGTAACAGCTACAATAAACCTCTAGTGAAATAATGGCAGAAACAAGCAGATGAACGCTTACCATTCCTGGGCATGAACCTTAACTTAACAATGAGTTCAACTGCAGGGATGAGAAAAGCCAGGGTTTTACCACTGCCTGTTTTTGCAGCTGCTAGAAGATCCCTAAATATTAAAAAGGGAAAGGAGAAAGACATTTAGCCTACTCATTTACGACGTACTACATACACACACCTTAGGCACTACGGCTAGAACATGAACAAGAAACGTCTACAGTGCTGAAATTGATCACCTGGGTTATATACTGAAATCATAAGTCAGAACTGTGCTACAACAGAAGCAGAACACCTTTCGAACACTTTCCTTCAAACATCAGTAATTAACTTAAAGCCTTTAATGTATGCTGGATACATGACCCAACATATAGTACAAAATCAACAGAATATACTGGTATGTTCTTTATCATCTACTAGTTCTAAAAATAGATGCCAATATCTAAGCTTCAATGTTAATCATACCTGCCTTCCAGAAGTGGTCTGATACTTTTATGCTGAATTTCAGTCATGTTTGTAAAACCCATTTCTTTTATTGCCTTCAGAGTGTTTTCATTGACAAGATTACATAGAGAAGCAAACGAAGTATCCTCAAAAGCTCCTAAACAGAAGACAATTTATCATTAGCAAATTTATCTTTTTTTTTAAAAAAGTATTGCTACAGTTGCCTAAATCTATTTTGCTTAGAAAAGCTTCCCGCAGTAAGAAAAGGCTAAACCTTAATTATTCATATGTGATAATATCAAGAAAAAGACCCTATATCTTTCAAGTTTCTCCACTGTTAACGGCTGTGTGAGTTATAGTCCAGAGACCATACTATAACAAAACAAGGGGTAGAGAGGAGGTATAACCAAGGAATTTATATAAAATAAAAATACCAAAACAAGGAAAATAATGAGAGTCCAGAGATAAATGAAATGTTTAAGAAATCTGATATAAAAGTGAAAACATTGAGCATTAATAAAAACTGAGTGTGAAGTCAATAATAAAAAAAAAACCTGTTAATCTCACTCCAACAAGACACAGAAGAGTCAGATACAGCCACAGAATGTTAGGCTGAGCCTACGTATCAAGTAATACAGTGGTGGTTCAGCAGAAGGCATCAAAATCACCTGGGGGTTCCCCATACTCCACATGCCCAGGGTGTAAACCAATCACTCTTGACCTTGGCATTGCTGACATCTGGGCTGAATAATTCTTTGCTGTGAAACACTATCCTGTGCCTTATAAGATATTATGCAGTGTTTCTGACCTCTACTCACCAGATCCCAGCAGACTGCTCCTAGCTCTGAGAACCAAAAATGTCTCCTAGGCTTAGGATGACCAATCTTCTCAGTAGGCTAGGGACAGAGGAGATTCTTGGGATTCAGAACTTTCAGTGCTAAAACTGTTAAAGTTCTGGGCAAACCAGGAAGAGTTACTCTTCTTACTCGGGGGGCGAATTTCCCTGCTCGAGAGCTACTACCAAAACGTTTGCAATTTGGATTAAGCAGGTCTAGGGTTGGGCCTCAACATTTTAACAAACCAACCAACCCAAACCAAATAAACAACTCAAGTAACTCCTAGACATATCTGGTTAGGAGCAGTGAATTCTAGCCTAAACTCAACTTTATAAAGGAACAAAGGCCAAAGGAGGTTAACCTCGTACAGGGCCAATCATTTTCCTATTACAACATAGAATGAGACTCAGAAAAGGACAAACCAAGGAATCCTAGAAGCTGCTAGTGTGCATATAAAATATTTGGTGTCAGGAATGAACAAAAGGAAAAAAACAGGGAACAAAAAGAACTAAAACACCACAAAATAGAAGATAAAGAGAAAAAGCAGCAGAAAGATATAAAAAAAGTTTCTTGTTGATAGTTACTTTTTTCAGGTAAACTGAAAGTCACAACTGAACCTTCAAACCTATAATCCTCTAAGAGAGGCACATTTTAAAGAAGTTACCTCTAGAAAACTTCCTGGACGTTACCTGTCAGTCCCAGGGGCAGACTGGGCACCTCACTCTCATCTTCATCATTATCTGGCTTCTCCACATTATTTTCTGTTTCTTTAGTAGTCTCGGCACTTTCTTCTTCAGATTTCCCTTTGTTTTCAGTTTTTGCTTTTTTCGTATCTTTGGTTTTAAAAGACAAAATCCGAAAAAATTTTTCCTTAAAATAGAATTCCAAATGAGATCAACAAACAGAAGATCTCTGATATAAAGACGTATATTTTCAAAAGCTAAGTATATGCTGTATTAATTTGTTAAGAATTCTGTTTGGTGAAAAATGAGTGGTTGTATTTAAAAACCCAGGGTACAGACAGACTTGGTGACAAAACCTTTTAGGCTTTTGTTCAACTAAACAGTATAAACATACCAATTATAAGTTTCACATACTCCACTGAGGGGAAAGGAAGCATACCTGATTAACATAATCCTTAAAAACTCATTATAAGTAGTCATTTTTCTTCCCACGCCAATCACTATCAAAGGCTCTTCATGTTACTAGAGATAGACTGTAAAGGAAGGGCAACAACCCACTTGCCTGGCTGACATACACTGGACTGTGCCTTGGCTATCAGGGATGAGGGTGGGAGGAAAGGCAGGGCTTCTTCCCACCCTCATTTCTACATTCACAACTTTCATGTGGCCCCAACTACCTTTTCAGTCCTACCTCTCACTTCTCTTTTCAATGTTCGACTCTGGGTCAAATGGATTAACCACATGCTGTGTTTATATAAAACTATATGGCAATTAGTGATGTTTGAAAAGAACTTAGACCACAACCCAGGACTCTCTGTAGCTCAGTACTGGTCTCCTCCCTGTACCTGACGGCCACCCTTCCAGGAAAGAGTCAACTTTGTAGGACCTACATGTTCAAAAGCCACAGATATCTTCAGCTGGTCTCCATGGCTTATTTTGTTTTCCCTGGAATAGTTCCTAAAATGTACCCATAAGGTGGTTGGGTGTGGTGGCTTCTGCCTGTAATCCCAGCACTTTGGGAAGCCGAGGTGGGAGGATCACTTGAGCCCAGGAGTTCAAGACCAGCTTGGACAACACAGTGAGACCCCATCTCATAATAAAACAAACAAACAAACAAACAAACAAAAAACCCATAAGGTTAAAACGCCCAGCATTGTGATTCAATGCTTGGGAGCAGAAATAATACCACTTCCTGGGGCATACTCAAAACAAGAATTGTGAAGGCAATAATTTTAGAACAGGATTACAATGACTTCTGTGTGTAGGCATCATGAAGACAGTAATGCATGTTTGGAAAAGTTCAAAGTCCCTTTCTAAATAAAACCCTTATTTCAGGTAAAATACATGAATAGGATGTTCCAACTCAGGGGCTGGCAAACTTTCCGCAAAGGGCCAGATAGTAAATAGTTTAGGCTTTGCAGGTCATATGATCTCTGTTGCCATAAACACAACCAAATAGGCATTGCTATGACCCAGTAAAACTTTATTTACAAAAACAGGTAGAAGGAGGGATAGTTTGCTGACCCCTATCTTATCCTACCTTGATATCTCTGCTTATACAAATCTCAATTATAATGTCCATTCTTTCATCCGAGCTTACTGAAATTCCATCATCTTCAAAAAACATTCCTTCCTTTTCCTCCTGCCATTCTTAGCACTTGGAAATTAATGTTCCATTTATTCAGAAGTTTCCTACTTTATATACTTTGTAACTAATATTCCTTTCAAAGGGAGGAATTTATGGAAGGAAAATGGGAAGAATCAAGCAGGAAAAAAGGTAACTTAAAAAGAAGAGAAAATTTCTAGAATTCTAAGGAGAGTCTTTTCTGAGAGAGGTTTTCTTCAAGGTTAGTGAAATTAAAAATATATTCCTCAATATTTTGAGAAAAGTTGAAATGGACTCCCCGCTTCTGCCAATAAAATGTTTCCATTAGCTACCAGGCTAATCTCTAACATACTGGTGAGTACAGGGAATTCTCATGTCATGTGCACACAATAGTAATAGAAAGAGGAACAATAACCGTCTGTGAAAAACTAAATGGCTGAAGTTCAAAGATAATAAATACCTACCAGGCTCAGCATCATTCACCATTTTTCTCTTTTTCTTCTTTTTCTTTTTTGATTCTGAATTGGAAGACTGCATTGCTGCTTCTCCATTGGTTAATACAGTGGATTTCTGGGGAGACTTTGTAACTTTTATATTTCCCACTGCTTCTTGAGACATGCCTCCATTTTGAGTTTCTGATAAGCCCACATTCATGGGCTTTTGTTTTGATTTTTTAACCTTTCTACTTCCCATTGTTTCTTCAGATACATCTCCATTTTGAGTTTCCGATAGGGTCAGATTTGAGGCCCCTGTTTAAATAAACAGAACATATACTGTGACAAAGAAGGAGAAGTTTACTTAGAAACACTGAAATCCCAAATGAGAACTTCCATGGCTTCCTGACACAAATTATTTAGATTTTCTTCTCTTTCATGTAATTAAAACAACTTATAGTTTTATGGTGTTCCCTTATAGGGAAAGTAAGTTATCTTAAAGAAAAAATACTGGAAAAGGGAAAGCTATATTGATTTCTTAACTGCAAAAGACCGTACATCTGACTTTAAGGAGTCTAGGACAGGAAAACTTCAATGAGGTCAAATATTTAAACAGATGAGGTCAGATAATGGCAGTTACAGAATAAACATAAGTATTTGATAAACATATGATTAACTGATATATTGAAAAAGACATTTACAACTCATTCACACAAGTACTATTTTTCATACCACTTCAAAACATTCAACCCCAACTCTTCTAGACTGCAGTGAGTTGAAAATTCAGTTGATAAGACCACTTATTTGCTCCAATATTTATCATATGCAAATACAGTAATGCGTGCACAATGACATTTCTGTGAATTAAGGACAACATATACAGTGGCTCCATAAGATTATAACGGAGCTAAAAAATTCCTATCACCTAGTGCCATCAGTAACTGCAATGTCGTAGTGCAACATATTACTCATGTTTGTAGTGATGCTAGTATAAACAAATCTACTGTAATGCCAGTCGTATAAAGTACAGCACACATAATTATGTACAATACATAATACGTGATAATAAACTATGTTACTTGTTTATGTGTTTACTATACTTTTGATCATCATTTTAGAGTTTACTCCTTTTACTTATTAAAAAAAAATGAGTCGACTGTAAAAGAGCCTCAGGGAGAGAGGTATTTTAGAAGGCACTGTTATCATAGGAGATGACAGCTCCATGCCTATTGTTGCCCCTGAAGATCTTCCAGTGGGACAAGATGTGGAAGCGGAAGACAGTGAAACTGAATGTGTCTGTGTCTTTACATTTTTAACAAAAAGCTTAAAAAGAAAAAAAAATAAAATAAAAATCACATAGAATAAGGACAAAAGGAAACTTTTTGTACAGCTGTATGTACAATGTGCTTGTGTTGTAAGCTAAGTGTTATTAAAGTCAAAAGGTTAAAATTTAACAAGTTTATAATGTAAAAGTTACAGCAGGCTAAGGTTAATTTAAGAATAAAAGTATTAAAAAACTCAACAGTGTAGCCCAAGTGTACAGTGTTTATAAAGTCTATAGTGTACAGTAATGTTCTAGGCCTTCACATTCACTCACCGCTCACTGACTCGCTCAGGGTAACTTCCAGTCCTGCAAACTCCATTCATGGTAAGTACTGTATACAGAGGTACCATTTTCTAAATCTCTCATGTCATAGTCTTTTTACTGTACCTTTTCTATGTTTAGATATATTTAGCCATACATACACTTACCATTGTGTTACAATTCTCTGAGTATAGTACAGTAACATGCTGTACAGGATGACAGCTTACGAGCAACAGGCTATATCATGTAGCCTGGGTGTGTAGTAGATTTAGGTTTGTGTAACTAGATAAAGTTCGCAAAACGACAAAAGCCCCTAATGACACATTTCTCACAATGTATCCCCCCTCCTGTTATGCGATGCATGACTGTACCTGAGAATGTCCTTACCAAAGGTTCCCTGTTTGTTTACTGAAAAAGATAAAACACCATCTTTTGTTCAAATTTACTTACATATGCGCTGAAAAGTAGTAATGCTGTAGTATTATTCTATAGGAATTAGAAATACAAGAGTATTTCAAAACATATTCCTAAAATTCACAAACCTATTGCCTCCTGCAGAATTTTTTTTCAATTAATGTCTGTTGAAAACCAACTGGGGCAAGGCACTGTGCCTCCAAACTTTCCCTCGGGGAGTTTGTATCTTAACCTGGACAACAGGTTAACACAATTACTTCAAGATCTGTGGCCCCACTGTCAGGACACTGGGACTGCAAATGAGGTAGGTAAGAAAGGTGACATTCAGATAAAATCCTTTTCATTTAGGTCACTGTGCGGGACACAAATACGTAGAAGCTCTGGTGAGAAAGTGCTACGAGAACGTGTGGAAGTGGGTAGAGGAAGGCAATAGTATCAAAGAAGCTCTGTGGAAACAGCCAGACGGGCTTTTGGGGAAAGAAATACGGGAATTAAATAGATGTGAAAAGTGGGTGGAAATGAGACGTTTCATGCAGCATAACCGGAAATGAGGGATGAGGTGAGGTGCGACTTGCAGGTGGTGAGGGAACCAAAAGCTAAGGTGGAAATGCAAAAGGCAGGGTTAGTCGTAAGCCTAGAAGTGAACGGGGAGTCCTCCCGCTCTAACGTTGTAAGAAGACACTGATTGCTCAGAAAGGTCAGGAGCAGCGCTGGAGCCACGCGACGAGTGGGCAGCAGCGCGGGTCCCGAGTGGAAGCTGCCTTTTCACTCTCCCCAATCACACACGCTGCAGGGGAAGCTGCCTCCGTCACACAGAGCAGCTGGGCCCCCGGCCGCCCGAACGCGCCAGGGCTCGCGCGTGGGTCTTCTGAGCCACCGCGAGTCAACGCATCTCACCCTGAAACTTTAGGTTCCGCTGCCGCAATTTGAGGTTCCGCTTCTCGATCTTCTTACGCAGGAGTTTCATCGGCAGGTGTGACATTCTGCCCAACAAGTGCCTAGAATAAGGCGCCACACAGTACAGCTACTCAGTTCTCAGGCTGACGTTACTTCCCTTCCGGCCGCACGTGCGCAGCTCGGCCAACAGGAAACGCGTCACAGGAACGCTGGCACCCGGCGGAACGAAAATGCTCCAGAGCGGAAATGCTTCCAGACGCGCGCACCGTGATATCTTTGGCGACCAAAATCTTTGCAGCGCCCCCTGGAGAAGTGGAAGCGAGACGCTGCACTGGCTTCACACTGTGCTAAAGCTAACTTGAGCTCCCCCTAGAGGAAGACTGAAGAAAGAACGTGGAGGGGAAGGAGGCCTTAGGGAGTCCGCATTTTTATGTTCCTATCCTCTGTGGGTGCAGAACTAGAGTTGGCCCTCCCTGTACCTGAATTCCCTGTCTGTGGATTCAACCAACTCCCCCATTGAAAACATTAAAAAAAAAACAATTAAAAATAATACAGTGTGATAACTACTTTCATAGCATTTAGGTTGTATAAGGTATTATAAGTCATTTAGAAATGATTTAAAGTATACAGGATGTTGTGTGTAAAATAAATGCAAATATTACACTATTGTATATAAGGGTTTTGAGTATCCTAAGATATTGGTACCCATAGAGGGTCCTGGACTCAATCCCTTGTGGATACTGAGGGACAACTGTATTTGGGAAACTGAATAGAACTAAATTATATATATGCATTTCCAAACTTGTTTGGCCACTCTCCTCAGAAATACAATTTCTGTGTCACTTGGTACACATACACACATAAATATAACATTTCTCAAAATAATATTCTTGCTTTTCACTCTTTTTCCTTCAATTCCATTCATTCCATCCTAAATTATTCTTTTTAGCTTACTAAAAATACTGATTCCTATGAATTTAAATTAACTTTACTACATTAATAATAGGTTGACTGCAGTTTGAAAAAGAGGTTTATATATTCCTTAAGTATACCCAAGGACCCTTCAGCAGTCCAGGACAGAAATTGCAATGTGGCTAGCTAATAGTCATCTCTTTTTTGGGATGGGGAGGAAGACAGGGGTATGCATATAGTATTTAATTTTTAAAAAAATTGTTATCAACATTAAAATACTTGGAGATTTCCATAAAAATTCATATTTGTCTTTAAAAATTGGCCCAATGCCCTCAAATTCCCCTTAACAGTAATCAATTTGAGCTGAACAACTGGAAGAGTCCATGAAACCTGGATTAATTTGTTTACTTGGAGGGGCAGAACATGAGACCCTGGAGATTAGACCTGATCATAGTGAGGAACAGAGAGGGAGAAAACTTGGGAGGGAGTTTAAACAGAATGTGAAGGAATTGACTTCGAAATCACATTGGATTGGACTGGAAAACTAAGACAAACAAATAATAATGTGCTTAGATTAATTTGTTAATGATCAGGCAGGCTGAAGAATGATTCAGAAATGTAAGAGCGCACACACACACGCAAACATTTATCTCAGTGTAAATATATATGCCAGTTTAAATTTATGCATATATCAGTATATATATGCATATACACATATGTATCTATTTCTATAGCTCTATGTACATACATATATATTTACCTGATTACATGTGTGAGTTTTGGGTCTGTGACTTTGAAATAGATACAACTGAAGTATATATAGAAAGTGCTCAAAATTTGTTATTTCTTTTATGTTGTAACTTAAATTTGTGGGGCTATGTTTTGGTAGTAGTAATGGAAAGGTACTCCCTTTTTTCTAGAGTGTGACTTTTTCTAGCTAGTAGTGAAGATTGGCAGTCATTTCCTCAAAACCAAAAAAACCCACATTTACGAGGTGTTTAAGACATTTAGATCAGAGAAGCCGATCCTTTCAGGTGCATGGAAATGCTTAACGTTAGGGATTGATAACCTTTTAAGAAACATAGATAAAGCTACTGATGCCAATTCTTCTGGATTTTTAGAAGAAGAATGAGAAATTATAACTTCAAATCAACTCTCAAAATTAGGGTTGAGAGTTATTTTTAACAGAGTGAATTTCCAAGGCCACATCATCAGTTACTCTAGCAAAGAAAACAATGTCATTGGGTTAGCTACTCAAAAATTACCTGTGAGGATGAGGTAACAATCACGTGCTTCTGAAAAGCCTGTTGTTCTTCACAGCTGGAGCCTATCCCAGTATCTATTCAGAATGCGTTTCAGTCTTTAAAACTTCTTGCTTGGGCTCTCCATCACAGAGGTCTCTCTCTTCAGAATATGGTCATTCGCCATAAAACAATCGCATAATATAGTCATTATGCAACTATTTTTTGAGCATTTTTGTGCTAAGAGTGTGTGGTAGGCATGTGCCAAATCCTGGGTATAAAATGGTGGACAAGATAGACCTGGCTCGCCTAGGTGGAGCTTACAGAGCTTACAAGGAAGACAGAAAATTAAACGATTATGGTAAACTATGATGAATGCAGTGAAAAGGAAGCACATCACAGGAGCAACATCCTAGCCTTGGGAAGGGGTCTGGGGATGGAGTCTGTCATTCAATATTCATTATGCATAGGGACTGAGCCAGCAGCAGGCAGAAGCAGGAAGGGAGTTGCTGTCTTTTTTTTGTTGGTTTGTTTGTGTGTTTTGAGACAGAGTTTTGCTCTTGTTGCCCAGGCTGGAGTTCAATGGCGCGAACTTGGCTTACCGCAACCTCCGCCTCTGGGTTCAAGTGATTCTCCTGCCTCAGCCTCCCAAGTAGCTGGGATTACAAGCATGCACCACTATACCCAGATAATTTTGCATTTTTAGTAGAGACAGGGTTTCTCCATGTTATTCACGCTGGTCTCGAACTCCTGACCTCAGGTGATCCATCCGCCTCAGCCTCCTAAAGTGCTGAGATTACAGGCATGAGCCACCGCACCTGGCCAGGAGTTTCTGTCTTTTACCTCCTGACTAAAAATAATTAAGTTTAACATAGAACAGGTCTTATTCATGCTGTTTTGTTTTTCAGTTTTCACTTGAGATCCTTAAACCTGAGACAAGTGTTTGTAAAATAAAACGCAGATTTGTGTAGTTTGTCATTCAAATTAAAAACGTCCCACTTCACTGGGAAAAGAAATCAATCTATTTCACCAACATCATAGAATTGTGAGCCAGAAATAACTGACTCATCCTCTCGGATCACTGCATTAGGACTCTTGAAGTGATTTTCTAGGAACTTTCAAATGCTATTTTCTATAAGGTTAACCACTCTGTTGTGTATTGGAACTTAAAAAGTGCTATGTTATTGTAAATAAGCATGATGTTGCCTCCTTCACATTACCTGACTTTCCTGGACCAGCATCTGGTTCTGTGTATTTCTACATTGTAGAAAGCAGATGGCTGGTACTTAAGAAAGGTTTTCTTCAGTGAACTGATGGACATAAGAGTGAGAGATTATTTTAAAGAGCATCACCACAATTCATGACAAGTCATTATTGCAGTGGTCCTAGGAGCTGGAGAGGATACAGAAACATATAACAGAAACTTTTCTGTCAAGAAGTTTATTCATTTATTAATTTAAAAAAATACCATCTATCCATTCCAGGTACTGTTTTAGGCCTCAGGGATCAGCAGTAAACAAGACAGGAAAAGTCCTCATTTCCAGGGAGATTACAGCCTGGATAAGAGACGACAGGTATAAGTAAACCTTGTGATTGAACAAGATACCTTTGCATGAAGCTAAATGCTGGGAAGACATTACAACCAGACAATGCAATATAATAAAGAGGGATGGGTGGGAGGGCAGGACAGCATGCTATTCAGGTGGGAGGTATTTTTTGAGGAGGCAAAGATCTAAGGTCAGAGAAAAGGCTGTCAAAGACAAGTCTTAATATGCTATTAAGTAACAATTCAAGGGATCAAGAGCAGATTTGTAGTCAGGAGCATAAGAGGAGATTTGCAGGGGGAAAGAGTCTAGGGGCTGGGTCAGGCTTGAGTGAATAAGGGGATAGTGACAATGTTAAAATGAACTGCATTTGACTTCCTTCCCTTCGAGTCATAGTCTGACCACTGATGATTGAATCACAGACTGAGTCTTGCTTGTACAGTATGTTGCGGAAATAAGAGGATGGAAATGAATTTATTTTTAATACACTTCTTATGTGGAATAATTTTAGACTTGCAAAAAAGTTGCAAAAACAGTGCCCTTTACCCAGTTTTCCCTAACGTTAACAACTTATGTAGCCGTGATACATTTATCAAAATAAAGACATTAACGTTAGTGAATCACTATTAACTAAATTAGACTTTATTCAGATTTCACTAGTTTTTCCACTAATGTCCTTTTTCTTTTTTTTCTCTTCTTCTTTTTCTTTATTTCTCCTAAAAAAAAAGGGATACACATGCAGAACGTGCAGGTTTGTAACATAGGTATATGTGTGCCATGGTGGTTTGCTGTACCTATTGACCCATCCTCTAAGTTCCCTCCCTTCACCCTCAACCCCCCAACAGACCCTGGTGTGTGTTGTACCCCTCTCTGTATCCATGAGTTCTCAATGTTCAACTCCCACTTATGAATGAGAACATGTGATGTTCAGTTTTCTGTTCCTGTGTTAGTTTGCTGAGGATGATAGCTTCCAGCTTGATCTGTGTCCCTGCAAAGGACATGACCTCATTCCTTTTTATGGCTACATAATATTCCATGGTGTATATGTTCCACATTTTCTTTATTCAGTCTATTATTGATGGGTATTTGGGTTGGTTCCATGACTTTGCTATTGTAAATAGTGCTGCAATAAACATACATGTGCATATGTCTTTATGGTAGAATGATTTATATTCCTTTGGGTATATACCCAGTAATGGGATTATGGATTCAAATGGTATTTCTGCTTCTAGATTCTTGATGAATCGCCATTCTGTCTTCTACAATGGTGGAACTAATTTACATTCCCACCAACAGTGTAAAAGTGTTCCTATTTCTCCACAGCCTCGCCAGCGTGTATTGTTTCCTGACTTTTTTTTTTTTTAATTATACTTTAAGTTTTAGGGTACATGTGCACATTGTGCAGGTTAGTTACATATGTATACATATGCCATGCTGGTGCGCTGCACCCACTAACTTGTCATCTAGCATTAGGTATATCTCCCAATGCTATCCCTCCCCACTCCCCCCACCCCACAACAGTCCCCAGAGTGTGATATTCCCCTTCTGGTGTCCATGTGATCTCACTGTTCAATTCCCACCTATGAGTGAGAATATGCGGTGTTTGGTTTTTTGTTCTTGCGATAGTTTACTGAGAATGATGATTTCCAATTTCATCCATGTCCCTACAAAGGACATGAAATCATCATTTTTTATGGCTGCATAGTATTCCATGCTGTATATGTGCCACATTTTCTTAATCCAGTCTATCATTGTTGGACATTTGGGTTGGTTCCAAGTCTTTCCTATTGTGAATAGTGCTGCAATAAACATACGTGTGCATGTGTCTTTATAGCAGCATGATTTATAGTCCTTTGGGTATATACCCAGTAATGGGATGGCTGGGTCAAATGGTATTTCCAGTTCTAGATCCCTGAGGAATCGCCACAATGACTTCCACAATGGTTGAACTAGTTGACAGTCCCACCAACAGTGTAAAAGTGTTCCTATTTCTCCACATCCTCTCCAGCACCTGTTGTTTCCTGACTGTTTAATGATTGCCATTCTAACTGGTGTGAGATGGTATCTCGTTGTGGTTTTGATTTGCATTTCTCTGATGGCCAGTGATGGTGAGCATTTTTTCATGTGTTTTTTGGCTGCATAAATGTCTTCCTTTGAGAAGTGTCTGTTCATGTCCTTCGCCCACTTTTTGATGGGGTTGTTTGTTTTTTTCTTGCAAATTTGTTTGAGTTCATTGTAGATTCTGGATATTAGCCCTTTGTCAGATGAGTAGGTTGCAAAAATTTTCTCCCATTTTGTAGGTTGCCTGTTCACTCTGATGGTAGTTTCTTTTGCTGTGCAGAAGCTCTTTAGTTTAATGAGATCCCATTTGTCAATTTTGGCTTTTGTTGCCATTGCTTTTGGTGTTTTAGACATGAAGTCCTTGCCCATGCCTATATCCTGAATGGTAATGCCTAGGTTTTCTTCTAGGGTTTTTATGGTTTTAGGTCTAACGTTTAAGTCTTTAATCCATCTTGAATTGATTTTTGTATAAGGTGTAAGGAAGGGATCCAGTTTCAGCTTTCTACATATGACTAGCTGGTTTTCCAGGCACCATTTATTAAATAGGGAATCCTTTCCCCATTGCTTGTTTTTCTCAGGTTTGTCAAAGATCAGATAGTTGTAGATATGCGGCGTTATTTCTGGGGGCTCTGTTCTGTTCCATTGATCTATATCTCTGTTTTGGTACCAGTACCATGCTGTTTTGGTTACTGTAGCCTTGTAGTATAGTTTGAAGTCAGGTAGCGTGATGCCTCCAGCTTTGTTCTTTTGGCTTAGGATTGACTTGGCAATGCGGACTCTTTTTTTGGTTCCATATGAACTTTAAAGTAGTTTTTTCCAATTCTGTGAAGAAAGTCATTGGTAGCTTGATGGGGATGGCATTGAATCTGTAAATTACCTTGGGCAGTATGGCCATTTTCACGATATTGATTCTTCCTACCCAAGAGCATGGAATGTTCTTCCATTTGTTTGTATCCTCTTTTATTTCCTTGAGCAGTGGTTTGTAGTTCTCCTTGAGGAGGTCCTTCACATCCCTTGTAAGTTGGATTCCTAGGTATTTTATTCTCTTTGAAGCAATTGTGCATGGGAGTTCACTCATGATTTGGCTCTCTGTTTGTCTGTTGTTGGTGTATAAGAATGCTTGTGATTTTTGTACATTGATTTTGTATCCTGAGACTTTGCTGAAGTTGCTTATCAGCTTAAGGAGATTTTGGGCTGAGACAATGGGGTTTTCTAGATATACAATCATGTCGTCTGCAAACAGGGACAATTTGACTTCCTCTTTTCCTAATTGAATACACTTTATTTCCTTCTCCTGCCTAATTGCCCTGGCCAGAACTTCCAACACTATGTTGAATAGGAGTGGTGAGAGAGGGCATCCCTGTCTTGTGCCAGTTTTCAAAGGGAATGCTTCCAGTTTTTGCCCATTCAGTATGATATTGGTTGTGGGTTTGTCATAGATAGCTCTTATTATTTTGAAATACGTCCCATCAATACCTAATTTATTGAGAGTTTTTAGCATGAAGGGTTGTTGAATTTTGTCAAAGGCTTTTTCTGCATCTATTGAATAATCATGTGGTTTTTGTCTTTGGCTGTGTTTATATGCTGGATTACATTTATTGATTTGTGCATATTGAACCAGCCTTGCATCCCAGGGATGAAGCACACTTGATCATGGTGGATAAGCTTTTTGATGTGCTGCTGGATTCGTTTTGCCAGTATTTTATTGAGGATTTTTGCATCAATGTTCATCAAGGATATTGGTGTAAAATTCTCTTTTTTTGTTGTGTCTCTGCCTGGCTTTGGTATCAGAATGATGCTGGCCTCATAAAATGAGTTGGGGAGGATTCCCTCTTTTTCTATTGATTGGAATAATTTCAGAAGGAATGGTACCAGTTCTTCCTTGTACCTCTGGTAGAATTTGGCTGTGAATCCATCTGGTCCTGGACTCTTTTTGGTTGGTAAGCTATTGATTATTGCCACAATTTCAGCTCCTGTTATTGGTCTATTCAGAGATTCAACTTCTTCCTGGTTTAGTCTTGGGAGAGTGTATGTGTCCAGGAATTTATCCATTTCTTTTAGATTTTCTAGTTTATTTGCGTAGAGGTGTTTGTAGTATTCCCTGATGGTAGTTTGTATTTCTGTGGGATCAGTGGTGATATCCCCTTTATCATTTTTTATTGTGTCTATTTGATTCTTCTCTCTTTTTTTCTTTATTAGTCTTGCTAGCAGTCTATCAATTTTGTTGATCCTTTCAAAAAACCAGCTCCTGGATTCATTAATTTTTTGAAGGGTTTTTTGTGTCTCTATTTCCTTCAGTTCTGCTCTGATTTTAGTTATTTCTTGCCTTCTGCTAGCTTTTGAATGTGTTTGCTCTTGCTTTTCTAGTTCTTTTAATTGTGATGTTAGGGTGTCAATTTTGGATCTTTCCTGCTTTCTGTTGTGGGCATTTAGTGCTATAAATTTCCCTCTACACACTGCTTTGAATGCGTCCCAGAGATTCTGGTATGTTGTGTCTTTGTTCTCATTGGTTTCAAAGAACATCTTTATTTCTGCCTTCATTTCGTTATGTACCCAGTAGTCATTCAGGAGCAGGTTGTTCAGTTTCCATGTAGTTGAGTGGTTTTGAGTGAGATTCTTAATCCTGAGTTCTAGTTTGATTGCACTGTGGCCTGAGAGATAGTTTGTTATAATTTCTGCTCTTTTACATTTGCTGAGGAGAGCTTTACTTCCAACTATGTGGTCAATTTTGGAATAGGTGTGTTGTGGTGCTGAAAAAAATGTATATTCTGTTGATTTGGGGTGGAGAGTTCTGTAGATGTCTATTAGGTCCACTTGGTGCAGAGCTGAGTTCAATTCCTGGGTATCCTTGTTGACTTTCTGTCTCGTTGATCTGTCTAATGTTGACAGTGGGGTGTTAAAGTCTCCCATTATTAATGTGTGAGAGTCTAAGTCTCTTTGTAGGTCACTCAGGACTTGCTTTATGAATCTTGGTGCTCCTGTATTGGGTGCATATATATTTAGGATAGTTAGCTCTTCTTGTTGAATTGATCCCTTTACCATTATGTAATGGCCTTCTTTGTCTCTTTTGATCTTTGTTGGTTTAAAGTCTGCTTTATCAGAGACTAGGATTGCAACCCCTGCCTTTTTTTGTTTTCCATTTGCTTGGTAGATCTTCCTCCATCCTTTTATTTTGAGCCTATGTGTGTCTCTGCACGTGAGATGGGTTTCCTGAATACAGCACACTGATGGGTCTTGACTCTTTATCCAATTTGCCAGTCTGTGTCTTTTAATTGGAGCATTTAGTCCATTTACATTTAACGTTAATATTATTATGTGTGAATTTGATCCTGTCATTATGATGTTAGCTGGTTATTTTGCTCGTTAGTTGATGCAGTTTCTGCCTAGTCTCGATGGTCTTTACATTTTTGCATGATTTTGCAGCGGCTGGTACCGGTTGTTCCTTTCCATGTTTAGCACTTCCTTCAGGAGCTCTTTTAGGGCAGGCCTGGTGGTGACAAAATCTCTCAGCATTTGCTTGTCTGTAAAGGATTTTATTTCTCCTTCACTTATGAAGCTTAGTTTGGCTGGATATGATATTCTGGGTTGAAAATTCTTTTCTTTAAGAATGTCGAATATTGGCCCCCACTCTCTTCTGGCTTTCAGGGTTTCTGCCAAGAGATCTGCTGTTAGTCTGATGGGCTTCCCTTTGAGGGTAACCCGACCTTTCTCTCTGGCTGCCCTTAACATTTTTTCCTTCATTTCAACTTTGGTGAATCTGACAATTATGTGTCTTGGAGTTGCTCTTCTCGAGGAGTATCTTTGTGGCGTTCTCTGTATTTCCTGAATCTGAACGTTGGCCTGCCTTGCTAGATTGGGGAAGTTCTCCTGGATAATATCCTGCAGAGTGTTTTCCAACTTGGTTCCATTCTCCCCATCACTTTCAGGTACACCAATCAGACGTAGATTTGGTCTTTTCTCATGGTCCCATATTTCTTGGAGGCTTTGCTCATTTCTTTTTATTCTTTTTTCTCTAAACTTCCCTTCTCGCTTCATTTCATTCATTTCATCTTCCATCGCTGATACCCTTTCTTCCAGTTGATCGCATCAGCTCCTGAGGCTTCTGCATTCTTCATGTAGTTCTCGAGCCTTGGTTTTCAGCTCCATCAGCTCCTTTAAGCACTTCTCTGTATTGGTTATTCTAGTTATACATTCTTCTAAATTTTTTTCAAAGTTTTCAACTTCTTTGCCTTTGGTTTGAATGTCCTCCCGTAGCTCAGAGTAATTTGATCGTCTGAAGCCTTCTTCTCTCAACTCATCAAAGTCATTCTCCATCCAGCTTTGTTCCATTGCTGGTGAGGAACTGCGTTCCTTTGGAGGAGGAGAGGCGCTCTGCTTTTTAGAGTTTCCAGTTTTTCTGTTCTGTTTTTTCCCCATCTTTGTGGTTTTATCTACTTTTGGTCTTTGATGATGGTGTTGTACAGATGGGTTTTTGGTGTGGATGTCCTTTGTGTTAGTTTTCCTTCTAACAGAGAGGACCCTCAGCTGCAGGTCTGTTGGAGTACCCTGCTGTGTGAGGTGTCAGTGTGCCCCTGCTGGGGGTTGCCTCCCAGTTAGGCTGCTCGGGGGTCAGGGGTCAGGGACCCACTTGAGGAGGCAGTCTGCCCGTTCTCAGATCTCCAGCTGCGTGCTGGGAGAACCACTGCTCTCTTCAAAGCTGTCAGACAGGGACATTTAAGTCTGCAGAGGTTACTGCTGTCTTTTTGTTTGTCTGTGCCCTGCCCCCAGAGGTGGAGCCTACAGAGGCAGGCAGGCCTCCTTGAGCTGTGGTGGGCTCCACCCAGTTGGAGCTTCCCGGCTGCTTTGTTTACCTAATCAAGCCTGGGCAATGGCGGGCGCCCCTCCCCCAGCCTCGCTGCCGCCTTGCAGTTTAATCTCAGACTGCTGTGCTAGCAATCAGCGAGACTCCGTGGGTGTAGGACCGTCGGAGCCAGGTGCGGGATATAAGGTCGTGCTGCGCCGTTTTTTTAAGCCCGTCGGAAAAGCGCAGCATTCGGGTGGGAGTGACCCAATTTTCCAGGTGCCATCCGTCACCCCTTTCTTTGACTCAGAAAGGGAACTCCCTGACCCCTTGCGCTTCCCAAGTGAGGCAATGCTCGCCCTGCTTCGGCTCGCGCACGGTGCGCGCACCCACTGACCTGCGCCCACTCTCTGGCACTCCCTAGTGAGATGAACCCGGTACCTCAGATGGAGATGCAGAAATCAGATGGAAATGCAGAAATGCAGAAATGAGCGTCTTCTGCGTCGCTCACGCTGGGAGCTGTAGACCGGAGCTGTTCCTATTCCTGTTTCCTGACTTTTTAATAATCACCATTCTGACTGGCATGAGATGGTATCTCAATGTGGATTTAATTTGCATTTCTCTAATGATCAGTGATGTTGAGCTTTTTCTCATATTTGTTTGTTGGCTGCGTAAATGTCGTCTTTTGAGAAGTGTCTGCTCATATCCTTTACCCACTTTTGGATGGGGTTGTTTGTTTTATTCTTGTAAGTTTGTTTAATTTCCTTGTAAATTCTGGATATTAGGCCTTTGTCAGATGGGTAGATTGCAAAGGTTTCCTCCCATTCTGTAGGTTGCCTGTTCACTCTGATAATAGTTTCTTTTGCTGTGCAGAAGCTCTTTAATTTAATTAGGTACCATTTGTCAATTTTGGCTTTTGTTGCAATTGCTTTTGGCATTTTTGTCATGAAGTCTTTACTCATGCCTATGTCCTGAATGGTATTGCCTAGGTTTTCTTCTAGGGTTTTTATGGTTTTGGGTTTTACATTTAAATCTTTAATCCATCTTGAGTTATTTTTTTGTATATGCAGAAAACTGAAACTGGACCTCTTCCTTACACTTAATTTCCTTTTTCTGTCTCAGGATCTAATCCAGGTTACCATATTGTATGTAGAAAATTTTCTGAAATGTGACTTTTGCCATTTCCTAAACAATTTGTATTTGGGAATAAATGAGGGGTGTGACTACCAGCCAGAAGCTAACTTCCACCCCATAGTCCTTACCACATTTTTTTTTAACTCTTTCTTCACTTTACCTAGTAGAACCTATGGTCTCCCTCCTCCATGCCAACCCCTTACCCTCTTGAAGTAGTGTTGGTATTTTTACATGATCATCCTTTCATAATAATTTTTACAATCATCCCACCAACTTATTTCCTTAAACATTTTTGAAAACGGACCACTTTTGGAGAATGAGTTTAGGGAAGCACCTACTAGATCCCAACCCTCTACCTAGCTATTTTACTCCAACAAAATGAATGAGAATTCTGATTCCCCAGCAACTGCTTTCATGAAATCTATCAAACTACCTTCCTGTGTTATAACGTCTCAGCTAATTTTACCTACTTGAGGACAGGAATGTTATTTCATTTATCTTTAGAGACCACTCACACTTAGAACTTTCCATTCATTCATATTTTCAAACCATTATTGACTATCAACGATAATATGCTGGGAAATTGTCTAGGTGCTAGGGATAGAGAGAAATTAACCAAAGCGCTCATCTTCAAAATGCTCATGCTTTGATAAGAGTCAAAGACATGTTTAGTCACATTTAGACTTCTAATGCCCCACATATTTCCTAGCATTTAGTGGGCACTCAATAAATGTTTGGCATCCTGTTTTAAGAAGATGCTTTCTGGTAGCAGTGGAGAGCATGGAGGTGAGATGATCAATCAGGTGACTGTTACAACAGTTCAGCAGGGATGTTATGAAGCTCACAGGGTCAGAACAGAGTGAGTTTAAGTATATTTTCTGAGAAAGAATGAACATAACTGGGTGACCAATTGGATATGGGAGTAAAGTGAGAGGAGGAAGTAAAGAATGCTTCTGAATTTTCCAGCTTGGGATGTGTTATATAGAATACAGGAAGAGGAAACAAGTTTGGAGAATGCTGGTAGAAAGGAGGAAGGGAAAGGAGAAAATGGGAAAGATAATTAATTTGGTATGGGACATTTAGTTTGAAAAGAATTCCATATAAAAGATGACCCACAAATACTTCTTGAATGAGTAAAGGAAGGAATGCATCACAACTTGAGTAACTGTGGATTGATGAGGAAGTTGAACTCACTGGGGCTAAATTTGTTCTGTAGATACAATTTTGAGTCTGTGATGGAAACTGCCCAACAGTGTTGGCAACTGGAGCAGGTAAAAAAGGGCCAAGAACAGGTGGCACATGAGCTGGATCCTAAGCCTGGATAGAATTTGGCTGGGGAATAAGACAAATAGAAGTTGTGCCTCCTGTCAACAAGGAGCAGACTCATTAGCAGTTTTTGAGGGGCACTGGTAAGTAACAGTCAAGATAAGGATATGTGGGAACACATCATGAGGTCTCTAACAAGAGGTGGCAGTGTGGGCATACTTTGATGATATATGGCGATATTAGATTAATGAGAAGGGAAGTGGGATGATCAAAGTTATGCTTTTGGAGGATCTATTTGTCAGCAGTGTTCAGGTGGGCTTGGATAATGGGGGAGCGTTGAGACCTGCTGGTGACTGGCTTGGTAATTCAGGAATGAATTGGAAAGAGTTCGAGTGCTTGTTTCATGCCCCTGTATGACCTCCATTTCTTGGCAATCCTCCTTTGTCTTTTCTGCTTCCACTTAGTTTTACCCACCTGTCACCTTCCAGACTCAGCTTCAATGCAGCCTCCCCTGGAAAGCTCCCATAACTCTTATGCCCTCCTGATGGCTGCCAATGTGTTGTATATGGTTTCTATGGATGCCCTTTTCACACTGGATGGTAATGTACTCTCTTGAGTATCTTTCTTTTCTAGTACACTGAGTTCCTTAAGGGTAGAGATAACTACCTGTGGGTTCCAGAACTGGGTTGAGCATATAGTAGACATTCAGTAAATTGATTCTGATTTATGTTGAATAAATTAATGACGGAAGAATGGAAAGAAAAGTGAATTAAGGATACATTTGGAGGACATAACTGATAATATTTACTGGATAATTTAAGGAAAGAACTGTCACCTATAGAATGCATATATTCATTGAGGGTGGAGTGGAAGTGGTGAGTTGTTTTGAAGGTAATAAAGTCAGTCAGGAACAGCATCATGTATATGCAATATATATAAATATGTAAAAATACATATATATATATTTTATATATAATATTTCTCATGTACATTATACAACATAAATCTATAATAGAGTATATCATAATATATAAGTATATACAATTATATACAATGTTATATACAAATATGTAAACATTTAGTTTAGAAACTATAACCATATGAATATAGCATGTTACAGTTTTCAAACAAAATACTTAGATTCCAAGAAAAAAATAAAATGGGGCGGTTAAGCACTCAAGGTTTGGAATAAGAGAGATATAGGCTTGAATTTCAGCTCTGTCATTTACTGGCTATGTGACTTTAGGCAAATATTTACCTTTTTTTGGCTTCAATTTCTTTATCTACTCAAGGATATAGTAATAATTATCCCACAGAGTTGTACGAGGATTCAGTGAGGTCGTATGTTAAGCACATTGTAGCTTGATGCTTAGCTTTTATTAAATGACGATAGTCCCTATTATTCATGCACACATAATAGAATTAATCGGGAGTTATTCAGGAATAGGAACAGCCAGTTAAAACCAACAACTATGAGAAAGCCTTTGAGCTGAAGATAGGAATTTCTGCCAGGGTCAGAAATTACGGACAAGGGAAACATCTCGTATACATTCATGTAATTACTTTTGAGTAAATTAAAGATAACTATAATTACCAAAGCATGAAGAATTTCTATGTTTTATACAGAAAATTTGTGTTGAAGTAATAACCACATTAATATGATTAATCTGGAATAATATACCCAAACCAGAGTTACCTTTCAGCATCCTAGGAAAAAGAATGTGTTAGCTATGAGTCTAGGGTTATGATTATTGAGATGAGGTTTTCTTAAAGCCCCATGCTGAAAACTGATGTTGGATATCCCTTTTCAGAAGATGAAAATGAAATGGTTATCAAAAACCAAAAGGAGTATCTCCATATACCTTAGCTGAACATGATATAGAACATATGAAATTAATGGGTAATTGGTTTGATTCTCCAGCCTATGACAGAGAATAGCCTGTTGCAATTCACCAAAAGTTTCCTGTTTGGGTTTATGCAAAGATAAGCAGAGACTAACTCCTCGTATTTGACAGAATGTCTGATTTATATTCTCAAAGAGGGGTATCGGGAGCCTGATCTGGGATAGGAAAGGCAGAAGTACTGTTGTTACAAGGATTCATGGATTGCTGGAGCTGGAAAGAGGGTTGGGGGTATCTAGTATATACCTTGCAAAGCAGAGGCTGGGGGGCTATAAAGGCCTTTCTTCTGGGATTGGAGCATGGAGAAGATAGAGCTGAGTACTCTCTGTCATGAACCTTAGGCCTGCTGATTAAAAGCAATTGATTATATATTCATATGTATTTCCTACACACTGAAAGGAGGCAGTGAAACAGGCATCATATACCTGGTTTTAGACAAAGAGAATAATTCCATTAAAACAAAAGGGCCCTGTACCCGAGTATCGTGAAGGGAGAATTAGGTTCAATATTAATGGGATCTCCACGTCTTGTCCTTTCAATACTGAGCCTGTGTTAACCTTCACTTTCAAGTTAAAATATCATTTTTAAATGCAAAATGAAACAATAACATATTTTCTTAAAATTATTTAATATAATAATCTGTTTGTCCTTCAAAAGTTATTTTTCAATCACTATCCACAAAAAATATGAACTGGGATATTCCACAAGAAATACTGGGCCGGGCACAGTGGCTCATGCCTGTAATCCCGGTACTTTGGGAGGCCGAGGTGGGCGGATCACAAGGTCAGGAGATCCAGACCATCCTGGCCAACACAGTGAAACCCCGTCTCTACTAAAAAATACAAAAAATTAGCCAGGCGTGGTGGCGGGCGCCTGTAATCCCGGCTACTCGGGGGCTGAGGCAGAAGAATTGCATGAACCTGGGAGGCACAGCTTGCAGTGAGCCGAGATCGCGCCACTGTACTCCAGCCTGGGCGACAGAGCGAAACTCCGTCTCAAAAGAAAAGAAAAGAAAACAAAACAAAACCCAAAAAAACCCCAAAAGAAATACTGATTCATGCCTGTAATCCAAGCACTTTCGGAGGCCGAGGGGGTGTGGATCACCTGAGGTCAGGAGTTCAAGACAAGCCTGACCAACATGATGAAACCCTGTCTCTACTAAAAATACAAAAAATTAGCTGGGCGGTAGTGGTGGATGCCTGAAATCCCAGCTACTCAGGAGGCTGAGGCAGGAGAATCACTTGAACCCAGGAGGCAGAGGTTGCAGTGAGCCGAGATTGCACCATTGCACTCCAGCTTGGGCAACAGAGCAAAACTCTGTCTCATATATATACTAAAAAAAAAAAAAAAAAAAAAGGAAATACTGATGATGGCTCAGTGGCAAGTCTGGCCCAGAATTCAGGCAGAAATCCAAATGTAAATCATTTTTTCCTTTGAAATTGTGATATTTATTGCTGCCCTCATGTCACATAGGCATTTGATTGAAGAAAAAATTGTTCATCTCTGTCCAGTACACAGTGGACATACTTATATCAGGTATTTATCAATGGTATTAGCCATTCATAATTAGCCATTGAGTTAGCCTCAAACTAGAATTATTTGCACTAGGATTTTATGAGTGTCACATATTTTGGACTGGGGTAGTTTAAGATACATCTCGAGATTACTTCTACATTAACTGATGATTTTTTTTTCACCTCATAAAACAGATCAGCTTGAAGCTGATGGGATTGAGGGACCTCACTCAAACCCTTTGGGGTGCAAACATTGTAGAGTATGGCTTTTTAACTCTTACCGTGTCCCGTCAGATCTCTAAACACACTACGCTGTGAGATACCTTAATTATATTTCAGTTTGGTTCTATCATTTCTGCTATCTTTAGTTATTAAAACGTCTGGCCTATTGTCTCACTCTCACATTCAATTCAAATGTCCGTTCCCCTTCCAGAGCAGGCTAGGTTCTCCAAAGATTTGAAGGTGAGGAATGATGCATTGCCTGCAAGCTTTCCTCTTCCTTTCTATTGCTTGTGCTTGTTCCTTGAGCATTGCAGTGAGAAGGGAGAGAAAAAAAGGCAGAAAGTCATTTCCTTTTTTGATTTTCCATGGAGAGTTGGTTCTACTTTCTTTGTTGGTTTGGGTGGCTTTCTTCTTATGCAAACAACCATATATTGGTGGTAGAGAGTTACTTTCCCTATTTTTTTAGCCACCATTCCTCATCTACCTCTTTGCCTGAAGACCTGGACAAGCAGAGTCCCCAGTGAATTCCAAAGACAAGCGGCTCAATTCTTTTTTTTTTTTTTTGTTATACTTTAAGTTCTAGGGTACATGTGCACCATGTGCAGGTTTGTTACATAGGTATACATGTGCCATGTTGGTTTGCTGCACCCATTAACTCATCATTTACATTAGGCATTTCTCCTAATGCTATCCCTCCCCCTGTTCCCCACCCCATGACAGGCCCCCGGGGTATGATGTTCCGCGCCCTGTGACCAAGTGTTCTCATTGTTCAATTCCCACCTATGAGTGAGAACATGCAGTGTTTGGTTTTCCATCCTTGCGATAGTTTGCTGAGAATGGTGGTTTCCAGCTTCATCCATGTCCCTACAAAGGATATGAACTCATCCTTTTTAGTGGCTGCATAGTATTCCATGGTGTATACATGCCACATTTTCTTAATCCAGTCTATCACTGATGGACATTTGGGTTGGTTCCAAGTTTTTGCTATTGTGAATAGTGCTGCAATAAACATACGTGTGCATGTGTCTTTATAGTAGCATGATTTATAATCCTTTGGGTATACACCCAGTAATGGGATGTCTGGGTCAAATGGTATTTCTAGTTCTAGATCCTTGAGGAATTGCCACACTGTCTTCTACAATGGTTGAACTAGTTTACACTCCTACCAACTGTGTAAAAGCATTCCTATTTCTCCACATCCTCTCCAGCATCTGTTGTTTCCTGACTGTTTAATGACCACCATTCTAACTGGTGTGAGATGGTATCTCATTGTGGTTTTGATTTGCATTTCTCTGATTACCAGTGATGATGAACATTTTTTCATGTGTCTTTTGGCTGCATAAATGTTTTCTTTTGAGAAGTGTCTGTTCATATCCTTCGCTCACTTTTTGGTGGGGTTGTTTAGTTTTTTCTTGTAAATTTGTTTGAGTTTTTTGTAGATTCTGGGTATTAGCCCTTTGTCAGATGGATAGATTGCAAAAATTTTCTCCCATTCTGTAGGTGGCCTGTTCACTCTGATGGTCACTTCTTTTGCTGTGCAGAAGCTCTTTAGTTTAATTAGATCCCATTTGTCAATTTTGGCTTTTGTTGCCATTGCTTTTGGTGTTTTAGTTATGAAGTCCTTGCTCATGCCTATGTCCTGAATGGTATTGCCTAGGTTTTCTTCTAGGGCCTTTATGGTTTTAGGTCTTATGTTTAAGTCTTTAATCCATCTTGAATTAGTTTTTGTATAAGGTGTAAGGAAGGGATTCAGTTTCAGCTTTCTACACATGGCTAGCCAGTTTTCTGAGCACCATTTATTAAATAGGGAATCCTTTCCCCATTTCTTGTTTTTGTCAGGTTTGTCAAAGATCAGATGTTTGTAGATGAGTGGTGTTATTTCTGAGGCCACTGTTCTGTTCCATTGATCTACATATCTGTTTTGGTACCAGTGCCATGCTGTTTTGGATTTCTGTAGGCTGGTGGTATAGTTTGAAGTCAGATAGCGTGATACCTCCAGCTTTGTTCTTTTGGCTTAGGATTATCTTGGCAATGCGGGCTCTTTTTTGGTTCCATATGAATTTTAAAGCAGTTTTTTCCAGTTCTGCGAAGAAAGTCATTGGTAGCTTGTTGGGGATGGCATTGAATCTGTAAATTACCTTGGGCAGTATGGCCATTTTCACGATATTGATTCTTCCTAACCATGAGCATGGAATGTTCTTCCATTTGTTTGTATCCTCTTTTATTTCATTGAGCAGTGGTTTGTAGTTCTCCTTGAAGAGGTCCTTCACATCCAACAAGGGGCTCAATTCTAAGAAATTTCCATAGGTATTGGTGGCTCTTATTGAGATTCACCTGCATCTTCTAATTGACCCCCACGTCCCCACATTTGCATTCTCAATGTGTCTTCCTGTCATGTACATGCCTCATTGTCCCATGCTGTAGAGGTTACCTGTGAGTCTATAGCATCAATATTATCTACACATTTTGGGCCCTCTAACCCCTGTAGTGGTTCATCTCCCTCTAGGTTCCTTAGATAAGGCATTGAAATGGAGCAAATGGTACTAAAAAGTGTACATCATTAGTTATTTTCTATTTTTGTTGTCTTCTCAGCTCAACCTAATATTAAAAAGTATTATATTTAGTGCTTCATTCCCATAGGCTTGTTTTTTGCAAATAGCTGTCTGTGAATTCGTATGCATAAGACTTCCTAGAGTAAGGATAAAGGTGGAGGCAAAGGAAGGCCTAAACTATGCATGTGGTGGTATTAGCTGACAGCATGTCCAGGTAACTGGCCATTATTGATTCCCTTTATCTTGGGTTAAACTCACTCACATAGTCACTTACCTCTGTGACTATGAAAGAAGAATGCCTCTTTATTCTTTTTTCCCTTTTCATTTGGTTTGCCTTACACCTGTGTGAAAGGAATAATTATACCTGCAAGACCTGGAGCCAGGCTATAAAAACTTGGGACAAGTTACTTAAATTTTCGTGCTTCATTTTCTTATCTATAAAATGGGGATGATGTTAGTAACTACCTCATTGGATCACTGAGAAAGTGAAATGAGTCAATATGTGTCATGTGCTTAGAACAATCCTAGTATACAGAAAATAGCTCAATAAACATTGGCAGGTATCATTAAGGTGTTTCTCTGGTTTGCTGTTTTGTGTTTGTAAAGAAAGCCTTAAGCAGGCTGAAAGTAGCTGGAGAGCTCGTCAAAGATGTGCTTTGTGGGTTCTGGGCTCGTGGTGCCACAGGGAACATATCTTATTATATTTGTTTTGTTTTTCTAGCATGCAGTATGGTGGCTGACACATGGTTGAGATTCAATAGAAAATGAATGAATGAATGAAAATGCTCTCAGTCCTGCTTAGATTCTTGGCTATAGGCATGCCTCCTTTCATACAGACATGTGAGTCACACAGTACAGCTCAGAAACCTTGGCTTGAAATTCTCCAAGGGGCGGGAGAAGAATAGAGCCTTTTGGAAGCACAGACTTTAAGCCATAAAGTACCAAGGACCCATTTTAGTAGATCACTTCTGTACAGATTTCACCATTAAGAAAACTTCACAGACTCTTGCAGTTGAGAAGTGACTCCCATGTTTTTCTACTTGAAGTAACATTAGCACTACTGATTTTTCAAGGCTAGCAAGTAGGGTCAACTGAATAATGAGCAGATTAATCAAGACTTCAGATGCTGCCTCTAGCTCATAACTTATAGACTGACAGGTTCATAATCTTTAAAATCATAATTTTCCCTAGGGTAGAGGACTTTTCTATGATAAGCTGTTCTGTTTTTTTTTTTAATATGAAGGTTCTCAAAAAAAGGATTACAATCTCTTTTCCATCAACAATGTGCACCTCAATTATTTATACCTATTCAGCTACCAAAAAGAAATGTTTTAAGGAATCATGGTAAGGGATTCTCTCCCTTTCTCTCTCTCAAATACACACAGAACTATGGACTAAACCTGCAGACCTAGCTCACCCTTTTCAGTACCTAAAGTAACTTATGGCCAAGAAGTCACCTAGAAATATGTAGTTTGCCATTAAGTCATTATGGCTCTGGGTTTAAAATTTCTAGTCCACAGTCTGCTCCTAAACAAAAGTCTGAGAAAATACATCCATCATCGCTCAAGTTCTGTACAGTATGTGCAGTCTTGAGAATTTGGATTTTTGTGACTAGAACAATATATTAAATCATATAATTTGTTTTTGCTTGTTTATTTGTTTGTTTTTTTTAGGCAGAGTCTCGCTCTGTTGCCAGGCTAGAGTGCAATGGCATGATCTCGGCTCAGTGCAACCTCTGTCTCCCGGGTTCAAGTGATTCTCCTGCCTCAGCCTCCCAAGTAGCTGGGATTACAGGCACCTGCCACCACGCCTGGCTAACGTTTGTATTTTTAGTAGAGATGGGGTTTCACGATGTTGGCCAGGCTCATCTCAAACTCCTGACCTCAGGTGATGCACCCGCCTCTGCCTCCCAAAGTGCTGGGGTTACAGGCGTGAGCCACCACGCCCAGCAAATCATATACTTTTAACAGGGCTCAGAATTGAATAAATACGTGATTTAAAAGTTCACGTGGCTCATAGTGCTTGATTAGAGATCTCCTTAGAAATGTAAATATTAAAAAGTTATCAAGAGGTCAGGTTCAATGGCTCATGCCTGTAATCTCAGCGTTTTAGGAGGCCGAGGTAGGCAGATCTCTTGAGTCCAGAATTCGAGACAAGTCTGGGCAACATGGCAAATCCCTGTCTCTACCAAAAAAAAAAAAAAAAAAAAAAAAAAAAAATTAGCCTGGTGTTGTGGTGAGCGACTGTAATCTCAGCTACTTGGGAGGCTGAGGCGGGAGGATTGCTTGAGCCCAGGATGTTGAGGCTGCAATGAGCTATGATCACACACTGCACTCCAACCTGGGTGACAGAGTGAGACCCTATCTCAAAAACAAAAAAAAAGTTATCAAGATAATACTTGTAAAAATAAAAATAAAAAGTACTGTGACATTTACAAGGGAAAAAATAAATCTCTCACTCCAGTCTTCATCACAGTGGAAACTTGCTTTAACTTTCTGCTCTTTCTTTTAAATTCTAAGTAAATATCATATTTCTAAGTAGTTCATTTATTGCTGTATCTTAAATATCTAGATTTTTTTGACTTTATATAATTATAGGACACTTTTCGTCCCTTTAATAAGTCTTCATCTTAATCCTTCTTGATAGAGTTATGTTACTATTTTTAATTATTAATTATTCATGCCCTCTTCATTGTATCCACGCAAATATTATCCTTACAGAGACATGTAGATTTTTGTCTTTCTCAGACACATTAATTGTCTTGCTTTTCATTTAAATAACTTATTATCTGCCTATTTTTAATTTTATAAGGATGTCTGTATCCTACTTCTTCAATCTCGTCTGTTTGCTCTTGGACCTGTTACCTAATGCCAACATTTTCAATAAGTTGGGGCATAATTATGTGGTTTGATAAATATCTCCTCCAATATAGTAAGAAGTGTGTTGAGGGGAGAGAGTTAGCTGTATTTCACTTATAATGAGGAAGATTATAAGGTCTTTCTCATTATATATCACAATATGTAATATGTTAATATCACTATATTATATAATTATGATACATGTAATTATATACATATAAATTATATGGTTTTTTTTCTCATATGTGACTTGTTGCAGAAAAAGTTCTCTGTCACCCCATCATGAATCCAGCCTGATTTTGGCCAGTTCTCAATGTGTTTTTTAACTTGGAGTAATCTAGCCTCTCTTTCTGCTCCTGATAATCATATATGAAATAAAGCAATAGTGATCTGAATGTATTTTTGGGTGTCTAACTGCCCTGGCTACTCATTATTTGTGAATAATCTGAAGGCAGAGAATTAAACCAGAAGTTTTTTGTTAACTCTTCCAGATTTGGTTTTTATGAACAATTTGTGTTGTGGCTTTTTGACCATATTTGAGAGCCTAAAGACTTACAGCCAGGCGTGGTGCTCACGTCTGTAATCCCAGCACTTTGGGAGGTCGAGGCAGGAAGATTGCTTGAGGCCAGAAGTATGAGACAAGCCTGGGAAACATAGTGAGATCCCATCTCTACAAAAAATTTAAAAAATAGTTGGACATGGTGGCATGCACCTGTAGTCCTAGCTACTCAGGAGGCTAAGGTGGAAGGATCTTTTGAGCCCAGGAGTTTGAGGCTGGAGTGAGCTATGATTGTGTCACTGTACTCTAGCCTGTGAAAGAAAAAAAATAAAAGAAAGAAAGAACGACAGGAAAGAAGGAGGGAAGGAAGGAAGGCAGACAGGAAGAAAGAAAGAAAGAAAGAAAAAGAAAGAAAGAAAGAGAAAGAAAGAAAAAAAGATTAACAAATCAGGTGGTTTGGCTCTCACTTTGGCATTGGTGGAAATGGAAGTATAAGCCTAACTTGATAGTTCTTAAGAAAAAAGGAAGTACATTAAATTTAACAGGAATGATGCATAGGAACTCTCATCAAGGCAGCATTCCTTACTGGCTGTGCTGGACTCCAGTTAGTGCCCTTTCTGCTACTACTGTGGAGCCACGCATAGAGCTCTTCACTCTTGTGGCACTCAGCATGAGAGAAATCGTGTGCAATCATTCATTCAGCCAAACCGATTGAGTGCTCACTGTATGCTGGCATCATGCAAAGCACCAGGAACACAACAGGGAGTAAAATTTAGACACTCGCGGTTCTCCCACTGCTGAGAGTCTAGGAAGGCATCAGGCACTAATTGAATATTTTCAGGTTAACATGTTATTACAAATGAAAAACAGGGTTCTGGGACAGAGTATGGTGTAAGTGCTGAAGGCAATGATAGCCATTGTTTGTCATGGGGGCAGCTCTGTCACCTAGAAGGAACTTTGGGAATTTGTGGGAGCATCTTTGTTTCTCCTCACATATGATTGGAGGCATTCAGTGGGAGAGAAACAGAGTGTTAGACACCCTATACCTCCCAGGACAGAGCTGATTCAAAGGATTGTCTCCCTTCACACGTGACTTTCAAATATCCTCTAGAGATTCATGTGTTTAATTACCTGAGCTTGGAACTCATTATATGTAAAACTCCATTTTACATATAAATGCAAAATATGTTTGCATGATTTGAACATGTAGAAAATAAGTCTTCTACTCCAATCTCCATCCCAGTGACAACTTGCTTTAACTTTCTAAGCTCTTTTGCCTGGCGGGTACCATTGTATTTTTAAGTATCTAGAAATGGTACCCAACTTACATATCGCTATATTTTAATTTTAAGATATTAAGCTTTTTAAACTTTGTGCAATGATAGAAAACATTTCCTTTTAAATCAAATCTCCCCTTAATCCTTCCTGATACTGTTAGGTTATAGTTTTAATTCAGCGTAAATTGAGGGAAGATTGTACTTCATCTTTTTTGCAACTTTAATGAGAGTTGTTCATCATTTTGGGAAATCATGTTACTGATGGCAAAGCTGCTTATGGCGTTTGAGTCACCAACACAACAAACCTGTATTGATCTGCATTTCGGTCTCTTTCATTCGTAATTATTCCATACATGAAATCATATACAAGCATGAGATTACCTTGTTGAATCTTTTCAGGTGGTCATGACTAGGCAGTCACATATTGAATTTTTTAATTATTAATTGCTTTCCTGTTATTTCTGCTTCATATTATGGTTTGGCACTGCACTGGTTGTTTTTAAACTATATGTATAGGGAGGTTAAATAATCTGTAAATTTAATTTTAGGACCATAAAGGTGACATTACAAATATTTGTTTTAGAAAAATGAGTTTGGTCTTCTGGAGTCAAGAAGCCTAATTGTATAACAAAGAACTTTCCAGAAAAAGGAACATCTTACCTGAGGGCTGAACGATGAGCTTGGGTTAACTAGGCAAAGAAAGTGCGTGAGTAGAAGGGGAGAGGTTGTGAGGTTGTGTGTAGTGTCAGATGATATGGGTGGGGTCTTTGTGGAGGGTGACACTAGGAAAGAGTTCAAAGAGCTGAAAGGCAGATCCTGTAGCTGGTGTTCATAGAGTGAGCCAAAAGTGGCTATTAAGGTGTGTGGAGGCCAGTGCCTTCCAGAACTTGTGAACTAAGTTAAATTAGACTTTCATTTTAGTTGAAAAGTCAATGGAAAGCCAGTGAAGGGAAGAGAGTAATACCAGATTTTCATTTGGAAAAATAACTGCCTGTAGTGTAGAGAAAAAACTGGAGTGCAGGGATGGGGTAGGGAATGTGGTGTGAATATGGGAGAATAATAGTATTCCATTTGGATGTGGTTTGTCCCATCAAAACTTATGTTAAAATTTGATCTCCAATGTTGTGGTGTTGGGAGATGGGGCCAAGTGAGAGGTGTTTATGTTATGGGTGCAGATCCTGAATGATCTTGAATGGCTTGGTTCCTTTCTTTTGGTAGTGACTGAGTTCTCATTCTGGTGAGGCTGGATTGGTTCTTGTGGGAATGGATTAGTTCCCATGACAGTGCATTTTTATAAAGCCAGGAGGCCCCTTGAGCTCTCTCTCTTTCAATGTGTCTGCTTTTTCTTTGATCTTCTCCTCTGTGTTCTGATGCAGTATGAAAGCCCTCTTCAGAAGTCAGAGCCATGTCCTTGAACTTCCCAGCCTGCAGAACCATGGGCTACATAAACCTCTTTTCTTTATAAATTAGCCAGTCTCAGGTATTCTGTTATGGCAACACAAAACAAACTAAAATAGTCCAGGTGAGAGATGGCTATGGTCTGGATTAGGGTGAAGGTAGCAGTTATGAGAAAAGTGAACATATTTGCAAAAAAATTAGGCAGTAAACAATTCAATTATAGTTTTTGGATAAATACTTGAAGAGATGGATATCCCCATTTTACATGATGTGATTATTACACATTGCATGCTTGTATCAAAACATCTCATGTACCCCATATATACCTATATCTATATCTACCTACTATTATGCAGAAAAGTTAAAATAAAAATTTTAAAAAATTTATAAGGTAAAAATAGATAGACCTTGGAATAAATTGCTTATTAGTCATGGGCAGGAGGGACAGGATGGTGTCAATGATGAATCATAAGATTTTGGCTTGTCAAAAAACACATGAAAAAATGATCATCATCACTGGTAATCAGAGAAATGCAAATCAAAACCACAATGAGATACCATCTCACACCAGTTAGAATGGCGATCATTAAAAAGTCAGGAAACAACAGGTGCTGGAGAGGATGTGGAGAAATAGGAACACTTTTACACTGTTGGTGGGACTGTAAACTAGTTCAACCATTGTGGAAGTCAGTGTGTCGATTCCTCAGGGATCTAGAACTAGAAATACCATTTGACCCAGCCATCCCATTACTGGGTATATACCCAAAGGATTATAAATCATGCTGCTATAAAGACACATGCACACGTATGTTCATTGCGGCACTATTCACAATAGCAAAAACTTGGAACCAACCCAAATGTCCAACAATGATAGACTGGATTAAGAGAATGTGGCACATATACACCATGGAATACTATGCAGCTATAAAAAATGATGAGTTCATTTCCTTTGTAGGGACATGGATGAAACAGGAAACCATCATTCTCAGCAAAGTATCTCAAGGACAAAAAACCAAACACCGCATGTTCTCACTCATAGGTGGGAATTGAACAATGAGAACACATGGACACAGGAAGGGGAACATCACACACCGGGGACTGTTGCGGAGTGGGGGGTGGGGGGAGGGATAGCATTAGGAGATATACCTAATGCTAAATGATGAATTAATGGGTGCAGCACACCAACATGGCACATATGTATACATATGTAACAAACCTGCATGTTGTGCACATGCACCGTAAAACTTATAGTATAATAATAATAAAATAAATAAAAAAAGATTTTGGCTTGTACAATTGAGTGATGAAGGCATTCACTATGTTACAGAATGCTGGAAGAGGAAGACAACCAGGCTTGGGTAGGTTCAAGATCCACAAATCTGGCCTTGGAACGTTGAGATGGTGATGCTGATAAGACCGCAAAGTTGAGGTGTTGAGTAGCCAATTGGAGCCTGGAAGAAACTTACCAGAAGTCTGGCCAGAGATAGAAATGTGGGATTATTTTTGTAATATTGGGGGCATTCTTGGCTGTAATTGTGAAGGAGAGGGTGTAGATTAAAATGAGAGGAGAGCCTAGGATAGAGCCTTGAGCAACTTCAACATGTAATGTAGGACAGTGGTTCCTAAAGTGTGGCCTCCAGACCAATGACAGCAGAATCACTTGGGAACTTGTTAGAAATGTACATTCTTGGCCAGGTGTGGTGGCTCATGTCTGTAATCCTAGCACTTTGGGAGGCCAAGTCAGGTGGATCACTTGCGGTCAGAAGTTTGAGACCAGCCTGGCCAATACAGTGAAACCCTGTCTCTACTAAAAATACAAAAATTAGCCAGGCGTGGTAGCACATGCCTGTAGTCCCAGCTACTCTGGAGGCTGAGGCCAGAGAATCGCTTGAACTCAGGAGGTGGAGGTTGCAGTGAGCCGAGATTGCACCACTGCACTCCAGACTGGGCAACAGAGCAAGACTCCATCTCAAAAAAAAAAAAAAAAAGAAATGTACATTTTTTGGCCACACCCCAGACCTACACTGGGGCTGGGACCTACCTATCTGTGTTTTAGGCCTCCAGATGATTCTTATGCTGCTTAAAGTGTGAGAACACTGAGTATAAGAATGGCAAGGAGTAACCAGAGAGAATGGCAGGGTAAGAAGAGAATGTGGTGTCACAGAAGCCAAGGATCAAAATGTTTCAAAAGGTTATTAATTTACAACAAAACCCTGCAGAGAAGTTCCCCAGTCAACTTCAGTATCTGATGATTGGACAACATAAAAAACACTAACTTACCAACTTTATAACTCCAAAATTTTCTGTGTAGCTCAACTTTTATAATTTCTGTGAACAATGAGATTTTCAAATTTGTAATTGGCTATAAACATGACATATTCAATAGTAAGGTAAAGCTTATTATTGACTACCTCACAATCTTGCAATTATAATCTTGCATTGTAATTATAATCACAAAGAGGGAGAAACATCAGAAGTGGAGAAAGGTGAATGAAGAAAGTGCTACTTTATAGTATGGACTCAGCTACAGTCAGATAGGAGCAGCCTGAAATGCCTTGCTTAGGGGGTCTTGAGAATAAGTGCATCCTCTATGCAGTGGTTCTCCACCTTGGCTGTCCTTAAGAATGTCCCGAGGGGCTTTTACAAAGTACGGATGTCCTGGCCTCAGCCCAGGCCAATTAAATCACAATCTCTGTAAGTAGGCTAGTTTCCTCATTTAAAAAATAATCCCCAGTTGATTATAATGTTCAGCCAAGGGTAGGGGACTAATATGGTCTGGCTCTGTGTCCCCACCCAAAGCTCATATTGAATTGTAATCTGAATTGTAATCCCCATGTGTTGGGGGAAGGACCTCATGGGAGGTGATTAGATCATGGGGTCAGTTCCCACATGCTGTTCTAGTGATAGTGAGTGAGTTCTCATGAGAGCTGATAGTTTTATAAGGGGCTTTCCCCACTTTGCTCATCACTTCTCTCTCCTGCTGCCATGTGAATACAGACTTGTTTGCTTACTGTTACACCATGATTGTAAGTTTCCTCCCCAGCCATGTAGAACTGTGAGTCAGTTAAACCTCTTTCCTTTATAAATTACTCAGTCTTTGGTATGTATTTATTAGCAGTGTGAGAATGGACTAATACAGGCACCTTTGAGCAGGTGCTTTGGTGAATCTGGGTTCTACTAAATAGTCAGTCTACCTTTCAGGTAGCTTTAGAGAGGTGGTTTATTAGATCAATCTCAACTGGCTGGGTAGAGTATTCTAACTCTAATAGGCCACTGAGTAACTCCTTTTCTGGGTTGCAATTCTTGATGAAAATCAGTTATGTCCTTTTTATGCTATTAAATTCACCACTTTTAGCAACATATTGACATTTAAAAGATTTGCTTCAACAGTAATTCATTTCCCAGTGCCGAGGAGAAGTAAATAGATAGAATCATACACAGATTTATGAGTTTTTATTGTGAAACACTAACCATGGTGTTGTATAAGGTCGATATTTTTGGTTAAAATTATCTAAACAGAGAAACAGAGAGGATTCTTCATGTGAAGATACTAAATGTTTATTTTCTTTGTTAAGTTGCAGCAAACTGAAAGGCAAGAAAAAACATTTTTTCTTTTGTAGAAGACTACATATAAAGAGATTGAATCAATTTTGGTTGAGACAGACAAACTATAAGTATTGAAAACATTAAGAGTCATTTGGAGAACATAGGAGTTTCCAAAACCTGGTTACCTTAGCTTATTTGATTCATGGACATTTTGATCTTACTGTCAAGGTCTTTAAATCACCACCAGGGGGCCCTGAAAGCATTTCTGTCTGATTTCAAGGACCACAGTCTCTAATGACAAGTACAACTGATAAACTATCCCTAGTGCAAATGAGAGGGGTGCCTCAGTCCTCATTTAAAGTTTGGATTTTTCCTACAGACATTTTCACTCAAAATGCAGCAGCCTAAGTGGCTTTGATGTACTCCGAGTTTTATCAATTTTTTTTACTGTAATATTCAATAATCTTTTATGCTTTTACTGCTTCTTTTTTTTTTCTTTCTTTGAGACAGGGTCTTGTTTTGACACTTAGGCTGGAGTATAGTGGCATGATCATGGTTCACTGCAGCCTTGACCTCCTGGGCTCAAGTGATTCTCCCGTCTCAGCCTGCTGAGTCTCTAGGACCACAGGTGAGTGCTATCACACCAGGCTAATTTTAAAAAATGTTTTGTAGAGATGGGGTCTCCCTATGTTGCTTAGCCTGGTCTTGTACTCCTGGGATCAAGTAATCCTCCTTCCTCAGCCTCCAGAAGTGCTGGGATTACAGGCATGAGCCACTGTGACCAGCCCTTCTAAAAGACTGGTGATGGTTTTGAATATAAATTTGATATTGGTTATAGTAATAAAAATATGGTTCATTTCTCCTTAAAGGAAAAAAAAGAGTTAACTTTGGTTCTCCACCTTGTCAATGAGCTAGAATAGCTGAGAATTTGTGAGGTGTGTGATGAGTAGGTGGTGGATTTCTTAAGATTCCATTCTTTATATCAGACTTATCCCAAATTTTCCTTTAGATCTTCTATTTCCAGAATCCTGAGTTTTTTTCAAATGAATAACTAATTGCTCAAAGGGGATATGATCTGTAACCATAAAGTATTTGTTTTAGTCTGTTCAGGTTGCCACAACAAAATTACATGAATCGGGTGGCTTCTAAACAACAGACATTAATTTCCCACAGTTCTGGAGGCTGAAAGTTCAAGATCAAGGTGCTGGCAGATTCAGTATCTCATGAACATCTGCTTCCTGGTTCATAGGTGGTCCCTTCTCCCTGTGTCCTCACATGGTGGGAGGGGCAAATAAGCTCCCTTAGGACTCTTTTATAAAGACACTAATCCCACTCTAATCTGATTTGTGACCTACTCACCTCCCAAAGACCTCAACTCTTAATACTAATCTCTTCCAGGATTAGGTTTTAACATATGAATTTTGGAGGGACACAAATATTCAGAACACAGTAGTATTTTTTATTAATCTGGGCCATCCATTTTAATTTTTAGATACATATTTCTCATATTTAGATACATACTAATGGTCAGATTATGCATTAGTTTAAAATATTGTTATTTTTATTTAAATGATTTCTTTTGGTGGGAGACATTTACAGTATTTGAAATAAGATACAGGTAGTAACGCTATATTATCCTGAAGAAATGAAAGATTATCTGTTTATTCTGCTTATATTTTGAATTGACTCCCGTAGGTTTAACATTACTCATCTGAAGTCTAATTATTCCCAAGCATTAGCAAGGATTTTATGGTTTTTACTGAAAAATCTATTGACTTTTCAGTGAAACCCATATTGAATCAAAAATAAAATTTGTACCAAACCAAATACTTTTTAAAAAAATTATTATTATACTTTAAGTTTTAGGGTACATGTGCACAATGTGCAGGTTAGTTACATATGTATACATGCACCATGCTGGTGCGCTGCACCCACTAACTCGTCATCTAGCATTAAGGTATATCTCCCAATGCTATCCCTCCCCCTCACCCCACCCCACAACAGTCCCCAGAGTGTGATGTTCCCCTTCCTGTGTCCATGTGTTCTCATTGTTCAATTCCCACCTATGAGTGAGAATATGTCGTGTTTGGTTTTTTGTTCTTGTGATAGTTTACTGTGAATGATGATTTACAATTTCGTCCATGTCCCTACAAAGGACATGAGCTCATCATTTTTTATGGCTGCATAGTATTCCATGCTGTATATGTGCCACGTTTTCTTAATCCAGTTTATCATTGTTGGACATTTGGGTTGGTTCCAAGTCTTTGCTATTGTGAATAGTGCCGCAATGAACATACGTGTGCATGTGTCTTTATAGCAGCATGATTTATGGTCCTTTGGGTATATACCCAGTAATGGGATGGCTGGGTCAAATGGTATTTCTAGTTCTAGATCCCTGAGGAATCGACACACTGACTTCCACAATGGTTGAACTAGTTTACAGTCCCACCAACAGTGTAAAAGTGTTCCTATTTCTCCACATCCTCTCCAGCACCTGTTGTTTCCTGACTTTTTAATGATTGCCATTCTAACTGGTGTGAGATGGTATCTCATTGTGGTTTTGATTTGCATTTCTCTGATGGCCAGTGATGGTGAGCATTTTTTCATGTGTTTTTTGGCTGCATAAATGTCTTCCTTTGAGAAGTGTCTGTTCATGTCCTTCGCCCACTTTTTGATGGGGTTGTTTGTTTTTTTCTTGTAAATTTGTTTGAGTTCATTGTAGATTCTGGATATTAGCCCTTTGTCAGAAGAGTAGGTTGCAAAAATTTTCTCCCATTTTGTAGGTTGCCTGTTCACTCTGATGGTAGTTTCTTCTGCTGTGCAGAAGCTCTTTAGTTTAATGAGATCCCATTTGTCAATTTTGTCTTTTGTTGCCATTGCTTTTGGTGTTTTAGACATGAAGTCCTTGCCCATGCCTATGTCCTGAATGGTAATGCCTAGGTTTTCTTCTAGGGTTTTTATGGTTTTAGGTCTAACGTTTAAGTCTTTAATCCATCTTGAATTGATTTTTGTATAAGGTGTAAGGAAGGAATCCAGTTTCAGCTTTCTACATATGGCTAGCTGGTTTTCCAGGCACCATTTATTAAATAGGGTATCCTTTCCCCATGGCTTGTTTTTCTCAGGTTTGTCAAAGATCAGATAGTTGTAGATATGCGGCATTATTTCTGAGGGCTCTGTTCTGTTCCATTGATCTATATCTCTGTTTTGGTACTAGTACCATGCTGTTTTGCTTACTGTAGCCTTGTAGTGTAGTTTGAAGTCAGGTAGCGTGATGCCTCCAGCTTTGTCCTTTTGGCTTAGGATTGACTTGGTGATGTAGGCTCTTTTTTGGTTCCATATGAACTTTAAAGTAGTTTTTTCCAATTCTGTGAAGAAAGTCATTGGTAGCTTGATGGGGATGGCATTGTATCTATAAATTACCTTGGGCAATATGGCCATTTTCACGATATTGATTCTTCCTACCCATGAGCATGGAATGTTCTTCCATTTGTTTGTATCCTCTTTTATTTCATTGAGCAGTGGTTTGTAGTTCTCCTTGAAGAGGTCCTTCACATCCCTTGTAAGGTGGATTCCTAGGTATTTTATTCTCTTTGAATCAATTGTGAATGGGAGTTCACTCATGATTTGGCTCTCTGTTTGTCTGTTATTTGTGTATAAGAATGCTTGTGATTTTTGTACATTGATTTTGTATCCTGAGACTTTGCTGAAGTTGCTTACCAGCTTAAAGAGATTTTGGGCTGAGACAATGGGGTTTTCTAGATATTTAATCATGTCAACTGCAAACAGGGACAATTTGACTTCCTCTTTTCCTAACTGAATACCCTTTATTTCCTTTTCCTGCCTAATTGCCCTGGCCAGAACTTCCAACACTATGTTGAATAGGAGTGGTGAGAGAGGGCATTCCTGTCTTGTGCCATTTTTCAAAGGGAATGCTTCCAGTTTTTGCCCATTCAGTATGATATTAGCTGTGGGTTTGTCATAGATAGCTCTTATTATTTTGAGATACGTCCCATCAATACCTGATTTATTGAGAGTTTTTATCATGAAGAGTTGTTGAATTTTGTCAAAGGCCTTTTCTGCATCTATTGAGATAATCATGTGGTGTTTGTCTTTGGTTCTGTTTATATGCTGGATTACATTTATTGATTTGCATATATTGAACCAGCCTTGCATCCCAGGGATGAAGCCCACTTGATCATGGTGGATAAGCTTTTCGATGTGCTGCTGGATTTGGTTTGCCAGTATTTTATTGAGGATTTTTGCATGAATGTTCATCAAGGATATTGGTCTAAAATTCTCTTTTTTGGTTGTGTCTCTGCCCGGCTTTGGTATCAGGATGATGCCGGCCTCATAAAATCAGTTAGGGAGGATTCCCTCTTTTTCTATTGATTGGAATAATTTCAGAAGGAATGGTACCAGTTCCTCCTTGTACCTCTGGTAGAATTCGGCTGTGAATCCATCTGGTCCTGGACTCTTTTTGGTTGGTAAGCTATTGATTATTGCCAGAATTTTAGATCCTGTTATTGGTCTATTCAGAGGTTCAACTTCTTCCTGGTTTAGTCTTGGGAGAGTGTATATGTCCAGGAATTTATCCATTTCTTCTAGATTTTCTAGTTTATTTGCGTAGAGGTGTTTGTAGTATTCTCTGATGGTAGTTTGTATTTCTGTGGGATCGGTGGTGATATCCCCTTTATCATTTTTTTATTACATCTATTTGATTCTTCTCTCTTTTATTCTTTATTAGTCTTGCTAGCAGTCTATCAATTTTGTTGATCCTTTCAAAAAACCAGCTCCTGGATTCATTAATTTTTTGAAGGGTTTTTTGTGTCTCTATTTCCTTCAGTTCTGCTCTGATTTTAGTTATTTCTTGTCTTCTGCTAGTTTTGAATGTTTTTACTCTTGCTTTTCTAGTTCTTTTAATTGTGATGTTAGGGTGTCAATTTTGGATCTTTCCTGCTTTCTGTTGTGGGCATTTAGTGCTATAAATTTCCCTCTACACACTGCTTTGAATGTGTCCCAGAGATTCTGGTATGTTGTGTCTTTGTTCTCGTTGGTTTCAAAGAACATCTTTATTTCTGCCTTCGTTTCCTTATGTACCCAGTAGTCATTCAGGAGCAGGTTGTTCAGTTTCCATGTAGTTGGGTGGTTTTGAGTGAGTTTCTTAATCCTGAGTTCTAGTTTGATTGCACTGTGGTCTGAGAGATAGTTTGTTATAATTTCTGTTCTTTTACATTTGCTGAGGAGAGCTTTACTTCCAACTATGTGGTCAATTTTGGAATGGGTGTGGTGTGGTGCTGAAAAAAATGTATATTCTGTTGATCTGGGGTTGAGAGTTCTGTAGATGTCTATTAGGTCCACTTGGTGCAGAGCTGAGTTCAATTCCTGGGTATCCTTGTTAACTTTCTGTCTCGCTGATCTGTCTAATGTTGACAGTGGGGTGTTAAAGTGTCCAATTATTATTGTGTGGGAGTCTAAGTCTCTTTGTAGGTCACTCAGGACTTGCTTTATGAATCTTGGTGCTCCTGTATTGGGTGCATATATATATTTAGGATAGTTAGCTCTTCTTGTTGAATTGATCCCTTTACCATTATGTAATGGCCTTCTTTGTCTCTTTTGATCTTTGTTGGTTTAAAGTCTGTTTTATCAGAGACTAGGATTGCAACCCCTGCCTTTTTTTGTTTTCCATTTGCTTGGTAGATCTTCCTCCATCCTTTTATTTTGAGCCTATGTGTGTCTCTGCACGTGAGATGGGTTTCTTGAATACAGCACACTGATGGGTCTTGACTCTTTATCCAATTTGCCAGTCTGTGTCTTTTAATTGGAGCATTTAGTCCATTTACATTTAAAGTTAATATTGTTATGTGTGAATTTGATCCTGTCATTATGATGTTAGCTGGTTATTTTGCTCGTTAGTTGATGCAGTTTCTTCCTAGTCTCGATGGTCTTTACATTTTGGCATGATTTTGCAGTGGCTGGTACTGGTTGTTCCTTTCCATGTTTAGTGCCTCCTTCAGGAGCTCTTTTAGGGCAGGCCTGGTGGTGACAAAATCTCTCAGCATTTGCTTGTCTGTAAAGCATTTTATTTCTCCTTCACTTATGAAGCTTAGTTTGGCTGGATATGAAATTCTGGGTTGAAAATTCTTTTCTTTAAGAATGTTGAATATTGGCCCCCACTCTCTTCTGGCTTGTAGAGTTTCTGCCGAGCGATCCTCTGTTAGTCTGATGGGCTTCCCTTTGTAGGTAACCTGACCTTTCTCTCTGGCTGCCCTTAACGTTTTTTCCTTCATTTCAACTTTGGTGAATCTGACAATTATGTGTCTTGGAGTTGCTTGTCTCGAGGAGTATCTTTGTGGCATTCTCTGTATTTCCTGAATCTGAAGGTTGGCCTGCCTTGCTAGATTGGGGAAATTCTCCTGGATAATATCCTGCAGAGTGTTTTCCAACTTGGTTCCATTCTCCCCGTCACTTTCAGGTACACCAGTCAGACGTAGATTTGGTCTTTTCACATAGTCCCATATTTCTTGGAGGCTTTGTTCATTCCTTTTTATTCTTTTTTCTCTAAACTTCCCTTCTTGCTTCAGTTCATTCATTTCATCTTCCATCACTGATACCCTTTCTTCCAGTTGATTGCATCGGCTCCTGAGGCTTCTGCATTCTTCACATAGTTCTCGAGCATTGGCTTAAACTCCATCAGCTCCTTTAAGCACTTCTCTGTATTGGTTATTCTAGTTATACATTCTTCTAAATTTTTTTCAAAGTTTTCAACTTCTTTGCCTTTGGTTTGAATTTCCTCCTGTAGCTCGGAGTTGTTTGATCATTTGAAGTCTTCTTCTCTCAACTCATCAAAGTCATTCTCCATCCAGCTTTGTTCTGTTGCTGGTGAGGAACTGCGTTCCTTTGGAGGAGGAGAGGTGCTCTGCTTTTTAGAGTTTCCAGTTTTTCTGTTCTGTTTTTTCCCCATCTTTGTGGTTTTCTCTACTTTTCTTCTTTGATGATGGTGATGTACAGATGGGTTTTTGGTGTGGATGTCCTTTCTGTTTGTTAGTTTTCCTTCTAACAGACAAGACCCTCAGCTGCAGGTCTGTTGGAGTTTGCTAGAGGTCCACTCTACACCCTGTTTGCCTGGGTATCAGCAGCAGTGTCTGCAGAACAGCGGTTTTTCGTGAACCACGAATTCTCTGGAAGTTTTGTCTCAGAGGAGTACCCGGCCATGTGAGGTGTCAGTCTGCCCCTACTGGGGGATGCCTCCCAGTTAGGCTGCTCGGGGGTCAGGGGTCAGGGACCCACTTGAGGAGGCAGTCTGCCCCTTCTCAGATCTCCAGCTGCGTGCTGGGAGAACCACTGCTCTCTTCAAAGCTGTCAGATGGGGACATTGAAGTCTGCAGAGGTTACTGCTGTCTTTTTGTTTGTCTGTGCCCTGCCCCCAGAGGTGGAGCCTACAGAGGCAGGCAGGCCTCCTTGAGCTGTGGTGGGCTCCACCCAGTTCGAGCTTCCCGGCTGCTTTGTTTACCTAAGCAAGCCTGGGCAATGGCGGGCACCCCTCCTCCAGCCTCGCTGCTGCCTTGCAGTTTGATCTCAGACTGCTGTGCTAGCAATCAGCGAGACTCCGTGGGCGTACGACCCTCTGAGCCAGGTGCGGGATATAATCTCGTGTTGCGCCGCTTTTTAAGCCCGTCGGAAAAGCGCAGTATTTGGGTGGGAGTGACCCGATTTTCCAGGTGCCCTCCGTCACCCCTTTCTTTGACTCAGAAAGAGAACTCCCTGACCCCTTGCACTTCCCGAGTGAGGCAATGCCTCACCCTGCTTCGGCTCGCGCACGGTGCGCGCACCCACTGACCTGCGCCCACTGTCTGGCACTCCCTAGTGAGATGAACCTGGTACCTCAGATGGAAATGCAGAAATCACCCGTCTTCTGCGTCGCTCACGCTGGGAGCTGTAGACAGGAGCTGTTCATATTCGGCCATCTTGGCTCCTCCTCCCAAACGCAAATACTTAATAAATGAATATATTCTGGTAAGGATTAAATAAATGTAGAACTAATCCAGGAAGTTCTTTGACCCTGTATGCAAGGAAAAAAAGGATAATTACTTGGCACGAATTGTCAGGAAGGGTTTATGCATCACAAATCTGATGGATAGAGATGTCCTATCAGATATTGTCTATCTTTCAGATTTTTACATATGTGAAATAAGGTATTACAGTCAGTCCCATTAAAAATGTGGTTTTCCCAAACCCCACAATTTCTTTACAGACAAAATGTTTTGCAATATGAAAGAAACTCAAAGTTTAAGTCACAGGATATTTTAATTCCCTGGAGGAATATCTTGCCAGGATTAAGTTATTGAACTGACTTTTTTTGGGTAACTGGTCATTGGATGTAACTGAGTCAGGGTACCTTTGTGGTTTGCTTGCTGTATAAGCATGTTTAAGAAGTTTCTCTTATAAATGCATTTAATGCATTCCTTTTCCCAATGCTTTCATAATATCAGCAAAGGATATCAATTTGCCAATATGGCTGCCATTAGCAGGGCTTTGAAGTGCCAGGGTCAAACATATCTTATTAGAATGGATTTAACCGTCTGTTTCTATTTCTTTTTTTTTTCTTTTTTTGAGATGGAGTCTTGCTCTGCCACCCAGGCTGGAGTGCAGTGGTCTGATCTTGGCTCATGGCAACCTCCGCCTCCCGGGTTCAAGTGATTCTCCTGCCTCAGCCTCCCCAGTAGCTGGGATTACAGGCACCCACCACCACGCCTGGCTAATTTTTGTATATTTAGTAGAGACAGGGTTTCACCATGTTGGCAAGGCTGGTGTCGAGCTCCTGACCTCAGATAATCCACCCCCCTTGGCCTTCCAAAGTGCTGGGATTACAGACTGGAGCCATCTCGCCCGGCTTTAACAGTCTGTTTCTAGAGAGAACTTCTTTTATTTGACAAACTCTAAGACTGTTGGGTGAAGAGCAAAGATTTTTCCAGGTATGGTGGCCCATGCTTGTAGTTCCAGCTACTTGCGAGTCTGTGGCAGGAGGATCACTTAAAGTTGAGTGCGAAGCTGCAGTGAACTGTGATTGCGTCACTGCACTCCATCCTGGAGACAGTGAGATTCTGTCTCTAAATCATAATAATGATAATAATAGCAACAAGTTACTAGTAGATACGACTAAGAGATTCTAGAAACGTTTTCTCACTTGAGAAATTAAAATCACCATCTGCAATGCAAATCCATTTTCGTCTTGATGATAGAAAATGTCCTTACTTATATAAGTGTCACCTAGCTTCTAATATCCTGTTGGTAATCTGGAAATTAGACAGAAAAATAGGTGTTTGACCATCAAGAGAGATCATTCAAGGTCCAGAATGTAAAGCCCATGTCCTTTACTTGAGAAAGTCTCTCGAGGCCTGTTAGTGTGTGGACTTTTAATTTTCCCACACTTCTAGAAAGCCTGGGGACTTTATTTTCCCAATCTACAGAAACCACGGATGTTGAGGGTTAGTGGGTGGACAGAGCACAGATACAGGGATCTACACTGATTCAGCAAGAAGCGATTGTTGACATTAAGAAGGACACTATAAAACACACTTAAAAAAAAAGACAGCAATTTCAGAACAAAATTTAGGATTGTTGAGTACGGGAGCAGCCTTTATCTCTCAGCAGTTCTTGAGAGTGTTACTAAATGATCAGTGGTTTCCAATGGCTATTCCTGGAATCTTATGGTTCTATGTCGTCTCAGGAATTCCTAGTGGGTGGGACTCTGTTGCACACCCATCTCTCTCTTCAACTCTTCTTTGTATCTATTTTGTTGGTTGGAATTCTAGAAAAGACTTCTCAGTTAAAACAGAATTTTAAAAATCGCATTTTGGTGTATAGTTTGATTCTGTAATGAGGCTGAGTCATAAAAGATTAAATGGTCAAACTCTGTGTAAAAGGCAGAGGACGATGTAACATATTTCAGAAACACTTGCATTAAAATGCTGAAAATATAAGTTTTGGCATAGTAGACTGTAAGTAAATCTTTGTTAAATGGATGAATTATGAAATGCAGAGAGAGAAACTCAAACTGTTCAAAAGTTGCCTTGCTCCACATCACTGAATAAATAAAGTATGACTGAATATAGTGCCTTTGTTGAGTGTATAGATATGTGAGTTCAATCTTCTAAGAAAAACTCAAATAGAGACTTGACAACATGTGGCCAGACACTTGTATCAAGTGCCTTCAAGTGTCATGCTGCAATCTATAAAACAGCTTTAAGCAATACATCAAACAAGTATTTGGAATGAAAGATGATGATTCATTCTCTTGCAGATATGGAAATTGAGAATAAAATAAGTTCTAGAGGCAAGTACAGTTTATTTTGTCTGCATAATGAATATATTTAAAGAAAAGTGGTTTTGTTTTCTTGAAGCTAATTGATTTGATTGTTGTTTTATGCATTGAATGTCTATTGTCAAACATGATTCAGAGCTAAACATGGAATGTAGTTACATCTATAACTACATAACTAAATATGTATAGTTAAAATTGTAAAATATGACATGTATAAGGAAAAGTATACAAAATAGAAATGTACAGCTCAATGATTTGTTACAGGAGTTGGCATATTTTTGTGTATAAGGCTGGATGGTAAATATATTAGAATTCATGGGCTATATGGTGTCTGTTAGGACTATTCAAGTCTCCTATTGTTAATAAAAAGACAGATACAGACAATGTGTAAACTAACATGGGCTGTGGTTTAATAAAGTTTTGTTCACAATAATCGGTGGGAGATTAGGTTTGGGCCATATTGTTTGCCAATCCCTGATTTATGACAATGCAAACCCTACTGTTTCTACCATCTAGGACTGGAAATACAATATTATCAACATTGCAGAAGCATCCTCATCTTCCCTTCCAAGCACCATCACTACTCTCTTGCTCCTATACTATCTTTCATGGTAATATATTCTTTGCTTTTCTTTGTAGTTTTATCAGCTAAACATACATACCTTACACACATACATTAATGAAGTCATATGGAATGTATTTTTTTCTCAACATTCTCTTCATCAGATTCATTTCTGTCACATGAAGTGGCAACTTTTTTTTTCATTTTCATTGCTGTAAAGAATTGTGTTATGTGAACAGTTCAACATTTATTTTCCAGTTCTAATGCTGGTGGACATTTGATAATTGATTTCACATTTTGGCTTTTATGACTAATGCTCTTATAAACATTTTCGTACATGTCTCTGCATGCACATGTGCATGCATTTTTGTTGGATGTACACTTAGGAATTGCAGAGTATGCTTTGTGCTTGTATTTTAGGAGACAATACCAGTGGTTTTCCAAAGCAGTATACTAACTTTACTCCTACCTACAGTTTAAAAGAGTTCCCCTTATTCTACATCAGAGGTCAGCAAACTATGAGCAACAGTCAATTATGGAGTGCACCAGTGGACTGGGCTAGCACTGTGAACCATGCCTCACTGCTGCCTGGGGTCTGGCTGGTCAACACCTACACTCTGGGGACTCTGCTGTTGGCAGCTGCTGGCACACCAAGTGATAGAAACTATCAGCCTCTTCTTTGGCCTGCTGATCAAATTGACACAGTCTCCCCAGGAGAGAAGGGCATGTTGAGATCAAGTGTACCTGGGGCAGAGAGGGAAAGTGACCATGGTGACTGTTCCCACTTCTCCTCCCCGTCGGGACCCCTCAGACCCATTCCTCTTCCTTCAGGTAGTTTCCAGCCAACCACAACTAGGACAAAGCCTTCCCACCACCTCACTGGTCCACGTCAGTCAAATGTGGTGGAGAAAGTCAAGAGTTTCTCGTGTTATATAAGTGCCTGCCTTCATAATATCCTAAATGTTGTCTCTTGACTACGAGGCCTAAGAAAATTACTATCTGGCCCTTTACAGGAACAGCTGGCCAATCCCTGTTCTACATTCTCATCAGCACTTGAATGTTGCCAGTCTTTCTAATTTTAGGTATTCTGGTGGGTTTCTAATCAGACTGTATTGTAATTATAATTTTTTTTAATTTCTAAAGACAATGAGTACCTTATCACTTTGGTTGGCCATTTGGCTGTCTTCTTCTAAGAAATGTCTGTTCAGGTCTCTGGACCATTTTTCTTTTGGGCTGTCTGCCTTTTCTTTATTGAAAAGTAGGCGTTCCTTCTGGATACTGGATATGAGTGTTTGTCAGTTATGATTTGCGAGTTTCTTCCTCCACCCTGTGGCTTGCTTTTTTTGTTTACTTTCTTCATGCTATCATTTGATGAACAGAAATTCTACATTTTTATTTACACATCTTATTCTTTACAGTTGTGTTTTGTTTAAGAAGCCTTTTCTTGTCAAAATATGGCTTGCTGGGCCCCACTGCCAGACTTCCTGAATCAGCAGGTCTGGGGTGAGGCTGGAGAATTTGTATTCCTAACAAGTTCCCAGGTGATGCTAACACTGTCTGGAGACTACACTTTAAGAACCACTGATGTAGAAACGTTGCTGATTTGCCTTTCATATTTATGTCTAGAGTCCATCAGAAATTATGAATTAAGGGTTGGCTTTAATTTTTTTCATATGGAAATCTAAGAAGCATTCGTTGACAGACAGTCCTTTCTCCACTGTTCTGTGAACCACCGTTCAAATGTCCATGAATCTGTTTCTGGGTTCTCTAGTTTATACCATCAGTCTCTTTGCCTATTGTTGAACCAGTACCACGCTGTCTTAATTACTGTAATGTTATCATAGGCCTTGATATATGGTCGAGCACCTTTTACCTTTCCTTTTTCTTCAATACACATTTACTGCCAGCTTATCAATTCTGTCTGTCTCTCTCTCTCTCACACACACACACACACACACACAGTGTGCACCCATAAACACATGCACAGACATACACCCTGTTGGGATTTTGATTAGAAGTGCATTGAATCTATAGATCATTTGGAAGGATTCACATGTTTACAATATTAAACCTTTAAACCTCCTATCCAGTTCTTTCCAATTTTTTTCCTATGCTCCCCCTGAAACTGAAGGAGCCCCCCGGTTTTTTTTTTTTACTTTTTTCCCTAACTTCTCCTACTGTGAAATTTTAATACCACAGGTATACTGTATATCTTTGCTTTGCATATAAGAAGATTTTTTTATCATCCTAAAACCTAACACTTTTCCCTTTCGGGGCTATTTTACCCTTGTTGTGAATGAGTCCCTTGTATTGAGAAATCCCTTCATTCAATCAATTCAGTTCAATTCCTTGGATTGAAATCCCCAATTTCATTTATTTAGATATTCTTTAATTTCTCTTAGTAATATTTTATCATTTTTCTGTGTAGCAGTCAAAATGTATCTAGTTTCAAGTTGATTCTTCGGTATTTGATATTTTGGAATGTAGGGTTCATGCCCTTCTGGGTTGGCTGTACAGCCCCCAAGCAGGCTTAGGTGAACAGGTGAGGTCACCATTGTGCAGGGCACCTTGGCCTCCTAGCTTCACATCTAAACACCTGCCATCTGGGTGCCCCACCTTACAAAGTCTTGATTTGTAGACTCCATTTTTCAAGACATATTACTTGAAAGTCCCAGTCTAATTCCAAACCCATTTGTCATTTGTGGCTATGAAATAAAATAATATGTATGGGTTTAACTGCAGAACAGATATTTTGAAAGGAAGGACATGTCTTGGAAAGTGTTCAAAATTAAGGCATAAGCAACATTAATTTTTTTTTCCTGGTTTACAAGAACCAGAGTGAAAACGAGTCAGTAGATGGCACTGTTTCTTAATAGATAGAGAAAACCCTACACTGGTGGAAGAGGTTTGAATGGAAACATTTTTTTTTCCATTAAATTGGAATTAAGAATAATATAAATAAAACTTTAAAAAAAAGTTCTGTGGGATCCCTTGCGATCTACTTCTCTGGTGAGCTTAATTAAAGTCAATGAAGAAGCTTAAGCTCCTACACCCTCTCTTACTCTTGGTGGGCTCTTGCTCTAATTGTGTCTTCTCTCAGACAAGGCTAAGCTAAGTGACAGTGTATTGTACAGTTGGCGAGGTCAGAATAAAGTCACTGAGACAGAAGTCCCAGGTGCCTCCTGTGTGTGGCCCTGTGCTCTGGCAGAAGGCAATGCTGGTTTTCATTGTCAGCACCATCTGTGCAGGAGACATCACAAAGCATGAGAGGACTAAACCGAAGAGTCTCCTCTCAGTGTGTTTTCCATGCAGCAGAGCAGAAGATCTGGTTGCAAATCCTGCCTTAGCTGCGTCCTACCTATTTAACCTTGGTAAACGATTTCGTCTCACTGATTTCAATTTTGTTACCTGGAAAATGGAGATAATCTCTACATCACAAGATGCTGTGAAGATTAAATGAGGTGATATATGTAGAGCATTTAGCCTGGTTACCCAGTGACAACATGCTTTTGTGATTATTCCATGCTTTTTGGGGTTTGGAAGTGGCATGGAAAGTAGACCTCATGGGTTTCAAGTGGTAACTGTCCTGTGCCCAGGTAAAAAAATGTCAGCAAATCTGGCCACTTGTGTTGCTCTCACTCAAGTTTAAACTATGCAAACTAGGAATATGGCCTTAAATGGCAGAACTACTTTTGCTTCCTGGGTTCCCTGAGGTACTTTAAAAACATGCCAATGCCCCAGCCCTGGAGATTCTGATTTAATTGGTCTGGCATGGGCCAGCTCCCCAGGTGACTCTAGTTGGCAGCTTGTTTAGATGCCCAGTCTACAGTGTGCTGTCTTTACACAGTGTTATCTGCAAAGGTGAGACCAGGTCTCAGTCTTCTCTTGCAGTTTCAGGTTAGTATCTGAGTATCTGTGAGATATCCGAGCTCATCATTTCTTCCTGGGTACTGTGCAGTCGGCTCAGGTAAGTCGCTGACAGGTACATTTGACAGAAGATTCAGACAGGGTAGAGGTGTGATTAAAATATATGTGGCTTGTCTTCTCCTTAGATGTGCTTTCTGAAACACTGAAATAAAGCTCTATGAGGAAATCACAGAGAACACCATGAAATACTGTATTTTTTCTCATTTTCTATCTTTGTCTATGTTTTTGTTTCTGTTTATGTATACGTCTCTGTGTCTGTCTGCTCTCTTGATGTCTTGCCTGTTTGTCTTTGATTTTGTCTGTTCTGTTCCTTTCTGTCTCTGTGTGTCTTGCTGCTCTGTATCTGTATGTCTGCTCTATTTCTGTTTGTTTACTTTGTCTGTATCTGTCTCTCTCTTGACTTGTTTGTCTTGGTGGGACCTGATTTATGCACTCAAGGGTCATTGTGCATATTAGTCAGGCTTCTCCAGAGAAACCAACAGGGTGTGTGTGTGTGTGTGTGTGTGTCTGTGTGTGTGTGTGTGTGTGTATGTTTGTATGTATGGAATTGGCTCACATGGTTTGAAGACTGAGAAGTCCCAAGATCTGATGTCAGTCAGCTGAAGTCCCAGGAGAGTAGATGGTGTAATTTCCAATCTAAGTTTGAGTATGAAGACAGAAAATGATTGATGTCCCAGTTTGAAGATAGTCAGATGGAGAGAGAGAGAATTCTTTCTTATTTATTCTTTTTGTTCTATTCAGGCCTTCAAGGGATTGGATAATGCTCACCTACATTAGGTAGGGTAATCTGCTTTACTAAGTCTACCAATTCAAACATTAATCTCACCCAGAAACAGTCCCACAGGCATGCTTAAATGATGTTTCATCAAATATCTAGGCATTCTGTGGCTCAGTCAAGTTAACACATAAAATTAAGCATCACACCATGCAAGTCCATTATGTCCACCACCCTAGAACTTCTGGGTCTAGAAGTCTTAATTTGGCTGACCAAGGGTCAAATTTGCCTCTCAGGTACATGTTGCTGGTCTCCTGCCTGCATCTGTGTATTATACCCAGTGAGCTTTACTCTGTACATTATCCATCTGACCACTTTTCTAGGACATGGCCAGGTGCGAGGTCACTAAACTTGTGCCCCTTTTCTATCTACTCCACTCTACTGCAGCCAAGCTAGATTAAATATAGTTTTTTAATGTCTGTGAGAAAATCAAAGCATGTTTGTAACCCTCACTGGCAATATTACTCAGCTAAAAGTATTCAACAACTTGACTACATAACTCTTTGGTTTCTTCTCTGTCCTCTATCCTGGAAAGAAAACCCACCACATTATTGACTTATCCATGGAAAGAAAGGGATTTCATTCATTTGTACCCTCTTTACCAGGGTGACCCCACAGTGGTTTTTATGTCCTGCTTCCTCAGGAACGAGGGAGGTTTTCTTCCCTTTCCCCCTTCTTCTTCTTCTTCTTTATCTTTTTAAAGTCACTTAGTGCTCCTTCCTCACTGGAACTTTGCCTGACATCTCCAGATACTGAATTCCTTTATCAACTAGGACATACACCATTGGGCTGCTCTGGATGTAAACTGTCTTCTGTAAATAGCTTGGAGTTTAAAAATACAAGTTTGATCCTAAATATATATGCACCCAATACAGGAGCACCCAGATTCATAAAGCAAGTCCTGAGTGACCTACAAAGAGACTTAGGACTCCCACACAATAATAATGGGAGACTTTAACACCCCACTGTCAACACTAGACAGATCAACGAGACAGAAAGTTAACAAGGATACTCAGGAATTGAACTCAGCTCTGCACCAAGCGGACCTAACAGACATCTACAGAACTCTCCACCCCAAATCAACAGAATATACATTTTTTTCAGCACCACACCACACCTATTCCAAAATTGACCACATAGTGGGAAGTAAAGCTCTCCTCAGCAAATGTGAAAGAACAGAAATTATCACAAACTGTCTCTCAGATCACAGTGCAATCAAACTAAAACTCAGGATTAAGAAACTCACTCAAAACCGCTCAACTACATGGAAACTGAACAACCTGCTCCTGAATGACTACTGGATACATAACGAAATGAAGGCAGAAATAAAGATGTTCTTTGAAACCAACGAGAACAAAGACACAACATACTAGAATCTCTGGGACACATTCAAAGCAGTGTGTAGAGGGAAATGTATAGCACTAAATGCCCACAACAGAAAGCAGGAAAGATCCAAAATTGACACCCTAACATCACAATTAAAAGAACTAGAAAAGCAAGTGCAAACACATTCAAAAGCTAGCAGAAGGCAAGAAATAGCTAAAATCAGAGCAGAACTGAAGGAAATAGAGACATAAAAATCCCTTCAAAAAATTAATGAATCCAGGAGCTGATTTTTTGAAAGGATTAACAAAATTGATAGACTGCTAGCAAGACTAATAAAGAAAAAAAGGGAGAAGAATCAAATAGATGTAATAAAAAAATGATAAAGGGGATATCACCACCGATCCTACAGAAATACAAACTACCATCAGAGAATACTACAAACACCTCTATGCAAATAAACTCGAAAATCTAGAAGAAATGGATAAATTCCTCGGCACATACACCCTCCCAAGACTAAACCAGGAAGAAGTTGAATCTTTGAATAGGCCAATAACAGGATCTGAAATTCTGGCAATAATCAATAGCTTACCAACCAAAAAGAGTCCATGACCAGATGGATTCACAGCCAAATTCTACCAGAGGTACAAGGAGGAACTGGTACCATTCCTTCTGAAACTATTCCAATCAGTAGAAAAAGAGGGAATCCTCCCTAACTCATGAGGCCAGCATCATCCTGATACCTAAGCTGGGCAGAGACACAACCAAAAAAGATAATTTTAGACCAATATCTTTGATGAACATTGATGCAAAAATCCTCAGTAAAATACTGTCAAGGCGAATCCAGCAGCACATCAAAAAGCTTATCCACCATGATCAAGTGGGCTTCATCCCTGGGATGCAAGGCTGGTTCAATATAAGCAAATCAATAAATGTAATCCAGCATATAAACAGAACCAAAGACAAAAACCACATGATTATCTCAATAGATGCAGAAAAGGCCTTTGACAAAATTCAACAACCTTCATGATAAAAACTCTCAATAAATCAGGTATTGATGGGACGTATCTCAAAATAATAAGAGCTATCTATGACCAACCCACAGCCAATATCATACTGAATGGGCAGAAACTGGAAGCATTCCCTTTGAAAACTGGCACAAGACAGGAATGCCCTCTCTCACCACTCCTATTCAACATAGTGTTGGAAGTTCTGGCCAGGGCAATTAGGCAGGAGAAGGAAATAAAGGGTATTCAGTCAGGAAAAGAGGAAGTCAAATTGTCCCTGTTTGCAGACGACATGATTGTATATCTAGAAAACCCCATCATCTCAGCCCGAAATCTCCTTAAGCCGATAAGCAACTTCAGCAGTCTCAGGATACAAAATCAATGTACAAAAATCACAAGCATTCTTATACACAAATAACAGACAAACAGAGAGCCAAATCATGAGTGAACTCCCATGCACAATTGCTTCAAAGAGAATAAAATACCTAGGAATCCACCTTACAAGGGATGTGAAGGACCTCTTCAAGGAGAACTACAAACCACTGCTCAATGAAATAAAAGTGGATACAAACAAATGGAAGAACATTCCATGCTCATGGGTAGGAAGAATCAATATCATGAAAATGGCCATACTGCCCAAGGTAATTTATAGATTCAATGCCATCCCCATCAAGCTACCAATGACTTTCTTCACAGAATTGGAAAAAACTACTTTAAAGTTCATATGGAACCGAAAAAGAGCCTGCATCACCAAGTCAATCCTAAGCCAAAAGAACAAAGCTGGAGGCATCACACTATCTGACTTCAAACTACACTACAAGGCTACAGTAAGCAAAACAGCATGGTACTGGTACCAAAACAGAGATATAGATCAATGGAACAGAGCAGAGCCCTCAGAAATAACACCGCATATCTACAACTATCTGATCTTTGACAAACCTGAGAAAAACAAGCAATGGGGAAAGGATTCCCTATTTAATAAATGGTGCTGGGAAAACTGGCTAGCCATATGTAGAAAGCTGAAACTGGATCCCTTCCTTACACCTTATACAAAAATCAATTCAAGATGGATTAAAGACTTAAACGTTAGACCTAAAACCATAAAAACCCTAGAAGAAAACCTAGGCATTACCATTCAGGACATAGGCATGGGCAAGGACTTTATGTCTAAAACACCAAAAGCAATGGCAACAAAAGACAAAATTGACAAATGGGATCTCATTAAACTAAAGAGCTTCTGCACAGCAGAAGAAACTACCATCAGAGTGAACAGGCAACCTACCAAATGGGAGAAAATTTTCGCAACCTACTCATCTGACAAAGGGCTAATATCCAGAATCGACAATGAACTCAAACAAATTTACAAGAAAAAACAAACAACCCCATCAACAAGTGGGCAAAGGATATGAACAGACACTTCTCAAAAGGAGAGATTTATGCAGCCAAAAGACACATGAAAAAATGCTCATCATCACTGGCCATCAGAGAAATGCAAATCAAAACCACAACGAGATACCATCTCACACCAGTTAGAATGGCAAGCATTAAACAGTCAGGAAACAACAGGTGCTGGAGAGGATGTGGAGAAATAGGAACACTTTTACACTGTTGGTGGGACTGTAAACTAGTTCAACCATTGTGCAAGTCAGTGTGGCGATTCCTCAGGGATCTAGAACTGGAAATACCGTTTGACCCAGCCATCCCATTACTGGGTATATACCCAAAGGACTATAAATCATGCTGCTATAAAGACAGATGCACACGTATGTTTATTGCAGCACTATTCACAATAGGAAAGACTTGGAACCAACCCAAATGTCCAACAATGATAGACTGGATTAAGAAAATGTGGCACATATACACCATGGAATACTATGCAGCCATAAAAAATGATGATTTCATGTCCTTTGTAGGGACATGGATGAAACTGGAAAGCATCATTCTCAGTAAACTATCGTAAGGACAAAAAACCAAACACCGCATATTCTCACTCATAGATGGGAATTGAACAATGAGAACACATGGACACAGGAAGGGGAACATCACACTCTGGGGACTGTTGTGGGGTGGGGGGATGGGGGAGGGATAGCATTAAGAGATATACCTAATGCTAAATGACGAGTTAATGGGTGCAGCACAGCAGCATGGCACATGTATACATATGCAACTAACCTGCACATTGTGCACATGTACCCTAAAACTTAAAGTATAATAATAATAAGAAAAATAAACAATATTGATTCTTAAAAAAAATAAAAAAAATAAAAATACACGTTTGTCGGTATATAAATTTTACGATGCCTAAACAGAACTTAAAATAAACTGTTCTAACCAACAGGAATAAAAGAAAAGGCAGGTCTATAACTCTGTAATAAAAACATAACCCCCTGAGCTAAAGACTCTGTAATTATACTAGTGTTATGTATTCTTTTCTGAAAATCTTCAGGACAAATTATTACAATTTCTTTGTTTTTCTGTGGTAGATTCAATTGCTTCCAACAGCGGTATGTTTTGGAAAGCATGAGGCAAAAAGTAGACTCAGTATTAAAAATAAAAAAGTATATATGACATAGTTTCTGTGCCCTAGCTGCTTGGCAGTGGGGGCACCAGGTTGGAGGTGGTGGTGAGGACTCTGGGGTGGATGAGATTCGAGAGAGAGGTTAAGGCATGAACAACAAGGGACCTGCTGAAGCACCCTCTCTCAGGATGTCAGCAGCCTCCTGACAAAACGGTGTTAATATTTTTAAGACATACTTATGGTTTTACCTTTTATTTTATTCCTGTTGGATAGGACAGGTTTTTTTTGACTTTTGTTTTAGATTCAGGGGTTTCAAGTACATGTTTGTTACATGTGTATATTGCATGATGCTAGGGTTAAGGGTAAGAATGATCCCATCACTCAGGTACTGAGCATAGTACCCAACTGTTATTTTTTCAACCCTTACCTCCTTCCCTCCCTTCACCCTCTAATAGTTCCCAGTGTCTACTTTTGTCATTTTTCAATTTTTTTTTTTTTTTTAATTTCGAGGCAGAGCCTCGCTCTGTCACCCACACTGGACACCCAGGCTGGAGTGCAGTGGTGTGATCTTGGCCTGCTGCAACCTCCGTCTCCAGGGTTCAAGCAATTCTCGTGCCTCAGCCGCCAGAGTAGCTGGGATTACAGTCATGTGCCACCATGCCTGGTTAATTTTTGTATTTTTAGTAGAGATTTTTGCCATGTTGGCCACGCTGGTCTTGAACTCCTGGCTTCAAGTGATCTGCCTGCCTTGGCCTCCTAAAGTGCTGGGATTATAGGCATTAACCACCATGCCCAGCCTATTTTTTGCCATTATTGTGTCTATGAATACTCAATGTTTAGCTCCCACTTCTAAGTGAGAACATGTGGTATTTAATTTTCTGATCTTGTGTTAATTTGTTTAGGATAATAGCTTCCAGCTGCATCCATGTTGCTGGAAAGGACTTTTTTTTTTATATATATATCTGTGTAGTGTTCCATGATGTATATGTACCACATTCTAAAAAATCCAATCCATCATTGATGGGCACCTAGGTTGATTCCACGTCTTTGCTGTTGTGACTAGTGCTGCAATGACACGTGAGTGCAAATGTCTTTTTGGTAGAACGGTTTGTTTTCTTTTGGATATATACCCAGTAATGGGATTGCTGGGCTAAATGATAGTTCTAGAGTAGTTTGTTTTAAAACCTTTTAAGTTCTGTTTAAACACTGGGCAATGCTTAAATCATTCTTTCCATTCTCTAGGAGCAATTTTCAAATCAATCTGAGCCATTTCCAGTCAATTCAGCAGAAACTTCAGGTCTGCAATGGGATCTGGGATAAACTGTGGCCATACGTTCTTCTGGAGTTCTTGAAGTTTCCCAATCAGTTTAGAGGTAGATTGTTTTTTTCACTTCAAAGGATTCTAGCTTTTAAAGTAAAAATTGAAGCAAGAAGCAATGTTGGTTCAGTAACATTCTGTGTTTTAGGGTTGGCTGAACACAATCAGGAATTTGGTTAATGGCACCAAGGAAATAAATGAAAAGGAAAGCACAGGGTGTCTCGTGAAAGAATGAGTGTTTGATTTGCTTTGAGGAAACCCATACAGGAGGCCTCTAGGGATAACCTGCTTGACTAGGGTGAGCCAGGATGCATTTGCTTTTTTGAAGTTATTTAGTGCCAAAAAGAAGCAGAGCCTAATATACGGTTGGATAATTCCCAAGCATTCCCAGTACTCTCTGAAGCATTACTTCACTACCATGGCATCCCTGGCTTGGCTTCAACAGTGGTACCCATAGCAACTTTTCTCTGCCACTTTCAAAACGAGGTGACATGCACAAAGACTTATTTCTGAGAACTGGAGAGAACCTAGTTATTTGTATGGTAAGAAATTCACAAATATATCCCCCTGCACTGCAATTCCTGGGTGACATCTCTCTCTCGTTGGACTATAAGCTTCTTGTGGACATGGTGACAAAGACTCTCTCCTTGAACAAACTTGAATCCAATTTCTCTGAGTCTTCTTGACTTGGCTAGATCTTTGGCTCTACCCTTAGTCTGCTTAGTCCAATTAACAAGAATCTTAATGGCTCAGTTCAGCAAAAATCTCCCACCGCCAGTATCTTATCATCCTAGCTTGTCTTTGGCCATTATCCTGTTGAGTTGGTCTAGCAAGAATCCCCCAACCTTGATGTTCCTTCTTATTAATTTTCCATCTAATGACACCCACCCTGCTTCTTGGCTATAAATCCTCACTTACGCATGTTATATTCACAGTTGAGTCTGGTCCCTCTCCCTTACTGCATAACTCATTGCAGTAGTCCCTTGAATAGTCTTTCTTGACGTCTTTAACAAGTGTCAGAATAAAAAAGTGTTAGATAATATTTTCTTTGACAAGGGCCATGTGACTTTGCATCCCTAGGCCCTACGATTCTAGGGCCTGAATCATAGTGGGTACTGAATACTTTTTTTTTCACTTTAGAATTTTAATGTTGTATTTTGTACAGTTCTTTTTTTTCTTTTTTTTTTTACTTTAAGTTCTGGGATACATGTGCAGAATGTGCAGGTTTGTTACATAGGTATACATGTGCCATGGTAGTTTGCTGCACCTATCAACTTGTCATCTAGGTTTTAAGCCCTGAATGCATCAGGTATTTGTCCTGATGCTCTCCCTCCCTTTGACCCCCAACCCTGAGAGGCCCTGGTGTGTGTTGTTCCCCTCCCTGTGTCCATGTGTTCTCACTGTTCAACTCCCATTTATGAGTGAGAAAATATGGTATTTGGTTTTCTGTTCCTGTGTTAGTTTGCTGAGAATGACGGCTTCCAGCTTCATCCATGTCCCTGCAAAGGACATAAACTCATTATTTTTTTATGGCTGCATAGTATTCCATGGTTTATATGTGCCACATTTTCTTTATCCAGTCTATCACTGATGGGCATTTAGGTTGGTTTCCAGTCTTTGCTATCTCAATAATTTTTGAAGTGAGGAGAGAAATGAATGAAAACTGGAACTAGGTGGTTTGTTTTAGCATTGTAAATAGAGCCTTTGAAAGCCACAGATCTGTATTTAGATCCTGTTCTGATGTTTGCTATTAGATCATAGACAAGCTACTGAATTGTCCTGTGCTCAGCTTCCTCAGCTGTGAGGAGTGGAGATAATGTAAGTGAATTAGTGCAGAAACAGAAAATCAAATACCTCATGTTCTCACTTATAAGTGGGAGCTAAACAATGGGTACACATGGACATAAAGATGGAAACAGTAGACACTGGGGACTCCAAAAGTGATGAGAGAGGCAGGAGGGCTGCCTATTGTGGGTACTATCTTCACTATGTTCACTATCTTTTGGGTACTATGTTCACTATTTGGGTGATGGGTTCAGTAGCAGCCCAAACCCCAAAATTATGCAATATACCCATGTAACAAATCTGTACATGTACCCCTGAATCTAAAATTAGAGGAAAAATGCTGCCCATACCAATACTGACAAAAAAAAAAAAGAATGGGGATAATATAACCTACAGTATTTTGCAGAGTTGTTGTGAGGAACAAATGCAATAATGTGAAGTATCAGGCACTTGGTATTTGATCGGTGAGTGGTTATCATTGTTATCGCCACTATCAACAATAATGATAAAATGGCTACCCCTTCTGGGTCATGTAAGAAAGATGGAAAGATGTAATTCTGTCTAAAACTTTTCTACTCATTCCAAGGATTTCCTATTCTGTTATGGACTGAATTGTGTCCCTCCAAAATTCACATGTTGGAGCCCTAACCCCTAAGGTTACTATATTTCGAAATAGGGCCTATAAGGAAGTAATTAAGGTTAAATGAGGTCATAAGGGTGGGCGCCTAATCAAATAGGACAGTTGTCTTTATAAGAAGACACCAGAGATCCCCCCCACCCCCGCAGAAGAAAAGCCACGTGAGGACACAGTGAGGAGGTGGCCGTCCACAAGCTTGGAAGAGAGCCCTCACCAGCCTGACCATACTAATACATAGTCTAAGACCTGCTGCTGACACTTAGCTAAATTATGTAAACAACCCTGCTTCCCTGACTCTCACACTGTAATTTCTCTACCCATCATTGCATTCCTTACTTATTCCATTTGATTTTTATCAATTCCATCCAAGCCTTTATATACACTTTCAGAATTTGGCTCTTCAAAAGCTGTGATTACCTTATCATCAGACTATCTTCCAAATGAAAATTGGTATTTGATATTTGGAGTTTATAATTTTATGAGACCAAGGGGATAATTAATTTTGTAAACAAGGCCTGATACAATTACAAAAATTGCAGAGAATTGACACAGACAGGGAAGGCTTCATGGAGAAGCTATTATGTGTTAAGAAAGGAGAGGAATTTCATTATTTTGGCCAAAAGGAAGGTGGAAGGTTATATTTTGTGAGGCAACGAGCCCATAAATGTTTATAATGCAGCTTTTAAAGAGTAAATCCTTTTCCATGACACCATTTGGGTAAGCAGATGTTCCAGTTATTTATTGCCTAACAAACCATCACATAATTTAATGGCTTAAAATAACAATGATTATTTATTTTGCTCATGAATCTTGAGTCTGGCTGGAGCTTAGCAGAGACAGCATGTCTGTGCTCTATGAGATGCTGGCTGAGTCAGCTTTATTGGGGGCTGGAGGATCTACTTCCAAGGTGGCTCATTCTCATGGGTGGCAAGTCTGGGAGCTGAGCCAGACTGTGTGGCAGGGCCTCAGTTTCTCTCCATATGGGCCTCCCCACAGGCTGTTGGGCTCGCTCACAGCATGGCAGCTAGTTTCCAAGAGTAAGGTCTCAACAGCAAGGAAGTGAAAGCTGCCAGTTGTTGAGGTCTGGGCCTGGACACTGGCACAGCATTTCTTTTGCCTTTATCTATTGGTCAAGTCATCAAGGAGCCCTGATTCTAGGGGAGGGACCCTCGACCCTACCTCCTAATGACAGACATGCCAAAGAATTTTGGGGCCATGTTTTAAATCCCACACAGCAGATGGTATAAATCAGAGGTTCTCAACCCTGGTTGTATTTTAGAAGTATTTTGGAGTTAAAGACAAAATACCAGTGCCTTGTGACCACCTCGAGAGATTCTGGTTTGGTTGGGCTAGAGGGCAGCCTGAGAGACTGTATTTTATATTTTTTTTCTAGGTGATTCTGACATGCAAACAAGCCTCTGGGCCAAAGTTCCTGTGTCCAAGGATTAAAAAAAAAATGGAGCATAAGTCTGAGGCTGTGAACGAGGCTCCTCCTGCCCTCTGGAGCTTGCTGGAAGGAAACACAGCCCAAGAAGTGGACTAAAGAGTTGTTCCAACACCACTGCCTACAAGATGAACTGCTTCCAAATGATGATAGAGGAAAAACTTTCAGGTAAATGGACCTGCCATCATCACACATGCTTTTTCTCATATTACATTTTACCTGCAGTTTGTAAATATTATAAAAAATCAATAAAGCTGCCATATTGCTGTAATCTAATTTGTCTTTTCTGATTGTGTGAAGCTGGAGGACACATTTGGCATCACATTTTCGGACCTCAGAGAGTGATGTTAAACATTTATAGTGCACTTAATAATCTGTCAGAAATGTACAAAGGCATAATGTCTCATTAATAATTATTAAATCATTGAGTCACACAGAAGGAGATGTTCCCCTCTTTACTTACGTAATGACCAGCAACCGCTAAAACGTAGCTCATTTGTGATGCACAGCCAGCACATCTAATAGTGGAAATCTGCTTGAGGAAATTAATAAGAAATCGTATTCAGAGATAGGATTTTAGACAGCAAGAAAACATGCATATGGATTGCTGCAGTATTCAGCCAGGGCAAATAGATGTTCCCTTCCTGATCAGAGTCAGGTTAAAATTCAGCCAGATAATTGCTGAGAGGGAAGAGATGTGAAAGGAAATGATCTTATTTGCTTTCGGAGGCTAGATAACTCATTTCAATATGCCCAGCTTTGGGCTTTTATTCATAGGTATATGTATCAGTTTATGAATAAAAGAGATACATATTTTGATTTGGAATGAGGTTGGGATGGAAGGTGCAATTTGAATTTTTCAAGACTTGGATTTTATTTCCAATGCTGTTTGTGAGGATTTTTTTAGTTTTTATTTTATAAGAACTTTTTAATACCAGGCAATGTCATTTTAGTAACACATAACACAAGAATTGAATTACATCTGTTGCATATCCTCTCCCTCCCTCCAATATTCAGCCTAGAGAATTTAAAGTTTTAGCCTTTAAAAAATTTACAGGCTGTGCTTGTCTTTATAGCAGCTGATGTGAAATCAACTCTTAGCTTCCATTTTCAACCTTAAGCTTTCTTCATTCTGGGTAAACTCAAGGCTTCCCAATCCGTACTGGTGATAAGTGCATGATCCAATCAAGCTAGCTGGTGGCTCAAGGTTGTTGACTAAAGAGTTGTTCCAAATTGCAGGATTGTAAAGGGTGTCCCATGCAGTTAGCCTGGGCCTGGTAAGACATTCTGTGCCACCAACATTTCTGTGGTCAAACTTTTGAAGTTTTTCACACCTTTCACACTCATTACTGTGCTGGGGCTTGTCTTTGGTAAAAGTGTTAAATACACAATATTTGCCTTTGGTGCGCATCCTTCCAGTTCTAGGCCAATAAGCAGGCACCACGTTTCTTCCTGCCAGTAGCTGTCCTGCATGGTTGTTCAACAAGCCTCGCCCATAGATCTTTGAGCCACTGTGGGATGAAGTATTTGTTACTTGCTATTTGGGGGGAAAATTCTCAGAACATATTATTGGCATTACTCACTAAGGTTTTGGAGAGGAGAACCAAAAAATGCCTTTGAAAGTTTGGTAAGATTGACTTTCATATTAATTTGCCTAAAAAAGTTTGTGCCCTCCCTTGTTCAGAAAAGCTTTAAAGCACTTCTAAGGATGCATTCAGTTTTTCAAATCAACATAAATAGAAGTAGGTGGGAAACAAGAAGAAAAATTACTGGTGGAGTTTTTTTTTTTTTTTTTTTTGAGATGGAGTTTCACTCTTGTCACCCAGGCTCGAGTGCAATGGCATGATCTTGGCCCACTTCAACCTCTGTCTCCTGGGTTCAAGCGATTCTCCTGCCTCAGCCTCCCAAGTAGCTGGGATTACAGGTGCCTCCCACCATGCCCAGCTAATTTTTGTATTTTTAGTAGAGACAGGGTTTCACCATTTTGGCCAGGCTGGTCTTGAACTCCTGACCTCAGGTGATCCACCTGCCTTGGCCTCCCAAAGTGCTGGGATTACAAGCGTGAGCCACCACACCCAGCCTTTTTTTTCTTTCTTTCTTTCTCTTTTTTTTTTTTTTTTTTTTTTGAGACAGAGTCTCGCTCTGTCACCCAGGCTGGAGTGCAGTGGCGCAATCTCGGCTCACTGCAACTTCTGCCTCCTGGGTTCAAGAGATTCTTCTGCCTCAGACTCCTGAGTAGCTGGGATTACAGGTGCCTGCCACCATGCCCGGCTACTTTTTGTATTCTTATTTTTTTTTTAGTAGAGATGGGGTTTCACCATATTGGCCAAGCTGGTCTCCAACTCTTGACCTCAGGTGATCTACCCTGCCTTGGCCTTCCAAAGTGCTGGGATTACAGGCATGTGCCACTGTGCCTGGCCTGGTGGAGCTATTTTTTTAATAGCCAGGAATGAAGCCAAAACAGCAATGCAGACCATGCATACAGCCTGTCATTCTTTTTAACAGGTGGGCCTCAAATTGTTCTGTAAGTATTCTAGAAACTAAATGAAAAGAGACATTTGTTTGGTTGTACTATTTAGGGTTCATGAGATTAAAAACAAGCCCATTTTAAGGAGATGCACAATTCATTTTGATACTGTGGCAGGAACAACATTCTTTTCGGGACTCTCATGAATGAGCCCACTGTGTAAAGTAACAGCACCTTCAACCTTCTCATTGCAGACACCTGGGGTTACATTGGTGTTTCTTTTGTGTTTCCCAATGCAGGCTGATAACATCACATCATAGCCCATGCCAGTGAAAATCTTTCAACAGGAAGAGTGAAGAAGAGAGAAAAGGTCAAAAGACTGTTTTACTTCACGAATTTCTGTAGGTCTAGCTTAATTCAGGAGTGAACTTTAGAGTATCTAAATGGGAGGATGAAAAGGATAGATTTCATGCACCTTTGAAAATAATTTTTTTCCGCTAAATTGTGTTTTTGAGAAGTATTACAAGGCAGCAGCATGCTTAATGTTATGCTTCTAGGCAAATGCTTACAGTGTGTGTATCACATATGCCCAATTACACGTGGAACCACAGGCTCTAACAGACACTGGCTTGGGGTAGGGCTGACACAGCCTGTGCAAACTAAGGTGCTGGGAGGATGCTTTCCTGATCCAATGCCTATTCCATTTCTGCTTGGAGGTGAGGAGAAAGAATATTTGTGTGCAAAGGCAGAGGACTGAATTGTGTTTTACTACCTTTGAGCAGTTTTGCAATTACTGTTGCAGAACATGAGAATCAAAGAAGATGGGTGGATGGACCATCATAGTCAAAGTGAGTCATTGCCACAGGCAGAGGGAGGGAGGAAGCAGGATGGTTGGTCTGTGCAGATTCCAAGATACATCTATGTGGGCCTTTCTAATAAAGCATTAATTCATTCTTCCATTATTCATGCAATACATAAATTTTGAGCACTGACATGTGGTAAGCACTGTGCCAGTTAGTGGACATGCCAAGAGAAAAAACACATGGTTTGGGCCTCTTCATATATTTTTGTACTTATCTTCCACAGGTAGAACAATGTTCCTTTTGCATTCGACAGATATTTTGGAGCTCACAATTTGTTTTTCAGCTTCTCACAGCAACGACCTCTGAAGAACAGGGCCTAAGCTTACTAATATGAACACATGATATCAATTTTGTGTTCCAGTAATGACAGAAGTCCTGATGCCAAAGGCAGCATTGTTTTCATTCTCTTGCTTTAAAACTGAGTAATAATATAATGATTAGGAATTACTGTTAGCAACACAGATAAGAGTTAGTCATTCACACTTCCACAGTGGAACAACTGTTGGGAAGCTATAGCTTTATGCTGAATGATTTTGAGTTCTAATTACTGAATCTGAATAGCTGTCTTTAAATGTCAGTAATGGTAGAAAAAGGTTCTTTACTCTTAAGAACCAGTGGGGAATGAGCAGTACAAAATGTTCTTGTTAAAATTTCTCTTCTCTTTTTAAAATAGATGATCAAAGACATCCTAGAGTTCCCATCATTTTAGGAGATGTTTACATACATGAGGAATGGCACATAGGAAGACTCAGACCTTTACAACACCACATGGAAGTCACAGAATAAGAGAACATTCAAGCTGGAAGGCAATGTCTAGCCCAACCTCCTCATTTTGCAGATGAAGGAACTGTTTTAGTGCAGGGGTATTACATATAAACATCACAAGGGCAGAGCAGGTATGGAGTTTGGGGCTCCTCTTACTCAATCTAGTGGCCTGTCAATGGTGTCTAGTAGGGTGCTGGTTGTCCCATTCCTCCTTGCTGTCAGATGTCTATTTCATTGCTGCCATAAGTGTGGCTAGCCCCAGGGGAGGAATGGTGACCATCAAGACAATCACACTCTCCTTTGCCAGGGAGTATGTTCTGGCTTGTGATATGTAATGGGAGCTTTGCTGGTGCTCTTTGGAAAAGTTTTGCCTTGCTGACAACACGCAGGCACTTGAGAACAGAGTCCTTTTGCTAATACCTTCCTTTCTTCTTTGAACAGTCATGGGAGGATATCAGGCTTAGAGCTGTGATAGCTCTTTTGTGATCCTAAGAGGAGATTGTTGCCATGGCACCGAAGTTGCAGACTAGGAGGAGAAAATCAGCCCTATCCTTGTTGAAATCATTGATCTGAGCTAGCCTGGGACTGACTACCTCTTCCTGCTAGGTTAATAGGACTCTCCTTTGGCTTAAGCCAGACAAGAGGGTGCTTGGTATATTCAAGGATAGACAAGGGTCCAATGTGATTGGAGAGCAGTGAATCATAGGGAGAAAAGAAGATGAGGTGAGTAGGTAACAGTAGGCCAGATCAGGTAGGGTTTTATAACATGGTGAAGGTTTTTAGCATTTACTCTGTCGTGTGAGCAGAAGAGTGATTTTATTCTGAGTTATGTGTAACTGGATCACCCTGGCTGATATGTTAAGAAAAGACTGTGAGAGGTTGAAGGTAGAACCAGGGAAACCTGTTGAAACTCTTTTGACACGATCCAGGGAAAAGATGGCAATAGCTTAGACCAGTGTAGTAGTGAAAAAAGTGGCAAGACATCACAGATTCTGGATACATTTTAAAGGTAATGATAAAAATTTTCTTGACATAATAAGGGGAAAGAGAGATAGATATATAGATATTGAAAGAGAGAGAGAGAATGAGAGAGAGAGAGAGTCAAAGATGACCTAGTCTGAACAATGGGAAGGATAAAGTTGTCCTGAACTGAGATGAGGGTGACTTTAGGAGGAATAATTTTAGGGGGAGAAGATCAGAAGTTCTGATATGATCAAGTTAAGTTTGAGGTGTGTATTAGACTTATAAATAGAGATGTTGAGTGGACTGTCAGATCTTAAAGCTGCAATTTAGGGGAGAAATCCATGCTGGAGATATACATTCAGAAATTAAAAAAATCATATTGATTGTGTTTAAAGGCATGAAACTCAATGTAATCTGCAAGGAGATTAGTATGGATAGACAAGAGAAGAGACCCAGAGACTGAACTCTAGGGCACTCCAACTATTAGAGGTGGGAGGGATGAAGATAAACTCAAGAATGAGGGTGACCAACCAGGAAGGCAGAAGGGGAATCAGGAGAGAGGGTGGTTCTGGAGGCCAAATGAAGAAGGTTTAGAAGGAGGAAGGAATAATGAACTCTGTCAATAAAGGCAAGTCAATAGACTCAAACCCTCATTCCAGCATACAGGGGGATGACTATGTTGTCTCTTTTTAATATTTTCTGGTAGTTTTGGTAAAAGTGAGGGGATTGTGCTTGCATTTATCCAAATTGCCTTTGCCTCCAAGGTCACCTTATTTAGCGTTCTTAATCTCTACTCTACATTTTGACTCCTCTGTTTACTGTCTCATTTTGTTACCACATCACTATATTGGAAACCTCCCTGACCATCCTCTTACCACAGCCCACCAACTCCAGCATGTGTGTGTTAGATTGAATAGTAGATTTAAGGGCAACTTGCGGATGACATCACAGGGCAGCCCAACACGAAGTTGAATGAATCAGTCAGGGTAGGCTTGGTTATGTTGTAGTAACAAACAGCCCCAAATCTCCATGGCTAAAACCAACAAATGTAACTCATCAAATGGGCAAATAAAATTTGTGCATTTCACTATATGTATATTTTGTCAAAAAAATCACCTGCAAACAAATATTGGGCTCTACTAAGTGATATGCATACTGAAGTGGTTAGGCTGAGATGTACTAATGTCTGCAACTTATTGAAATGTATCCAATAGGTAAAATTAATTGATGGGTGGATAGAGGAATGTACAGATGTGTGATAAAACAAATATAGGAAAATGTTAATTGTAGGATCTAGATGGTGGGTACAGAAAAATTCACTGTAAAATTCTGTTAATTTCTGAATGTTTGAAAACTTCCATAATAAAATTAGAAAAACATCAACAACAAATATAGTTTATGCCGTGCATCACCACAGGTCAGCAGGGGGCTCTGCTCCACACAGACACTCAGGGAACCAGGCTTAAGTAGCCACCATCTCAAATGCTTTGTATCACCATGGCAGAGGGGAAGAGAGCTCTGGAGACAATTAAATGTATTTGATGGAAGTGACACGAGTCATGTCACTTCTTTCAGCTTTTTAGGGAGAACTCATCATATAACCCAACTCAATTATGGGGGTTCAGGAAGTACAAGTCAACCATGTGCTCAGAAGTGGAAATTGTAGAAATATTAGGCAAACATTACTAGTGATATCTAGATGAATAATTAGATGTCCTTGTTCTTTAAAGCCCCTTAGCCATTTCCACTGCTAGAGAATTGTTAATAGTGGTATTTTTATCCCAGTCTCAGCTTCTTGCTGATTTGTTGGGCTCTCTCTTCCTTTGCTTATCCACCTCTTACTTTCCTGTTAATTTCTTGTATAAAACACTTCATACTCCTTAGTTTTAGTTATTCCAGGATATACCTGTGGGGCCTTAAGTCCTTAATGAAGCTCATTTTATTTACTTAATTTTCCCTGAGAAGTATTTCATGATAACCATCAGTGATCACATCCTCCCCTGTCTCCTGCCTGACCAGGGTGCTCATAGCTGGGAGATGCTGTGTGATTCTACCTCTGTGGCTTGGGAGGCAGTTTGCTGTGGTGCTGGAGAGTGTGGAGTCTGCAGACAGGTCACTCCAGCTCCCCCACTTCCTGGCTTCTTGAGGTGGGCAAATGCTTCTCTGTGCATTAGCATCCTCATCTTTAAGATGGAGATGCTAATAATATTTCTTACCTTGTATAATTGTTGTGAGAATTAAATGAGTTAATACATGAAAGTGTTCAGCTTACTAAGGGCTCAATAAGTAGTGGTCATTATTATTATTAGCAGGAAGTAACTTTAGACAGACTACTTAACCTTTCACAACGCTTATCTATGTGTAAAACAAACTCCAGGGGATATAAGCTACTGCATCAAAGTGCTCCTTCATGATTAATTTTTTTTCTGCTTATGTCATGGCTGAAAGAGCTCAAGGAGCAACACAGGTTGGGATTCTGTTCAGATCCCCCTAGAAAGCAGGGCTATTCATATCTACACAGCTCATAGTTGAGGCAGGCTGCTGCCTGATAAGGACTTGACATTGAAAGTTATTTAAGTGTTGGACATAGGCTTCCCTTTTTCCAAATGTTTCCTGGATTCAGTTTGAAGCTGTGAACAACCAAGGTGTTTTGAAAGTTTGAAAAAGGTGACTATTATATAAGAGAAACTATTACACAGTTAGAGAGACCTATGTTAAATTTGGATATATGTATTTTTCCTTTCCTCCCCATTTATTTCCCCCTCTAATAAACAAATATATATTTAATGAACAGTACTAGGCTCTGGGGATAAGTGGTAAACAAAATAAGCAGTCTTAGCTCCCACAGCATTTATAAATAATAGAGAAATAGACAAGTAATCGAGTATTTGTAATAAAAAGTTTAGCTGAGTAAGAATAGAATACATGAAAATTATTGAATTTATCATCCAGAAAATATCTGTGATTGTATCTCTATATCTATCATACATGTCTTAAGATGAATAAGAGATATCATATAAGAACAGATAATCTTTGCTTATGGTGTTATTAAAAATACTTTATATCAATCCATTTATATGGTCCTATAGCATCTCTGGAAGGTATTTAATCTTTTATTTCTCTATTTATTCATCTATCTATCCATGCACCCATCCATCCATTCACCCATCTATCCAAACTTATTTAACACCTTGACTGTTGTAGGCCTTTCACTTGATATTGGGTCTAATAATATATGGTTCTAGATTTAGAGGATCCTACTATTAAATAGGGGATGACAACAGATAAACACACAGTTGTTTTATTTTTTTTATTTTTATTTTTTATTATTATTACTATTATTATTATTATTATTTTTTTAATTATACTTTAAGTTTTAGGGTACATGTGCACATTGTGCAGGTTAGTTACATATGTATACATGTGCCATGCTGGTGCACTGCACCCACTAACTCGTCATCTAGCATTAGGTATATTCCCAATGCTATCCCTTCCCCCTCCCCCCTCCCCACCACAGTCCCCAGAGTGTGATATTCCCCTTCCTGTGTCCATGTGAACTCATTGTTCAATTCCCACCTATGAGTGAGAATATGCGGTGTTTGGTTTTTTGTTCTTGCGATAGTTTACTGAGAATGATGATTTCCAATTTCATCCATGTCCCTACAAAGGACATGAACTCATCATTTTTTATGGCTGCATAGTATTCCATGCTGTATATGTGCCACATTTTCTTAATCCAGTCTATCATTGTTGGACATTTGGGTTGGTTCCAAGTCTTTGCTATTGTGAATAATGCCGCAATAAACATATGTGTGCATGTGTCTTTATAGCAGCATGATTTATAGTCCTTTGGGTATATACCCAGTAATGGGATGGCTGGGTCAAATGGTATTTCTAGTTCTAGATCCCTGAGGAATCGCCACACTGACTTGCACAATGGTTGAACTAGTTGACAGTCCCACCAACAGTGTAAAAGTGTTCCTATTTCTCCACATCCTCTCCAGCACCTGTTGTTTCCTGACTTTTTAATGATTGCCATTCTAACTGGTGTGAGATGATATCTCATAGTGGTTTTGATTTGCATTTCTCTGATGGCCAGTGATGATGAGCATTTTTTCCTGTGTTTTTTGGCTGCATAAATGTCTTCTTTTGAGAAGTGTCTGTTCATGTCCCTCGCCCACTTTTTGATGGGGTTGTTTGTTTTTTTCTTGTAAATTTGTTTGAGTTCATTGTAGATTCTGGATATTAGCCCTTTGTCAGATGAGTAGGTTGCAAAAATTTTCTCCCATGTTGTAGGTTGCCTGTTCACTCTGATGGTAGTTTCTTTTGCTGTGCAGAAGCTCTTTAGTTTAATGAGATCCCATTTGTCAATTTTGTCTTTTGTTGCCATTGCTTTTGGTGTTTTGGACATGAAGTCCTTGCCCACGCCTATGTCCTGAATGGTAATGCCTAGGTTTTCTTCTAGGGTTTTTATGGTTTTAGGTCTAACGTTTAAATCTTTAATCCATCTTGAATTGATTTTTGTATAAGGTGTAAGGAAGGGATCCAGTTTCAGCTTTCTACATATGGCTAGCCAGTTTTCCCAGCACCATTTATTAAATAGGGAATCCTTTCTCCATTGCTTGTTTTTCTCAGGTTTGTCAAAGATCAGATAGTTGTAGGTATGCGGCGTTATTTCTGAGGGCTCTGTTCTGTTCCATTGATCTATATCTCTGTTTTGGTACCAGTACCATGCTGTTTTGGTTACTGTAGCCTTGTAGTATAGTTTGAAGTCAGGTAGTGTGATGCCTCCAGCTTTGTTCTTTTGGCTTAGGATTGACTTGGTGATGCGGGCTCTTTTTTGGTTCCATATGAACTTTAAAGTAGTTTTTTCCAATTCTGTGAAGAAAGTCATTGGTAGCTTGATGGGGATGGCATTGAATCTGTAAATTACCTTGGGCAGTATGGCCATTTTCACGATATTGATTCTTCCTACCCATGAGCATGGAATGTTCTTCCATTTGTTTGTATCCTCTTTTATTTCCTTGAGCAGTGGTTTGTACTTCTCCTTGAAGAGGTCCTTCACATCCCTTGTAAGTTGGATTCCTAGGTATTTTATTCTCTTTGAAGCAATTGTGAATGGGAGTTCACTCATGATTTGGCTCTCTGTTTGTCTGTTGTTGGTGTATAGGAATGCTTGTGATTTTTGTACATTGATTTTGTATCCTGAGACTTTGCTGAAGTTGCTTATCAGCTTAAGGAGATTTTGGGCTTAGACGATGGGGTTTTCTAGATAAACAATCATGTCGTCTGCAAACAGGGACAATTTGACTTCCTCTTTTCCTAATTGAATACCCTTTATTTCCTTCTGCTGCCTGATTGCCCTGGCCAGAACTTCCAACACTATGTTGAATAGGAGCGGTGAGAGAGGGCATCCCCGTCTTATGCCATTTTTCAAAGGGAATGCTTCCAGTTTTTGCCCATTCAGTATGATATTGGCTGTGGGTTTGTCATAGATAGCTCTTATTATTTTGAAATACGTCCCATCAATACCTAATTTATTGAGAGTTTTTAGCATGAAGGGTTGTTGAATTTTGTCAAAGGCTTTTTCTGCATCTATTGAGATAATCATGTGGTTTTTGTCTTTGGCTCTGTTTATATGCTGGATTACATTTATTGATTTGCATATATTGAACCAGCCTTGCATCCCAGGGATGAAGCCCACTTGATCATGGTGGATAAGCTTTTTGATGTGCTGCTGGATTCGGTTTGCCAGTATTTTATTGAGGATTTTTGCATCAATGTTCATCAAGGATATTGGTCTAAAATTCTGTTTTTTGGTTGACACACAGTTGTTTTATAGTGGCAGGTAGGGTATACATGGTGGACATAGAAGTTTTCCAGGTAGGGCATAAATGATAGGTATAGAAGTTTCCAGTTGTTCTGATTATCTATTATTATGTAACAATTCATCCCAAAACTTAATGTATTAAAGCAAGCCAAGGATTCAGGAGCAATTTAGTGGAGCAGTTCTGGCTCAGGGTCTGTATAAGGTTGCCGTCAGGCAGTGGCCCGGGCTGGGGTCATGGGTGAGGCTTATTCACTAACATGTCTGGCACCTGTGCTGAGAAAACAGAAGCAGCTGGGAGACAGTGTAGTGTGACAGGTCTCCCACCAGGTTACTTAGGAGTGTATGTCCACTGCCTGAACCCTGAAGGCCAGGTGGTGAGCCAAGGCCATGGTGCCCAGCCGAGGAACAGGTGTCCTTGAGAACCGAAACATCTCACAGAGTATCTGGGGACATAACAAAGAAAATATTCCCATCACACACACACACAGGAGGCAAAGAGCCAGAAAATCAGCTTAAAAGCAGCTTAGGGATGGGAGACAGAGTGGATCTTCTGAGCTGCCCTGCCCAGGAGTGCCCTGTATGCAAGTCTTCATAAACTCATCTACTTGTCAGGCTGGACTTGTCCAAGTCATTCTTTGGTCTCTTTGCTCCTTCCCAGTTGCGGGAGGAGAGGGAGGGAGATGTTATAGTCCAAAGTTTTTCTCATAGCTGATGGAACAGCAGGAGCCATTGGGGACTTTTGGCCATCTCTCTCCATCTCTATTTGGCTTCTCCATATAGTTTATCTTGCTTGGTGGCTTCATGGTGTATGGACTTCTTACATGGTGGTTCAGGGCTTTAAAAGGCACATGTCTCTAAAGAGGGTGAAAGGCATAAGCCATTATCACCTTTCATAACTAGTCTTGGATATGGTGCAGCATGGATTTCATGTATTCTATGCGTGGAAGCTGTCATAGGCTTGCTCAGGATTAAGAGGAGGAGAAATAGATTTCATCTCTTGACGGGCAGCGAGGCAAGGTCCTGGAAGAGCATGTGGGACCAGAAATATCCCTGTGGTTCTTTCTAGAATATGCAGACTGCCACTGCATACTTTTCTTTTTGTAAATAGTCTTCTTAAATTGATGCATAATAGATGTACGTAGTTTTGAGGAATACATGATAATTTCATACATAGTATAATTGGTAAAGATCAAATAAGTGTATTTGGGATATCTATCACCTTAAATATTTGTCTTGTCTTTATGCTAGAAACATTCAAATTATTCTCTTGTAGCTATTTTGAAACGTACGATAGATTATGGTAAACTATAGTCACCCTACCGATCTTTCTAACACTAGGTCTTAATTCTTCTATCAAACTGTGTATTTGTGTCCATTATAATATTTTCCTTAATGAGAGGGTGTGCAGGCGCAGTGTCGAAACCTCCACAGCTGAGGTGGTGCTTCGACAGTTCAACTATGGGTAGGAGTTGACAGTCTGGATTAGATAGGCAGGACATATTTATTATTCCCACTTTCTATAGGGAAAAACCAAGGTATAAAAAAGTTGATAAAGACACCTAAGGTCAGCAGCTTTTGTAAAGGAAGTGCTGAAAATGGTTTATATTTTCTTCACCTTTAGCTCAGTTCTTGAGACAGCCAAGAGATTCTCACCCAGGGTGTGGAGCATTTTCTCACCCCAGCTCCAAGAGGCACAACAGAAGCTCCCAGAATGGGGCCTGAGAGCTTTGGTTTATCAGAAGGAAACAGATGTTAGAAAAGGTAAAATATGTTGGATTAGATCCTCTTGCTGCAATTAATTGTAGACTTGTTTCTTGAGTTCTTTGATTCTGATATCTGTTGTTTAATTAATGAGGAATTCTTAATATGAAATCCCAGATATTGGAGATTCTAGGAAGAAGCCAGATATTGAATTTGAGGGGAAAAGAAAAACCTTTACTTCATAGAGTTAATTCCTCAAGGAGTTTCCAGGTAAATAGTTAGGATTGAGTTAGTGATTCACTGCTTTCTCCTCTTGTCTGATGTATGTAGACCTTTGGAGATTATTGAATGTGGAGAATACTTTCATTCTTTAGAGATTTTCAGGTCAATATGTGTTTATTGAGAGCCTGCTATGTGCCAGAAACTGTTACAAGTTGCGGGAACAAAATGCATGTACCACAGTATTTCCTCTCAAAGGGCTTACATATAGTTACTTTAAATGTCAAACTAGAAATGCTATGATATCTCGATATGTATGCACTGCTATGCCAGCACTGACATTGCTCTGGGGGATAGGGGCGGTCCTGCAGGAAGGCATGGTGGGCAGAGTCAGGAAAGATGCACAGGAGTTCCCAGGCACAGCAGGTGGGAAGCAGGCAGAATAAAAAAAAACACACATGCACACACAATCTCGTGGAGCTTCATGCAATCCAGTATTAACTGAATTGGTAAGGATCGTGAATAAAATTCATTTTCTGTCCTGTCATAGTAGATTCCATTTGTCCACATCAGTTGGATTTCTTAGCTAATGCCTTCCTGCACCTTTATGGATCAGATATAGAACGACTCTATCTTCTCATTTGCTTAAACAAATTATAAATATATAAAGTGGGAAGCATTGACTGTATTTCAAATCCTCTTTGTGTAGTTCATAGAGCTGCAGTTCCCATACCTTGTCAATATTAACCTTTCAAGTCAGTTTTCACTTTGGGTGCACGGAGTTCTCAATCTTCAGGAACTAACTGCTTTGCTGATACCAGGGAGGATTCGATTCCTGTTTTAAATGTGTTTCTACTTGTAGTCTTCCCCTTAAATGAAAAGATTGGCTATGTCTTGCTTTAACAGCAACTTTTCAGTTTCCAACACATTTGATTTGTGGCTGCCAGGGAAAGCAGAACCAAGGATCTTCAGACAAAAATTCCAGAGCCTCTGCTTCTGCTATAGGCTTTGCATCTCTCTTTGCTGGGGTGCTTTCTTGATAATTCTCAGAGGTTTGTCCTATCTCAGGTTCATAAATGTGCCTGAGTCATTACCACACGTCACAGCGAGGCTGATCGATTTAAAAAAGTCAGTCCCAGTTTAAACGCCCCACAGTAGGGGGATGTCTACATACATTAGGCACAGCCATGCTATTGAGCATGTTGCTATGGCTAAAATGAATGGAGTAGCTCTAGATATTCTCTGAGAGAAAGATTGCTTAAATGTATTGTTAAGTGAAAAAAAAGAGCTGCAGAGCAATACATGACACCGTTTATGTAAAGGTTACTCCCATATAACAGTAGTATATATTTCCATGGGTACACTTATGTGAGTGTAAATGCAAGGAAACATTCTGGAAGAAGAGATTGCAAAGAGTGGCAGCAGTTATCTCTGCAGAAGATAGGATTGTGGATGACTCAATAGGACTTGGTCCTCATCTATAGCAGTTGGGGATTTTTGTTACCTGTGTTTTTGTTGTTGTTTACAAGGAGAACATACTCATGTGCTACATGTGCGAATTTAAAAACTAAAGAGAAACTAAGTAGAAATGACTATTTCAGAAGATGGCTATGGGCCACTGAGAGATGGAGTGACATAGAGGAAAGGCTGTGGAATCAGACCAGCTTCCTCAAAAGCTGGCTTTTCTGCTCAGAGCTGGGTTGTCAGGTGAATCAGTTGTCTCCCCAAGCCCAGTAACTACAACTTTTCAGGGCTGTTGTGAGAATTCTATTTGATAGCTTAGAAAGAGTGCCAGGCTTACTAAATGACAGCTTTTTTCCTCATATTCTTGTATTTGGGATCCTGACTTCATGGCCTCAGCTTTAGTACTAGCCTTGACCTTTTCATGGTGAGACACCCACTTGGAGCCTCCGGTTGTTCTTTTGTTTCCAATCCCTGAAGCCCATGACTCTGCCTGAAACCCCTATTGAGAGAAGCCCTCTTCCACTCCCTGCTCCAGTCAGAGAGAATTCTACCTGCAGGGTTAATGACCTCCCAGGGGTGGCAGTGGGGAACTCAAACGTTGCTGGCGTAATTTATATTCTCATCCGACCAACACAAAGACGAATTTTTTCCAGCTCCTGGCACATTCTGAGGCTTAATGCTCCTCTGGCTATTCTCCTGAAGTTGTTCTTTTGTGTGGGAAGTGGGCCTTTGTAAATCAATGCGTATCTTGCAGAAGAGCGAGCAGTAAATAGAGAGGTGGGAAGTGCCTGCAGTTTCCTAAGGATGGGGTACAAAACAGACAGACTCTTCTGTGGCAAGTTGGCCACCTTGGCATTTGAATAATAGCAGGACTGCTGTGCATAGCGAGAGAGAGAGGGAGAGAGAGAGAGACTCCCAAGTTAGTACATGTGCAAGCCCTTGGAGGGCCTGCCTGTGTGGGACAAGACAGGTTTAGTTCTTTTTCATAAATTATTTATTTATTCATTTATTTATTACAAAATCCTTTCCCTATTGCACTTTCCAGGACAATAGAAAATGTTGCTTTTTTATTCATTTTGTTTTCCTCCAGAACCCAGTGCCCACAGGGATATTTTGTTGCATGCTTGTTAATTTAAAGAGTATGTTTGAAAATTTGTTTGAGTTCTTTGTAGATTCTGGATATTAGCCCTTTGTTAGATGAGTAGATTGCAAAAATTTTCTCCCATTCTTTAGGTTGCCTGTTCACTCTGATGGTAGTTTCTTTTGCTGTGCAGAAACTCTTTAGTTTAATTAGATCCCATTTGTCAATTTTGGCTTTTGTTGCCATTGCTTTTGGTGTTTTAGACAAGAAGACTTGCCCATGCCTATGTCCTGAATGGTACTGCCTAGGTTTTCTTCTATGGTTTTCATGGTTTTAGGTCAAAAAACAAACAACCCCATCAAAAAGTGGGCGAAGGATATGAACAGACACTTCTCAAAAGAAGATATTTATGCAGCCAACAGACACATGAAAAAATGCTCATCATCACTGGCCATCAGAGAAATGCAAATCAAAACCACAATGAGATACCATCTCACACCAGTTAGAATGGTGATCATTAAAAAGTCAGGAAACAACAGGTGCTGGAGAGGATGTGGAGAAATAGGAATGCTTTTACACTGTTGGTGGGACTGTAAACTAGTTCAACCATTGTGGAAGACAGTGTGGCTATTCCTCAAGGATCTAGAAGTAGAAATACCATTTGACCCAGCCATCCCATTACTGGGTATATACCCAAAGGATTATAAATCATGCTGCTATAAAGACACATGCACATGTATGTTTATTGCGGCACTATTCACAATAGCAAAGACTTGGAACCAACCCAAATGTCCATCAGTGATAGACTGGATTAAGAAAATATGGCACATATACACCATGGAATACTATGCAGCCACAAAAAGAATGAGTTCATGTCCTTTGTAAAGACATGGATGAAGCTGGAAACCATCATTCTGAGCAAACCATCGCAAGGACAAAAAACCAAACACTGCATGTTCTCACTCATAGGTGGGAATTGAACAATGAGAACACTTGGACACAGGAAGGGTAACGTCATGCACCGGGGCCTGTCATGGGGTCGGGGGAGGGAGGAGGGATAGCATTCGGAGATATACCTAATGTGAATGACGAGTTAACGGGTGCAGCACACCAACATGGCACATGTATACATATGTAACAAACCTGCACGTTGTGCACATGTACCCTAGAACTTAAAGTATATATAAAAAATAAAAGAGTATGTTTGAGACCCTGGTTCTTACAACTGTCTTTATTTCTTTCTAATAATATGATAAATGTGGATTTTCTGTTGTTGATGGAGATGACAGATTTCCTGTGGATGTCTGGAGAAATGAACACTCCGCCCAAGGAGGTGGCTGCATGGAGTGCTGACAGGTTTGGACTTCTCCTTAAATGGTCCAGGCAGCTGGTGAACGATGGGAATTTAGAGAATCTGGCCTCTTTCCTCAGGAAGCATCCGTTCTTCTGGATCCTCCTGCCCTGTTGTCTGAAACTTCTACTCTAAGAGTCTCCTGGGGTGATTCCAGTAAAATGTAAAATTGTCGAGGAAGAGGAGTTGGTCAAATCAGGGACTCTCAAATGATTGTAACACTAGCTCCTCCCCACCAATTTTCCTGAAAAAAATGCCTGATAGACATAGCATTCACTATCACCTATCAAATGCTACCAATATAAATGGCACAGTAAAGGTTTAAGATGTTCTCAAGTAAACAAAGTTGTTTCTGTTTGTTTTACTGGGTAAAGTGATTCTCACGTAAAGTCTCTTATTGTCTTGAGGAACCTGTGTTCCCAGAACATAGGTTAGCAGTTCAGTGACATTTACCAACAATCTGGTGGAATTAGATTATTATTTTCCCCTGGCACGCTAACAAGTCTCTGAGAGCCTAAGACAAAGAAGTGAAGCCATTAAAAAGAAAGTCAACCCTGGAGTTTTCTCCAAGGGAGGTGCATGTTCAGTGTTCAAATGTCCTGCAGTGCCCTGGCTAATTGATTAGCAGGAAGCCTCATGGCACGACCTCTTTTCCATACTGGCTCAAAGTTTGCATTGTCTTAAAGAAAATTGTGTTCCACTATATACAATGATTAAGTTGTTTCAGAATTTTCTAGCAAGCTATGGATCCTTATACTACTTAGAGTACACTTCAAATGGAGTTATATACTAAACCAAACTTCCTTTCTTCTTTTCTGCCTTTTCATTTCTCGATTTCTCTTTTCTTCCCTCCCTCCCTTCCTTTCTTCTTTCTTTTTCTCTGTCTCCTTCTCTTTCTCCTTCTTCTTTCCTCTTTGCTTTTCTTAAATAGTTCCTTTAAGGAAATAGACTAAGGGGACCCTTTTCATGCTAGGTCCCCTACTTGCTTCCTTAAAATATTTTCTCAATTAACCAGTTGTAAATATCCCACTCACTTCTGAACTTCACTGTCACTTACACTTAGCTCCTTCCAAGTTGTATTTGTTGACACGTTTTCTTCCTCCTTGCTCCTCCTCCTCTTCCTGCTCCTTCTCCTCTTCCTTTTTTTGCCTTTTTCTTCTTCCTCTTCTTCCTTTCTGACTTCTTCTCTTCCTCTTCCTCCTATTTCTCCTTTTTCTTTTTTCTCTTATTTAAATAACACAGAGTCAGTAGAGATAGAAACTAAGAGACTAGACATTGGAGTTAGATAGACCTTGGCTCAAATCCTGACTTTGCTCTAGTGGACATTGCAGCCTGGCTGATCGATCTCCATTTCCAAGCTCTTTATTCTTTGTCTTACTCTGTTAGGGATTCTGTAAATGCTAAAAGTGAAAGCAGCTAGTATTGGTCACATAATGTTATTCTGGTAAATGAGTTATTACATGTTGATATTATTTTAAAATATGGGTTGGAGAAGGCATAGCTCATCCTATATGGGATGCTAGATGCTTTACCATTCTTCATTAGAGCCATTTCTTCTATTTTCATGGTACTCCAGTACAGAATTTGTGATATTTTTGTGATATTTTTTACTAAAATTTTGTTGAAATCTTACTACCACACAATAGAACTTAGAATAAGTTGGGGTCCACATAATTCTCCCAGCAAGTGATTGAGACCAAAGAGTCAAGGGGATCCTGGAATATGGTGCTGTCAGCCAAATGCCTAGAGTGTTGCCTGCTTCCAGGTTGGGATGGGTCAAGACCGAGCATGTCAGAGCAGAGTAGCATGACTCTACTCTGAGGGTCCCAGAGTAGGTTGGCTGAACTGGGGAGGCAGTAACAACTGGAGTTGTGGATTATCAGGGTCAGTGTCTATAGGAAACAAAGTTGTACCTGGAGAAATAGACAAAATGTTAAGCCTGAGGAATAAGAGGAGAACACAGACATCAAGGTCGGCACATCGCAGAATAAATACACCAACAGTGCTGTATAGCAATGGCTAAGCAGTGACTCTTCATGGCATTCCTGTTCTGAAATGGCCCATAGCAGTTTGCTGCATGTGAGCTGTGCACTGCCTCACAGAGGCAGGTTAGAGCAGACAATAGCACTCATCTCAAAAACCTTCTATTGTTGTAGATCGTCACCATGGGAGATACACCAAAAGATTTTCCCTATAGGTCTTAGTTCACTGACAGCATAAAGATGTATTGCTGGCTCTCTTTGCCAATTTCCGTGGATTTCTTTTTTCCAGTTCTGCAGAAGATGGTACATTTGAATGTACCTTGGCTTTACCACCCATCCCCTCCAGGCATTTAAACGATCTTTTTATCATCCCAGTCTACAGAGCGTGGCTCCTTAACTCTCTGCCAAGGATCACTCAGTGAATGAAGCCAAATGTGGTGGTTTGTAGAGGTGTGTTGACTCCTAGTGTTGGAGCAATTGTCTGAGCACAATGTATTGAGTGTTTTTCTTGTCACTGGGTCATGAAGGCAGCTTGTCTCTGGTGTCAGTGGAAAGTTGGCATTTTTAGGCTGATGACTGACTTCTGGGGTCTTTTCTCTCCATAAGGTAAGATATTGATAACTTTTAAAGATTAAGAGAGGAGGGCTTCAATTATTTTTCATAGCACTTTGGAGGTCTGTGGCCTTCATTCTGCAAAAGTGTATCTCATAGAAGACCACCTGATACATAATTCAAATTGGAAACATGCACTATGCAAAAGCCATGCAGAATGTATGCATTCGCAAAGCAAGTTAGAGCAGTCAACATCCATGTCCTCTTAGACTGTGTTTTATTTTGCATCCTGCTTTTTTGCTGTTTGTTCTCTGCTTTCAGAGCCTCCACATACTGTTATAAGCCATGCTTACAAATTGTGCAGGTTGTGTGCACTGCAAAAGTGTGTCTCCTTTAAGGGGGCTCCATTATAGTAAATACATCATGGCTTTGTATACTTATTATATAAAACTTTTTGGCAGATGGCAGCATCTTGTTTGAACAAATCTGGAAAATTTTCTAACAGAGGGAGTGATGTATCTTGAGGAAGGGGTACTTTTTCCTTATTTGCACAAAGGTCCCAAATAAACTAGAAAACTTAAAAGGCTGAGAGTGTTTTTTCCTGGCCTCAATGTACGAAGGTAGCTGTATCAGGCCATTCTTGCATTGCTATGAAGAAATATCCAAGACTGAGTAATTTATAAGAAAAGAGGTTTGATTGGCTCACAGTTCTGCGGGCTGTACAGGAAACATAGTGCTGACATCTCCTTCTGGGTAGGACTCAGGAAGCTTTTACTCATGATGGGAGGTGAAGGGGAAAAGGCACGTCACATGGTCAAAGTAGGAGCAAGTGAGAGAGAGTAGGGAGGGAGGTGCCGCACACTTTTAAATGACCAGAACTTGTGTGAACTCAGAGCAAGAACCCATTTATCACCAAGGGGATGGACCGAGCCATTCATGAGGGATCTGCCCACCATGATCCAAACACCTCCCACCAGGCCCCAACTTCACCACTGGGGTTTACATTTCATGGGCAGGCACAAATATCCAAACTATGTCAGTAGCCAAGTGTCCATGTGGCCCTACCTAGATATTATTTGGGAGGTGGAAGCTCATCTAAGAGATGGGGAGATGGGCTCTTCATGGGAGTTGGGGAGGCAGCACTGGCTTGAGACTCTTCTCTTCAGAAACTCAGGATGTTTTCCCTATGACCAGGGAAGGGATTGGGAGTGGGCTCCGCAAGAAGTGGAAACCTGAGGTCTACTTGTTCACAGCATGCTGGATGGAATGGTGGTGCCACTGAACCAAGGAAGAACAAACCTACTTGGAAGTCTTGGCAAAAGTTCTCTGAGGTCCAGCTTGGCACAGGTCGAGGAACATTCTACCTTCTAAATGGGCCTTGCCAAACTGGTCACTGAGCATCTTAGCAGGAACTAATAGGGATGTCAGAACACTGGTCCCTCCCTTAAATACACTGGTTTATGTAAGCAATTTTCCCCTCCCTAGGACTTCTGTGTGTATATCTGTGATATCAAGTGTCTCACCAAGTTACATCCAACATGAAAACAAAAAAATGTGTGGCTTCTTGTATCCAAGTCCAGCAGAGCAAATCTATACGCTCTACACCTGAGAACAGGTGATATGTTTAGCTCAACCACAATGTTTTCAAAACAGGTCTCTCATGCCAGTCACTGCAAACAAGTGTGACTTAGATAAAATCTGACTTTAGCATTTTTTCACTTTCTTTAAAAACACCTCCTCCCATTCAGCTTCATCTGTTTCTTCACTCCAGAAACCCAGCACCCATCTGGTGCATGTTGGCTGCCCCAGATTGCTCTTCTTGCAGGAGGCACCCCACACTCTCCTTCTTGGCTCACACCAGATCCTGTCCAAGCATACGTGTCCTGTGACACTTCCCTTCCAGACCTACCTATCCTCTGATAACAAACCCTGGGTGATGCATTAATGACTTATGGTGAAATGATGTGTTATCACACTGTTAAAGCCAAAAAACAAGACTGAGACCAAATTAGTAAATGCTGTGTATTCACAATCTTGCAGCTGCAAGAGAAACATCTACTGTCACCTTCATTTCAGCAGAAGTTTGAAGGGGCTAGAAAGGTTTTATAGACTGAAAAGAGGAAGTCTTGAGACAGTCTCTGATTGCTCACTCAGTTGGAATGGTTTCTGATTGGTCTTTCAGTACCTTTGGTAGTCTTTAATTTGTCCACTGTCCATTTTTATGCATCTGGGGAATTTTCAAGCTGGGCAGAATTGGAAGGGCTTTTCTACCTTTTCTGGGCTATCTTATGATAGCTGTATCTTAACTCCAGAGGGCAAAGTGGGATATCTGGGCCTGGCAGAGACCAGACAGGACTTCTTTATTTTGTGCAAGAATGTGTTCTTTTTACTTTCAATAATGAAGTTCTTCAAGAAATATTTTCTCATTACTGGGATTCTATCCTTCCTTCGGTTCTGTTTCAACAGAAGCAGTAGCAGCAACAACAAAACAAAATTAAAGAAAATCTATTGTTTACTGAATACTTACTAAGTACAGAGTCTACAAGCTATGTTTAATGATTTCCATTTTAATAAAAGAGAAACTGAGGCTCAGAGAGGTTGAGTGATTATACCATGGGTCATCAGGTAGAAAGCTAGTGAGAGTCAGCATTGAGACTCAGGCCTGTTTAGTTCTGAATACCGTGATGTTTCAACTGTACCATTTCGTTATGGCCTAACTGGATAAGGAGCCCATTAGCATCTTTGAGACGAAACTCTCTGTTTGAGCCAAATGTTAGCAGCCCACAAACATCTCCAGCTTTGCATGTAGAAAATGTGTATTCTGAAGTTTTGTATTCTTCTTCGATTTCAGCTATGGTTGTGTTAGAGAAAATGGCCCAGGATTGTTCGGAAGGGGTAGAGCTACAGGGCGGTAGGCTATGGAAGACACAAGTACACTACTGCAACCTGTTACTATGTACATTTGGTACTGAAATCTGCCACAAAAACTTTACATCTTTAGATAGAGGGTTAAAGTGAACAGTTTTAAAATTTTTAAAAGAAAGACAAAATTAGCAGTAGAGATGAGTTCCAGACACTTACTCCTCTGCTATACATTTGAGTACTTTTCTTGAATTTTCAGCTCAGTCACATGAGTCCCATAGTGCTTTTCTGGACTTACTGTCTTGGTTATTTGACAATAAGGTAGAATGGCAGCAAATTGCATGGAAACAGCCTCCTGGAGTGAGAAGTGACAGCAACCATCCAAGAGAAGGCAGTGTTCTCTTTAAGTGTGTGTTTGATAGGACTTTATTGTACTTCAGGGCATGTCATAAAAATCCCTCCATCTGTCACTCTCTGGTCCTTGGGGACCTGATAACTTGAGCTTGTAGGTGTGAAAACCTTCCCCTATAGCTCCCTTCTCTAGTTCCTTGGCTTGCATACTTGGCAGGGGACAGGGGCAGGTCATCCAGGCTTGCCATTCACCACCAAGGGATTCTGTCTGCAAATGGGGTATATCATTAGTACTCAAAACCACCCAAGGAAACTGATTTTAGTTACAGTTCAGTAAGGGGCCCCTCTGGGTACAACAAGGAAACTGGAATCAGGTGTTCAGTCAGAGGAGGAGGAGAGTAATTAGAAGTTCCCACCACCCCACCCAGATGCCTGATGAATACAAATAGGAGACAGGAGACCAATAAACAGATGTCTCTGTTGTTTGTGAATTTTATTGTGGTGGAGAAAAAAGTTTATCTTGTAAATTAGAGCAGAAAGCTCATACAAATATAGTGTTACTTTTATCCACCACCAATCAATTAATATTCTTTTCCCAGTATTTTGCTCTCTCCTCATTACTTAGAGACTTGTACTACCCTTCCCTAGAGCCCTTGAGTCATATTGGGAAAGCATAAATGATATTTTCTCTTGAAGCATGATGACTCCCAAACTCCTGGGCATTAGCCAAAATCTTAATGATGCCAAGTGTCCAGAGCCAATGACCCCCTTATTTCTTTGGCCACCTGTGATACCAAAAAGGTGATGTAGAAAGGAGGGCTCATGGCTACATGAAGAGCTACCTGGAGCTACCCAGCCTAGAAAACTGAGCTGTCCTCACTTCTTCAAAGTGCTCAGAGCAGTTTTGTATTAACCAGTTATCAGCTGAGGTTCTCTGACTACTGAGATTCAAATGAAGTTGGTTCTGGACCCATTCCAGAGCCAGTGGGAATACCATTTCACTCAGCCTCTCCAGGAATTCTGGGTGGGGTGGGTTATACTTCTGCTGGCTGCCTTCAGCTTCAAGTCTCTGCTTTCCTGGCATAATTCTGTTTAGAGGCTACATTGTTGTTGCACATGTACTGTGCATCATCTGAGCTGCAGAACTCAGCCCTTTTCTTGGCTTTACCACCTTTTCCCTGCACCCCACTCCAAGGTCCTCATGTGGTGTTGACTATATTAACTTGCTCAGGCTGCCATAACAAAGAACTACAGACTAGGGGGCTTAAACAATAGAAATGTACTGCCTTATAGTTCTGGAGGCTAGAAGTCCAAGATCAAGGTGTCAGCAGGGTTGGTTTCTTCTGAGGCTGTCTGGCTCCCATGCCCCCGTTCTAACTGCTTTGCCAAACTCTTTTCTTTCTACCTGCTTTTTTGGAAAGGGCGTTTTTTTTTAAACTTCCTGTTTAGTCTTTTCCCATTGGTAATGGGAGAAAAAAAATTGAAAAGACTATTAGCTACTTGGTTTGGAAAGAAAGGAAGCTGATAAGTTAGGGATCACTTTTCATATTTGTAAATGGATAAGAAACACTGGGAGGCAGAGGACTAAAGGGAAACATGACCTTTGAAATGAGATGAACATGGGCTAATGCATGGGTTGAACATATATTTGTTCAATTGAGTATATGTGTTTATTGTTGATGAAGTCTGTGACTACAGGCATGATATTATCCTTGTCTGTAAAATGGGTATAATAAAATACATCTTACCATTGTTACGAGACTCAAAAGAGCCTATATATGTAAAGCTCCTGCCACAGAGTGGACAATCTAAGAAGGTGTCTCCCCACTTGCCTCTTTCTTTCTTCTGCATAGAACGATTTCCACAGAAAAGTAGAGTTTAAGAAGAGATCATAATTTTATGGAAGACCTCTAGATACAAATGAAAAAAAATGGAATCACTGATTCCACAGTTTCTTTATATATTCTATTCTTTCTCTGAGAGGAGATTTCAAAACTTCTGATTACTGGTACATCTAAAAGGACATGGAGGGAGATAGCTTTTGATTAGGTGAATTGTGGTAAAAATCACTGGTCTTGATCATGGGTTGTAAGGAAGCAGAGGAAGCTACTTATATCTGTACCCTGGGCCTGACAGCTGCTATTTACCTCTATGACTGGCATATGGAGGCGACTTCGGATAAAATTTTCACCAACAGACCAAATATTGCCTGCTCCTCAGGGGACCTCCTTATTGGCCTGCTTAGAATCTGCACCTTCCAAAAGTCTCAAGATTCCTCAGAAGCAAATAGCAGCAACAAATATTCTTGAGAGGACACATGTGAGGGAGGTAAATCTACTGTGCAATTTTTAATTTTCTTAAATAATCTTGCTTCTGAATCCCTGTTGAAACTAAAGAGACTGAAGTAATAACAAAGCTTTGTCATTTCATTGACCTACCATTGGCCCTCATAAAAAAGTCATCCTATGGTTAAAATTTTAGTGTGTGGTTACTAATATCATTTTAACATTCCATATTCTTTACTTTGTCTAGTAATTGTGTGGCTTCAAATAATTTTTTCTCAATGCCTGTCCAGTGTACATTATATGTAATTCCAAAATTTCAGAGAAACCTTTTCCTTTTTGTTGTTTCAATTTTAGATTCAGGGGCTACATGTGCAGAATTGTTACATGTATTGCATGATGCTGAGGTTGGGGCTTCAATTGAACCCGTCACCCAAATAGTGAACATAGTACCCAATAGGTAGTTTTTCAACCCTTGCCTCCTTCCCTCTCTCCCCACTTTTGGAGTTCCCAGTGTCTGTTGCTACCATTCAAAGAAACTTTCTACTGGCCTGAAAAATTATTATTCTATTATAGGGAAAGTGTGTGGCTTTTGTGCCTAGCATAAATGTCCTTTTTTTTTGTGGCAAGAGTGCTCCGATCCCCCATTTTCGGCCCATGTGCTTTGAGGCTAGTCTAGGTCCCAGGGTGTATCACATGATGTAAACTAGCCAGTCAGTGCATTCCATCTTTCTCGCCATGGTGATTCATTCAGCATTAGGCACAAGACCAAAGACAGGTTTGTCAAGGTCAATAAGGCCCTATTCGGGGACTGAGTATATATAGTTTTATGGGACTTGGATTCTCTTTCTTCCTGTGGACAATAAAAATATAAACTGCTGGGCCCAGTTCTGAGGATTTTGAGGATGAAGCCATCAAAAAGAAAGTAGAGTTAAGAGCTCATTCCTGGTGACATTGTTTGGGCCCTGAAATGAGCCCCAATAGACTTTTCAGCTTATGTCAATATAAGCAGTAACTTTTTTTTCTTAAGTCGTTTGGATCAGATTATGTGAAATTTGCAATGGTTGAGTCCTGACTTAAATAAAATACTGTTATTTATGAACACATTCTTTTTGATTAGTTAGAATCCTATAATTTTAGACTTAGAAGGAAACTAATAGATCAGCCTTTTTTTTTTTTTTTTTTTTTTTGAGATGGAGTCTTGCTCTGTCACCTAGGCTGGAGGGCAGTGGTGTGATCTTGGCTCACTGCAACCTCTGCCTTCTGGGTTCAAGCGATTCTCCTGCCTCAGCCTCCCAAGTAGCTGGGATTACAGGCACCGGCCACCACGCCTGGCGAATTTTTTTGTATTTTTAGTAGAAATGGAGCTTCACCATGTTGGCTAGGCATGTCTTGAACTCCTGACCTCATGATCCATCTGCCTCGGCCTCCCAAAGTGCTGGGATTATAGGTGTGAGCCACTGCACCCAGCCTGCATTTTTTTTTTTTTTTTGGCTCTTAAGGGCCAGATAGTAAATATTTTAGGCTTTATGGGCTATACAGTCATTGTTGCAACTACTCAACTGTGCCACTGTAGCAAGCAACTGTAGAAAATATGTACGTAAATAGCATGGCTGGATTCCAATAACACTTTACTTACAAATCAGGTGGTGGATCCACAGGCTGTCATTTACTAACCCCTGATCTAGTCAAATCCTTCTCATTTAATTAATGAGAAAACCTAGGTCTATTGAAGTCAAATGACCTATCAACAATGGACCATTCAGTTTCTGGTAAAGCTGACAGAAGGCCCTTAACATCTGACTTTGCTAGTACTCCATGTTGTTACCCCTTACCATAGTCTAGCTTGAGGTAACATTGAAGTTGAATAAAAAGGTCATATGGAACATGATATGAATTTTTGAAACTTCTCCCATGAAGCTGGATGAGATAAAACTCAAGCTATGTCCAATAAGTTTGGATCAGAGGACCAGCCTTTTGGAGATTGCTGAATGTCCATCCATCTCTGCTTACTAGAGAGATTTACAGGAAAAGACAGGCTCCTTCTTTTTTGATTTTAGGTGCTATAATTTTTATTCATATGGCACAGGTTGTTCATTTTTACTTTTAATTTTTGTGGGTACACAGTAGATGTATATATTTATGGGGTATATGGCATATTTTGACACAGGCATAAAATGCATAATAGCCACACCTGGGTAAATTAGGTATCTATCAACTCAAGCATTTATCCTTTGTGTTACAAGCAATGCAATTATACTTAGTTATTTTAAAATGTATAATTAAATTATTATTGACTATATTCATCCTGTTGTGCTATCAAATGCTAGGTCTTATTAATTCTTTCTAACTATGATTCTGTACCCATTAATCATCCTCTCTTCCCCCCACTACCCTTCCTAACCTCTGATAACCATCATTCTACTCTCTATCTCTATAAGTATAATTGTTTTAATTTTTAGCTCCCACAAATAAGTGAGACCATGAAAAGTTTGTCGTTCTGGGCCTGACTTATTCTACTTAACATAATGACGTATATTTTCATCCATGTTGTTGCCAATGACAGGATGTCATCTTTTTAATGGCTGAATAATACTCCATTGTATGTATGGATCACATTTTCTGTGTCCATTGATCTGTTGACTGACACTTGGGTGGCTTCCAAATCTTGGCTATTGTGAACACTGCTGTAATAAACATGGGAGTGCAGATAGCTCTTTGATATACTGATTTCCTTTTTTGGGCATATATACCTAGCACTGAAATTGTTTCAGATGATTGCTTCTTGCTCATTAACATTCTTTTCTTTCAGGTTGAAGAACTCCCTTTAACATTTCCCTTGTAGGACATGTCTGGTGCTGACGAAATCCCTCAGCTTTTGTTTTTCTGGGAAAAGTCTTTATTTCTCCTTCTTGTTTGAAGAATACTTTTGCTGGATATACTATTCTAGGATAAAAGTGTTTTTCTTCAAATATGTCATTTTACTCTCTTCTGGACTGTCAGGTTTCCATTGAAAAGTCCACTGCCAGACATATTGGAGCTTCATTGCATATTATTTTTTTCTTTTCTTTTTTTTCTTTTTTTTTTTTTTGCTGCTTTTAGGATCCTTTCTTTATCCTTGACCTTTGGGAGTTTGATTGTTACATATATTGAGGTAGTCTTCTTGGGGTTAAATCTGTATGGCGTTCTACACCTTCTTGTACTTAAATATTAACATATTTCTCTAGGTTTGGGATGTTCTCTGTTACTATCTCTTTGAGTAAACCTTCTACCCCTATCTCTCTCTCTCTCTACCTCCTCTTTAAGGCCAATAACGAATAGATTTGTCCTTTTGAGGCTATTTTATAGATCTGGTGGGTGCACTTCATTCTTTTTTATTGTCTCCTCCGACTGTATATTTTCAAATAGCCTGTTTTTAACCTCACTAATTTTTTCTTCTACTTGATCAATTCTGCTGTTAAGAGACTGAGGCATTCTTCAGTATGTCACTTGCATTTTTCAGCTCTAAAATTTTTGCTTGATTCTTTTTAATTATTTCAATCTCTTTGTTAAATTTGTCTGATATGATTCTGAATTCCTACTCTCTATTATGTTCAATTTCATTGAGTTTCTTCAAAACAGCAATTTTGAATTCTCTGTCTGAAAGGTCACGTATCTCTTTCTCACCAGAATTGGTCCTGGTGTCTTATTTAGTTTGTTTAGTGAGGCCATGTTTCCCTGGATGATTTTGATGCTTGTGCATATTCATTGGTTTCTGGGCATTGAAGAGTTAGGAGTTAGGTATTTATTGCAGTCTTCACAATCTGGACTTGTTTGTATCTGTCCTTCTTGGGAAGGCTTTCCAGGTATTCAAAGGGTCTTGGGTGTTGTGATATAACATTTTGGTCACTGCTGCTGTATCTGCATTAGGGGATACCCCAAGCCCAGCAACGCTGTGGTTCTGGCAGGCTCCTAGAAGTATGTTTGGTGGTCTTGGATAAGATCTGGAATAATTATCTGGTTTACTGGGCAGAGACTCTTGTTCTTTTCCTTTGCTTCCTCTCAAACAAATGGAGTCTCTCTCTTTGTGCTGAGCTGCCTGGAGCTGCAGAAGGGGTGACACCAGCACCTCTGTCACCACCATCACTGGCACTGTGCCACGTTAGACCTGAAGTCACCATAGCACTAGGTCTCACTCAAGGCCTTCTATAACTATTACTTGCCTACCACCTATATTTACTCAAGGCCCTAGGGCTCTGAAATCTCCAGCTGTCAAAGCCAGCCAGGCTGTGTCCTTCCCTTTAGGGTGGTGAGTTTCCTTAGGTGCTGGGCAGGTGCAGAGATGCTGTTTGGGAGCCAGGGCCTAGAGTTGGAAACCTTAGAAATCTACCTAGTAGTTTATTTTATGCTGTGCCTGAGCTGCACTGAAACCACCAAAGTCCTTCCTGTTCTTCCTACCCCTTTCCCAAGGCAGAAGAGTCTCTCCTTATGTCCACCACCACAACAGAGCCACGGAGGGTACTGCCAGCCTACCACTTATGTTCATTTAAGGCCCAAGGAATCTTCAGTCAGCTTGTGGTGAATGCTGCCAGGCTTGGGACTTAGCCTTTAGGGAAGTGGGCTTCTCTCTGGCCCAGGGTAGGTCCAGAGATGCTGTCCAAGAGCCAAGACCTGGAATCAGGGACCCTAGAGCCTGCTTGGTGCTCTACCCCACTGTGACCAAGCTGGTACTTAAGCACAAGACAAAGTCCCCTTTGCTCCTCCCTCTGCTTTTCTCAGAAGATGGGGTGTCTCCTCATAGCCACTATTGCTGAAAATGTTCTGGGCCACACCTGAAGCCAGCATGTCTCAGTCTCACCCAAGGCCCATGTCGTGCACTACCTGGGTACCACTGTTGATTATTCAGGGCTCTTTAGTCAGCAGATGATGAATACTGCTGGGACTGGGTCCTTCCCTTCAAGACAGCAGGTTCCCTTCTGGCCCAGGGTGTGTCATGAAGGAGCTAGAGCTTGGAATGGGTTACTTAGGACTCTGCCTGGTGCCCTATCTTACCATGGCTGAGCTGGTATCCAAGTTGCAAGACAAAGTCCTCTTTACTTTTCCCTATCCTATTCTCAAGTAGAAGGAAGGATTCTCCTTGAGTTATGAGCTGCGCTGCTTGGGGTTGGAGGAGGGATGGCGTAAGCCCTCCCTTTGCTGCTCTTGCTAGTGTCTCACTAGATTGCATGCCCCTCAATTCTACTGGCTCCAAGCACAGCACAGCATTAGGACTCGCCTAGGAATTGCAATCTTTGTGGCCTAGATAGCCTTTCAGGTTTATTTAGAGCCCCAGAGCACATTAGTGCATGGAGGCAAGGCTTATGGAAACTCAAGTTCCAACTGCTGGGATGGGTATTTCCCCTATGGCTGGGGCTCGCTTAAATGCTCCCTCCATGGGCACGGGCTGAGTTCTGCCCGGTGTTGGCAGCAGTGAGTTTCCATAATTGCTGTGCTCTCCTTCTCCCAAGAGCACAGACTCTCTTTGCACCCCTCAGCCACTGCTGGGGCATGTGCGAAGGATGGCGTCAGTAATTCAAGATTTTAAAAAATATCTTCTTCAGTGCCTCCTTCAGTGATACGAAGTTAAAACCAGGTACTGTAATTGCTCACCTGATTTTTGGTTCTCATGAAGGTGCTTTTTGTGTAGACTGTGGTTAAATTTGGTGTTCTCATCAATGGAGGCTTCTATTTGTCCATATTACTCTGCCTCTGCCTCAAGATGACAAGATGAACTATTTTAAGGGCCAGGTTAGACTCCAAGAGTTTTATGGAGTGATGTTATTCTCACAGGTGAGAGTAATTTGGATCTCCTTATTAGCTTTTCTTTGCTGAATGACAGAATGAGGGCCATCTCACCATCTATCTTATCAGTTCTGAGCATTTACAGTTTTTTGGTCTTTACTTTTCTCCCAAATTCTCTCTTTTAATCTCTATTCTTCATTCCTTTTTCTGCCTAACTCAAAGGTTCCTTTTTTTTTTTTTTTTTTTTTTTTTGAGACAGAGTCTCGCTCTGTCACCCAGGCTGGAGTGCAATGGCACGATCTCGGCTCACTGCAACCTCCACCTCCCAGGTTCAAGCAATTCTCCTGCCCCAGCCTCCCGAGTAGCTGGGATTACAGGTGTGTGCCACCACACCTGGCTAATTTTTGTATTTTTAGTAGAGACGGGGTTTTAACATGTTGGTCAGACTGGTCTCGAACTCCTGACCTCATGATCTGCCTGCTTCAGCCTCCCAAAGTGCTGGGATTACAGGTGTGAGCCACTGAACCTGGCAAAGCTTACATTTTCTATGAAACTTTCTACTAGTGATATAGTTCATTCTGTGCTCAGTGCTCTCTGATTAGGCATGTCCCAGGGGTGTACCATAAGAATTTGCACTTGTTGACGTGTTTTTTTGTACTGTTTCCTTCACGGGTGTGTATGTGCGTATTTTCACAAATGATTTCTCTCCAAACTAAAATCAGGAATGTTGGCTTCTATTTCTTTAATTTACGCTCCTGGAACAGAGCTCTAGTTGTGGCAGAGGGTCTGTAAAGGCTATCTGTTAACTTGTTGGTCCTTGGAATATGTAAGAAACCCACACAGTACTGGGCATGAAGTGATAACTTAAGACACATGCTGAGGTACTCTTTCTGAATTGGAATGAGAGGTTGCCAGATGGTGCAACATTGGAATCACTGAGGTCCTGTGCACTGGAATACCAACTTTGTGATGAATTCTAAATAGAAAGTGCTCATACATATCATTAACAAGCCTTTAGAGAGGGTGAGTACTCAGACAAAACGCAACTTCTAGGGAGAAATATGACATGTAGTCTGAATAGACAAAGAGCTGTAATACTGTGCAACCATTCTTCAGATAAACAAATAAGTAAGCGGGACTTACTTCCTAATGCTTGCAGATGTATGAGATGTGAGTTGGCAATGTTGAACGGTTCTGTAGAAATTCTCAGAATGCCTCATGATTCTTCAGAAAGGACCTAAATCAAGAAGTCAGCTCTTACATAGAGGGTGTGGAGTGGTCAATGTGTGACCCACAAAAGCCTCCCCAGGACCTGAAATGATATAGCCCAGACCAGAATTTTCCCTTTAGCCCTACTGGTTTTATTAAATATCTGGCAAATATTTACTGAGTGACTGCTATGTCCCAGTATCATTACTAGTTTCTTAGTGAGATTGAAATGGAGCTGGATATCAGAATTCTTTCCTCTCTATGGTCTATTAGATATCCATATGCATAGTAAATTGTATTTGTTTTCATTATAGAGTGTTGGACCAGGCACTTAACAGATTCTTTTGTAGCCTTTTAAATACTGTTTATCAGTGGAGATTCAAGTGACTTCATTCAGGTGCCTTGATTAGATGGTTTTTACCTGATTTTTGCAGTCATGGTTTTGGTGTAGGTGCAGATAAGCAAGCTTCCTACAGTAGTCTATTGTAACAAGACTTACGTCTGCCTGGGCCTGCTATACTTTCTACTAGCACGTAAACAAACCACTATCTTGACATATACTTTCATGGTTTTCTTTGGAGAAATTCCTATTGACAATCTCTACTGTTGAAGAGTTATGTCTTGTGTCTATGGAAGGCTGGAAAACAATTCTTTCAGATCCAGTCATTTATCCTGGAATAACATCATCCAGTTTTTAACTTTTCAAAAAAGCACCCCTTTTCCAGCTGGTTTTAAGAAAGTAAGATCCACTTTTGCCATGAATTTAGCCCCTGTAGTGCATAATCCAGTTATCAATGGTTCCAGAAGGCTGAGTCTGAGCAAAGCAGTCTTCATTCTTTTCATTCTACCTCAGCTGTTATATCGCCCAGGTTGGAGGTAGACACTTCATGTCTTCCTGACGCCCCTAGGTTGTGACACATCCTAGGCTACTTTCTATGGACAGATCACTCTTTCCAGGCACCAGTGTAAATTGAGTGGCTACTTTGTGCCAGACACTGTATTTGATATTCACTTTCTATGGAAAGATCACTCTTTACAGTCACCAATGTAAACTGAGTGGCTACCTTGTGCCAGACACTGTATTTGATATTCACGGCAAGCCCATGAGGTAGGTTTTCTTAAATCCAATTTACAAATGTGGAAACTGAGGCTAAGAAATTTCAAGCAACTTCTTCAGCTTAGTCTGATTTGGAAGCATGTGCTTCTATACACCCAAGAACTCTCCACTTCGTGCTTTTCTTTTTAAACACAACAAAAATGACCTAGACAACTGTTCAATTATTTTTGACTATAATTCCTGCTTTCCAAGCCCATGATGCTAAGGTGTTAGTGCTAAAGTTTCCTGCTATGGTGTTAATGACTAATCTTTACCTTTCTCAGGTGTGTTTGCATTTTAGGAGTTCACATTTACCTAATCAATACATGTTTGCTAAGTTAATATTTAAATATTTATGGAGAGGTAGCATAGTATAGCTGTTAGGTGTAGGCTCTGTGGGGACAAGTTGTCTGACTTTAAGCCCAGGCTCTGCTTTTTACTAGCTGTGTGTAACTTGGATAGGTTAACTTTTTAAAAACATTTCTTTGTTTTTTTTAATATTTATCTTATTGGGATAAGAACACTTTACATTAAATCTACCTTCTTAACAAAAATTTAAGTGTATAATAGATGATTGTTGATGATAGGCACAATGTTGCATAGCCGATCTCTAGAGTTTATTCATCGTGCTTGACTAAAACTTTGTGCTCTTTGGTTAGGAAATCACCATTTCTCCTTCCCCAAGAATTGTTTAATGTCTGTGCCTCATTTTATCAATGCCATCGTTGTGAGATATAAGAAGTGCTCAGAAATGTTCTTTGGGAGAGAAGGAGAGACAAGGCAGGCATACACTCTGTGCCAGGGGCAGGGAATGCCCAGAGTCATGTGAGCCCAACTCCGATCTCTAATGTTATAACTTTGGCTACTTCAGAAATGATTTCTTGGCAATAACAAAAATATGAAATAGCTGTCATGTACCAAGCACTTAGACGCCAGGCTCAAAACTAAGAGCTTTATGTGGATTATCTTGTGTAATCCTTAGCAACTGTATAAGGAGCCATTATCCCCATTTTACAAGGGAAAGCCAGAGGGGCAGAGCTGGGATTTGACTCTCAGCAGTCTGACTGCAGAGCCTATCTGGACTGAACTTCGACTTCTTGCTGGGGTGTTTACATGCGATGCCAGCCCAGCATTCTCACACAGCTATCTGTTAGGGTCCCTCAGTTCCCCGCTCCCCACTAAACTCTAGCCTTATTTCCCATATTAGTTCACACTGATGTATTGCCAATTAGAAACAGACTTTTTTTTTTTTTTTTAAACCAGTGGGTTCTATAATTCAAGAGCTTTGTTCTGATGGGCAATGGAACAACCACCTGAGGTTTGCAGAAGGGACACAAAGGGAGGAAGTACAAGGAATTTGGCCAAATGTGAATATTTATATTTTTCCAGTTAATTAACTATGGCAGTTTGTAAGTCAAATATTTACCTGTGCTCATGAACACTATCCAGTGTAATGTTATCTTTTGATTAAACAACATGTGTCCTGGCATCATGCATATGTATGAGGGATGAAGGGAAAGGTGCCAAGATGTTCATAATTCTGAATGTCTCAGATTTGGTTGGGTGTCAGCCAGATTCGTATGTATTTTAGGACTTTCAAGGGAGGGAGAAAGTGAGGCTAGGATTCTGTTGATTGTTCTTTTTCTAATCCACCTGCAACCAATATTGTCAGTCTTAATAATGCCAGTAAAACTACATGGAAAGAGAGCTGGATTAAATTTGGTAGTGGTAGGAAAGAAAATGAACATTTTCATGAATTAGGGTTTGTTTTAACTTCTCAATGAAACTCATTTTCTAGGTCAGTGGGTCTTAAACTTCAGGTGTATCAGTATCATCTGCTAGCCTTGCTAAACACAGATTGCTGGACTCTAGTCGGATCCTGTGATGAGTAGATCTGGAGTGGAGTCCAAGAATCTTTATGTCTAACAAGCTCCTGGTACTGTTGGTGTTGCTGGTCTGGGGGCTACACTCTGAGGACAACTGTCATAGGTTAAGGTTTGGATAGTAAGAAACAGCACATGAACATATTGGTTGACCAGAAGTTCCACTGTGATATTCAAGATGTGTTTATTTAACATACTTTTGGGAGATTCACACACACTTTCATTTATCAAGGGTACAAGTGGTTTGAAGCAACAGTGTCTGGCAAACATGAAAATATGACAACCAGATTGTCTGTACCATGAATCATTGTGTAGTGCCCTGTGATCAACAAATATTATTTCTGGAGTAAGTAGAGTCAGATCCAATTTTACATGGCTGTTAAAACAATACGTCAGATACACAATGGTAGAGAGAGAATTCCCCCAAGACTTATGGACTGCTTCTCTTAGTTCCATCTTAGGGGACTGAATCAGAGTCATCCTCCTGGTCTCATGCATCCCATCACAACTTTAATTCCCTTTTATGACCCAGAGTGCCATGAAGAATATGTTAACTTTAATCAGCAGGTGAATTGTCCAGCCTGTTGGGTTATGAAATAACAACTTTGAACAGCTGTGAAGCCACATAAGGATACTGAAGAGGTTAAAAATATGCCACTCTGGCAAATTGATTATTTTGAGTCAAAGGCGTTTGAAAAACAACAGGTGCGAGATCACTCTGACCATCCTTCTGTTTCTTAAAAGCAGGAGATGAAACTCCCAGGCGAAAGATGTCCTCCCTATGTTAGAATGAAAGCATCATTCTTACCATCAAGGATGAGAAGTTGAGGCTGAGGGAAATCTGAGCAAACCGTTTTTGGCTAATTTTATCCTCCTAGCCACTGCTCTACCCAACTGACTACTCCAGCCCAAGCCCAAGCCCTTTGCATTGTCACAGTTTTATAATTTGCTACTCTGTTTATTTTGGTGTACGTTTGTCTCTTACTGCAACTTCGTGTCTTCACACAAAGGTTCCTGTGCAATATAAAGCTTGTATTAAATAAATTTGCATGCTTTTTCCCTGTTGATCTGTCTTACGTCAATTTTATTTTCAGGCCCAGCTGAAAAACCCTGAAAGGTTAGAGGTAAATTGTTGCACGCCCCACCATATCACTGAGGTATATAATTAATAAATTTGCCTAAGCCAGAGGTTCTCAACTGGGGGCCATTTTGCCCTCACCTCAGGAGACATTAGCAATGTCTGGAGACAGTTTTGGTTGTTACAGCTGGAACTATCCAACTCCAAATGTTGGTTGTGCTGAGGTTGAGAAAACCTTGGCCTGGGGTATTTGGAATGAGAGCTGAGATGTCCTAATTCAATGGGTGTCTTAGGAAGGATAAGTCCTAGCAGCCTGTGATGTCTCAGTTTCCAACTAAAGTATCCAAGAAACATATACCGTGACTCGGGAGTACCTGGTGCTGTCAAGCGAGACGGAAAACGTGGGCAGGTAGGAAGGTCTGTTTGGTGCCTTTTGTGAGGCAAGGCTTCTGCTGTCATTCTTCAGTGTGAAATCCAGCCCTAGCAAGCAATGTGTCATCGCTTCAAAGTCTGAGAAACAAACAGATCCTTTCCTGTTATTATCACGTGGAGCTGCAGAAGTCATTAAGCAGCATTTTGAAGGAAGAATAGTGATTTCTTTCCTGTCAAACACCATGTTCAGTTAATTTATTCTGACTGGAGGTGGAACAAACTAGTGCTGGACAATGTGTGGAAATACATGTCTATTCCTCATTATCTCTAATGGGCGTTTCAAAGGCACTCACAGATTTAGTGTCCTATTTGGTCTGACTTGTATAACACCTGTCAGTAGGCTGCTTTCCTGCTATGTCATTAATATTTAAATAATGTGATTTAAAGGTCAAACTGTGCCTTCAGCAATGTTAAAATACAGCATTCCCTTTCTCTAGATGGCGATTCAAAGGACTAGGAGTGGAGATTTGCAAAAGACAGCAAAAAAGTAATAGTCCTACTGAAGAGAGAAATAAGCCACATATATTCTCATTGCATTAATATAATTAATAAAAAGAGTCTACTTCTGTTTTTTTTTCTGGATATAAATCTATGTAATTGAGTTGAATTATTGCAAAGCCAAACTGCAGGGGTTGAGGTCTCCTGAGACTAGCCCTGAGCAAGCAGGAGAGGTGGGGAGCTCGTGTTCAGCATTCTCCCTAGGCTCCTATTTGTCCCTCTTTCACTGCCTTTCTCCTGCTCCCTTCTCTCCACTGCTTACCTTCTTGGTCTTCTGTCCCTTTTACCTCCGTAGTCTCTTCAGATCTCCTCACCTGGAAAATGCCTTGGCTCAATCTCTCATGAATAGGGTTGGTGTCCTTATAAAAGAGATATGAGAGAGACCTCCTGCCCTGATATGGTTTGGCTGTGTCTCCACCCAAATCTCATCTTGAATTGTAGCACCCATAAGTCCCATGTGTTGTGGGAGGGAGAGAGTGGGAGATAATTGAATCATGGGGGCGGTTGTCCCCATAATGTTCTCATGATTGTGAATAAGTCTCACGAGAGCTGATGGTTTTATAAGGGGTTTCGCCTTTTGCTTGGCTCTCATTCTCTGTTGCCTGCTGCCATGTAAGCCATGCCTTTGCTTCTCCTTTGCCTCCCACCATGATTGTGAGGTCTCCCAAGCCATGTGGAATCGTGAGTCCATTAAACCTCTTTTCTTTATAAATTACCCAGTCTCAGGTATGTCTTTATCAGCAGCATAAAAATGAACTAATACATGCGCCTTCTATCATGTGAGGAAACAGCAAGAAGGTGCATTTTGTGAATCAAGAAATGGGTGCTCCCCATACACCAAAGCTGCCAGTATCTTGATCTTGGGCTTCTCAGATTCTGGAACTGCAAGCAATACATTTTTGTTGTTTATAAGCTACCTGGTCTGTGGTATTATATTGTAGCAGCTGAATGGACTAAGACCAGTTTATTAACAAATTTACAAGTGATGTTAATATGAAAATGGTAGTCAATATTTACCAGTGTTTGGGCACTCAGCATCCATCCCCATGCCTTCCTTCCATCAGGTCTTGGTGTGATAGTGAATCCAGGTGCCTGGCTCCCACCGTGGATAACAGAAGACTTGCATCCCTGCCCTCCAGTTGGGTAGATTTAGAAGGTGGGATACATTCACCTAAGTGGGCTCTCTGTGAGCACAATCTTCCTGTTTTTTTGAGCTCTGCAGCTTTCTTAGTTCTCTCTGTAACCCGGCCTGGTTTTATAGTGGTTCATTAATTCTATGAACTTCTTAATGCTGTCCTTCCAAGAACCTCCTTCTGCCTAATAAAACAGAATCCAATGAGGCTTTTCCTGTTATTGAAGAGTTTTGTCTGAAGACCAAAGGTGAGACATAATATTTGACAAACATTCCACAAAACCACACTAGATTTGCGACCTTTAGCCCTTCTGCTACCGCTTGCCTTTATGAGAGAGGCTGTCTTGGTTTCCTGTTGTGGTTGCAACAGTTTGTAACACACTTGGTGGCTGAAAACAACACAAATTTATTACCTTACGGTTCTAGAGGGCAGAAGTTAAAAATAGATATCATTTGGCCAAAAGCAAGGGCTGCATTTCTTCTGGAGACCCTAGAAGAATCTTCGCCTTTTCCAGCTTTTAGAGGCTGCCCGCATTCTTTGGCTTGTGTCCTGATTCCGCTTTCAAAGCCAGAAACTACATTGCTCCATCCTCTGCTTTTGTCTTCACATCTGTTTCTCCAACATTGACTCTCCTGCCTTCCACTTTCACTTTTAAGACCCCCTGTGGCCGGGCGCGGTGTTTCACGCCTGCAGTCCCAGTACTTTGGGAGGCTGAGGCGGGCAGATCGCCTGAGGTCAGGAGTTCATGACTAGCCTGGCCAACATGGTGAAACCCCGTCTCTACTAAAAATACAAAAATTAGCTGAGTGCAGTGGTGGGTGCCTGTAATCCCTGCTACTAGGGAGGCTAACGCAGGAGAATCGCTTGAACCCAGGAAGCAGAGGTTGCAGTGAGTCGAGATTGCGCCACTGCACTCCAGCCTGGGTGACAGAGGGAGACCCTGTTTCAAACAAACAAACAAACAAACAAACAAACAACCCTGTGATTACACTGGGTCCACCCAGATAAAGCAGGATCACCGGATCACCTCCCCACGGCAGGATCACCTCACCATTGCAAGACGCTTAACCTAATCCCCTTTGCAGGCTCTTTTGCCATATAAGGAATGTATTCACAGGTTCTAGGATTTAGGAGGTGGATATCTTTGGGGTCCATTATTCTGCCTGCCACAAAGGGAGGATATTTTTTTCTAGATTATTTTCCCCATATAATTTTTCTTTGCTTTTCTCCTTTTCCTGTACATGTTGTGTGGTAAAATAAAACACAGATCCAGAAAATCAAAACTCTAGCTTAGTGAATTATTATAAGGCAAACATCCTTTTAATCACCATCCAGGGAAATAAACAAAACTTTGCTAGCCATCCTAAAAACCCTTTATATATCCAATCCCAAATGCAGGCCCCTCCCTTCTTCCAAGTATGTCTAACTTTACGGTACTCACATATTTGCATTTTTATGACTTTGTCATCCTGTGTGCATCCAGACAATATAGTTTATTAGTTTTACCCATGTAAAAAACTTGACATGCCTTTTAAATATTTTTTCATTTACAAGTCTCTTTTCATCCCTTTTTCTTTACCCATAGAAAGACTCTTTTCTGACCCATAGAACCTCCCACAGTCTGAATTTTGCTAATGGCAAATCCAAGGCACAGTTCGACATGTCCCTCTGTTTTCTGTATTTCCTGCAAACTGGTAGATAGATCCAGAGGCTTGATCAGATTCAGCTGGAATTCCCTTGGCAAGACTGTAGCTGGTGATCTGTTCTTTCACCAAGAGCCATATAATGTCTGGTTTTTGTTCTTTTTTGATGCCAGTACTGGTGTTTCTCAATGCCCAGATTTGTTAATTTATTAGGGGCTGCAGGATAGTGATGTTCTAATGACGTCTTTTTTTTATACTAGCACAAAGGAGGAAAGGATTTGTGGGTCATAAGAGTTTATGGATATATGGTCCTTCCTGGCAGCCCTACCTTTGCCCAACAAGTCATGTAAGGAGAGCTTCAAGAAGCCCCTCTGGATGTGTCCAGAGTGAAGTTACTCATAAGCCCTCCTCGTGATGCTGTTAGAATGTGGACATAGAAGAGTCTTCAGGAGAACCTGAGGCATCTCTTAGAATTTGGGGTGAAAGTGATAAAGATAGAGGCTGCTTGGAGCTGCCGTTGGCAGCAGAGGAAGGAGAGAGGACTCCAGTGGGGCACCAAGCCGTCTGGACCCTGTGGAGAACAGCTGGGCTAGAGCCATCCTGGGAGGCCCCTGCCTTACAAGGGCTGCCTGCTCAGGCTAGGAGACACCAACGAAACCAAGCATTGTGTGCAGTCTTGTTGAAATAGGAGCTGAGGGGCAGCCCCACAAGGTCAGGCAAGCAGGCATTGCCTGGGCCTGTATGGAAGTGCCTGTGGTGGTCATGAGGGACCTTCAGAAGCCCTTGCCCAGAAGATACCTGCATTTGTGTATCAGCCACAACTGACTTGTGAGAATTCTACAAGATGACATGTGTGGAATAGCTTTTTAGTCTGCAAAGGGGTGTACAAATGGGAAATATTTTTAAAAATTTAATTTTTGAATAGGCAATACATTTATATTTTAAATATTCAAATAGGTAGAAAAAGTTCCCTTTACTCCTGTCTTTCAAGCACCCATTTCTCATCTCAATCTCCTACAGGTGTTCACGGTTGCCATTTGTTATTTTCTTTATGCCTATATAAGCAAACACCATCATATATTCTTACTTTTACCCCTCTTTTTACTCAAAGGTAGCATACTCTATGCTTATTGTTCTGCAACTTGCCTTTTTTCCCTTCTAGCTAAAAATATATCTTGAATATGCTTGCATAACTCTATATAGATCATTCATTTTTTTAACAGCTGGCTTAGTACATCGTCTATTAATATACCTCTAGGTTGTTCCCAGCATTTTCCTATTCAAATAAAACATGTGTGTTCTTTGTGCTGCAAAGAAACGTGTGTGTTTGTGCGTGTGTATGTGTGCGTGCGTGTGCACGCATGTATGCCAGAGACCATTCATCAGTTTTAGAATTTAAGGAAAGGCAGAAGGCTTGGTTTAGAGTTGAATTTGTCTCCTTGGGGCACGATGAGCCTGCCCCCAGAGAGAAGAGACCAATATCACTTCCTTCTCGTATTTTAGAGCACTTTTCTCAACCAGTGAATGGAATAATAATACCCACCCACAAAGCCGCTGTGAGGCTGAAATGAGATTGGAACCCAGTTCCTGGTGTGTAGTTTCTCTATAAATGTTAGACACATGGCTATTCTGCTAGCAAGGATTTTTGATGGCCCCTCACTCAATTCACTATTACAAAGAGAAATATGACAGGTGCCAGAGGAGCAGTAGCTGAACAAAACCGTGTGTATGGCCATTGTTCACAGTTTTGTGGTCTCAGAGGTCCAATGACTCCACTTTTCAGTTCTGTGTAAAAGTGTTTGATGCTGGGACAGCTCACCCTGCCCCTGAGAGGTGAGCACAGCCTTGTCAGGCACTGGCAGTTAGGTGGCCTGTGGGAAGTCAGGGGCTGTGAAATGGCAGAGTGTGTTCCATGTTTAGAGCAATGTTAAGCAGTTCCTGTGGAGAAGAAGTGATGCTTGAACAGAGATACAAGAGGTAGTGGCTGATAAGTGAGGTTAGAGAGCCAGGCAGAGACCAGACCATGATAGGTCTTGACTGCACAGCTCGAGGTTTTAAAGGATTCCAGAAGCTATGAGTGTGAGTTGAAATGTGTGCGCATTTGCGTAGAAAGGGCACTCTGCAACAGTGTGGAGATAGATGGAAGGGGGTGAAAATGAGCAAAAGACAAGGCTAGGAGCATCCTCTGAGGCAGGGACAGTGGGAATGGAAACTGTGGCATGAGAGAGTGCGGCGTGGTGTGTGAAAATTGGTGAGGGGGAGGAAGAAGGCAGAGTGCAGAGTCTGGGATGACTTCCTGATTGCTGGTTTCTTGGCCACATGGATGGCGATGCATGTCTTGGTTGATTGCACAGGACAAGAAGCTGGTGCTGCATCAAGGCTGAGAGGTTCAGTTTGGCGGTGAGCTTGAGTTGCCTTAGGAACACCCAAATTGAGATGTGCAGGAGGCAGTTTGACAGGTGGATCTGGCTTGGAGGAGAGATCAGGGCTGGCAATAGCATAGAACAGTCTCCTCTCTTGTCATTGTTATTTATTTTTCTAAGAATGTTCTTTTCTTTCTGCATTATCTCCCACCTTTTGAAAACTTCTTTCCCCCCTAGAGTGGAGAACATGCCACCTGAGCCCCAATACTCCCAGGACAGAATTGAAGACTCACTACCAGCTTGTTGAAACAGAGACTGGTTCCTAATACCTGAAAGTAAGAAGCTAGTGTTTCTGGCCTCTGATGCATGCTGATTCCACTGGCTACAATCAAATGTAATGAAAAGATAGATTAAATGCTTCCTCTTTTAATTATAGGAATAATTATCGCTTATGCAGCTGTTTGTTTTATCAGCATATCAGTAGGTCTTCCGACTGGAATTCTTAAACTGTGTCCTTTGAAAGCATTACTGGCAGATTTCCACCTCCCTCCCTCTTACTTACACGTACCCACTGTTTAATGGACTTAAGTACCCATTTAATGGACTTAAGTAGTTATTATCCTTTTTCTTCCATATGGAGGTCTATAAACCTATAGGCACATGGTCTGGTAAGAAACCCACTCACAGAGAAGAAAGTGAAAGCCCTTTGCATGTATCTTCTCAAACATTGTAGGACAAGCATCGTGGCATAAATTGCCCCAAATTCATCAGTTCTGGCATATCATCAAAGAAGAGAAAGACTTTTAATGGGATGAGTGAATCTTTGTTAATTCAATAGCTCCTCTGAAAAAACCCTCACATTTTCTGCTGCCACAGAAACCATCTCTTTCAAGTGGATTATAAATAAAAACAGGGCCCTCTGGCTTCATGTTTAGATTATATGTGCATTCTCTTTTCAATATGAAAAAGTATGCCTTATTTCTCTTTGAGGTGTCCGGCCCATTGATCTTACTTTGATTTTGTGGAATCGTAGTCATCGGGAAAACTTAAGTTAGTCTTTTTGGGTTAAGGGATAAGAAGTGCATGTACCTTAAAGGTGCCAATATTCATTTTAATGTGGGATTTGTGTTCCTAAAAGCAGATGATTCATGGAAAAGAATAATAAAAAACCTGCCCCTCTCTCCCTAAGCATGGCTAAAGCAGTGTCATAGATTTGCGTGGAATTTCTCACAGAACTCCTGCAACGTGAAGGCTGTTGCTGTTTTGAGACATTTCGTCTGTTGATCATAATTTGTTTTGTGAGGAGAATCAAGTATTTCATTAGTGCAGCTGAGGGTTGCCTTCAGGTAGATGTTTGCCCTTTGCATATCTGACTGGGCTTTGACCGGCAGTTCCTGAATGAAGGAGGGGAGCAGGAGGGTGGGGATTGTGCCTGTCAAGCACAGACAGCGACAGCAAGGCATTCTGGGAGTGTCAGGACTTGAAAGCTTTCTTTACGAACCTTGAGGTAAAGCATAACTGATTTTTGCAAATTTAAAATGCACCTCAGGAAAACAGTGCCTTCAAAAAGCTGCCTATTTACCCTTGGATTCAGCTAAATATTCCACTTTTGCATTCCTGTGGTAGACTGCATCTAGTCGCTCAAAGAATATTGATATTATCTGTTTATATCTTTGCTGCACCTGCCAATTGTCCACTCTTTAAGAGCAGGGATCGTGCCTTATTTATTTTTGTACAACAGTGTCCAGTCTAGCATTCTGCACATAGCAGATAATCAAACTGAGTTTAAATGAGTTAAAAAGTCATACTCCATAATAGAGTGAGCTTCCCAAGGACTAGCACTACAACTCATTTTTTTTGGAATAATTATAAAGATAACAGCTAATATTTATTGGATGTTTACATGTATTATTAATTTTAATCATCTGGTCGATTCTATAGGCTACATTCTATTTTTTGTCCCATTTTTCAGATAATGAAATTGAATCAAAACGTAATTTACGTGAGTTAGTGCTGTCAGTAAGTGGTAGATCTGGGAATTGAATCCAGACCCTCTAATTGCAGAGCATGTAGTTAGTGCCATGATGTTACACTGCCTTTCAGGCCCAAGTTTAGTTTTTATTTAAGGAAAATATTATTGGACATTTGTTGAATAACAATGAGTCTTGTAGAAAGCCTGCTAGTTTAAAGTCATTAGATGTGTTTGGTTTGCTTTTTAGAAGTAGCCAACACTTAATTTCTCAGGGACCTGCTGGATGATATTTAAGAGACCGTTGTGTTAATCATGAGAAGAGTTTACAAATACAGTACTTTGATTCTCATCCTTCCAATAACATAGAAAACTTCACTTCCCTATCGCTTTCTGTTAGTCATGGCTGTATGACTTGCCTTAGCCAATAAAATATGTATGGAAGTGATGTGTGTTCACTCCTGGGCAGAAGTTTCAAGGGCCAGTATGCTCTTCACCACATTCTCTTCCTCCGGTGGTGGTAAATGTGGACAGAAGGGCCAAGATGGTGTCTTTCTCAGCCTGGGTCCCTGAGTGACCTCAATAACAGAGCTCCTCAACCGTCCATGCTAGTCATGTGTAGTGTGATGGAGAAATGAGCCTTTTTTTTGTTATTGCTGTAAATCATTAACACTGGAAGTTGCTTGTCAATGTAGCATAATCTCACCCACACTGACTGGTACAAATATCAAATGCTTGCCCTCCTCTCTGAATTCAACCATCTGGATATCATGCACAGTGGTGAGGGGTCAAGGTATAAAAGGTTTCAAAAGATTCCTGGTGATCAGGAAATCTTAAATTGTTTCATATACCATATTCTTTTTTTTTTTTTTTTTTTTGAGATGGATTCTTGCTCTATCACCAGGCTGGAGTGCAGTGGCACGATCTTGGCTCACTGCAACCTCGGACTCCCCAGTTCAATCGCTTCTCCTGCCTCAGCTTCCTGAGTAGTTGGGATTACAGGCACGCACCACCACGCCCAGCTAATTTTTGTACTTTTAGTAGAGACAGGGTTTCACCATGTTGGCCAGGATGGTCTTGATCTCCTGACCTCATGATCCACCCACCTCGCCCTCCCGACGTGCTGGGATTACAGGCACGAGCTACTGTGCCCAGCCTCACCTACCATATTCTTTTAGACTTCAAGCACAATGAGTCTCGTCCTTACCTGGAAACTCTTGAAGGTATAAACTCCTTTTGAGAGTATTATTGATGTTGCTTTTCTGGATTTGGGTATGTCTTAGCTCAAGTTCCTCAGAAACAGACCCAGAAATGGAGATTTTATGTGCAAGTGCACTATTGAAGAAAGGCTCCCAGGAAGACCAGGGAGGAAGTGAAGTATTAGGTTAGGGAAGGAAGGAAGTCAAGCTGTGGTGTGGTCTCAGGCTAGGTCTTCAGCGTGATCCTACATCATGGAATGTAAGCCACACTTCAGTGTTTCCTCACCTGGAAGAAAAGAAATTAGCCTCCCCTTCTCCCTCACTTGACAGTTGTTGGCTAATGGTTGCATCATGGGGTGGGCGGCGTGGGATATAAACCCCCAGGGCCTGACTCTTTAGTAGGTTAAGGGCATCTTACGAAGAAAATATACAGGTGCTGGCTTTTGAAAACACACTGAAGTGAAGAGGAAGGGAATGCACAGAAATCATTAATGTTGTACCATTTATAGCTTTGGCATATTTTTAACTATCCAATTTTAGACATCTATAAAGGAGAAACCGAAGACTCGCCTCCGCATTTGCATGTGACAGTGAAAGGGAGACACAGAGCTGCACAATGGCTTTCTTGTCATCAGGGAGGCAGTCATGATGAAATATGAAGCTAATACTTATGACTTCTGAAATCTGTCAGTGAATTGTCCACCAGCTTCTGGACACTCTTGACATGACAGCTGAATGTTTCACACTGTAAATGGGCTCTACTTAATAAAATATGACATGCAGAAATCTAAATAGACCACAAAGGCAAATTAGGGTACGAGTATTCACATTAACGAAGCGTTTACTGAAGCTAAAAGGGCAAACACCAGCAGTCCTGGAAACAGTTTCCAAGATATCAAAAAGAAGAATCTCACTGTATCGTATTTAAAAAAAAAAAAAAAGATTTACTTAAAGAAGGTGGAGGGTTTCTTTTTTGGGCTTTTAACAATAACTTATGTGGGGGTCATACCGTTATTATCATAGATGGGATGTGGAAAAAATGGCTTGTCAAGGCTGCTCAAACGTGATCCCACTGCAATAGCATTGAGATTCTACCTAAGTGTGATCAGAACTGTTTATGTACCACACCAAGCAATCCGTCAGCATATGGAAGGAACAGAGACACCGACAAGTGCACAGATCGCATCGTTATGTTTGTGCGGCTTCTGTTTTATACATCTGTCACCAGGAAAGAATGAAGTCTGTGATTATCTTTATCTTAGGCTGGCAAATGAATGTGTACTAGTTGGAGAAAAGGCAGACATTGTATTTACCAGAAACTCATAAACCACCAGAAGCTGTAAGTAAATGTGTGAGAATCAATTTCTTAGTGCTTGGGAATGTTAGCAACATTTCAGTTGTAACTGCAAATAATGTGAGATTTAAAAACATATACCAAATATGTGTCTGTTTGGAAATGTTTTAAACTTTGGTGTTTATCAATAGCTCTAAATCTCTTTACTGCACAAAAGGCTCTGACATTTTATTTACAAAATATTGTTTTATCCTTCTAGCACACAACTTTTCTTGCTCCTTTACCTTGTACAACAAACAATCATACGAACAAACAAACAAAAGTTGCCCTAAATGTGTAGAGTTTATTGTGCTGTTCTTGGCTCCAACTCAAAAGTTGTCTGAACTTAGTAGAATCATTTTTAAGATGTCGTGTATTGCTGTTCAGCTATCACACTTATGTTTTATTTTTTTTTTTGAGAAGTGGGAGTGGCAGATGTAAAATCTACTTTGTATGATAATTATTTTTAATCAGCAAGGGAAAACGGTCATGCAGTTGGCTTTTTTCCTCGCAGCTTTTGGATCCCCTTTCTCTTTGTGGAGTCTCTGTGGGTGGACTCTATAGTACCTCTGCAGTGAAATTCTGCCTCCCTCCCGTCCATGCAGAAGGTGCATGTGCAGTATGGTCCCCAGCAGGTAGGAATAGCAGGAAGTAGTGCATTAAAGCCAATGGATACAGGTAGATGTGGGCATGGTAGTTTAAAAACATGTCGATAAATTCTTTAATTATTCTTTCTTCAAGAGGTGGAGCTTAGCTTCAATCTTCCCTCCTCTGCCCCAAGTGTGGGCTAGACTTGGTGACTTGTTTATAAAGACTAGAATAAGGGAGGAGTGATAATACTGATGTAAAACTTCAGGGCCTAGGTCATGAAAGGCATTGTGAGGCTGGCCTAGGTCATGAAAGGCTCAGACCTGTAATCCCAGCACTTTGGGAGGCCGAGGCGGGTGGATCACCTGAGGTCAGAAGTTCGAGACCAGCCTGGACAACATGGTGAAACCCTGTCTTTACTAAAAATACAAAAATTAGGTGTGGTGGCAGGTGCCTGTAATCTCAGCTACTTGGGAGGCTGAGGCAGGAGAATTGCTTGAACCCGGGAGGTGGAGGTTGCAGTGAGCTGAGATTGTGCCACTGCACTCCAGCCTGGGTGACAGAGTGCGACTCCATGTCAAAAAAAAAAAATAAAAATAAAAAATAAAAACCAAACAAACTAAAAAAGCTTCTTCCTTTCTCTCTCAATCTCTCTCTCTCTCCTCTCATGGATTGCTCCCTCGGAGGCATGTGCCAATACTTGTCATAGAGACAGTCAAGCAGCTCTATGGACAGAGGCCCATGTGGCAGGGAATCATGACCTTGTGCCAACAGCCATGTGCATGACCCACTTTGGAAGTGGATTCTCCAGCCTTCAGATGACTACAGTTTTGCCTGATATTCTGATGACAACCTCATAAGAGACTCTGACCCAGAACTGCTCAGCTATTCTCAAATTCCTGACACACAGAAACTGTGAGATATAAATGTTTGCTGTTTTAAGCCACTAAGTTCCAGGGTAATTTGTTACACAGCCATAGAAAGTAATACAGTGAGTATTCAGGGAATCAGGGAAGTATTGAGTGGAGTGTCCTTGTTTCTATTTACCTGCCCAGACACCAGACACTGGGAATTCTTCTTGGGGAATGTCAGCAATGCACCCTGGCATGGGGGATGAAGGAGAGTGGGATCTTAGCAGAAGGAATGAGAATCCACTGTTCTGAGTATTCTGTTTGCCTCTCTGAATTCACTTTCTACCGTTCTCAGCTTGCTCTATGTCCTGGAAGGCTGACCTCTATGGACTGCCTCAATTGGGCTCCCCTGGATTCCTTCCTGGTGGTCAGTGGGCTAGCTGTGGCAGCATCCAGTCATTGAAGGCCAGAAGTCCTGTGGGAAGCCTTTCCCTGCTGCTAAGCCAGGCCCACAACTCTCTAATTGCCTCATCAGTTTTAGGAGTGGTAAGGGCTCCCCACTATTGCTAGCCTTTGGATGCTTCACCATTTCTTCTTGGTTTCTATTGACTCTGTTCTCACCCTGAAAATAGTTCTCAATCACCCCTTTGAATATATTGTCTGTTTCTTCTAGGATCTTGACTGACACATTCACTGGGGCTTGCATTGGTGCTCTCCAGTGCATGTGTGCCACTAAGAAGTGAATTGCCTTGGTTTGAGAGTTGCAAATTATTACTATTTCTACTACTACTTCTGCTTCTATTACTACTACTACTTCTTTCTCTTCTACCTTCCTTTTCTCTCTCTCTCTCTTTCCTTTTCTTCTTTCTCTCTCTCTCTTTCTTTCTTTCTCTTTCTCTTTTCTTTCTTCTTTCTTTTTGCACTAGAAACCTTTCTGAGTGAAAATTTATGCTGAACTCCAAGATATAAAACATATAAAATTATAAAAAGAAACCTGCTCTGGTTGAAGTGGGTGAGGAGGTCGGGAGTCTCGTCTGTATGATCTTCTCTCCTTCTTCTCTAAGGGGATCCCTTGAGGCACTTCTGAGCAATCATAGGGTTATATGGAACCCAGTTTGAAAACTAACACTTTAGCATGTTTTAAATGCTGGGGTGGAAAAGTTTGCAATTTCCAGACATGGTTCTGACTGTATGACTTCTTTGTCCTCTGTCCTCTACTCTCCCCTGCTGTTCACCACCTCAAGTCTCAAACTCTGAACTCCTCCTCCCTAAACATAGCCTCTTTACTTTATAGCAACAGCTGTTATTTATTCAAGCTATTATTATTTTCCAGGCATGAAGCTAAGGTCAAGGGCTAATCCTACAATATAGATATTCTCATTCATATTTTACACATGATGAAATAGAGACTCAGAAAAGCTAAATGACTTTCCTAAGGTAACACAACTAGTAAATGGAAAATCTGGTGTTCCAATTTGTGTCTGTCTGATCATGAAAGCTCACGACCTTAACAAGCACCCACTAGTACCCTCATCTTCCTCTTTCTTCTGAATCTGATTTTACCTTCATTAGGACTCTGAACCTTAGTTTTTCTCTATTCTCTTTAATTCTATCTTGGTTTGGATTTTTTTTTTTTAATCCAGAAACCCTTAGCTGTGTATGTCATGCCTTTGCCAGTATCCAAAGTTTTCTTATTCTCCTAACTCTTTGAATTTCACCTGCGTTGACAATCCCCAACCGCACACAATGCCCCAATGTCTGCATTCTATTTCCAATACTTATTTCCAGTGTCTATTTTTAAGTATGCTGTTGTGGTGAATTAAGATGAGACCGTCTGAGTGTAGTAAGTATCCACGCCCTCCTTTCTCAACTGGGTCCTCACTTCTGCAGGAAACTCCTTTGAATTTTATTCCATCTGTCAATTCTCTGTTATGTCGCCTTCATACTCACTATGCCGTAATTAAGCCCTCATCTCATCTGTTCTTCATCATTTTATCGCAGCTTATAATTTTATCTTTAGCTTTACTTTAGGTCTTTCAAGGTGAGCTCTCTTAAATAATTAATTCTTTTATCATTACAGTTGTTTGAAAACTTGCTCCAAATAGTGGTCGTTCAAACAGGGTAAAGTCTGTTTTCTTTCTCTTATGTATAGTTAGGAAGAGGGAAGTTCAGGGTTCTATGTTGGCTCAAGGATCCTCAGAAATCCAGATACCTTCCAGCTCAATGCTCTCCTGTACCTTGGGTGTTGTCTTTATCCTAAGGATTCACAGTGGCTGCTTGAGAGCCCATTATCATGTTCACATTTCAGGCAGTAGGGTGCAGAAAAGGGAGAAATCAGGCATATCTCTCTGTTTGAGGACACACCCCAGAAATCACATACAACACATTACCTTTCAGTCCACCCAGGAGTTAGTCTCATGGCTTTACTGAGTCTGGAGAATGTAGTGTGCTCTGATTGGCTATACGACCTATGCCCATCTAAAATGTCAGGGGCTCCTTTTCTAGGGAAGAGGAGAAGAACACCTGGTGGTCCACCCTGCTGCTTCATGGTATCTCTGTATAGCCACCCATTCTTTTATTCTTCTGCCCAGGGAAACTGGGTCCCTCCTCTTTTTCAAAGCAGCACCTTTCACACATGCTGGTGATTGCATCCACTTTGATAACCATTCAAAACTGCTTTCTGGTTTTGGGAATTATGTTAAGTGTGTTCATTTCTCTTTTTATTTCTGGCAACAGACATTTCCCCTGCATCTACCATTTATCACATTTGATTTCTTTGAAGCTGGAGTTATTCCACAGAGGTTTATTTATTATGCTTATTGTTACGTTTTGAGTTTGCTTTAATTAAGAAACTGTGGCAGTGTATAATCTTTTTAGACACTTTATTAATGTTGTTATTTAAAAGTCTATAATTGATTAGGAATACATTACTAGTTTCAAGAAATGGTACACTGATTCCATTCCATTTTGTCTGGGCTATTCAGATTTAGGAGATTACCTGTAATCTTTTATTAGAGAGGACAATTTGGAGGTAAATTTCCATTTCAAGATTAAATGTTAACTGGGGCCATGATCCGTGTCTGGGTCTTAATTAATCCGTGTGACTGAGTCACAACACAGAGAGGCCAATGCCATTGGAAGGAGAATTTTTATTACTTACATTTTCCGAGAAAAAGGGGCACCCTATGCCATGCAAGTCCACATGTGGAAGCACCAGGCTTGGTCAGGACTAAGGCAGAAGCATGGTTTCTATGGAAAACCATGAAACCATCATGGATTCCATGGGAAAGGCAAGGCAGGAAGGGGGAACAGTTTAGGATTGGCTAGTTTGAATAATTCCAGTGGGCTCTGGGGCATAGGAGTTGTCCCTGGCTGTCTTGCACCTGGCCCTGGGATGATCACAGCACTAGAATATTGCCTCTTGGAGTGTAGAGTTAGAGTAGGTGCTTTGGAATAAGGGCTCTGGATTGGGTAGTTTACATATGATTGGCGTGTCCCTGCCAATCTCTTGGTTATCTCTAAGAACTGGCTAGCCTTGCAAGGGACAGTTTCTCTTCAGCCCACAAGATTTTTGAGACATAAAATCAACATAAGGTACAGAAAATTTAAAAAAATGATTAAACTTCTGGCCATCATTTTCTTAGTTCTCTTCTCAGGTAACTCACTACCTCCTCTTTTTTCTCTTGCTGTCATTTGTGCTTTTCTGTGAAGTTCAGACTTCAGCCATCTGCTTTTCTTTCTTTACCTATTTCCAGTCTGTTGCTGACTACATGCACCCTTGGTGCTTTAAACAATGCCCCCTTTCAGTCTATCAAGGATAGAAATATGGCCTTGGTCTAGGTACTCTCTGGGCATCTGCCTCCTCATCTATAACATGGGGATAACAGTGGGCAGTTTTATTTTTCCTCTAATCTATACCTTTTTTCTCAGAATCTGTAACCAGCCCTGCAAAGAGACCTCTTCCTAAGACAAGGGGTTGAGGATATTCTCTATCACAAAAATGTTTTCCTTGAAGAATAGGAGGGAAGATGAAACATCTATGGGTTAGATAGGAAAGGAAGGGGAGGAAATGCCCCAACGTCTGCATTCTATTTCCAGTACTTATTTCCAGTGTCTATTTTTAAGTGTGCTGTTGTGGCGAACTAAGATGAGACCGTCTGAGTGTAGTAAGTATCCATGCCCTCTTTTCTCAACTGGGTCCTCACTTCTGCAGGAGACTCCTTTGAGTTTTATTCCATCTGTCTATTCTCTGTTATGTCGCCTTCATACAGTTGTCAAAACTCTCCACCATCCAGTTGAATGTCAGCACTCTAATTTTGCTTCTATATTAGCTCTTATGGGCATTCATTTTAGACCTTTATAATATGAATGCCCACCATTTGCCAGCAAAGGCCATTCATTGCAGTGCAATAGGTCTTTGTTAATTGTCTTGCTCATTTCCCTCTGCGTGTTTTTTTCTCATGCTCATGCTCTTCCCTTTGCCTTGCATCCCTCTCACCTTCATCTTTCTTTTAAATGCAATCCTCTAGGCCCAGTGCTTACACTTCTGATTTCCTTCTCTGATATTTTGGGCCTGCATTGAGCTCCACTTTTTGAGTTGGAGTCAGCACCACTGAATGGCCCCTTGACTAACCCTAATTGCTACATATGTGTCAGTTTTTAAAATTGGACCTTAAGCTTTGGATGTTTGAAGATCACTTGGAATGCCCTGCCAATGTTAGATGTCTATGATAATAGTTGACACAGTCCATTTCCTGCCAGAGATCTCAGTATTACACTGTTTTTCCTGCTGCACCCACTGAGAAAGAGGCTAAGCTCTCTAAGTTCTTTGCTGCTTTATAATTCAGTGCCTCCCCCAATACAATCTCTTCTAGTAAGGCATTCCCTCCATCATCACTGCTGTTTTGTCTTATTGTTTTAAAACTTGGTCAATTCCATAAGCCTTGGTTTTCTTATCTGACTCTCCCTAGGCTGTCAGCCCTTGGGGGCAGCGACTTGCAATGCTTGGTACACAGTAAATGCTCAAGAACTGTTCTTAGTATGATTGAATGAATAAGAGGCCCAGCTGGATTGACACGTTTTATACTCCCATCCATGCAGACCCCACCATTTCTTTTTTCTGTTTGTTTTTTTTTTGAGACGGAGTCTCACTGTCACTCAGGCTGGAGTGCAATGGCATGATCTCGGCTCACTGCAACCTCTGCCTCCCGGGTTCTCCTGATTCTCCCTCCTCAGCCTCCCAAGTAGCTGGGACTACAGGCATGCACCACCACGCTTGTCTGATTTTTGTATTTTTTTTTTTTAGTAGAGATGGGGTTTCGCCATGTTGGCCAGGCTGGTTGCAAAATCCTGACCTCAGGTGATCCACCTGCCTCGGCCTACCCAAAGTGCTGGGATTACAGGTGTGAGCCACTGCGCCCGGCCTCCCATTTTATCTTGAAAGCTGATGTTTTACCAGCACTGAGAGGGACAGAATGTGCCATGAATTATGGATTCCATTTGATCCTTGTGGAGACAATCTCAATATTTTTCCCTTTGGGTGCTTGAGTGAACCAAATTAGCCCCACGCTTGTCAGATTCCTCCCTCTCTTTGTGCTGCAGATGAAAGTATAAGAAGTGAAAACTGGAACTCTCTTGACCTTTCCAAGTCTTCAAATAATGATTTTCTAGACAGATAAGACTAAATTGGTATTGGATCTCCGCTCGGGAGCAGGAAGGGTGGCTGTTTATGGGCTGCACGTGTGTTGCTCACTGTTTCATTTTCTTATTTTCTGCCTGGTGGAGGAAATTAAAACTCTGATGGTCAGATTCGGTGGTTCTAAGCCTCTGCCCCTTGCCTGCTGCTGCAGATGTGAGAATTAGGCTTATCTACCAGTTCAGGTGAGGTGGTCGATAATTTAAACACTTGACGAAATAGCCAAGGTAATAAGATCCTTAAAGGGCTAGTGAATTGTTAAAAAAGAGAGAGGGAGAAAGATCCACAACCAAAACCAAAACAAAAGGAAACAGGCAAAAATCCTCACCCTGTGCTTCCCAGCCACAGAGCAAAGGGTCACCTACCTGGAATAAGGTAGATGGCGTTGTCAAAATGGCCTACTTCATGGGCCTGCCTTCCTATCTGGACTGCCTCTGTACCTCATTCTTTCGAGTTGAAGTATCTAAAGTGGAGCTGTATGTTAACCTAGAGACACCTTGATGTTGGCTGGCATAAACACGACTATTATCCAGTTGTTTAGCTGGGCTGGAGGACCTGGACCACAAACCAGGTAAATCTTCAAGGGGAAAGGAGGGTGGCAAGGCTCGGAGGACAAGGGCTATTGCTACATCACTTGGGCAGCAACTGGAGGGCACTGGCTGATTTCCTGAAAACAGAGATTAGTGGTTGGTAGGAAAGGTCCTTAAAAAACACATGTAACCTACTTCTCAGTGTTGCCAAGACCAGATAGCAACAGCCTCTTCAAAGCATCCTTATCAAGGGCTATTAGTCAGTCCACTTTTATTGGGTGCCTTAATGTCTTGGGAAAATGAAAATCAGAAGATCAGATAGAAAATTGAAGTCATCTCATTTTATTCAGTTTAGAGGTGGGAATCGTTACAAAATGTACCTGCTCTTCTGTGTTACTAATCCTCTTATGGGGTGGCTTTAATCTCAAATAATATAATTCTGTACTATCTGGGATAAAGTATTACGGGAAATAAACCTTGAATATTTATTCCCTAAGATTTAGCAGAAATTAAGCTTTTTTCTCTGTTCTGTAATTGAAGGATACTGAGTGTCATTGCATCTGACTCTCACAACAGTGTGGCTTTTCTTCAAAAACCAGTGGAGCAGGTTTGTGGTTATTTCACACAAATAAAGAATCTGAGAGTCATAATGGAACACTAGCTAAAGCCTAAATAAGACTATACAAAAAAAAAAAACCCCTAATAAGATGCTGGAGTTTTTCTCTCCATCTTTTAATCTCTTGCTCTCTCTTAATATTTCTCTTCGCCTCTCCATCTTTGTCTCTGTCTCTCTGCGTTTCTGTCTCTATTTTTCCTTCTGTTTATAGAAGGAAGAGAGGTTTCTATTAATAGGTATCACATTGTCACTGTCTCCCATCACCTTTTCATTTCACTAAAAACATTTCTCCTGCCTGGGCATAATTAGGTTCAGAGCAGCATTTACCACTGTTCTTTAATTTACCTAATGAAAGACAAAATTACTATTTATGTGCAGTTTATGTAAATTTTTGCAGTCCTTAAGCACGAAATTATAAAATGGTATGACCCTTCCATTAAAAAGACTTAAGCAGTTCTAGCCTGCACAGAGCCTAGATGATCAGAGGTCCCTTCTCTCAGTCTTGAACAGACTTGCAAGGGGTTGATCCTAAGTCACACTTTCTAAAAGGCCGTTGGTAAGGTCTAGGATGAAGCAATGCTGAAAAATCATGTCTTATGAGCCAGGGGAGTCTGTAGCCTGGAAAACAAATGACTAAAGTGGGAATGTAGTGGTTGTCTTGTGTTAATGAGAGGTGAAGCCAGCTGGACTTCCTGGGTTGAGTGGGGACTTGGAGAACTTTTCTGTAGCTAGCTAGAGGTTTGTAAAACGCACCAATCAGTGCTCTGTAGCTAGCTAGAGGTTTGTAAAATGCACCAATTAGTGCTCTGTAAAAACACACCAATCAGTGCTTTGTAGATAGCAAGAGGTTTGTAAAATGGACCAATCAGCACCCTGTAAAATGGACCAATCAGCACACTGTAAAATAGACCAATCAGCACTTTGTAAAATGGACCAATCAGCAAAACATAGGCAAGGACAAATAAAGGAATACAAGCTGGCCACCCCAGCCAGCCCCAGCAACACGCTCAGGTCCTCTTCCACACTGTGGAAGCTTTGTCCTTTCCCTCTTCACAATAAATCTTGCTGCTGCCCACTCTTTAGTTCCGTGCCACCTTTAAAAGCTGTAACATTCACCACGAAGGTCCGTGGCTTCGTTCTTCAAGTCAGCGAGACCACAAACCCACTGGAAGAAACCAACTCCAGACACACTAAGACATTCAAAATGCTGTTAGGTTGTGAAGGGGCAGATTTTGTTCAGAACTAGGCCTGACCTCTAGGAGTTTTGGGCAGGGAGAGCTGAGCTTATTATAAGGAGAAGCTTTTCTATCAGAAGTACTAAGTAAAGTAGTGAGCCCTCTGTTACTTGCAGTATTCAAGCAAAGGCCAAATACTCACCTGTGAGAATGTTGTGGGTGAGATTCAGCTGGATTACACTGTGTACCCGAATCTTGGGTGAGGTTTCCCAGAGAATTAGCACTCAAACGAGCAGGAATTTTCCTGTATTTGAATTTCTACACCGGAAATACAATGAATCTCGGTTTGGGGAAGACAGGTAAACTTGAAAATACTTTAAGTCATGCTACAGTGAATGCATTGTAGATTCAAATAATAGAATCAATAAAAGATGAGGCAAAGAAATTAATAAAATTTTAATAGTGGTTTCTCTGTGTCTGACCTCACAATTCAAAATATCGGTGTTGTTATAAATAAATAATTTTAAAATAATTTTAAAATCATGCAATATAGCAATACAGTAAGAGATTACGGCAGCGGTTCTTATTTAGGGGTGATTTTGCCCCATCACCAGTGGACATTTGGAAACTTTTGGAGACACTTTTTATTGTCATGACTGAGGGAGTGCTCCCGGCATCCAGTAGGTGGAGGCCATGGATGCTGCTAAACATCTTACAATGCACAGGACGGCCCCCACGACAAGGAATTATCCAGTCCAAATATAGTGCTGCATTGAGAAGCCTTGTTCTGTGGAGATCATGAATGTAACTATAAGAGTAATAAAAATTGCTTCAACCACATCACATGGATTGAGAAAATGCTATACTTCAAATAACCGTTAAGGGAGTGAAGATGATGTGTTTTGAAGGGATGTGCTTTGAAGGGCTGTGTTTTGTGTTGTGTGACTCGAAATATAGCTCTGGTGACAGCAGACATTCTGTTGTCAGCAGTGTGTATGAAGAGTTTCAAGAAAGCTATTTCATAAGATGCGAGGGAGAAAAAGCCACATTTCTAAATCAACATGTTACTGTATATAATAAGTGACATTAAATGGTTATATATAACTAATTTAATGAAATAAATCATATAGCTATTTAGCAATTTTATCTGCTTTAAAAGTTGACATATGGAAGTGAGTCAGACACAGGTTTTTTAATTTTCTCATAGGGAAAATGGCTGCATGCCTTACATTCAGGGTAGCCTTGAATTTGGACATGTACAGAACATCGATTTCAGAGTCCTAAGTTCTGTGTTGGTTATGGCATAATTTTTTTGGTTATGATATAAAATTACTTCAATCTTATGAGCCTGGAAACAACTTCAAAAGGCAATCAAGTCTTTCCTGCTTTTATTTGCTTTAAAAAGATTACATACTGTAAAATTCAGCACATTGTATGAACTTTGACAAGTGGATAGTCGTGTAACCACCACCACAATCGAGATGCAAAATAATACTACCAATCCAGCAAACTCCCTCATGCTGTCCCTTTGTCATCAACCTCTTTCCTCTGTGTTCCTATTTTTATATTTATTCTTACACATTTTACAAGTAGAATATTTATTTTCAAAATAAACTTTTCTGCAGAGACCCAGCATCTAAATAAGACCCATGCAGAGCTTCTTTGGACAAAGCAAAGCATTGAGGCTCAAATCTATCTGCCCTGCTCCCTTCTGGCCTTAACTAGGGCCTCGGGGATTTTTCTGGGAAACTGATGCTCTGCAGAATAATCAACATCACTAATTAAATTCTTCCATCGATCCAAAGTTTGGTGAGCCCATAATTACAGTGTGCCAGGCTAGTAGCTGGGGAGATAGGAAGGAACTAGATAGACAGACAGGGTCCCTGCCTTTAGCAAGCTTAGAGTACAATACAGAGACATTCACCCAACATGCTTGTAAATAAAATGTAAAATGGAAAATTTGCTCAGTGTCAAAAAGGAAAATTACATGGTGCTTTGAAGGGAAGTGTCAGTTAAGCTTAGACAAGAACGGTGACCTCTGTGATAGAATTGCCGCTGGTCATCATTCATGTTCTAGGTAGAGGGAAGCTTCAGGAGGGCCCCCAGGTGGAAGTGCTTAAAAAGCCTTGAGAAAAGCTATGTGGTGAACAAGCAAGGAATTCCTGGAGAAGTAGGCATGAGTTGGGCTGAACAGGGCTTTGTGTGTCATAGAAAACAAATTAATAATACAAAATGGACTTTATCCTAAGGTTTAGAGTCACTGAAGGGTTTTAAGTAGGGGAGTGATATGATCGGATCTCTCTCTCTCTCTCTCTCTTTTTCTCTCTCACTGGCTGCTCCATGCAGAATGGATTAGAGTGTGGCTGGGCAAATGGAGAGGTGGTGGGAACAGTGAAAAAGCCTTTGCAGTAGCACAGTCAGGCGATGACAGTGGCTGGGCCAAGGAGGTGAAGCTGAAAATGAAAGCAAATCTGAGTGGGAGGTAAGATAAATGATGGCTTGAACTGGGCTGATGAGAGTGTCTGGGAGGTTGACCAAATTTCTGGCTCAAGTGGTTGCATTTACTAAGGTGCAGCCCTCTTGACAAGGATCAGGTGTATAAGGAGAACCAAAAGTCCAGCTCTGGAAAAGTTAGGTTGTGGTGCATGGGAGACCTCCAGAAGGAAACACTGATGAGGCAGATGGAGATCAAGGCCTGGCCTTTCAGAGCTGGCCTCCCAATTATCGGTTACTTATTCTTTGGAAAGACCCATGACGCCCTCATGCCTGGATTAGGTATTGGGGTGAAAATATAGCTGTGATGTGACTCTTGTCCTGGAACCACTGGAGAAGGAAATAGGATACATTTGGATTAGTGTTGTAAAAGAAATACGAGAGATCAGCAGAGGACAGAATTTTTTTTTGCCTAAGGGAGTCAGGAAAGCTACATTTCTATCTTTGCTAGATGGACGGTTTCCTAGATGGAAAGTGGGAAGTGCACCATTCTAAGGAGAGAAAGCAGTATATGCAAAGTTTGCAAGAAATGAAAATGAATGGTCCATGCAGGAAATTTCAACTAGTTTAGTGGAAGAAGGCGGTGGAGTCTGTGTATTATGGGAGGTGGCTGGAAATGAGGATTTCTGCGGTTTTAGTGTTGAACTTACACAACTTGCAAGGGAGAAGCCAGGAAGGGCTGCAAGGAGGGGAGAGATACCAGACATCACATCTGTGGCAAGAGACACCAGACATCACATCTGTGGCTGTAGACTGCAGTGTGGACTGCAGTAGGAGAGACTGGGGTCAGGGAGGATGCCTGGAAGGATGTTGCAGTTGCCCAGATGAAGAGGGGGGTCTCAAGGCTGTGGCAATAAGAATTGGAGAGAAAAAGATAATTTAGGGATTTAGGAGGCAGAATCTACTGGTCTTGGTGAAAGAAGAGATGAAAGGAACAGAATAATATGTTGTTTCTATTTTGAACAAACAGGCAGAAGTGATCCTGTTAACAACAACTGCCCACTCCAGATGAGAAGAAGTTTTGTGGTGAAGTGATAAATCCTGTGCTGTGCATGTTTGTGAGTTTTTGACGGGCCCCCATGGACCTTCAGTTGGCAATCAGGATGCTGTGAGCCTGTCCACTGTGACTTGCTGGCACATTGTCACTGACCTAGCCATACTGAATTGCTTTCCAGTGATTTGCTTATGTTTCTCTTCAGATTGTGAATATTCTTGAAGAAAGAAATGGTGTCATATTTTCTCTTTCTCTCCAGTGGATATGTCATACTTCAGTGTGTGTTAGAGATTTTTTACTTCAAACTACAATAAGAATTAAATTTTACATCATGCACAGACATCCATCTAAGACATACCTAAAACAAAAGCTTTATAAAATGCTTGCCCACAGCCTCCGCAGTGCACTTTTATGTCTCCTTTCCTCTCCTCTTCTCATTTCTCTCTTCATTTTCGATTTGAATTTTATTTTAAAAAGTTACCACTTCCTATATTTAATTTGGGACTAGTGAGCAGACTCTGGAGTGAGTAAGCCACTGACATACATCACAGGGTGTAAGAACAATCTTGGAATCCAAGTGAGACAGACTTAGATTTTGAATTCTACTCTGTCACTGAATAGCCATATGGTCTTGGCCACAGCATTTAGCTTCTCTGAGCTTCAACTTTCTCGTCTATAAAATGGAGATAAATGCCTGACTCATAGTAAAGATCAAATAAGATAGCAAATGCACATAAATGAACCTAGTTGCATCAGTTTGCTTTGCTGCTCTAACAAATCATCATAAAATTAGTGTTTAAAACAACACAACTATCTTACAGTTCTGGAGGTCAGAAGCCCAAAATGGGCCTTAGTGGGCTAAAATCCAGTTGTCAGCAGAGCTGCATTCTTTCTGGAGGTTCCGTGAGAGAATCTGTTTCCTTGCCTTTTACTGCCGTCAGCGGCCACCTGTCTGTATTTGTTGTCTCATGACCTCTTTCTCCAACTTGAAAGCCAGAAGTGTAACATCTTCAAATCTCTCTCAGGTTCAGGCCTTCTACCTCCTTCTTCCACATTTAAAAGGCCCTGTGTACACTGGTCTCATCCAGATAATCCAGGACAATCTTTTTGTTTAAGGTCAGTGAATTATCACCCCTATTTCCACTTGCAACCTTAATTACCCCTTGCCATTTAAAATAACGTATTCACCGTTTCTGGGATTAGGATGTGGACACCTTTGGCAGGCTGTTATTCTGTCCACCGGCATAGTACAATGAGTTGAACCTCACATATGTTCAATAAAGACTTGATGACATTGGAGTTCCCTTTTAACTCTAAGATTCCATGAAATTAAAAAAAATTATACCAATACAACACACACACAAAATCTAACCTATAAGTGCATATTCAATCTTAACACAGATTCCCATTTTACCTTTGGGAAACTGACATTGTCACTGGTAACTTGAGTTCTTTCCTTACTTTCTATTGGTTGCCAAGAAAGAACACCCAATTGGGAACAAAGTAAGCAGGTTTTATTCCTGGCCAGGGAGGAAGAAGGTGAGCTCTCACTCTGAAGATACCCTCTACCAAACAACAGAAGGCATGAGGTCTTTAAGGACTGGGTATGGGGTGGGAGAGGAATGTTAGTATGTGCAGGTTGGGACTCCAGACATGCAGACTCAATTCATGAACATATATCTTCATACAACCCAGGTAAAATGGCAGAGATTTTCTTTTTGGGAGGAAACATTGGGATTATAATATGTTAATTATCTAAAGGCATCTGGAGAGCCCTCTGTTCTACTGTGTGCCAGTTTGGGGGTCTTAGCTCCCTCTGGAATCTGGTCAGGGGTCACGAAACTCTGTTGCCATCCCGGGCCACCTGGTAGCAGCCGTAATGAATAAAGGACTAAAGAAAAACCATAAGATAAAGAACCTTCCCAGTTATTTCATCATAGCTGCCCTGGAAACAATATTTGAAACTAAGTACGTAAGTCCTCACTAATGTCATGGATAGGTTCTTGGAAACTGTGACTTTAAGTGAAGCTACACATAGCAGAGTCCTGGATTAAAGTCCTTTAGCTCAAAGTCATTTCCTTCAACATTCTTTTACAACGTTGTTGAAAAAAATAGTTTTTTTTTTTTTAATACATTGCTTCACTTAAACAGAAGTTTAAGATAGTCTTGAACTCAGGTATTACCATCGAAGCATCCTTTTAAACGCTTTGCTTCAACTGAGAATTTGCATACCTTTTCAATGTCAATGCTTAAGTCAGCAATAAGTGTGTTGATCAGGCCAGTCTTACTGAGTTCTCCTACAGGCTTTACTCACTCTCAAACTGATCATTTATCAATACTTCCACTTCCTGTAAGAGAGAAAGGAGAGGAGTGAGCAAAGAGAAAGAGAGAGAGAGAGGGGTGGGGGCAGGGAAGAGAATGAACAAGAGGAAACACATTCAAACGTGAGCTGTATGCAGTAGATGGTCAATACATATTTTGTGAATGAATGGTAAAAATAAAATCAATATTAAAAAAGAGCAAGAAGTATTTTTGAAAATGACAAAAACCAGATGCTTTTTCTGGGGATTGTGTCTTGAAAAAAGGAAGTGGAATTATAATAAGACCAAGTCTCAGTAAATGCTAGCATTACAATTATTTTACATATTTTTAAAGTGTTTCTCCTAGACTACACGTAGGACCATGTACAAGGCTCTTGCTGTTTTATGCTGGAAAATCTGCCTCCCCTGCCGATGAGATTACAGAGTGGAATCCCTGTATACTTAGCCAGCCTGAAGCCTGCAATCAAGGCGGCACCTAATTCCCTAGCACCTTGACTGCCAGAGATTTGAATGGAGGATCAACAACAGCACAAAAGGTTTCTGGGAGCTCTTGAAGCAGCTTACGCAGCAGGGAGAAAGCAAGTAGAGGATGGGGAGTTGGGAACCACAAGTTGAGTTTATCACAACTCCTCCTTCTCTGAGGAGGTGAGATCAAGCAAGACCAAGCCCTTAACAGCCAGCAGAAAGGAGGTGAAGGACATCACATTCATTTCTATGTGGGGCCCTCATGGCATCAAGCTTGAGGAGTTTTGCAACCATATGAATGATGGATTGACTTTTTCAGACTCCATTTGTTCTTCCCCACTCATGAAGAATTGAAGTTTTCAATTTTTCAGACATTTTGCCTCTAGATGAATGATTGAATCATGTAGTTGTCAGCTGATGTCTGATATCATATTGATTCAGGTTAGGGCTGCCTAGAATATGAGGTTGTTTGTTCTTCTGAAGCCATGAGAAGGGGACTTGCTGAGCACATTTCTGTAACCCAGTGCCTACTCCAGAGCAGACCCTCAGTAAATTTTTGTTGAATTTAAGAGGTGATAGATTTAAATTGCTTCTCAACTGACTTTTGTACCCATTTTCTTGACTGCTGGCCAACGAATTCCATGGGAATGAACCCTACCGTTTTTGTGAGATAAGATTTCATAGTGGTAAAAAGCAAAAGCTCTGGAATTAGAGCTAAGATCAAATCTTTGTTTGCACAATTACTTACAAGCTATGTGACCTTGAGACAGTTATTGAAATTATCCAAGCCTCTGTTTACCCATCTGTAAAGTGGGAATAATAACATTGCCTACCTTATAGAATTCTTGTGAGCATTAGTTAAGCATTAGGGGAGACACTGATTCAGGTTGATCGTTTCCACTGCTTGGATGTAATGGATTGTTGTGTATCATTTTCATTTCCCTCTGGTTGTAGCTCTTGCCAGAATGTATTCTTCTTCAGGATGCTTGGACTTTTTAGCTGCAGGAACCAAGAGAAGATGATCCAGAGAGAGAAGCCTCCTGAGGGGTAGTGCTGGGGGGAGTCCAGCCCTATGGGAGCATTGTCTGCTGCCTGAAGGGGCTTCTATAAGTGTATCTTTCTTCACCCCAGGGTGGATTTTATTTCTTAGAGCAATACCTCTCAGGTCCTTTGGCTATCCTTATCAATTCCACCACCTCTGGAGAGAGGACTGTGATGGGGAGGCCTTGGGGTCAAGTTTTCAAGAGGAGGCTCTATGAGAGGCCTCAGAGCATTGTCAGTAGAGCAGCCTGTGAGCCAGCTTGAAAGTGCATGCAGATGGCATGGAGTAGCTCTGCTCACCTCTTCCTCTATCTTGCCCACATCCCCTCAGCCTTCCAGCAACCACTGCTCAGCTCAGATCTTTCCCTCAGGAAGTCTCTCCTTCATGATGTTCTGTCCCTGCCACTGTGAGCTCACCACACATCTTTCTTAGCGTTATGTGGTAATGGCTGGTTTATGAGAGCACAGATAATAACGTATTTATCTTGATATCTTAGGCTACTAGTAGAATACTGGCACATCATGGGAGCTCCTTGACTTTTTCTACCCTTCCAGAGTTAGGATGCTTTTGGCTGCAGGTAACAGAACCCTCGATGAACACTAACTTTATTTCTAAAGATGTTCATTAACTTACAAAGCAGTTTAGAGGTAGGCAGTACCAGGGTCTTTTGATGGTTCAACAATTTTGGTTGGGAGTCCAATCTTCATGGGTGTCCAGTCTTCTGTCTTCCCTGGGCCACACCAAAAGAAGAATTGTCTTGGGCCACACAAAAAATACATGAACACTAACAATAGCTGATGAGGTTAAAAAAAATCACCAAACCTCATAATGTTTTAAGAAAGTTTACAAATTGATGTTGGGCCACATTCAAAGGTGTCTTGGGCCATGGGTTGGACAAGCTTGCTTTATATTTTTCTTCTCTGAGACCTTGTGCTGATGCTTCAGCCTCGGGTTATTACCTCATGGTTATAAGATGGCTGGTCCAACTCCAGGGCCCTGTGTTCTCAAAGAACTGCCACAGGAAGGGTGGTACCAAAGCTCTCAAGCTCTCTCCTCAGAGAGGTCGTATCTTTTTATTCTACACATGAAGGCCGCCTATGAACTTCCCCTTATGAATCATTGGCCAGAACTGTGTCCACCCCAAGACCAATCTATGGCTAAGATAAGTGGATTTCGTATTGAGTTAGAATGATCATGACTCATACCCTGAAAGGTGGGCTTGGGTTCTTCCTTCCTTCCCTGTGATCAAGGAGCCTCAGCCCATTAGCAGGGAGATGGAGAGGAATTGCCTGTGGGGCCAACAGTGAACATCTCCTACATGCTCCCCTTCCAAATTCTTTGCCCTGCCTGCCTCCTTCCTGGGGACCTAATCTATGACCCATGCTGTGACCTTAGTTTTCTTCTAGAGGTCAAAATCCCCATTAGACTAGTTGTTCTGAAGGGTTAAGAAATAACCCCTGCCACATGTTCACTTTTGCTATGTTTGCCTGTTCTGTCTCTCTCAGCACAGTATTAAATCTTCAAAGATAAAGACACCAGCCTGGCCAAATGGTGAAACCCTGTCTCTACCAAAAAAATACAAAAATTAGCTGAGCATAGTGGCACACACCCTGTTGTCTCAGCTAGTTGGGAGGCTGAGATGGGAGGATCACTTGAGCCTGAGAGGCAGAGGTTGCAGTGAGCTGAGATCACACCACTGCACTCCAGCCTGGGTGACAGAGTGAGACACCATCTCAAAAAAAAATAAGATAAAGATGATATCATATTCATTTTTGTCACTAGTACCTAGCACAGATCCTGGCAGATCCTGGCAGTTCAATAGGCTTACTGAATGAAACAAGTGACTGAAATCTGAAATTTAGTGAGAAAGCCCTGTAGACTGGGGTAAGGATGAGGTTCCAGTTCAGTAAATAACTTACCTGTGTAGCGTAGAAGAATAATTTTCCTAAATGCAAGGCTAGTGTCACACTCATGTCTATCTCTCTTGCAATGAGAATGCCGGGCCACTGCACAGGAAGGCTCACTACATATTTATGGCATTGAAGTGGATGTCCTCAGGAGAGGAGGATAGACAAGTGGCCCCCAGCTTGCCACCGAGGCCCACTTGCCCGGGGATTCAGCAGCTTTGGAGAGGTCATCAGATTGCTTGACATGTCATTCACACTACTGTACATGGTTCTTTTTTTGTTTGTTTTGTCTTTTCTTCTACACTACTAAATTCTTAAGCACTCCAGTATCTCTGGAGCCATAGGAAATGGTTATTTCCTAGGATGGGGAAATCCTTTGAAAAAGGCTTATCTTTGCCTCATAGGCTACAAGTCATCAGGACTGACCCTCTCTTTGAGCTTGTTTTCTTGTTCTCTAAATTGTTACTTGCTGTTGAGGATGCCCCATCCCTTGCACATTAAAAAATACACAGTTTAATTTTAATCCAATTCAAGGATTAAAATCCAATCCAAAATGCACTTTTAATTAATTCAATTTCCTATAGCTTATGTACTTGCAAATATATAATTGATACCAACTTTCCAGAGAATAAGGAAGGCTGGAGTCATGCTATGACACATTTACTTGATATACAGTGTCAATATCCTAAAAATTGCATGAACCATTGATGTTTATGGGTAGAATATCTCAAGGTTTACACATTCTAGTTGTACAGGAAGTTGTACAGGAGTCTAATAAACAGACCTTGCAGAGGTCAAGATGGAGGTGAGGACAACAGGCAAGTAGGAAAGAATCATGGGTCAGTGCACTTTTTCATCCATTACCCCTGCCATCCCCTTTAGATTTTTTCATTGACCACAGATGGATAAGGCTGAGGGTATACCTGGGGTTCGAGCCTATGGAAGGCATGGCTCTTCTGAGCACACATGACATTGAAATAATTTGATGGAAGTGCAAGAAATGCACTATTATCTTGAGCCTACTAATACCTGTACATCTCTACAATCCAGAGGAGATAATTAATTCTGATGATGATCCCAATATTAACCCTTGACTTGATTATTATAGCTTTCTGAATTATGTCAGGTGCTGAAAGAACATATTTATGTGGTAAGTGTATTTTGTTTGAGATGGACAAAAAGTGAACGACGTGTAAGAGAATACTATTTTGAAACATATAAATACATATAAATATATATAAACATATAAATGTGTGTTTATGTGTTATAACATATAAACTAGACATCATCTGCTAGACATCATCTTCTAGGGGCAGATAAACTAGGTGTGGAAGGGAGAAGGTGGCCTTGTCCCCTCTCCTGCATAAGCTCTCCGGTTAAATGCAGCTGAGAGCTTTGACTCTTGCCGGGAACTGAACAGTTTTATTAAGAAAAAAGATTGGGAGTCTAAAGTAGAGAATTTTCATGTAATAAAATTGCGCTTGTATTTCCTAAATTTATACAAATAAATAAAAGGTAGAGGGTTTTTATAAGGTACAGGAGTGACAAAAAATATAAAATCTTTTTTTAAAACATAGGAAAGAATTAGTCTCATAAAGCAGGTTTGAGTTGAATGGGCATAGAGAGGAGGAAAGGTTTTTTTCCTGCACTCCCTCTTGCAAATGTATGGCTTCATTCCTAAGCATCACGTGATCATAATATAATGATTGCATTAACACCAAAACACCCAAAACAGGAAACAGAACAGTAACCTGAAATGTATGACAGCGATACAGTTTTTCTTGAATTATGTCACAGAATATGAAACTGAGTGTAACATATTTATTCTCTTAATTGATATAGAATAAGATACTGAGCCACAGGCTTATGCACCTTCCATATGCTTAAAACCATCCTAAAAAATCAATTAATCGTAATGTGAAATTTCTTGATAGAGCTCAGAGAAGAATTTGACAATAATTTTCCTAAATGTCTTTTACTGTCTGCAGCAATAAAAACAGCAAAACCAGAGATTTTACTTTGCAAACATGTTCCATGAAGAAACAGGTAATTACATTTTTATCAACTGCACTTCCTGCCTTTTAAAAATGATTGCATTTTATCCACCTCTAAAATGTTTTGCCTTATCTACTGTTCTGGGCAAGAGCAGCAAATAGTGCAGTGATAAGCTCGATAATTACGGACACTGTGGGCTCTGGAAGGGTTTAATGGCTGGAGTCAATGGGCGGCATTATTATCTGAGGCCATCACACTGGGTTAAGTGTCTTTCACGACAAATTTTCAGAGGATCTCAGTGTGTCTTTCTTCTCATCAGTGTAGCCTAGTGGGAGGTGGTGTTGGACAATATTTAAATACAAGGGCTTTGTAGATGATAGCCCCAACACAAGCCTCTATTTTGCTTGATAACCATGCACTCTTGGGCAAGTCACGACTTACTTAAGCCTTGGGTTTCTTCTGTATAACATTATTATTATTAACTACTGTCGGTTAATATGAAGAATAAATGTAATAATATGGATAAAGCACTATCACGGTACCAGGTAAAGGACACCAAAAGACTGATAAAATAAACAGAATTATTTTAGAATAATGATATAATGGTACTGACCTGAATGACAGGATAGAATTAATATTATTAAAAGAATAAAATAAAAGCAATGAAATGAAAATTGGATAACTCTGTAAAAAGACAATGATAAAACAGTGTAAAATTGATAGAATTATTATTATAACAAAATGGGCACATGTCACAACCCAAGACATAAATTCTTCCTCATTAAAATTGTTTTGTAACTAGGATAGGCCTGGTATTTTCTTTGATAACTCAGGAAATAATGAATAATTATGTAAGCCATTTAGGACTATTTCTTTTAAAATAACATATGCAAAGCACTTGGCATACTGGAAGACTCACTGAATTTGTGTTTGTGTCATTTCTTTGTAGTATTCTTAGCTCCAGTCAGGAAATGCCATTCTCCCAAGGCTTTGCATATAGTCTCCTCCCAATTGTACTGTTGATGCTTGAACTGTATTTGAATTACCCTAAAAAGGTATGAGCACCCTTCTCTGAACATAAACTAATTGCTCCTTATGGACTCCTGTTTCTAGAACTATAGATAAACTTACAAATCTCTCTCTCTTGCATACAAAGATGAGAGGGGATTTTTCCCTGGAGAGGAGTTAGGTGTTTCCTTTAACCTAATGAAAAGACTGCAAAGTACTAGAAATAGCCAGCCTGTAGCTTATTCCCTACTGATCACATTGATCCCAGGTTTATATCTGCGGCCATTACTTGCAGAAGTGGACTCTGTCTGCAGCTTTGAATCAGTGCCATTCAGCCCCAGGCTGAGGGCTCGAGTGTCCCCAGGGGCGCTGGTGCATATGGGGAGGGTCTGGGGCCAGACAAAGCAAGGGGATGCTTGTTTGCTTGTTTCTCTTTTTGTTGTTGTCGTTGTTATTGTTTTTTTCTCATTGGTTATTCTGCTAAGGCTGTCCAGGCTTTGCGGGAGGAGAGCTGAGGTGGCAGAAAGAGGGAAAGCACAAACACCCATCAACACAGTGTGCGGGGCTCCATTGTGCTCAGATTTTGCCCATCCAGGTGTTCTCTGGTTTACAGATTATTAGACACTTCTCTTTTCTCTGTCCTTTCCTAGCTGGAATGCCATCTGGCTTTTCCCTTTGGGTGTCATTTCTCAGACAGTGACAGTGATAAATAATAAACATAAACCATCCATTTTCCTCTGGCCAGCAGCTTTCTAAGGGCCATAAAGACATATGTATGCACTTAACGTGGAGTCACCTCTCTCCTTGCTCATTTATTTGCTGCAGCTTTTATTCTACTTGCTCTGTGTTTATCTCCTTCATTAGTAGCCTCTCACAGATCACAGGAGTAATCTATTTTTCTTTTCATTGTTTCCTCCCATTATAACAATAACCTGCCAATTTTAGAAATTTGACATTTCAGAAAATTGGAAAGTAAGAAAAATAAAACACTGCTGAAATCCCACCACTGAGAAATACTAGCTATTTACATTTTGCTGTATTTCTCTCGACACACACACACAGTTGAAATCCTATTACCTATTTATTTTTATGTCTGGTTTTCTTTAACTTAACATTTATAAGCATTTTCTTATATCAAAAACATGTTTTTTATAACTTTAATGACTAATAATATTCCATTGTATGGCTATTTCCCATTTATTTAACCTTTCCTTTCTTTTTGTGTCTAATTTTTTATTGTCATAGACAATGCCGCTGTGAGCACCTTTTCCCATACCTCTTTGTTGGTCCTGGAGAGGTTGAGATACATGGTGTTAAACTGCTCTCCAGCGGAGCTGTGCCCATTTGCAGTTTCTTCCATGGTGTGTCAGAGTTCATCTCACTCCCTCTAACACCAGGAAGTATCACATTTTATTCCCTATCTTAGAAACTTAAGAAATGACATTTTACTGTATTATAATATATATTTCTTTGACAATTAATATAACCTGTATGGCCTGCTTTATGTACTCAGGGTACAAATGTGATCAATTTGCTCTAGTTTTTACAAAGGGTTATTTAAACATTATTGCCAATATTTGCAAGAGGTTTAATATGTCCATCCTGAGACCTCCCGGCAACACCCCCATCTCAGCCTCATCTGACAGTCCACAGAGTGGAATTGGTTCAACTTCCAAATGTTGGAGAAGGAGATAACTGGAGTCTCAGCAGCATCTTCTGCCAGAGGTTGCCAATGGGTCTCTGTTGTAGACCGTTCTTATACAGTTCAGGTCCTTATCTGTGGACCTTTCACTTGCTCACCCATTGGTGCCAAGTTCACAGTGGTGCTAATTTGGCTGGGTGTTGGGGAGGGGCATGCTTATAGCATCCACCATGCTACCCTAGATACAGCCTGTGAGCTTCTGGGCCTCCTGTTGTGCCTGGGTCATTAGACCCTCACCCTCTTGGTGAGGTCCCTTTGGTGCCTTGGATATCCTTCCTCTTGACAGACCTTAAGGGTCAGGAGCACCTGGTCCAGCCAAAGTGCCAGTTTTGAATCTGGGGCTAGGGACAAGACTATGAGCACCAGAAGGACCCTGGGCTGCCAATGCAAACTGATCCAGCCGTCCAGATCTGCGCACCAGAAAGAGGTCATGTTTGCTAAAGCACTGGGGGAAAGTATAAATTCTCTGGGGTCTGACTGCCTCACTTTGTTTTCTTCTTTTTTAAATTTTATTTTAAGTTCAAGGGTACATGTGCAGGTTTTGTTATATAGGTAAACTCATGTTGGGGTGGTTTGTTGTACAGATTCTTTCATCACCCAGGTATTAAACCTAGTACCTAATCGTTATTTTTTTTCATCCTTTCCCTCCTCCCAGCCTCCACCCTGTAACAGGCCCGTGTGTGTTGTTCCCTTATATGTGTCCATGTGTTCTCATCACTTAGCTCCCACTTATAAGTGAGAACATGTGGCATTTGGTTTTCTGTTCCTGTGTTAGTTTGCTAAGGTTAATGGGCTCCAGCTTCATTCATGTTCCTGCAAAGGACATGATCTCATTTTTTCTTATCTGTATATTATCCTATGTTGTATATGTACCACATTTTCTTAATCCAGTCTATCATTGATGGGCATTTAGGTTGATTCCATGTCTTTGCTATTGTGAACAGTGCTGCAATAAACATATATGTGTATGTGTCTTTATGATAGAACAATTTATATTCCTCTGGGTATATACCCAGTAATGGGATTGCTGGGTTGAATGGTAGTTCTGTTTTTAGGTCCCTAAGGAATCACCACACTGTTTTCCACAATGGTTGAACTAATCTACAATCCCATCAACAGTGTTATAAAGCATTCTTTTTTCTCTCCAACTCTCCAGGATCTGTTATTTTTAGCCTTTTTAATAATAGTCATTCTGACTGCTGTGAGAAGGTACCTCATTGTAGTTTTGATTTACATTTCTCTAATGATCAGTGATGTTGAGCTTTTTCTTGTATGCTTGTTGGCTGCATGTGTATCTTCTTTTGAAAAGTGTCTATTCATGTACTTTGCCCACTTTTTAATGAAATTTTTTGATTTTTTTCCTTGTAAATTTGTTTAAGTTCCTTATAGATGCTGGGTATTAGACCTTTGTCAGACACATAGTTAGCAAAAATTTTCTTTCATTCCGTAGGTTGTCTGCTTACTCTGTTGATAGTTTCTTCTGCTCTGCAGAAGCTCTTTAGTTTAATTAGATCCCATTTGTCAGTTTTTGCTTTTGTTGCAATTGCTTTGGGTGTCTTTGTCCTGAAATCTTTTTCCATTCCCATGTCCACAATGGTATTGCCTCTGTTGTCTTCCAGTGCTTTTAGAGTTTTGGGTTTTACATGCACTGACTGCCTGACTTTGAATCCTGGTATTACCATTTCCAAGATGGGCCATATTGTGCAATTTGCTTCATCACTGTAAGCCTCAATTTCCTCATTTATAAAAGAAGGATTATGTGAGTACCTTTCTTATAGGATTCTGGTGAGGATGAAATGAGGTAAAATGTGAAATATATTGTGTAATTCTTGGCAGAAAGATATTCAACAAGAGTTAGCTGCAAAACTATTATGATACACAAATCCCAAAAGGTCCTATTATGTGAAAATGTTTTACTCCATTATGTGGAGAAATTGCTGGAAACTTATTTCTTGCTTAAAATTCTGTCTTGACTTCACTGATTAGTAAGGTTAAACTTTCCCCCCCAGCTTTATTTGCTATGTTTATTTGTTCTTTGGTGAATTGCCATTCAAGACCTCTCCCATTTTCTACTTTCTTTTTTAATGACACTCTTTATTTTTAGATAATTGTATATTGACATGCACTAATAAGAAATAACATAATAATAAGAAATAATACAAAGAGAGTCCATGTAACTTTTACCTCAGTTTCATATGTACACACACACACACACACACACCTATACACACACACACATCACATACAAGTGAATATATGTACACATGTAAGTGAATATATATATTCACTTATTTATTCTCTTTCCTTCTTGTTCGGTTTGGAAATTTCAATTGTTTTATCTTCAAGGTCACCAATTATTTCCCCTGCCTTCAACATTGTGCTGTTGGGTCTAGCCACTGAGTTTTATTTAGGTTATTGTACTTTTTAGTTCTAAACTTTCCATTTGGTTCTTCTTTGTATCTTCTGTTTATTTGCTGAATCTTTCTGTTTTTGTCTTTTGTTTCAAATGTGTTCCTAATTCACCTTAAGTATTATACAATGACTAACATTTATCTGTGTTGTTGTCTATTTTTTTTTCTATTCAAGTTGAGATTTTTCTGGTTCTTTGTATATCTTGTGATGATTTTTTATTGAAACCTGGACATGTTTGGTATTATGTGTTGAGACTTGGGATGTTATCCAGACCTTCCATTTTTGCTGTCATTTTGTAGCATTGCTCCATTAGAGGAAGGGGCCGCACCACTCATTACTGCCAGGTACGGGTGGGAATCCTGGTTCCTCACTTGCTCTCTGTTGGCACCAGAGGGGTCATTACTGCTGGTTGGGGTAGGAGTTCTGGCTTCCCACTAGGTCTTTGCTGACACTACCTTGCCTAGGAGAGGGATGGATGCCTTGTTACTGCTCCTGCAATGGCCTTTGCTGATGCCATGAGGCAAGGGTGCTCTCATCATCCCTGGATGGTGGTAAGGATCTTGATTCTCCACTAGGCCTCTGATACCAATCCACCTTGCGACTGCTGGCAGGCGAGCTGTTACTGGGATGGTTCAAGCTTCCTACATGGTCTCCACTTGCACTGTGACAGTGGGGGACATTGTTACTGCCCAATTGGGTTGAAAGTCTGGGCCCCTTACCTCCTTACTTTGCCTTCTCTGACATCACCCCGGTGTGGGGTAGTAGGGGCACCTTGTTAGTCAGAAGAGGGTGGAAGTCAAAGCTACCCATGAGGTCTTTGCTGGTGTGGATGGGGTTTGAGTGGAATAGAGCAAATTATTATCAATAAGTGATCTGTCTCACTAGGTTTCCTCTTTCTTGGGGGTCTTTTTGGGGTGATATTTTGTTTTTGGCCTGCCCTCATCAGTATTTCCAGGTTGCTGGCTTCTTCAGCTCCAAGTCTGGGATACTCAAGGCAAAACAAAACAAAACAAAAAAAAAACAACCAACCCAGGCCACTCAGCACCACATTGGGTCCGAGGTCCCTAGCCCATCTGCCTTCCTTCTTCTCGCCACCTTTCAGAGCCTTCTCATTTGTTTTATATTTAATGTCTAGAGTGTTTAATTGCCCTTAGTGGCAGGAATTGAGAAGCTTACATCTATTCTATCTTTTCAGGAGTGCAAGTATCTCCCTACTCCCTTACAAAAATAAGGTTTTACCCTTTTTCTTTTATACCTTTTCCAAGTAAATATTAAGGATATCAACCTCCTGACTGTCAGAACTATAAAATATAGATTTTTTTCATATGTGGTTATTTGTATGCTTTTCTAAGAGCTGAGCTTCATTCTGTGGGGGCATTTAAAAAATCATGTTTGTGATAATGATAAGGTACAAAGCATTGCCTAAAAAAAAAATGTTTAGCTCTTTGGGCAGGCTGAGGTATCTAGGGTCTGCCCTGTTGCCATGGATACATAAGTGATAATTAGTTCAGAAGAGTTCAGTTTCACTGGCAGATTTAAGATTTGCATGTTCATGTCCTTGAGTAGGAAGTGGGACTTTCAGGGGACTGACCAAGAAACTGCTGTCAACACAAGATTTGCTTTGGGTTCTCTCTGGGCTGAGAAAGTTCCTGTTAGTGATCCGGGATCCATGCTGGCTCTGCTGATGGATATCAGTGAGATCTTCATGCCTTGGACACAGCTGCAGTGAATAACCTGCCCCTTTGGCTAAACAATGGGAACCTGCTCTTTATGACTGAATGTTGCAAAGTCGAGACTCTCCTGGGACTCAGTGACCCTGGGTTTATACTTTATATGGCATTTTCAGGTAGCTGCTGGGCTTTTTGGTCCCCATAATGAGGGGTGGTCCTTGGGAAAATTGTGACCCTGGGGATATGATATTGGGTGACTCCATATCTGTTCTTTCCCTTTATTTACTCATTTATTGAATCATTGATACCATTGTTCATCAACTTATTAAATTACTACATTATTTTTGGGAGTCATGGAGGAAACATGAATGAAAAACATCCTTTTTCCTGACAGAGTGATAGCGGCAGGGAAGACAATGATCATTACGTTCAGTGACACAATGGAGAGGAACATGCGATCATCCCAGAATGCAGAGTAGACAGGGATAGGCAGTCAAGGAGGCCTTCACTATGGAGGGGACATCTCAGCTGAGTCTTGCTGGGAAAAAGGAATTAGCCAAGTACAGAAGGAGCAGGAGACTGGGGCTGACCACTGAGGCAGAGGGAACAGAGAAATGTGAGGTGTCCTGATAGGTGAGAGAGGAGAGGGCCCAGGGGATAGAATGGCTTAGATTGAGGGAATATAAATAGCCACCTGCCCTTGCCAGTAGTGAAAGTAACAGAGACATGCAAGCAAAACCTTCAACAGATTTCTGTTATTTCAAATGGAACATATCATAAAAAATTAGACTATCCACTATGGTTAGTCTTATCGTCAGGCTTTCCAGCCTAGATTTAAGCCTGAAGACAAGGGACAACCATGAGAAGTCAGTGGCACAATGTCCCAGAAATGTCATTCTTTCATGTGGAAGAGGAATGGACTGGACCTTTTGTCATGAGTGTGGTCACTGGCCACTTCAGTCTTGGAAGAATTCAGTGTGTTCATTGTACTAAGATATCAATGACTTTACATGAACCCAAAGCAGTATTTTGTGTCTCTGTTTTAAATGATGATTGGGAGAATGTAAAAGTCCCAGTTTTGGGGTAAACCCTCAAGCCATACTACCTACATGGACATATTGTGGAAGTTGAGAATCTGCTGGCCTTTCTTTCCCATAAGCCACAGTTAACTGAGATTGGCTATCATCAGAGAAATTCTTTTCCACCCATCTATTTATGCAAATAACAGAAGGGCCTCTGGTGAGTTGTGAAGATTGTCCGGAATGAGAATATAGCTACTATTCAATGCTTTGGAAAAATGATAAAAGTTGCTGGTAAAAGGGGTAAAGGCTACTTCCCATTCATTATTTTCCTTTGGATTAGAAACCATTAAAATGTAAATCAAGCCTTGAAACACTCAGTCAAACAAACATGGGAAAACATAGGACAAAGGGTGTTTGAGGTAGAAGATGGGTTGAGGGATATGATATTTTCTATCCCCAAGAAACAATATTGCTTTCATCAAAGGGAAGAAAAAATAAGTTCTCTGGCTTTCTGTGTCCTGAGGCTGAGTTTAATTAAGGCAAGAAAGGGCAGACAGAACTGATAAATAAAACAAAACCTAGATCTGTAGGAAACTGCCCTGGAGAAGTTAGAGGAGTGCAGCGATGATAATTATCATTACATGAGGGATGAGATATGTCAAGGAGAGAGGATGTCATGTGGACAATATAATGAAGTGCCATATGGGAGGGGATAGTAAAATCCAAACACCTTTTATGATACCAGAACTAAGATGCGGGGAGCATGCTCAAGCACCAGTTCTTTGCAGTTTGACAAAACAGATCTTAGATGTCTTCCTCTTTATCAACTTAGAAGATGGAACAAGTGGGACCTGTGGGGTGATGTCCTTGGCCCAGTGCCACTTATGAAAGAGGAACACTGAGAGATAGATTGTATGTATAGTAAGGGTCATATTTCAAATGATCTCAGGGCAAAGGAGATATGGACAGAAGCATAAGAGGTAATAAGAATACCCGGAGCAAATGAAAAGCCACATTGTCAAATGTAGGATGGCAAACCCAGGTTTGCCCCTTTTTGTCTGGGTGACTTTGGGCAGGTCACAACTTCTCTATTTATGAGTTAGTCAACATACAGGGCTAAACTACATCTACTTTATTTTAGGGGTTGTTACAAAGATTAGATACATTAATATCTAAGGCACTTAAACAGCACCTGGCATACAGAAAACACAATATACAAAAATTTTAAAAACTTTTGTGATGAGAGTTTTCTGCCTAACCCACTAGGCTGTCTGGGGACCCAATTTGAGATAGTAGAAAAATAAAAACAAAAGGCATTGGGTAGCTCTGAGCCAACCTATAGAAGAGTCTAGAGTTAAGGCAGTGAGAAATAAACACCAGCACCCAATGGGCCACGGGAAGCAACAGGATCATAAGGGGGAGGCTAAGCCATGAGTCTGGGAGGACTGGAGAAGGCCTGGAATCCAAGCTTGGTTGGATCAAGCTGAGGGCAGTGTGCAAGCTCTTAATAGGCAGGGATTTATGTCACTTTTGCTCGTTCTTATAAGCCCATGCCCGGAACCATGCCTGGTACATAGTAGATACTCTCTAAGTATTTGTTGAGAAAATGGCCGAAGTGTTAAGTGGGCTGTGGACATGTTGGCTTGTATAAAGGAACAGGATCAGGATGGACAATCATTAGAGGTAAGCAACCTTAGAGGTCCAGAGAACTCCTAAACAGTCTGGGTTTTCTGCAGTGACCATAAGCAGAAAATCCTGAAGCTGGGATAACAGAAGAAACCCAAAGTAGGATTAAAGAAATAGAAAAATAATATTTCAAAAGAAATGAACAACTTGGATGCTCAGAATTATGGAGCTAGAATAAGGAGGGCTGAGGAATATCAATTAATGTATTTTTCTCTCTCTCTTCGTCCCTCTTTATGGTTGACTCTGTCTTTCATCTACTTGTCTTCTCTGTCACAATGAAGCAGTTGCCTTCAAATTTTTTTTACATTATAGGTTTAGGGAATAATGTGCAGGTTTGTTATATGGGTATATTGAATAATGGTGGGGTTTGGGTTGCTATTGAACCCATCACCCCAAATAGTGAACATAGTAACCAATAGATCATTTTTCAATCCTTGCTATCCTTTCTCCTTCCTGCCCCTGTCCTTGGAGTCCCCAGTGTTTATTGTTCCCATCTTTATGTCCCATCTTTATGTCCATCTCAGTCCATTTAGGACTGAGAAGAATTCTCAGTCCTAAAATTTGTTAGTTACTAAGGCAAGTGGAGAAAACCCTCTTTTCTAAAAGGGTTTAGAACAGAGTAGTATAAATTCACCAGTAGTATAAATTCTCCATTCTCTAGAGTGCTCTATGATCCAACAGGAAGTAGGAGAATGGACAGGATAATCTCACAAGGGCCCTCTATACACAAGGGAGGACATGGAATTGAAGACGACTTTGAGAGGTTCAGCCTTGCAAAGTGGAACTGGGAAGTGGGAAAAGAAAAGGAGGAAGTCCAAAGGCTGGTCAAAGCAGTGGCAGCATTCCCTACCTGGCAGACCAAAGAAGAAGATGTGAATCCTTGGTCCATTCATGATTAGTTCCTTAGTTTTTAGCCTTTTTGGGATATTGTGACAGTGATGTATAGGATGGTGGTGGTGGTGGTCTCTGTGTAGGTGACTGTGTGTGTACATATGTGAGTTTGCGTGTGTATATATATATATATATATACCTCAGAGATATTGTGGGTTTGGTTCCAAATTACCTCAATAGAGTGAATATTGCAATAAAGTGAGTCACACAATTTTTTTGTTTTTCCAGTGTATATAAAAGTTATGTTTATATTATACTATAGTCTAGTAGTATGAAGGAGCATTATGTCTAAAAAGTAATGTGCATACCTTAATTAAAAACGCTAACAATCATTTGGGCCTTCAGCAAGTTGTAATCTTTTTGCTGGTGGAGGGTCTTGTCTTGATGTCGATGGCTGCTGACTGTTCATGCTGGTGGTTGCTGAAGGGTGGAGTGGTTGTGGCAAGTTCTTAAAATAAGACAACAGTAAAGTTGCCACATCAATAGACTCTTCCTTTCACAAAGAATTTCTCTGTAGTATGCAATGCTGTTTAATAGCATTTTACCCACAATAAAGCTTCTTTGAAAATTGGAGTCAATTCTCTCAAACCCTGTTGCTGCTTTATCACTTACATTTACATAACATTCAAACCCTTTTTTGTCATTTCAACAATGTTCACAGCATCTTCACCAGGTGTAGATTCCATCTCAATAAACCATTTTCTTTGCTTATCCATAAGAAGTAATTCTTTATCCATTCAATATTTATCATGAGATTGTACCAATTCAATGACAGCTTCAGGCTCTGCTTCTAATTCTAGTTGTCTTGCTATTTCTGCCACACCTGCAGTCACATCCTCCACTGAAGTCTTGAACCCCTCAAAGTCATTCATGAGGGTTGGAATCAACTTCTTCCAAATTTCTGTTAATGTTGATATTTTGACTTCTTCCCATGAATTCTGAATGTTCTTAATGATATCTGAAAAGGTGAATCTTTTCCAGAAGATTGTCAATTTACTTTACCCAGATCCATCTGTGGAATCACTATGTATAGCTATAGTCTTATTAAATGTATTTTTTAATATGACTTGAAAATTGAAATTACTCCTTGATTCATGGAATGAAGAATGAATGTTGTCTTAGTGGGCATTAAAACTACATTAATCTCCTTGTACACCTCCATTAGAACTCTTAGATGAACCAGGTGCATTGTCAGTGAGTGGTAATATTTCAAGAGTAATCTTTTTTTCTGTGTAATAGGTCTGTATTAGTCTGTTTTCACACTACTCTAAAGAAATACCTGAGACTGGGTAATTTATAAAGGAAAGAAGTTTAACTGACTCACAGTTCCACATGGCTAGGGAGGCCTCGGGAAACTTACAATTATGGTGGGAGGCAAAGGGGAAGCAAAAACCTCCTTCACATGGTGGCAGGGAGAGAAGACCGAGTAGTGAAGGGGAAAAAGCCCCTTAGAAAACCATCAGATTTCATGAGAAATTACTCACTATTATGAGAACAGCATGGGAGAAACTACCCCCATGATCCAATCACCTCCCACCAGGTTTCTCTCTAGGCAGAAGGGGATTATGGGGATTACAATTGTTGATAAGATTTGGGTGGGGACATAGCCAAACCATATCAAGGTCTCAACAGCAGGCTTAAAATATTCAGTAAACCATGCTGTAAGCAGATGTGCTGTTATTCAGAATTGATTTTTCCATTTATAAAACACAGACAGGGTAGATTTAGCATAATTCTTAAGGGCCCTAGATTTTCCAAATGGTAAATGAGCACTGACTTCAACTTAAATTCACCAGCTGCATTAGCCCCTAATAAAGCAATCAGCCTGTACTTTTAAGCTTTGAAGCTGGCATTGGCTTCTCCTTTCCAGCTATGAAAGTCCTACATGGCAGCTTCTTCTATTAGAAGGCTATTTTATCCACATGGAAAATCCGTTGTTTAGTGTAGCCACCTTCATCAGTGATCTTAGCTAGATTTTCTGGATAACTCATTGTAGCTTCTACATCAGCATTTCCTGTTTCACCTTGCACTTTTATGTTATGCATATGGCTGCTTTCCTTAAATCTTAAAGATCCTCTGTGTGAGTTTCCATGGAAACATGAGATGCTGTCTTAGAAACAAATGGCAGGATTTGAACCAACTTCTGCTAGCTTCTAAATTTTCTTCGGTAGCTTCTTCACCTCTCTCAACCTTCATAAAATTGAGGAGAGTTTAGGCTTTGCTCTCTGGATTAGGTTTTGGCCTAAGGGAATGGTTTGATTTTTTATCCAGACCACTAAAACTTTCTCCATATCAGCAAAAAAGCTGTTTCGCTTCCTTATTTGTATGTTCACCAGGGTAGCACTTTTAACTTCCTTTAACAATTTTTCCTTTGCATTACAACTTGTCTGTTTGGTGCAAGATAGCTTTTAGCCTATCTTAGCTTTTGACATGCCTTCCTCACTAATCTTAGTCAATTCTAGCTTTTGATTTAAAGTGAGAGACTTGCAATTCTTTCTTTCACTTGACCACTTAGAGGCCATTGTGGGGTTGTTAATTGCCCTAATTTCAATATTGTTGTATCTCAGTGAATAGGGAGACCCAAGGAGAGGAAGAGAGATGGGGAAATGGCCAGTTGTTTGGAGTAGTCAGAGCACATATTTAGCGATTACGTTTATTATCTTATATGGGTATGGTTGGAGGTGCCCCAAAATAATTACAACAGTAACATGAAAGATCAGTGGCTCACAGGTCAGCATAACAGATATAATAATGAAAAATTTGACACAGGGACAGGGAGTGACACATGCTATTGGAAAAATGGTTCTGACTGGCTTGCTCATGTGGGGTTGACACAAACCTTCAATTTGTCAAAAACAAAGTATCTGTGAAGAGCGATAAAGCAGAGCACAATAAAACAAGATATGCCTGTGTATCTCTCTCTCTCTCTCTCTCTCTCTGTGTGTGTGTGTGTGTATGCAAATAGAAGAGGGGTCTGTATCATCAAATGTTGCTAAAGTTCTTAGAGATTCTCTGTGTGGGTTTCTATGGAAACATGAGAGGCTCTCTCAGAAACAAATGGCAGGATGCTAGAGAAAAGGGCACAGATAGTCACATTTAATATCATTTTATAATCTGGCTATTTTTGCACATTGTGAAGACAAGCAGCCTAAAAGAGTGATTAAAATACTCAGAAATATTTAAGATTTTAACAGAAAAAAGAGAAAATTGGTCATCCTGCCTTTGTTTTAGGCAGCTTTCACAAAATATAGAGGTTATTTCCAAGATCCTTTCTTTGATTTCTTACTTTTTACTTCTGCTTGTGTACCAACTGATTCTTGTTAAATATTTATGGACAAGATTAAAGACTTTATAAAACTCAGCAGCTGGCAGCTGTCCTCACCTAAAGGATAAAGCAGAGAGTCTTCATTTTAATTGGGTAACTATGTGACTGAAATATCTAACCCCCAAGGGAAATACAAGAGTTAAAATATGTAAAGCAATTTTTAAAAGAGAAAATCGCTCTCTACATTTTATAGTTTTTATTTCCTTTGGTAGTTGCGTGTGAAGGTGAAATTACAGTGTTGTCTTTTATAGCGTCCTAAGGTTGGAGGCACATTTCAATGTTTCCGAATGCCTCCTAATAACATTCAGGTAGAGAGCACATCATTCTGCTCTGTGTTGTGACACAAAATTGCTCATCATATTTCACTTCTGAGAATCTTTCACCCATCTGTCTCGTGACCAAGTTATAAAACGACAGAGTAAACTTAAAACTGCAGAGAGCGGGGGAATCTGTTAAACTGACTATTGGACAGACATTGAATGCAACAAACACAAGTTGAAGAAAAAGGGGTTTCTCCAATTTTGATCCAATAATTACCTGACATTTAACAGCTATATTCTTAGCGTTGAGCCTGTGATGTTGGTCTTGAGAGACTCAGCTGATCTTGAACAAATCAACTGTCTCTCCATGGGTGTGATCCTCAACCAGAACATCTAGGTCTTGGACAAGATGTCTCCTGAGATTCCCTTAAGGGCTAAGTGTCCTTTAAGGCCTAAGTATCTAAGTCAGGGTCAACAAAGCAAAATATCATGAACCAATTCCCATTTACTGCCTGTTTTTATACAGCCTTGTGAGCTAAGAACATTTTTTACATTTTTAAATAGTTGGGGAAAAAATAAAAAAAAGAAGAATATTTTCTGATATGTACAAATTATATAAAATTCAAATTTAAGTGTCCACAAATAAAGTTTTATTGCAACACAAGGAAGCTCATTTGTTTATGTGTTGTCTGTGGTTGTTTTTACACTACGGTGGTATAGTCAAGTGCTTATGACAGAGACTGTATGGCCCTCAAGCCTAAAATATTTACTATCTGAACTTTTACTGAAGAAAGTTGCCAATCTCTATCTAAATGATTCTGAATCAACTTAAAAGTGTCAGTCAAGTCATCTTTTTTGTTTGTTTATTTGAATGGTAACTTTCCTAATAGTAATATTGATTGTATTTGAAAAAAATCTTTGTTAAATTTTTGCTCTATTATTAAAGAAGGAAGACGTAGTTTTCTTCCAGCAAATCAGATTTGCTGGAACCACTTTCTCTGATAATTTTTCCTTTCTCAGCTTCACATGTGTAGAGTTAGGTGCATTTCTCGAGGAATGAGAAAAGCGGGTAATATAACGTATAGACCAAAGATTTTGAGTTTCATTTCCTCTAATTAACTTGAGATGAGTTCTCCCATAATTCTAGGTCTCAAACCCAGGTCCTGGGAAAAAACTTCTGCCTGGCTAAAATGCAGAGAAACCCATTATTAGCAGAACAACTGGAGAATGAACACTTTCCAACCCCCTGCTTTGTGCCGTGTCAGTGTTAGGCATTTGCAGGCAGTTTTATTATTCCTTATAACAACCTCATCTCCCAGAAGGGACAGCCTGAGATGTAGAGAGGTTAGAGAGCTGGTAAGTGGGGAGGGTGGATTTGAGCCAACGTCTGTCTGATTTCAAAGCTCATGTTCTTACAAAGGCAATTTAATATTTACAAGAACTCTCTCTTCCCAGTAAGGATGCCACCCAAAGAAACAAAAAATAAGATGAGAAGACTGGTACATTTTGGATCAAAGCAAGGTCCAGAAATATCTGTCAGTCTGTACGGATGTGTTTCCTGGAGCCAATGCTGGTAAAACACTTCCTAAATTTCTTCCAATCTCTGTTTTCAATGGTCAGAAGTTTCCTTTATGAGATTCTGTTCGGTTTCTTCTTTTTTAGATATAGAGTGTTGATTTGTCACAGGCTGGAGTTCAGTGGTGTGGTCATGGCTCACTGCAGCCTCAAATCTCCTGGACTCAGGTAATCTTCCTGCCTCAGCCTCCTGAGTATCTGGGACTACAAGCATGTGCCACCATGCCTGGCTAATCTTTATTTATTATATTTGTAGGGATAGGGTCTTGCTGTGTTTCCTGGGATTGTTTGTTTGTTTCTTTAAACATGGTATTCTCTCTGCTTAGAACACTGCTGTCACTTTGTGTTGTTGACACCCTACTTGCCTTTAAGGGCTGGCTGTTAGTATACAGAAAGGAGCCAAGAGCCTTGACATCTTTGCTGACCATTACCAAGTGCCACCACTCCCATCCAATCTGTTAGGCATCTCCCTAACTTCAGCAGATTGCATCCTCCTCCAAGCTTGTATTTCGGGAAACTCAACATTCTGCCATGGAGTCTCACTAGACTGTAAGCTTTCTGAAGTAAGGAATGGTATCTCAGACCTACATACCCCTGCAGCACTGAGCATGGTGTCTCATGTAGGCAAAGAGCATTTGTTGAAAAGGATTATACAGAAAAAATTCCATTCTAGCAATTTACCTCGTCACCCATTTTCCAAGTGTCTACCCTATGCTGAACCCAAGGTCAAGCTGAATGAAGGCACTGCTGTTTGTGCTTGTTTTGGCAGAGAAGGGACTGGTTTGAGCTGAGGTATGACATCCATTCACAGTGTTTTTGAAACAGATTCTTGAGTTCACTGGAAAGAAATCCTCTCTGTTTTACCTGGGTGGCACTTCTTATTACACTCTATCCTGGGGTCTCTGGCCCTTCCTTGCAGAACTGATGGAGGCACTACCCACTGCTCAGTCAGCTCCAACTCTTCAAATCCCATTCTTTTATTATTATGATTATTATTTGAGATGGAGTCTCGCTCTGTCGCCCAGGCTGGAGTGCAGTGGCATGATCTTGGCTCACTGCAACCTCCGCCTCCTGGGTTCACCCCATTCTCCTGCCTCAGCCTCTTGAATAGCTGGAACTACAGGCGCTGCCACCATGCCTAGCTAATTTTTTGTATTTTTAGTAGAGATGGGGTTTCACCATGTTAGCCAGGATGGTCTTGATCTCCTGACCTCGTGATCTGCCTGCCTCGGCCTCCCAAAGTGCTGGGATTACAGGCGTGAGCCACCGCGTCCAGCCCCAAATCCCATTCTTGATGCCTATCCCAACCTTCAGAGAGTTGAAGAGACATGGCCTCATAGTGAGGAGTATGTGCTCTGAAGCTAACAGATTTGTGTTTTCAGTTCCTATTCTGTCACTTGAAAGATGTGCAACCTTGGACATTAACCCAAGTTCTCTGAACTTCAGTTTCTTCATTTGTAAGGCAAGAGTAATATTGGTACTCAAAGGGTTGTCCTGACATGAGAAAATGCACTTATTATGACAGCAATCATACTATGATGTCTAGGTAACAGGAGAGCTACCCAACCTTTGTTGCTTTTTGGTGACAGGAGTGCCTGTCAACTCAACAGCTGACATTTTCATTCACTCTGACATAGACATTTGGGAGGAAAGAGATAAAGGAGCAAATTTGAGAAGTTTGTGTCTCTCCCTGTTCTCACCCTCCCCACTGCTCTTGCTTCTGCTCTGCATTGTGTCCATAGGCATTAAGTGGCTTCTCTTTGTTTCTTCAGCAAAGTCTTTGCCATATCGGAATGAGCCACTTTTGGCATCTATTTGTGGCAATAATCAGAAGAGTCACTGACAAAGCAGGGCTGGGTGGATGGACCGCGTGCTCATGAACCACCTGAGCTGCACCAGTTGGGTCCCGGCCTTTCTCACAGTCCTGATCCCCGATCCCTGCTGCATGTGTGGGATGGGCTGAACTTGTGCTGGGCTGTAGGCATAGTGCATTAATGCAACCCATTTTGACCTTTGCTCAATGTCAGACACTGTTCTGAGGACTTTAGAGGCATTATCCCATTTAACTTCACAACCATGCCTGTTTTAGAGATAAGGTAATAGATACAGAAAAGTCAAGTGACCTGACCAAGATTACGTAGCTGGCAGAGCCAAGAATCAAACCCAAAGCGCTCTGACACCAGAAGCCAAGCTGAGACAAACCTGAGTGGTTTTGTTTTTGTTGCTGTTGTTGCGGTTACCAAGAGTTTGTTCCAAAATCTCGTGCCAAAATTTTGCAGCCTTCAGTTATTGACTTTTGACTCAGGACCTGTAGTTCAGATCCTCATCTTTGCTTTCTTAGAAAAAAAATCCGACGGAGAAAGGGTCATACTTGGAGTCATTTAGAAACTAATTTGATAGCTGTAAGTGTCCTTTAGAATAAAACTCTTTCTCACTTTGTACTCTTGGAACCTTTATTGCTAAGTGTGGAGTGGCGGGGGAGGTGGAAAGCAGGATGAAAATAAGTGGATTTTCTCTGATGTCTAATCCACTAATTATGTCAAGTAAAATTGGATCACGCTTGTAATTCAGTTTTTACTGTTTGCATTAAGAAATGCTGTTGGCAGAGTTGTGAGCAGAGAAAGGGAAAAGGACATTGCAAGTCATTACTGAATGTGAAGAGAGTGAATGGTAGTTTATTTTTTGGGGAGGTGGTCAAGGTGTTGCATTTGGACTGCCCAATTTAGCTAATGTAGCTGCAGCAGTAATAACTAAAGTGGCAGTGCAGAATATTAAGGAAAGTAATGTGGGAAGCAATTTGAATATGTCATGATGACTACTCTGTGTTTGCATACAGGATGACGAGTAATGTGCAATGCGTGAGTTCTTTTTCATTGAGTTTAAAGGAGTTTTAACCTCCAAACTGATACTAGTGATAGAAATTTCAAGAAAGGAATAAACCTTTGGGTGAGAAATTTCAGGCTGGTTAGCACTGTACCTGCCTTCAAGTTTGCTTGGAGCCCTAGGCTACCTCTTCCTTCTCCACGTATAACAGTTCTGGTTCCTCTCTTAGGGTTACTTTCATTTCTTTAGGTACTTTTTTTTTCTCTCACTTGCTTAGATTTGCCATTTATTTATTTATTTATTTCCTCAGACATCCTGAAGCTACTTGGGAGTGTGCCTTCCTCTAGTCTTCTTGGCATACCAACACCATTAAGTGCTAACATTTGGAGGAAAACATCAAGAAGGTGACTTTCTTCTTACTTAGAAAAGAGGAAGACTGGGAATAAAAACTACCCTGACTGGGTTGTATGTACAGGAAACAAAGTTTTCTAGAAAGTGTTTACTGTGTTGCATTGGGACTGTCTCTGCCCAGTACTTTTGTTCACATTCTCTCTCTCTCGATGTCTCTTTCTCTCTCTCCTGTGATATCTTAATAGTTTGATAAAATTGTCTTGCAGAGAAGGCTTTACCGGAAGCTTGCTATTTGTTTCATGGCCCCATTGTCACCATTCTCCATTCAGGACAGTGCATTTCTACCATCTACCTACTGAGCAGGGAGCAAACCACACAACCACTCTGATCCAGCAAGAGCAAAATTATAAAGTTATGATGTTCTTTCATCCAACCTCAGCCCTGAGCTCACTTCCTCCTTTTTCAACTGGGCACTTTCTCTTTCGGTGCCAAGTAAAATTCATTTTCCAGTAGCCACTCCTGGGAAGGGGAGAGAATTGGAAAGGGTGGACTGGTGTGGTTGTAGGAGGAGGTGGTGAACACTGTCCTGATGAACCCGTGGAGCCACAGGGATCAGGGTGTGACGTAGGCAGAGGAGACCAGGGGCAAGGACCCGGAGACCCAACAGCTCTCTCATCAAGGAATCACCATGCTGACTCCTCTTCTGGCCACAGCATAGGCTGCTGTTTGTTTTATAACAGCTTTATTAAGGTATTCACATGCCATACGATTCATCCACTTAAAGTATACAATTCAATAGTGTTCGGTGTATTCACAGACTTGTGCAAGTGTCACCACAACCTATTTTAGAACATTTTCATCCTTCCCACAAAATCTTATGCCTTTAGCAATCCCTCCCTATTTCCTTCTGCCCCACAGCCCTGGCAATAACTACTCCACTTTCTGTCTCTATAGATTTGCCTATCCTGGACAGTTCATAAAAATGGTTTTTTGTGGTGTGTGACTGCTTCTTTCACTTAGCATAATATTTTCAAGGTTCATCTATTCAAGGTTGTAGCATGTATCAGTCTTCACTCCTTTTTGTTGATGAATAATATTCCTTTATAAGGACATACCATATTTTGTTTATCTACTAATCCATTGATGAACATGTGGGTGGACTGAATTATGAATGATGCTGTATGAACATTTGTGTCCAAGGTTTTGTGTAGACATTTCTCTTGGTTGGACAGGCTGGAGTAGAGTTGCTGAGTTGCATGCTAACTCTATGTTTAACCTTTTGAGGAAATTCCTGGTGCTGTTTTCCAAAGCAGCTGCGCCATTTAGCTCAGGGCCTTTGCAAATGCAGATTTCCTTTGCTCCCTTCCCCTGTTGCCTGCTCCTTCTTCAACTCTCACCTCAAATGTTTCCTCAGAGACACCTTAGCTGACCTTCAAGGCTAATTCAGACCTCTCTGTTATATACACTCATGGCAATTAATATTTTTTGTACATATAAATTATTTTTTGTGTACATATTTTGTTAACTTGAGACCATTTGTGTCTCAGTTTATCTATTTAAGTACTTATTTATAAAACAGGGACATCAATATTTAAATTACACTGAGAATACTAGAGTTAACGCATCCAGCAGCTTGAGGCCTAAGGCATAGTAGGGCTAAAGATGGCAGTTATTATTTTAACACTCTCTGTATAGAATATAAAATCAGAACCCTAATTACACATTCAATGAGCATGAGCCAAACTTAATTGGCCTTTCCTTGGTTTTCTATTAATAGCTAGTTGGTACTTGCTTTATGCATTTTGTTGTCTAGGAGCATTTGCCAGCAAACAAACAGGCAACAGAGGTATAGGGAAATGTAATGGAAAAAAGATATAAATAGAGAAAATTCAATCATTAATGTATTTGAATTTGGCAGTTTGCTTCATTTAGCAACTGGCTAATATTTTGTTTTAGAATAAAAGACCTTGGTCTAGCTCCAGGAAAATCAGGCGTGGGTGGGGCCTATTTTGTGAACCATGGTTCTTAATGATTTTGGGGGGTTTGCTTGTGTACATCAATTTTTCTCTGAGAATTCTGAAGAGCTGAGTGCTACATTTGCTTCAGCTTTTCTCCAGTGATGCTTGGCCAAGGCCAAGGCTAAAACCAGTCTCCCAACATGGTAGTGGTTCTCTCCAGCCGAACACTGGGCAGCCTGATCTGTTGCTGAGCAGCTCTGCAAGCTCAGCTCTGCTGAGGAGAACGTACGGAGAACCACCTGGAAGTGAGGGTTGTGCTTCAGGCTGTGCCAGCATCATTGCAGATTAAAGAGGAGACTCTAGGACCAGGAGTAGATGCGGAGTCTGCGGATGGTTCTTTGTGACCTAGAGAGCTAAGATCTTGCAGCTCACAGTTGAGTGAAGGTAGTTTCAGGCTTTAGGGAACCCTCCCACTTGAGTCTATGGGTTTTCTTTTTTATTTTATTACTATAAACTTTTGCTTTATTTTTAATAGACTTTTAGAGCAATTTGATGTTCACAGCAAAACTGAGTGGAAGGTACAGAGACTTTCCATATGCTCTTCAGCGCCATACATTCATAGCCTCCCCCATTATCAACATCCCCCACCAGAGTGGTACATTTGGAGTAACTGGTGAACATACATTGGCACATTAATACTACCCCAAATCCATTGTTTACATTAGTGTTCACTCTGCTGGATTGTATGGTAAGGTATGTTTAGTTTTGCAAGAAACCATGAAACTGTCTTCAAAAGTGGCTGTACCACTTTACATTCACATCAGCAATAAATGACAGTTTCTGTTGCTCCATGTCCTCGTCAGCATTTGGTGGTGTCAGTGATCTGGATGTCAGCCATTTTGAAAGGTGTGTAGTGGTATCCTATTGGTGTTTTAATTTATATTACCCTAATGACACATGATACAGAGAATATTTTCATAGCTTATTTACATCGGTGTTATACCTTCTTTGGTGAGGTTTCTCTTAAGAACTTTGTTCATTTTCTTATCTAAGGTTTTTCTATGCTGAGTACCAGGGGAATGCAGGACAAGGAGAAGGACATACTTTCTTCCTTCAGAGAGCTACCAGAGGAGAAATGACAGTGTCTATTAGGAACTGGCCTTAGAATCTCCCAGGTTGATGAGTGAGTCATCACGCATATACATGCACAGAAATTCACTCTGTGCTGTGACATTAAGTCTTCTCTTCTCTTTTCTGGCCTCTTCTCTTTTTTAACTTCCTGGTCTCCCACCGAGTTCTTGTCTGGAGCTACCCTGTCTGAAGAGGGTGCTGTGGGTGCCTGGCACAGACACCTGATGGTGTGCTCATTCCCTGCTGATGGGCCCGCTGATCTCTGAAACTGGCCCAAGTGTCCCATAGAACTGATATTTATGGGTTTTTGAAAAATAAACATAGAAATTGACCCTCTCAGTCTTAAAACTTGAGAAAGTTACATTTGTCTTATCTGAGTTCCTTTCTCAAGAAACCAACATCAGACATCCCAGATAGTATCAAGGAATAGAAACTCACCGGATCACCACATCTGGACAGTGAGATCCCAGACCCTCATCTGTCCTAATTGCCTAACCACTCTCTGCTGCCTATTGACCAACTCCTCTTCCTTACCCCTCCCTAAATCCTGTTTTCTCACACAGTTACATTTCTTCCCTGCAATATAAACCCCTAATTTTAGTCACTTGGGGAGGTGGATTAGAGACTCATCTCCAATATACTCAGCTGCTGCACCTGAATAAAGCCTTTTTACCTGGCAATACTCATTGTCTCAGTGATTGGTTTTCTGTGCAGTGAGCAACAGGACCTAGACCAAACCCACAGTATTTCAATACAATCACCACTACCTGCCATCTCCCTCTCAGCCTTGAGAACCTACTCATCTGGGAGTAGCCTTGCACTCGCCCCTCCCCTATTCTTTTCTTGCCTCATGGTGGGACCAATGCCCGATCTGACAGAAGTGTGTTTCCAGCTGAGACCACATTCTTTTTAGCTTATTCCCCTGCCCTGGTCCCTGCGTCCTCATTCCTCATTCCTCTCCTGAGAGCATGCTCCCCATCAATCACTTGAAGAATCCCTGTTTCAGGCCCTAGGGAAGCCAACCTAAAATAACGCCAATGCTCAAGCCTTCCCTCTGTTTCTCTTCAGTTAGGACCTGGCCCTCCTTAAACTTCCAGTCAACTGCATGAAAGTGGGTCATATTAATAATTAATTACAAATAACACTTCCTAGTTTATTTGTAGGCTAATGTGTTACTGTTTCTTGATAACATAATGCCTTCATTCTGTTAACCATTCATTTTATTTTTAGGACTTGCTTAAGTAACAACCTTAGTGGGAAAATGCCAGTGGAATTTCATGAGTATGACTGGCAGTGCCTGCGAGGAGGAGAGCTGCGAGGAGGAGAAGGATGAGATACTTTTGGTTAGGTGGGTTTTTCAGCGTCTCTTCTGGAAAGACCTTTTGAATCACCCTCTTCTTACTACCCCTACCTGCCAGTGAATTGCTCCCTCCCTCCTTGATCTCCCCAGAGTATATAATGGTTGAGTATCTCTTTATTGCATTTGTAATATTGCATTGCAATTATTATTTTTTCCTGGTTGCCCCCTCTCACTAGACTGGGAGCAGCTAAAGAGCAGGGACCTTGTCTTATTTGTCTCTATCTCCCCAGTGCCTAGCATGGTGCCTGGTACTCAGGAGGAACTCAAGCACTGTATGTGACAAAAGAATTAATAACTCTGATGAAAAGTCCACCTCCTCCTCCACTTTCACATATATGCACCTGGGCACATACATGAATACACATAACAACATTTGTGGTGGAGTGAAATGTTTAGAATATTAGTCAATTGTCTTTCTTCCTAGTATTTCCTCAGTTTTCAGACTGGAAAATGATACCCTAGGCCAAGGGAAAGAGAATAGAGAGGGAGGCAATGGGACATAGGAAGAAGGCGAGTCTCTGAAATAGGTTTTAGAGACTAAAGAGGGAGAGTGGTCAAGGAAGACCCAAGATAAACTTTTGGGACACAAGAGAAGAGAGGATCAGACTGCTCTCCTTGGTGAGCTGTCTTGTAGAAGGCAAGACCCAGAGGGGAGGACAACACATGGTTAGTCAAAGAAAAGGGTCTCACATGAGTATCTCACATGAGAATAGTGCTCACATGGGCACTATTTTAGGTTGGCTTCCCTAGGGCCTGAAACTGGGATTCTTCAAGTGATTGATGGGGAGCATGCTCGCAGGAGAGGAATGAGGATGCAGGGGACAGGGCAGGGGAACAAACTAATGAGAATTCAGGAGTCCCTGGGAACTAGGCTGGCCTAGAAGCAACAGAGCTTTGCTTAATACACTTGAGGGCCCAGAGAGGGCAGTAAGGTATGACTCTGAGAGCACAGGCTAAGGGCTTGTTAGCTGGGAAAAATGCCTGGAAGAGGGACACTTTTAAGTTCACTGAAATCCGTTTTCTACCCTTGTGGAATAAAGAGTCAAATAAAGGAGTGAAATTAAATTATATAAAAATAAAATGTTGCATTTAGTGCACAGCTCAACTTTGGACTGAGACTTTCTTTATAAAGAGTACAACTGAAAGCTCTGGGTAAATGAATCAACCATGGACATAGGGGTCAGAGAGGTTTAGGCTAAAGAAGAGTCTGTGTCTGGGACCTGGCTCATGGGACTTTGGGACTCCATGAAGTCAGGTAGGACTCCTGGGGTAGATACTGATTATCAATGAGGATGTGAGGAAAGGAAAATGATAGGTGATCTTCTCCCTTGGGCGTTTTCGCCCCAAGCACACCACCATGAGCATCTTATAAGCATAACAGGGGAGGCCCAGACATTTCAAAAAGCCAACTAGAAGAACATTGATGTAGAAGCCTCCCCTGGCGCTGTCGTGGGGATACTGAAACTGCTGTTGCTGTGAAAACCAAAAACCGTGCCAAGTACTCACTTGCCTCGTGTCAGAAATGCAGCCTGGAAACCTTCGCTTGATAAATCTAGGGCAAATTCAAGACTACTTGGAGAAATGGATATGAATATATACAGATAAACACTGGCATATAGACATAAATACATGTAGATAAACACCCACCTCAGACGTAAATATATAGATATGATCATTTACTAAATATTGAATACTTCCTATTTTGGAGGCTCTAGAAATGATTTTATAGACATTATCTCATTTTGTTCTTCCTTCAACAATGAGAGGAGAGTGATGTTATATTACTTTAACACAAGAGGAAATGGAGGCACAGAATGGTTGAACAATAGGGTCACAGACCTAGGAAAGGATAGGGCTTCTCTACACAACGACGCATAATCAATGTTGACCCTTCTTTAGGTATTACGGTGGAAGAATGTGCTTGAATGACTCCCTTACCCTATCCCTTAACTTCAGCTCATTTTAAATTCCCTTCACTATTTACCCTATCCCTTCACTATTCAGCTCATTTTAAATTCCCTTAGCAACATTATTAGCAAGAATCATAAGGGAATGAATGATCCTAACATAATTGTATGAAACAGGGAGACAAAGCAGCTCTGGAGAGAGGTCATGTGTATCTATGTGTGCACATGCACAGATGTATGCACGTACACACTCATGTGTTTCATGGAACTGAATAAAACTAAGAAATTGTCATGTCTAATACCTTAATTTCACAGATGCAGAAATAGCAGCTCAGAGAGGCAAGTGACCTGCCCAAGGCCCCAGGAACCAGGTCTAGAGGGACCCTGGTGTGTCTTTGCCTGAGAGATGGAGCTGTCTGTTCCCGGCATGGCCTGGAGGGGAAGAAGACCGTGGAAGGGAGAGGGCAGGGAGCTGCCTCACCTGCTAACTCTTCTCGATTGAACCAGCTCTTCGCTTGGGAATTTGACTGCAATATGACTTCTCAGGACACCAGACATCCTAGCCTTAAAGAGGGCACAGGTACATTTTCCTAGGCCAAATTAATATGGATTTTGAATTATCTCCTGTTGTTCAGAAAGATCCTCCCTGCATTGGTGGTTTTGACATTTCCCAGGCTCCAAGAGCCATGGATCTCCTCTGAGAGCTGCACTGGAGAAGGTTCTGAAAGTCTTCTTTACATCTCTAACCAGACAGGTCCTTAGGAAACTCCTCCAGCAAGCACTGACCCCTTCACAGCCAGTCCTGTGTCGGACTCTGAGGTAAAGACACCACCCAGTTGCTGCCCTCAGAATCAACCTAGCCCTTGCTTCTCTCACAAGAGTGAAACTTGGAGGCATTAATATATATTTTTGTTCTGCAAAACTTTAAAGAATAAAACATTAGAAATAAAACTATAACAATCATCCATGTGCCTGCCACCCAGATTTATTGTTTTTTAAAGAAGTAAAACATAAATATAGTTAAAATTCCTTGTGTATCCCTCCCAGTCCCAATCCTCCCTCAGAGGCAAGCACTGTGGTGAAGCTTGTTACTGTTCTACATGTATTTCACAGTTTTATTATATATTCATATGCACATAGCACATAAACTTAAAAGACATAAACTCATACTGTATATAAATTAAATTTTACACTTAATATAAATATAATTTATATATTACACATTACAAAAAGTTGTTTATGTACTGCATAAGCTTTACATTTAAATATTATACTTAGTCAAAAATAAACTATATATTTACATAAATATAAACTAACATTTATATACCGTATGTCTAACATTAACGTTTATACTGTGTATAGTGTGTATAAATTAAAATGTACAAAATTAGCTTCAAACCCTTCACATAATGATGGTCTAACTTGCCTTTTGTCCAACACAATATATTTTTATTTCTATTCATTTTGATGCATCTTGATTCCCTTCATTCATTCCAACTGCAGTGGAGTTTTCCATTATTGGAATATGTCACAAATAATTTATGACTGTCCTATGATTTGCAAAGTACACTTGTTTGAAATTTCCTATGACTACAAACAATGCTGCCACACATTCTGTGGCTGTTTTCTTGTGTACACATGCGAGTGATTTTAGGACAGATACATAGAAGTGGATGCTTCCCCTTTACCAGGTATTGTCAGTTGTTTTTAAAAGATGTCTGCGTGTGCACTGTCACACCAGCAGCATAAGAGGCTCCTATTTCTCTGCATTCTTGCTGCCACCAGGCCATGTTGATCTTGAACTTTGTTGTTAATTGGATGGAAGTGAAATGGTATCTCATTGGTGTTTCACTTGTTTCCCGACTATTCATGAAGTTGACAATCTTTTCATGGATATTGACCCTCCGGGTTTCTGCTTCTGTGAAATGCCTTTTCATAGTTTTTGCCTATTTTTCTCTCTTGGGTTATTTATCTTTCCCTTATTAATCTGTAGGAGTTCTTAAAATATTCAGGTTTTTAATCCTTTGTTGGTTGTGAGCATTCACCATGCTTCTCCTGGTCTGTGACTTGTCTTTGAATTTTGTTTATAATGTCATTGATTATGTAAAAGTGTTAAATTTTGATGTAGTTAAATTTATTGCTATTTTTCTTATAATATATGCATCGTGTGTCCTGTTTAAAAAATCCATCATCTGCTTCTGGCTACTGACATTTCTCCATTTGAAAGGTGGCATCTATGACTATGCGTGGGACAGGGAGGAGGTGCTTTTTATTGCTTTCTAAGTTCTTAATTACAACAACAACCCCACCATTAGGTAAATTCAGGTTCACACTAATGATTCCAGATTATTTTCTACCATGGAGTGTAGTATAGTGCTGAAAAGTGTGAGTTCTGAAGCGAGACTGCCTGGATTTGGATCACTCACTTTGGGCAAGTTACTTAAACTCACTTGGGGGAATTATACTCTGGTATCTACCTTGTAGGGTTGCTGTAGAGATTAAATTAGTTTATAAATGCAAAGCCCTTAGAACAGTTTCGGGTATAATGTAAGAGCCAAGAGTTCTCTCTTGCTATTGTTATTATTGTTATTAGCATTATTTTTATCATCGTTAGTACTCGGATTTCCGTTGGGCTGGGTTTCTAGGGGCCACCTTCAGACATTAGAGCTGCTGTCCTCTACATGCTTCTCAGTGCCTAAACTGAAATCATCTTGTTCTGCATGGTCCAACATCACCTTAGGACACTTGTCTTCTAGGTTTTTTTTTTTGAGATGGAGTCTTGCTCTGTTGCCAGGCTGGAGTGCGGTGGTGCAATCTCGGCTCACTGCAACTTCCGCCTCCCGGGTTCAAGCAATTCCCCTGCCTCAGCCTCCCGAGTAGCTGGGACTACAGGCATGCGCCACCAAGCCCGGTTAAATTTTTGTATTTTAGTAGAGATTGGCTTTCACTGTGTTGGCCAGGATGGTCTCGATCTCTTGACCTTGTGATCCACCTTCCCTGGCCTCCCAAAATGCTGGGATTACAGGCATGAGCCACTGTGCCCAACCTTATTTAGCTTTCAAAAAAAGTAGAGAATTACAGTTTTCAAGGGGTCAAGTCCTATCTGAATTCAGAGAGAGTCATCATCCTCTTAAATCTCCAAAGCAAGACAGATGCATTAACACAGGTGACTTGTGAGAACTTAATAGTCTGTCTGTTGTGAACGTTTCCCCACTGCCCCATTGCCTTTCTCTGGTTTAGTCACCCCTCATTCTTGTGCTTCTCAGACAGGCTGCGAAAGCATCACCCCTCTCTCCTCTCTCTCTCCCATCCACAGGGGTGGGCATGTTACCCAAGCTGGATTACCCATCTGACTTTACTAATTCTTCTAAGAGGTGGGCATATGACCCAAGCTAGGCCAATGACATTTTCTTTTTGCCCTTGACTGACTTGAGAAAAGTTATTTCTTTCCTGGTGGCAAGCTGGAAAGATGAGTCTGAGGTGCTGGCTAAGTTCTTTAATGGTCAGCCTTGTCTAGTAGATTCTAGGCCCTTGTCGGGGAGTCAGGGACCATGTCCACCTTGCGTGCTCTTTTATCTCTTGCATCAAATAGGCCAGGCCCTGGGAACGTGATAAAAATAGTTGAAGAAAATTGTGCTTTCCTTCCGGAAAATTTCCAGGCCACATGCTGATCAACTATGCCTATTGCTGCTCACTCTGCACCTTCCTGGGTCCTGTGGTTCAGGGCCTCAGCTCCTGTGGTTCAACCAGAGTATCTCGTTGAGCATATTTGGATTTGACCTTTGAACTTCAACCTTACATACCTCCCAGCACATGCTTTTGGTGTCGACCCTTCTTTTCCATCCAGAGGGCCTACAGAGAAAAGTGTCCTTGACTGTGTGACATGCTTTAGGTTCTTCTGGAGTGAGCAGCTAGTTTCACCCCACTCCCATCCATCCTCAGCCAGAGCAGGAGATGTATTCAGTCAACTTCAGCTCATCCTCCTTGTTTGTGATCATAGATTCTGCATTTGTGGTCTATGCAAAAGGAGGAAGGCACACAGTTAAGACAGCAGATAGAAGAAAAATATTTTTGTACTATGTTTCTTTTAACTCATAGCTTTTCAAACTTTACTATGCATCAGAATTACCTGGAGTACTTGTGAAGAGATAGATCTCTGGGTCTCACTCTCAGAGGTGGAGTCAGCTGGTCTGAGAATCTGCATTTCTAACAAGTTTCCAGGTGATGCTGATGCTGCTGGCCTGGGGACCACAATGAGAGCCATTGTTGAGTCATGCTCTCATTTAACAGAGGTGCTCACTATCAGGATCTGATGGGCTTTGGGTTAAGGGTGAGTGTATGGATCCAGGATCTGTGGTAGAAATAGAAATCACCCGGGTTATGAAAAGGAATTTAACAGGGAATTAGGAGCTGATGAAATTGTTGGAAGAATTGGAGGAGTGCCTCTAGGCTTGGCCTCCAGGAATGGGAATGGTTCCTGGGACAAGGTGGCAGCATCGGCCGCTTCCCCAGCAAGAGAGCTGGGAATCAGAAGGCCACCACTAGCAGTGCCAATGCCAGACCACCCAGGCACTGCTGCCACCCATGGCACAGCCACCACTTTACACCCACGAAGCTGCTGACAACTCATGGAGTGGTCTCCACGTTGCTGTGGTTCTGTGGCTCTCCCGAGGGAGAGAAAATGTTATCCTTCTTCTGCCTTCCAAATATCATACAAGTGCATTCAGTACCCTGGGATGTTTTTTAACCTATCAAGGCAGAGGTTAATCAGTGGGGGTTGGAAGGAGTGAGTGATTCAGCAGAAGCCTAGTTTCTGGGGAAGGGAGGGAACTTAGGGGAGATGTGGTTAGCACACGCACACTCAAGGGACTCAGACTCTATTCTGATGTTCCGACAAGAGACTAGCCATTGGCTCTTTCTGGGCATTTTCTTTCATTTAGACAGTGAGAGGAATTGCTGCATCAGGGAATCAAGAGAAAAAATATTAATTTAGCTACATATGTTTATACTCTGGAGAAATAACCACTACAGGAATGCTTGCACTCACTTTTATACTATCATACATTGACTTCATTTATTGCAGGGTTTCCCACGCTTAGCACTTTTGACATTTCTCACCATGTAGTTATTTCTTGTGGGGGACTGTCCTATGCACTGCGGAACATTACGCAGCACCCCTGACCTCTACCCACTGGATGACAGGTGCATCCCCCAAGTTGTAAAGACCAAAAATGTCTCCAGACATTACCAAATGAACCCTGGTGGAGGGAATCATCCATGGTTGAGAATCACTGATGTACTTAATATCTTTGCATGTATAAAATGGCTTATTGCAGGCTTTTTTTTTTTTTTTTTTTTGAGACGGAGTCTCGCTCTGTCGCCCAGGCTGGAGTGCAGTGGTGCGATCTCGGCTCACTGCAAGCTCCGCCTCCTGGGTTCACGCCATTCTCCTGCCTCAGCCTCTCCAGTAGCTGGGACTACAGGCGCCCACCACCACGCCCGGCTAATTTTTGTATTTTGTTTAGTAGAGACAGGGTTTCACCATGTTAGCCAGGATGGTCTTGATCTCCTGACCTCATGATCCGTCTGCCTCGGCCTCCCAAAGTGCTGGGATTACAGGCATGAGCCGTCGCGCCCAGCCTATTGCAGGCTTTTAATCAAAATGTCCAAGCATAAATTATAGCACACCTCTATGGTGGAATAGTACGCAGTTTCAAAGGATGTGTAATCATTTATCAAAATATATTTAGTATATTTTTAAGTTTTAAAAGGCACACTGCATACAGACAAACTCCAATTGTGTGAAATGAAATTGAATGTGTGTACTAATGCATTCTAGTCCAAGGAAAATAAACCAAAATTGTAATTGTGGTTATTTCTGAGTAACAGGACTACCTGTGCTTTTTAATTTTCTTCTAATTTCTTCTACATATCCAATTTTATAAAACAAATGTGCATGCATTATATACATATGATATTTTAGCAATTATTGTTATCACTGAGAAGAGAAGGAGAGAGGAATTTAACATTTATGAAACATCTGTTCTATTCCAGGCACTATGTAAGATACCACCTAACCCTAGTCCACTTTAAAGCACTGTGCAATGGCATCAGAATGGGCTGGAGAGGCAGGCAGAATTGGTTTTAAATCATGACCCCCAGGACCTGCCTGGACCTGCCTGGCCTTGGGCAAGTTGCTTAATCTCTGCAAGTTTATGTTTCTTTCCCTGTAAACTGGTGCTAGGTTTTCAGGGTGGCTGCAAGGATTAACAGAGGTGATTTAGGCCTTGTATTACCATTGATTATTATGCAGAACTTCCTCCTGGGTGGGATGTGCCCCTTTTTTCCTTCAACACACCGGTTCCAATCTTGCATCAGTGACGGCCACATTGTCACATCCAGTCCTCCTTTCCCATCTTCCTGAGAAGAGGCAGTGGACTAGAAGAAAGGAGAAAGTGAGTAAAGCCAAAAACCCAGCACTTCTCAGAAGCTGGGTTTGCTTTCTCCTCGTCAGGGCTACTGACAGGCCCTTTAGCAAGACAGAGGCTAATTACTTGCCAGGAGCAAAAGAAAATATGTCATTTGGTTGTTCTGGCTTTTCCAAGTGCAATAAATCACAGCCACAGGAACCCAGCTTAATTTGATTTAATAAAGATTTTAAAGAAAGAAAAACAGTTTTCCTTGTTTTTATCGAAACTGCTAGTCATTTGTGTCTGTTTCATCTAGGGCTGTTAATGTGATGTGACCCACTCACACTGCAAGCCACTTTCAGCACTCCGGAGTTCCGCTGTCTACATTTATGCTCGTCCATATCACCTGACCACCTGCCTGTTGGATCCTATGGTCCCCTGCCCTCTTCCCTCGGGTCCCCAGGCCCTCTGCTCAATTCATCAGGTTCTGATTCTCAAAAGGAGGTTCCACTCACTTTGACAATTCATTTGGCTGTTTGCCTGGCTCTGACCCTCACAGTGTCTCCTGAAATAATCTTAAATTTCCTGCTGGCCCCTGCACAGCTGTGGGTGGGAAGTGTTCCTGCTCACCCCTCGCCCACACTTCCCTCACATCAGGCCTGCACTGCCGCATCCCCCATTGGGCTTCCCTGCCGGCTGAGAAGCATCAGACAATTTGAGTGCAGCAGCAAAACAGAATGGTGTAGGCTAAATCTCAGAGGTGGGTTTTGCTTATTTTATGAAAGCCAGAGAGCTCTCGGTTAAGAACATCTGTGCAAATAGGATTTAACTTCTCCCCTCACTCTGGCTTATATTCGTATCTGTCTTGTTTCTGGAAGGTGTGGCTCCTTTTTAAAAACCACTATTTCCCAGTGATTCCAAGTGACATGCTGAAATGAAAGCCCTAATAACCTCCTACAGAAAAGAGGTGATGGAACATAACAGGGAAGTTTCAAGTGCTAGGATTTTTCAGCTGGGAAAAAGGAGCTTGAGGGATTGGCCTGAATGGCCTGTTGCTATGTAACCAAATAGGCAATCTGAGGAGGGTGTGCTGAGGGTCAGTGTCAGACCCCTTGACCTTAAGCATGCCTTACCTTCCCGGGAACAACAGAATGCCAGAAATGGAGGGTGATTCAAAATTGAAATGCAGCTCTTCCATTCAAAACAGTGAGGTCCGGAGAAACTAAATGTCTTTGTGTAGGGTATCCAGTTACTGAGGAACAAGAAGGAGGCTGGAACCCAAGCATCAGCTGTTAGTCCTTTGGACTTCCCATAGATCTGACTTGGATGTGCCGTTGCCCATAAGGCAACTTTTTGTTTGTTTGTTTTGAAACAGCTATGTGAGTGTCCTTTGTGTGTGTTTGCATTGAATTAGAAGTTGGGTTCCCCTTCCCCAGCAGGTGGGGTTTTGTTTTTGTTTTTTTTTTTTTTCTCCAGCTTTATTCAGTTATAATTGACAAATAAAAACTTAATATATTTGAAGTGTACCATCTGATATGTTGATATATGTATACATTGTGAAGAACAATCAAGCTAATTAACATCCTGTCACCTCACATAGTTACCATATTCTTTGTCTTTCTTTCTCTATATTTTTGTGATGAGAACACTTAAGAGATATCCTCTTAGCACATTTAAGTATGCAGTGCAATATTGTTAACCATAATCACTATGCTGTATATGATTGCATCTCCCGAATGTGTTCAACCTGCATAACAAACTTTGTACCCTTTGACCAGCAGCTTCTCATTTTCTCTCCTCCCAGGTCCTGGCAACCACCATTCCATTGTCTGCTTGTATGAGTTCAAAGATGTTACATTCCACCTATCAGTGAGATCATGCAGTACTTGTCTTATTTCACATCACCTAACGTCCTGTAGGTTCCTCTATAATCTTGTAGTGCCTTGTGGTTCCAGCCCTCTGTGTGGTTGAACATGGGTGAGGAGGTAAATTCCTCATTCATCCTGGGAGACAGCCTCCAGTGCGGTGGGCGAGCTAACCTCAAGTGTGAACTTGGCCATGATATGTTCTTGTGAATCCCTGGTCCTGATCCCTGATACTCAGAACCTCATCCCTCTTCCCTAGTCCCTCTCGTCTTCTATGGGCAGTGCCTTCACACTCCAAAAACCTCTCCTCACTCTAGCTACCCAGCCAGGTTTAAAATTATCTCACAAACTAATCCATTCTAGAAATATTAATGACCAGTAATAGCTTTATTTTTTACTTTCACTAAGATTTTTTGCATTTCAGCAGGGGGATTTCTAGGACTACAAAGCTTTGGTAGAGTAGTTATCAACCATAGCTACACATTAGAATTATCTGAAGATCTTTAGCAAACTACTGGAGCAGGGAGTCCCCACCCCCAGATATTCTAATTAAATTGGTTTTGGGAGGGGCCAGGGCAAATGGTAATTTTTAAAAAGTTCTCCAGGTGATTCTAAAGCACAGCTATTGGTGGGGCTCAGTGGCTCACGCCTGTAATCCCAGCACTCTGGAAGGCTGAGGCAAGTGTATCACTTGAGCCCAGGAAGTAGTGACCAGTCTGGGCAACATAGAGAAATGTCTCTACAAAAAATAGAAAAATTAGCCAGGCATGGTGGCATGTGCCTGTAGTCCCAGTGACTCAGAAGGCTGAGACAGGAGGATTGTTTGAGCCAGGGAGTTCAAGGCTACGGTAAGCCGAGATGGTGCCACTGCACTCCAGCCTGGGTGACAGAGTGAGATCTTGCCTAAAAAAAAAAAAAAAAAAAAAAAAAAAATACAGCTATTGTGGAAATACCTGCTTAAATAAGAATAATGTATGAATAATGACATCGATAGAATTCTCCCCTGCTATGGCCACTAGAGAGATAGCTGCAGAGATGCTTCAACCCCTTCCCAAGGCAGAGTATAAGGAAGTCTTTCTGCTGCATCCCTGGGTGGGGTCCAAGAAAGGCTCAGAGGACCAGCGGGTGACCATGGGGCCAAGGAAATCATCTGGGGTGGAACATTTTCATTCTAGTCTTGTTTAGTCTTAGTAGATTTGTTTCCTCTTAATTTCTCCAGTTAGAGATTAAATTAGGTTGCAAGCTAGCCATGCATGGGCTGGTTCTTGCTCACACAACGGATTTATTCAATCTATACAATATTTCTTGATTTTAAAACTTGAATCAATACCTGACAAAATCCAGATTTCTGTCTTTTCTTTTGAAACAGAAGCAGCACTGGCCATCTGCCTTGGATTCCAGGATGGCTACATTTGTCTGATTGCTTCACGTAGATGGACATTCAATTGCTTCTTTACTGCGGGATCTACTTGGCCTCCTTCCTCCATCTGGGCTACCTGGCTGACCTTTCAGATATTTGCATTGTGCATGGCTGAAATGTTAATAATAGCTACTCCAGACACCTACAATGTGCCTCCTCATACTTTGTGTCTAATTCTTCAGAGAACTCTGTAAGGCGGGTCATATCACTCTCTTTCACAGTTCTGGGGGAACTTAGGTCCAAAAAAAATGTTTTGACCAAGGTTCTGCAAAGTAAATCAGTACCAGGTGTGAGGTTCAAACCTAGATTGGTCGGCATTTAAACCTTACTCTCTTCCCACTTAAACCCAGCCTTGCACTTAATTTGTTCTGTAGAGATATAGAACATTGAGGATGAACTTTCAGAAGCTGTTTAGCCAAGGTCCTCAACATATGTTCTTCTGACCAGGGGTCTCACACACACCTGGGGTCATCATGACACCCAGGATGTCATTCTCCATCTCATGACTGTCTCTGTAGAAGCTGGTCTGGGGCAGCTCCATGTTCTGCTGAGAAATTCAAGCTACCTTAGTAACTTGCAGCAGGTGCTTCCCTATCTTTACCAAAGAGAAAGTTTTGTGTTCTGACTATAAGCTTCATTTCTAGAAGCAGCAACACAGCTAACTTCCTTCTTCAATTCAGTACCTGCTCTGTATCAGGTATTACTGAAGGCATTTTGTATAAGTGGTTTTATTTAATCCACTTAACAACTCATTTGATCTGGTTAATTTTACAGATGAAACAGACTCTCTAAGAGATTGAGAAAATTGCAAAAAGTCATATAGTTACTAGACAATATGTCTCCAGACAGATATCTACTAGTGGTCTGATGTAGCTTGTTGTTGTCATTAAATAGAATAAAATACCTTAAGTTCATTATTATTTTTTAAATGTTGAAAGTAGTAGGTTTATTGTTGAACTTAAGGTAAATTCAGCAAAATCAAAGAAACAGGAAAATATCTCCACCTTCTAGAATTGCTGTACCATTTTGGGGTATTTTTCTGTAGTTTGCATGTATGTGTTTATGCATAACATATAAAATATATGCGTTTCAGAAATATTTAATAACGGAAAAATTCTTGAGTGTTGGCAATGTTATATTAAAATTGTAGTTAAAAAGAAATTTTATTGAATCGAAGAAGAATTATCCTACTGTTAACTGAATATTTACTGTGTGCTAGGCACTGAAGTTTGAGAGATAAAAAGAACCCTCAGGGAACACATGGGGTGTTTGTCTGTAAAATAGACAAGTAAATGCAAAATTATAATGCAGTATGATAAATGTTTTGATAATGATAAGCCCTGGAAGTTTTGAAAGTCACAGGAGACACTGTTCACTCAGCCAAGGGAGAGAGTGTCGTCCATATCTTCATTACCCGGAACAGGTAACAGGAACTGAGTATCGCAGCAAGTGTGAAAGATACCTGGGTAAACAGGAAGAAGAGGGCATCCCAGGGAGAAAGACAATATGTACAAGCCTCTGAGGTTTAAGATAATTATTTCTGAATGCAGTCCTCTGACCTCCATTTTGTTCAGGAGAATCACACAATGCATACATTTTCTTTTAGGCCAATAGAAACACAAATTATGGACCCATTGGCAAAATGGCTTTGTCTTCTACCTGTCTCATTGAGTCACTTAGAATTCTAGGCTTGCTCTTCTGGGAGAAAGTTACAGAGCCTTTTCTGTATCCAGTGGGAAATATATTTTTACCCATGGCAGAAAATCTGTTTAATCATTTGCACATAATAGACCATATGCTGGCACAGGGCTGGGAGGTGACATGATAAAGGCTGAGGAAATCACTTGCCACGGGTTCAGGTGATGAATGTATGAGGCAGGTCTTCGCCTGGGGAAAGAATATAGATGCGAGTGTGCTCAGGTGGGATGAAATCTTCCTCCAGCCCGAGTGGCACTGCAGTTATTACAGAGGTTGTATAAGGCAGGCACATATCTTGCTTAATGAAACATTAAAAAGGGCAAAGTCCCTGCCCTAGTTTCCTCTAAAGATGAATAGAGAAAGAACTGAACTTATCTTTATTTGACCAGATCAGTTAAAAAAACATGAAGCCATAAAAATAATCCTTTTTGGTACATGGAGATTTCATATGTTCATGCAGACAGTAACACTTTTTTCTGCTTTTTCTCCTGCATCATTGCATTGTACAATGAACCTAGAAGGCTCCTAGTTAAAAATACATGGGAGAAAGCATAATTAAGGATTGAGGTAGCTAACCTTACAGGGCAACTAACCTGTGTGTTCCCGCATATGTATTATTGCATTTTCTCAGCAACCCCATGGGGCAGAGTTACACAAATGAGGAGGCTCTGGGAGGTTAAGAAACTCACCTAAGAACACAGCTGCTTAGTGGCAGAGGAGGGATTCAAATCCAGGTCTGTTTGACCTTATATTCCAAATACTTTTCTCTATACCACTCCGTGTGCTAAATTCTGTAGATCTGGGGTATAACTCCTGCTTTTTAATAATATCAAGGTTCTTTTATTAGGAAGAAGTGAAAAGTAGTATTGGAAAGGCAACTAGAAGTCTGAAACGTTTGTCATTACAATAACCTTCAAACTTCAGTCTTCAAACTTCTTCTCTTTCCACACTAGCTTCCTAGCTTTTCTTACCCATTAGTTACACAATCTGACTGGCTATCTAAATTGTCTCTCCTCTGAAAGATCCTTCTTTAATCTTTTCTTTGAACTCCAAATGTGACTATCTGGTTATTTGCTTTATGTCTCCACTTTGATGTCTTATAGGTGCCTCAAACCTAAAATATCCAAAACTGAGTGGATAATTCTCACCTTTAAACCGCTTTTCTCCACCAACCTCTTCATTTCAGTAAATGACAACTATCTATCTACCGGGCAGTCAGGCCAAGAAAGAACCCTGGAGTTTCCTTTCTTTCCTGCCCAGAATATAAAGTCAGCTTTATTTAGGAAATATGTCCAGAATCCAATTGCCTTTCACCCCCAACCCCCGCTGTAATTTCCATCGTTTCATCTGCTGTCACCTCCCGCCTGGATGTTGTGATGGTCCCTAACTGGGGTCCCACTTTCTACTCTTGCCCACTTAGCCTGTCCTCTACTCCATAGCCAGAGTAATTCTTCTAGAATGAAGGGGGATCATTCTTTCTCTCTCTTCAATGTGCCCCAGTTTATCCCTGTCTGAGTAACATCCACATTCTTACTGTGAGCCCCCAATGTCCCTTCTCACCTGGCTCCACTCTCTCTTCTCCTCCCTCTCCACCTTCTTCCCTCAGCTCCAGCCACTCTGGCCATCTTGCTGTTCCTTGAACACACCAGGCACTTCTGCTTTGCTTTACGGTCTCGGAAGGATGTCTTTTCTTTTCTGCTATGGGTAAAAAAATATGTTTCCCACTGGATACAGAAAAGGCTGTGTAACTTTCTCCCAGGAGAGCGAGCCTAGAATTCTAAGTGACTCAGTGGGACAGGTAGAAGACAAAGCCATTTTGTCGATGGGTCCATAACTTGTGTTTCTTTTTTTTTTTAAATTATTATTATTATACTTTAAGTTTTAGGGTACATGTGCACCTTGTGCAGGTTTGTTACATATGTATACATGTGCCATGCTGGTGCACTGCACCCACTAACTCATCATCTAGCATTAGGTATATCTCCCAATGCTATCCCTCCACCCTCCCCCCACCCTACAACAGTCTCCAGAGTGTGATATTCCCCTTCCTGTGTCCATGTGTTCTCATTGTTCATTTCCCACCTATGAGTGAGAATATGCGGTGTTTGGTTTTTTTTTCTTGCGATAGTTTACTGAGAATGATGATTTCCAGTTTCATCCATGTCCCTACAAAGGACATGAACTCATCATTTTTTATGGCTGCATAGTATTCCATGGTGTATATGTGCCACATTTTCTTAATCCAGTCTATCATTGTTGGACATCTGGGTTGGTTCCAAGTCTTTGCTATTGTGAATAATGCCGCAATAAACATACGTGTGTATGTGTCTTTATAGCAGCATGATTTATAGTCCTTTGGGTATATACCCAGTAATGGGATGGCTGGGTCAAATGGTATTTCCAGTTCTAGATCCCTGAGGAATCGCCACAATGACTTCCACAATGGTTGAACTAGTTTACAGTCTCACCAACAGTGTAAAAGTTTTCCTATTTCTCCACATCCTCTCCAGCACCTGTTGTTTCCTGACTTTTTAATGATTGCCATTCTAACTGGTGTGAGATGATATCTCATTGTGGTTTTGATTTGCATTTCTCTGATGGCCAGTGATGATGAGCATTTTTTCATGTGTTTCTTGGCTGCATAAATGTCTTCTTTTGAGAAGTGTCTGTTCATGTCCTTCGCCCACTTTTTGATGGGGTTGTTTGTTTTTTTCCTGTAAATTTGTTTGAGTTCATTGTAGATTCTGGATATTAGCCCTTTGTCAGATGAGTAGGTTGCGAAAATTTTCTCCCATTTTGTAGGTTGCCTGTTCACTCTGATGGTAGTTTCTTTTGCTGTGCAGAAGCTCTTTAGTTTAATGAGATCCCATTTGTCAATTTTGGCTTTTGTTGCCATTGCTTTTGGTGTTTTAGACATGAAGTCCTTGCCCATGCCTATGTCCTGAATGGTAATACCTAGGTTTTCTTCTAGGGTTTTTATGGTTTTAGGTCTAACGTTTAAGTCTTTAATCCATCTTGAATTGATTTTTGTATAAGGTGTAAGGAAGGGATCCAGTTTCAGCTTTCTACATATGGCTAGCCAGTTTTCCCAGCACCATTTACTAAATAGGGAATCCTTTCCCCATTGCTTGTTTTTCTCAGGTTTGTCAAAGATCAGATGGTTGTAGATATGCGGTGTTATTTCTGAGGGCTCTGTTCTGTTCCATTGATCTATATTTCTGTTTTGGTACCAGTACCATGCTGTTTTGGTTACTGTAGGCTTGTAGTATAGTTTGAAGTCAGGTAGTGTGATGCCTCCAGCTTTGTTCTTTTGGCTTAGGATTGACTTGGCGATGCGGGCTCTCTTTTGGTTCCATATGAACTTTAAAGTAGTTTTTTCCAATTCTGTGAAGAAAGGCATTGGTAGCTTGATGGGGATGGCATTGAATCTGTAAATTACCTTGGGCAGTATGGCCATTTTCACGATATTGATTCTTCCTATCCATTAGCATGGAATGTTCTTCCATTTGTTTGTATCCTCTTTTATTTCCTTAAGCAGTGGTTTGTAGTTCTCCTTAAAGAGGTCCTTCACATCCCTTGTAAGGTGGATTCCTAGGTATTTTATTCTCTTTGAAGCAATTGTGAATGGGAGTTCACTCATGATTTGGCTCTCTGTTTGTCTGTTGTTGGTGTATAAGAATGCTTGTGATTTTTGTACATTGATTTTGTATCCTGAGACTTTGCTGAAGTTGCTTATCAGCTTAAGGAGATTTTGGGCTGAGACAATGGGGTTTTCTAGATATACAATCATGTGGTCTGCAAACAGGGACAATTTGACTTCCTCTTTTCCTAATTGAATACCCTTTATTTCCTTCTCCCGCCTAATTGCCCTGGCCAGAACTTCCAACACTATGTTGAATAGGAGTGGTGAGAGAGGGCATCCCTGTCTTGTGCCAGTTTTCAAAGGGAATGCTTCCAGGTTTTGCCCATTCAGTATGATATTGGTTGTGGGTTTGTCATAGATAGCTCTTATTATTTTGAAATACGTCCCATCAATACCTAATTTATTGAGAGTTTTTAGCATGAAGGGTTGTTGAATTTTGTCAAAGGCCTTTTCTGCATCTATTGAGATAATCATGCAGTTTTTGTCTTTGGCTCTGTTTATATGCTGGATTACATTTATTGATTTGCGTATATTGAACCAGCCTTGCATCCCAGGGATGAAGCCCACTTGATCATGGTGGATAATCTTTTCGATGTGCTGCTGGATTCGGTTTGCCAGTATTTTATTGAGGATTTTTGCATCAATGATCATCAAGGATATTGGCCTAAAATTCTCTTTTTTGGTTGTGTCTCTGCCTGGCTTTGGTATCAAAATGATGCTGGCCTCATAAAATGAGTTAGGGAGGATTCCCTTTTTCTATTGATTGGAATAGTTTCAGAAGGAATGGTGCCAGTTCCTCCTTGTAACTCTGGTAGAATTCGGCTGTGAATCCATCTGGTCCTGGACTCTTTTTGGTTGGTAAGCTATTGATTATTGCCACAATTTCAGCTCCTGTTATTGGTCTATTCAGAGATTCAGCTTCTTCCTGGTTTAGTCTTGGGAGAGTGTATGTGTTGAGGAATTTATCCATTTCTTCTAGATTTTCTAGTTTATTTGCGTAGAGGTGTTTGTAGTATTCTCTGATGGTAGTTTGTATTTCTGTGGGATTGGTGGTGATATCCCCTTTATCAGTTTTTATTGTGTCTATTTGATTCTTCTCTCTTTTTTTCTTTATTAGTCTTGCTAGTGGTGTATCTATTTTGTTGATCCTTTCAAAAAACCAGCTCCTGGATTCATTAATTTTTTGAAGTGTTTTTTTGGGTCGCTATTTCCTTCAGTTCTGCTCTGATTTTAGTTATTTCTTGCCTTCTGCTAGCTTTTGAATGTGTTTGCTTTTGGTTTTCTAGTTCTTTTAATTGTGATGTTAGGGTGTCAATTTTGGATCTTTCCTGCTTTCTCTTGTGGGCATTTAGTGCTATAAATTTCCCTCTACACACTGCTTTGAATGCGTCCCAGAGATTCTGGTATGTTGTGTCTTTGTTTTTGTTGGTTTCAAAGAACATCTTTATTTCTGCCTTAATTTCCTTATGTACCCAGTAGTCACTCAGGAGCAGGTTGTTCAGTTTCCATGTAGGTGAGCGGTTTTGAGTGAGATTCTTAATCCTGAGTTCTAGTTTGATTGCACTGTGGTCTGAGAGATAGTTTGTTATAATTTCTGTTCTTTTACATTTGCTGAGGAGAGCTTTACTTCCAAGTATGTGGTCAATTTTGGAATAGGTGTGGTGTGGTGCTGAAAAAATGTATATTCTGTTGATTTGGGGTGGAGAGTTCTGTAGATGTCTATTAGGTCCACTTGGTGCAGAGCTGAGTTCAATTCCTGGGTATCCTTCTTGACTTTCTGTCTCATTGATCTGTCTAATGTTGACAGTGGGGTGTTAAAGTCTCAGTCTCCCATTATTAATGTGTGGGGGTCTAAGTCTCTTTGTAGGTCGCTCAGGACTTGCTTTATGAATCTGGGTGCTCCTGTATTGGGTGCATATCTATTTAGGATAGTTAGCTCTTCTTGTTGAATTGATCCCTTTACCATTATGTAATGGCCTTCTTTGTCTCTTTTGATCTTTGTTGATTTAAAGTCTGTTTTATCAGAGACTAGGATTGCAACCCCTGCCTTTTTTTGTTTTCCATTTGCTTGGTAGATCTTCCTCCATCCTTTTATTTTGAGCCTATGTGTGTCTCTGCAAGTGAGATGGGTTTCCTGAATACAGCACACTGATGGGTCTTGACTCTTTTTCCAATTTGCCTGTCTGTGTCTTTTAATTGGAGCATTTATTCCATTTACTTTTAAAGTTAATATTGTTATGTGTGAATTTGATCCTGTCATGATGATGTTAGCTGGTTATTTTGCTCGTTAGTTGATGCAGTTTCTTCCTAGTCTGGATGGTCTTTACATTTTGGCATGATTTTGCAGCGGCTGGTACCGGTTGTTCCTTTCCATGTTTAGCGCTTCCTTCAGGAGCTCTTTTAGGGCAGGCCTGGTGGTGACAAAATCTCTCAGCATTTGCTTATCTGTAAAGTATTTTATTTCTCCTTCGCTTATGAAGCTTAGTTTGGCTGGATATGAAATTCTGGGCTGAAAATTCTTTTCTTTAAGAATGTTGAATATTGGCCCCCACTCTCTTCTGGCTTGTACGGTTTCTGCCAAGAGATCCGCTGTTAGTCTGATGGGCTTCCCTTTGAGGGTAACCCAACCTTTCTCTCTGGCTGCCCTTAACATTTTTTCCTTCATTTCAACTTTGGTGAATCTCACAATTATGTGTCTTGGAGTTGCTCTTCTCGAGGAGTATCTTTGTGGCGTTCTCTGCATTTCCTGAATCCGAACGTTGGCCTGCCTTGCTAGATTGGGGAAGTTCTCCTGGATAATATCCTGCAGAGTGTTTTCCAACTTGGTTCCATTCTCCCCATCACTTTCAGGTACACCAATCAGACGTAGATTTGGTCTTTTCACATAGTCCCATATTTCTTGGAGGCTTTCCTCATTTCTTTTTATTCTTTTTTCTCTAAACTTCCCTTCTCGCTTCATTTCATTCATTTCATCTTCCATCGCCCTTTCTTCCAGTTGATTGCATCGGCTCCTGAGGCTTCTGCATTCTTCACGTAGTTCTCGAGCCTTGGTTTTCAGCTCCACCAGCTCCTTTAAGCACTTCTCTGTATTGGTTATTCTAGTTATAAATTCTTCTAAATTTTTTTCAAAGTTTTCAACTTCTTTGCCTTTGGTTTGAATGTCCTCCCATAGCTCAGAGTAATTTGATCGTCTGAAGCCTTCTTCTCTCAGCTCGTCAAAGTCATTCTCCATCCAGCTTTGTTCCGTTGCTGGTGAGGAACTGCGTTCCTTTGGAGGAGGAGAGGCGCTCTGCGTTTTAGAGTTTCCAGTTTTTCTGTTCTGTTTTTTCCCCATCTTTGTGGTTTTATCTACTTTTGGTCTTTGATGATGGTGATGTACAGATGGGTTTTTGGTGTGGATGTCCTTTCTGTTTGTTAGTTTTCCTTCTAACAGACAGGACCCTCAGCTGCAGGTCTGTTGGAGTACCCTGCCGTGTGAGGTGTCAGTGTGCCCCTGCTGGGGGTTGCCTCCCAGTTAGGCTGCTCGGGGGTCAGGGGTCAGGGACCCACTTGAGGAGGCAGTCTGCCGGTTCTCAGATCTCCAGCTGCGTGCTGGGAGAACCACTGCTCTCTTCAAAGCTGTCAGACAGGGACATTGAAGTCTGCAGAGGTTACTGCTGTCTTTTTGTTTGTCTGTGCCCTGCCCCCAGAGGTGGAGCCTACAGAGGCAGGCAGGCCTCCTTGAGCTGTGGTGGGCTCCACCCAGTTGGAGCTTCCAGGCTGCTTTGTTTACCGAATCAAGCCTGGGCAATGGCGGGCGCCCCTCCCCCAGCCTCGCTGCCGCCTTGCAGTTTGATCTCAGACTGCTGTGCTAGCAATCAGCGAGATTCCGTGGGCGTAGGACCCTCCGAGCCAGGTGCGGGATATAATCTCGTGGCGTGCCTTTTTTAAGCCCTTCGGAAAAGCGCAGTATTCAGGTGGGAGTGACCCAATTTTCCAGGTGCTTCCGTCACCCCTTTGTTTGACTCGGAAAGGGAACTCCCCGACCCCTTGCGCTTCCCAAGTGAGGCTATGCCTCGCCCTGCTTAGGCTCGCGCACGGTGCATGCACCCACTGGCCTGCGCCCACTGTCTGGCACTCCCTAGTGAGATGAACCCGGTACCTCAGATGGAAATGCAGAAATCACTGCCTTATGCGTCGCTCACACTGGGAGCTGTAGACCGAAGCTGTTCCTATTCGGCCATCTTGGCTCCTTCCTCCATAACTTGTGTTTCTATTGGCATGAAAGAAAATGTATCCAGTGTGTTGGTGTTAATCTCAATATCTTCCTGCAGTTATTGCCTCAATATCATTTTTTAGAGATGCCTTTTCTGACTACCTCACATGAACTTGCATCCCACCCTCTCAATATGTTTTTATTTCTCTTCTTTGCTTAATTTTCTTCATAGCATTTTTTTGGCACCTGACATACTATGTATTTACTTGACTATTATCTCTCTCTTCCCCCAAAATAATGTAAACTTGATAAGAACAGTGACGTGCCTGTTTTTTTTTCCAGCTACATCTCCAGCTCCCAGAACAGTGCATGGTACAGAGTAAGTACTCAGTAAATACTTGGTGAATGAATGAATGAATGGAATGAATGACCATCTTGGCAATGGTATTATGAAAGCATGAGGCTTCAGCCCCCTAGAGAGGAGTGGGCTCTCAATCTGCCCCACCTGTAACACAGAATGCTTCCCCAAGTCTGGGAGCTGTAGCTTTCAGTCAAACAGGATAGCAGAGCCCATCTGTTTCAATAGAGCTGTTGAGTTGGGTTTCTACTCTGCATTTACCTTGACTGATGGTTTGGTTCAAGTTATGCTTTGTGAGAAATTCATTCCCTCCTGGAGTTGCTTCTGCCAACAGAAGGAAGACAATCATTTCTTCTTGGCATGATTTCCAACTCAATTTTTTCTGTCTAGGAGAACTCAATTGCCATCATACAACCATTCCAAATCTCATGCTGGTCAAATCAAATGCTGCTTTTGTAATTTAGCCACCCTCCCCTGGCCATGTTCTATTCTCCCTATTTTCTCAGCTTCTCTATTATGGAAGATTGATTTTCTTTGCTTTCCAATTAGATCCTTGAGTCTATGACTTTGGAATTCTGGTTATGGAGCATTTTATTTCTTAATGGTGTGTGTTTGTGTGTGTCTTAAATTCACATACATGGAATAGCTAGAACATAATTGTTTTTATACTTAGATATAAAATATTTGGAATAAAAAAGCAGATGCAGGTGAAAACATACGACTTGCATTTTCATTTTCATTCTGCCTCTAATGGGTTATAGAATCTTAACTAAAATCCTTCCGCTTTCTGAACCTTGTAATAAATGACCCACAAGAAAGCCTTCAGTAATTACATCACTTGATACTTTCAAAAAGCACCCCTTATACCCTTTATAGACAAGAGAAAATCAATCATTCTAACTTTGCAGAAAATCATATAAATGAGTAGAGTAAAATTTTGATGAAACGAAAGCAGTCTATAAAGTTTTATTTCTATTTGCTATGTTCAGGGGAAGAATCAAATGACTTCTCCACCCCCAACAAAAATAATTATTCTCTATTTACTTATTTTTCTAATTGTCAAACATGCCACACTTCCTATTCATAAAAATTCTGCTCTCAAGCATGTGGAATTATAGGATCTAGTGTTGGGAGAGGCAGGTGCTGGTTAGGATTAGATTCACATGTGATAGAGAGCCAAAACAATAGCGTGCACAAGACAGATTTGTTTCTCTCTCACATGTTATTCCCAAGGTAAGCAAGCAGTACAGACAGCTTTAGCATTCCTTGTTTTCAGGGACACAGGCCCTCCTTCTTTTCTTCCCACCAACTCCAGGATATTGTGTTTGTTAGTGTGGCCTGGTACTTTTACTACCTCCTTTGCATTCCAGCTCTCAAGAAGGAGTAAAGGTGGGCATGGCTAGTTTTTTTAGAATATGACCAGAAATTATACTCATCACCTCTGCTCACATCCCATTGGTAATTAGTTATGTGCCCTAGCCACATGGTCATGTCTATCTGCAAGGGAACATGGCCTTTATATCATGTGCCTAGCTGAGAATTGAGGATCCTTTACAATGAAAAAAAGAAACAAGATTGTAAATATCAGGAGGGCAACTAGCAGTTTCTGCTACCGAGATCAACACTCTAATTTTATAGATTCAGGAACTGAGCCAGTAGAGGTAAAATATATCCCAAGCTTTACAGCCCAATTATAGTGGAACTAAGCTTAGATCCTAGGTCACTGTGGTTTTATGGAAAGAGCATGAGTTTGGAATGAGACAGATCTGAGTTAGAGTTTCTGTTTTGCCAACTGCTGACTGTGTAATTTTTGGAAAATTTATTAACCTGTGTGGCCTTGATTTTCTCATATATAAAATGGGGATAATTTCTCTTGAAGGTTATCTGGGATAATAAATGAGTTGATGTATGAAAGCACCTTTCAGAATATCCAGCAGTTTACAAGGACTAAGTTGCAGGTTACCCCCAACTTCAAGCTTCCAGTTACAATTCTATAGGATATAATGTAGATATATTTAAACATACATAGGGACTATGGAAAAATACCTGGACTATTTCTCATGGTAAATTCAAATCTTTTTATAAATCTATATTTCTGTACAATTTGAGTTGATATTCAATTATGATTTTTTTTCAATTATGATTTCAAAGTACTTTAAGAGATGGGCAAAAGCAGAGATTTTAAGGAAAAGCTTCAATTATCTAGAAAATTCAAGTTAACTAGAATCTCTCATGCTCTGAGCATTTGAGTTAATTAACTGAATTATAGCATTATTTTAATAACACATTATATAGTACCCATAGGCTTAAGTGAATTAATTTTCAAAGTTTGGAAAAAATTAGATTGGCTATTTCAAAAATCTGAGAGGGGAAAAAAATGTTCATATCTATTTGAGACTTTTCCTCAGGATACTTAGAATTTCTTTCTAAACATTTCTAAACAGTAAAAATGTTTAAAAGAAAATACATAGATTTGCTTGAGAGAAATCCCTCCAGCTTGGGAAGAAATCACTCAAATCCAAACCATATGTGATATGTAAAGTAGTATTTTGAATATTCATATTATGATGTGAAAATCAGATTCCCAGAACGGTAAGTGTCACAGAAAGAATTGAAATGAAGACAGCAGTATGAATGTCACTTCCCTAATGCACAATATTGCAGTTCTACCCAGCATCTTTCTTCCTTGATGGGATCACCAGAGAACAATCATGGGTACAGATATGGCAAACATACCCTCATTCTAATTATATAACATTCTTTGGAAGGAAAACAAATTTTAACTCAACATCTTTCTGAACAAATTTTAATTCTGGTAATGGGACACTATTATTTTTGTCCATTCCTTTGGCTTAGCCTGGTTTTTCAATATTAGTATTTCACTTTGTACTTATTCCTGAGTCCTGGTTGAAACCGCCTCTGAAATGTATGGGATGCTTATTTGTAGCCTGAACATTCACACTCCTTTTTTTAAGCTCCTGTTGTTAATACCATATACTTCTTTCTCTACTTTCATTCATCTTTTTAGTATCCCTGTTAACAGATTTGTCTCAGGACAATTTAAATTATCTTCAATTTCTTTTAGTAGAGGGGAGAAAAAAATCCAATCGCTTTACAGCAAGTATTTTTCCTCACTTTCTGAATGCATGTCACATCCTTATTTTGACACGCCTGGTCAGCGCATTTTAACATTATTCATCTCCATTTATGCTGCTAATGGATTTCCAATTGCAAATTATCTACAGAACCTGCATCAGAATGCTTTTTACAGCTGTATGAATTGATCCATACACCCATAATATTCAGTCAGCCTTTGGTTTGTATCAACAAGTTTCCTCTTTGGAAGCTGCTAACTAATAGAGAGTCTCAGTGGATTGGTGGTTAATCATAATTCTGGAATATTCTTTGTGTAGATAGAGTTAGGAGATTCTTTCACTACTCTGAGGGGTTATATTTGAGTGTAAGAAAATTAAAAGATGAAGAATTTAAAAGTTTTAAGAGGCTGCTCTTAAGAGGAAAGCTTCAGAGATATTTTAGTGTTCATAAAACAAAAAAATGGATCCAATAGACAAAATTAAGGGAATGTCAATGATCTCATTATTGTTATCTGGTTAAAGACCAAATGACAGTTCTGAAGAGAAACTATAAGTGGGTTCCTTTTCTGTAAACCAGTGCTACTCCCTGGGCCATTATGTGACCTGTTTGTTCACATGAGATGCATACAGAAATTGAGTGTTTAGAAACTTTCACAGTGATGTGATGTTGCTGATGTCCATGTGCATGACCAGTGGACTCGTCTCGTTAAATGGGATATGCACCAGCATGGATGTTGTTGAGTTCATGTGGTGTGTGTCTATTTGTGTTTAGTAGGACCATGTATCAGTCCAAGGTAGACTCAAAACAAATAAATAATCAGTCCTTATCCACAGAGACTTTGGGAAGCAGTGCTTTAAACAAGTGGGAATATTGCTGAGAAAACAAAATAAAGCTTTAAAATTGCTTGGGGGCAATATTAAATGAGCAAAGTCAAGGGTTAAAGCTTTCATAAATCTAGACAGTGTAAGGCAAATCCTGGTGATTGATGGAAATGGATTGACATTGTCTAGGCTTCCATGAGTCACTGAGTTGCCATGGGTCAGTCAGACCGATGCAGTCAGAGAACAGTAGTTCTGGCTGCAGATTCTAGCAGGTGTGACTGCAACTACATAGGTCCAGGTGTGTGTCTTATTATTCAAGCTGTCTCAGAAAGCATTCTGGGAGAGCTTTCTAAGGCATCGCAGAAGGAGTTTCACTTTTTTGGGGGCTATGTGCATGTGGTTAATGACTCTCACCAAGAGCAGCAGCAGGCATTGGTGCAGCCAAGGCATGTGCTAGCTCATCAATTCTTACAATGCATACTGCTAAAAGCCAATCATTCTCCTTGTAATTAAAATACTATATTTGCAGCAGAATTCAAACGCAGCACAGTAATAAGTTTACCTTATAAGGCTTAAACTTGATATTAATATCTCTGGGCTCCAGTTCCGTTAGGATAGAGTCTTATGACCAGAAAGTTTTGTACAAAGTAGCATTGCTTGATAATGTACAATTAATTCCATTTGCTTTCCCTATTTCTCTAGAAATGGTTTAGGGTCTCTCTCTAGCAATTTTATGATTAAGCCACTTAATTTTTATAATGCATTATGTATATATCCCCAGAGTTGGTAATTCTTTTCTGTATCGGTTTGTATTCTGTTATGAGATGGTCAGTCAGGTGTGGCCACAAGGGGAGACAGAGGAAAAGCTCAGGAAAACCAAGTCTATCATACTTATGGGTCCTAAAGACAGGAGGCATGGCCTGCCAGTCAGGGACACATGGGAAAGACACAAGGGTGTTCAGGAGGTAGAAGACAGGAGCCAGGAGAAAGCATTAGGGCAGAGCCTTCATTGGGGTTACTGTGGGAAAAGCAAGGCAGGGCACGGTGAACAGTTTAGGACTGACTAGCTTGAATACTTGCAGTGGGCTCTAAGCTATATGGGTGGCCCCTGGTAGCTTTGGGATGATTAAGGTAGAGGAGTATTGTCTCAAGGGGTGCATGAGCCAGATAGACAGAAGAGATCTGGCTCTGGTTGATTAGTTTGCTGAGCAAAGGCACATTCCTTGTTGGGCTCTTTGTTGTCGTTAAGAATTGGCTAGCTCTGGGAGGGGCAGTCTCGCTCCAGCTGGAAAGGATTTTTAAAGATGTCCAAATATCATAATATGCAGAATATATATATATATAAATATTATATATATATAATATTATATATATTTATATATATAATATATATATATTTTATTTATAAATATTATATATATTTATATATATAATATTTATATATATAATATTATATATTATATATATAATATTATATATATAATATATTATATTATATATATTATATATATAATATTATATATATATTTATATATATATACACAATACACATATGTTTGGTCCCTCCTACAAACTTTCATACTCTAAGATCCCATTGTGTTCCTAGAGATGTTCAATAGCTTGAATATTTGAAATGAAAAACATTTTATAACCTTTATTTAAACAGCTTAGTTGCCTACAGTTAAGTAGGCGTTTCTCAAAATTCTACCATAATATTACATGGCTCAACACAATCCATAAAATTCGTGGCTAATATCCTTAATTGGCTTTTTCCAACCCATTATCTTTCCGATTCTCCTTTAGTACCTCTCAATATAGAGACCAGGCAACCAATTTTTCTTTACCTGAGACTTCTTTGTAATTGTGGATGGCTATGGAGCCTAATTCTGGCACAGGAACGAATATAGAATTCTGTCTTGGGCACTTCTTGGGAATCGTTTGCTTTTCTGACAAAAAGGAATTGGTTGGCTAGTACAACCCTTCACTCTTCTGCTGGGAATAAGGACCTGATGGCAGGGGCTGCAGCAGTTATCTTACATCTATGTGCTAAGGGAAAAAGAGACACTTATTTGTTGAAATCATTTGGTCTGATTTCTGTTACTTGCAGGTGATGGGCTTCCTAGCTGACACAGAAACCTTGTCCTTTGAATAACATATATTTGCAAATTTCCATAGAGCTTTTCTCAAGTTTCATTCGAGAATGTGTTTGAAAATGGTAGAACACTTGAACCTGGCTCTGTTAGGCTCTAATGTGTATTTTAGCTCCAGCCAATCTAAAACGTGCAGGAGTGAAGCTATATGGTTTAGGTTTAATTGCTTCAGATTTTTCCAAAGCTGTAACAAAAAAATTTCTAATTTAGTACTGCCATCCATTTTATCTTCCTTAATTTTCATTTCACAGGTCCAGGGTTTTCTGTCTCCTTTATTTTCCCAACTTGGGTTACTTGAGATCTGAGTTGAACTAAATAAAAATTATTATTGTCATCGAAAATACATAAATAGAGGTAAGCTATTTATATTAGGATTTTATGTAAAGAACACTTGTATTTGGCAAGGTTTATTATACTCTTCAGGTGTTCATGTTCCCATATTAGAAATAAATATTCAGAAGAGATGTTTGAAGCCAAGTGTAGCACTGTTCTTGAAGTGGCTCAACACAGCAGAGTGGAAAGAAAAACAGAAAGTGGCAGATTTATCCAGCAAACTTGGTTGGTTCAGTTACCATACACATTGTGGCTCAGGGCTCTCCCTCCATCACCCTGCACAGAAGTCCCCACTAATCCTCTGCTCCCATGGCTGTGTGCTTACCCGGTGCAGCCCTTACCTCACCTGCTGTCATTTATTTGTTCACGTGGCATCTTTCCTCCTAGGTGGTAAGACCCTCGGGGCAGCCCCTGTGTCCCTGCATTGCCAGAGCTGGAACTAACTGGGTTCCAGTAAGATTTACTGACATACACAAAGTGATGGAAACACATAAAAATGAAGAAGTGTTTATCTGGAGTAAGTTTGGCCCCAATACATCAGGGAGTAAGTCATATAAGACATTTGTTTGCAGAATAAACTTGTTTTGTTTACTTTTCTTTTCTGAATCCCCTCAAGAAGAGAAATAAATTCATGGATACTAATCTTCAGGGATTTTTTTTGGCCATAAGTGAGGATATGTAATATAAGAGAAAAGACTTAAAGCTTGTTACAAGGCTTGCCATGTTGGACAGCTTGCCTACCTCTTTTTTTTTTTTGTTTATCTCTTTCTCTTCTTCTTCCCTATCCTTTTCTTTCTGGGATCCCTGGGCTCTTCATACCCATCCCTTGGCTGAGCAGCTCTCCATGCTGGAGTACTCTAAATAAAGACTTTGCTACAAGGCCCATAATGTTCCTTATCTCTCTTCTCATGGAAATTTGTCAGGTGACTCTCTTAGGTCCTTGTTCTTTGCTGGGTTTAATACCATAAACCACTGTGATTTAGGGTGTTAATGGTTATCAGTCATCAAATGCCTTGTTTCATCATCCTTTGCATTTGAAGAATACTTTTCAATGTTTTGCTGCAAAGGAAGGTGTGGTGGATGTGGCAGTGCATTGCCCTGGTTCTCTATTCCACATGGAAGAATTCATTCTCCAGCTGCTCAGTGTTGGCTGCTGATGGCTCACAGCTGCATCCCTCTCCAAGAACCACAAGGGCTGCCTTGCCCAAGTTTGTGTCCTTTTCCTGGGGGCCAAGCACGTTCAATGACTAGTGAAATAGGAGTACAAAGGCTATAAAGACCAGCGCCCCTTGCTGTACGTGGGGAATCTCTGAAAGGCACCCCCTTTGCAGTTGCAGAGTTCCCTGTGAGTTTGGCTAAAGTTTCTGTGATGAGTGCATTGCAGTTCAACTTCTCTCTCTGCCCAACTGGATTCCCCCATTCCTTATGAAGTTGTGTTGCTGATCCACCAATCCCACTCTCAACATACACAACAAAACTCCTGCATGAAAACCTCTGACCTAACACAGTTGGTGATAGAAGTGTTCCTAGGATGCAGTCTCTCCAATGAGGTTTTGGAGCTATATCACCCACTAGCTTGCTGGCAAGGAGGAGCCCATGAGCAATGCTAGGTCACTCCCTGGGCTGCAGTAAGTAGAATGTTTAAAACTGGAATAAGACATCAGTGGAAGGGAATACATCAACTTGTGCAATTTATCAGATGTTTGGCAGGTACAGGAGAAGTAGTGAATATAAGTACTGTAGAATCAGATGGCTGACACTATCAATGCATTGGAGAAAGACAATGAAAAATAAAAAGCTGAAAGTGATTAATCACTAATTTAGGGAGAAGTGGAGAATGCGAAGGCCTCCTTGGCAGCACAGAAAGAGACTCTAAGTGTTCATAGCTGGAGAGCACATAGTGCAGAGGATCAGGCCTAGGGTATTAGAACTTCATAGAAGGGTATATTCTAAGTCTGGTCAAATTTTCTGTGCCAAAGCCTGAAGCACAGGCTGGTTTGGATTGAGTGAGCCCCTGAGACTTGGGATCGTGACATCTGGGCCAGCACACACAAGAAGCTTAAATCTGCCCATCTCCCCGCACTCGCTGGCTCTCTCCTTCCTATTAATGGCTGGTATTCCCCCCTTGCTTGAAGACAATGCAGAGGCCTCTACCTGATCAATACCAGGTGCTGGCTTCGAGTTGAAACCCCACTGCTCCTCTTGGCTGCTAGACCAATAAATGTTGTCAAACTGCAACATAACTTGGCCCATGGGGTGCTGATTCTGCTGAGAAAAAAATAGGGACTCTTCCAGAGGAGCTGCAGGACTTAACCATTACATACCTGCAGAGCCAGGATACATATGTGGGTTTGGATCCTGAGGAAGCAGAATCAAGGAGTGTTAAAACATAAAGTTGGATAAGGAGAATTCATCTAAATGAGAGCCCTCTCCAGTGACACAGGATTTAACTCGCCTATGATATAGAACACAACCCTGGGAGACTGTACTCTCAAGCTGCTGGGATGACTCTTGGAAGCTTAGAGGAAGCAATGGCAAGTGGAAATGCCAGCATTGCTGTGGCAGACAATAGAAGAAAGAATAAAAAACCTCAGAAAAAGTGGGCATGTTAGAGTGAATACACTGTTGAAGGAGGAAACCTGACTGTATCTTTAGGAGGGCCTGTAGGACACTCCACTTTCCAAAGCAGTATGAGCTGCAATGGGGAGAGGACAACCAGCAGCCCTGAGCCCAGTGGTGGCTGTGCTTTGCTGTCAGGACTGACAGTAGAAGATGCTGTTACAGAACTGAGCTCCTTGACTGCAATGGGGATGATCAGATCCCGAAATAACAGTCTGGGTGGTGACACTTAATCAGAAGCAAAGTGGGTGGAATTAATGTAATGAGTGGCAGGGTTGGAATGGCAGCCAGGGGGCACAACCCACAGAGTGCTATAGAGATGATTAATAGAACATGGTGTCCCTAGGGACAAGAGAGGTGGGCAGCCAATAAGGCTTTGGTTTAATCTAAATAAATCAAAATAAATCAAGGGTGGATAATCAGGAGGCTGAAGGCAGCCTGAAAAATAAAATGTCACAAATACTTGCCATTTGTAGATGTGAGCCAATTCTGAACCCCTGAATTCATTGAATGAAGGAGAAGTCAGGTCTACAGTAGGAAAGTGTATATGATGATGATATACCTGTTATTCACCAAAGAAACCTACAGCTGTTTGCCTGGGTCATTGTATACTAGGAAAAGGGAACTATCTGGATATTTTGAGAACTCTTAGATACAGGGTTAAAGTTCACATTGATACAAGAACAGAAACATCATTAAGATTCCCTGTTAGAGTGGCCACATGTTGGGGACAGATAATAGGTGGGTCCTGACATAGTTTATCTCACATTGGGCCTAGGAACTCACCTAATGGTCATTTCGTTGGTCCTCTGAATGTGTAACTGGAGTGGACATACCTGGCCATTGGTAGAAATTTCATATTCCTTTCTTGGACTATGGAGGAAAGATCTATTATAGTGGGGGACCAAGAGGGACTCTTTGAAATTTTTTACCTCTTCCAAACATGATAATAGAAAACGATACCATATCCTAAAGGAAATGGTAGAGAATGGTGTTACCATGAAAGACTTCAAGGAGACAGGGATGTTGGTTCTCATTTCTTAGATCACCTGTGTGGCCGGCCTCTACTGAAACCAGATGAATCTTGGCAAAAGATGGCAAACTCTGAATCCAGTCCAGCAGTTACCTTGATTGCAGCTGCTCTGCTGGGTCCTATACATTTGCATAGCTTCAGGGGCATATTATGTAACTATCTGCCTGGCAAATGTACTCTTCATGCCTATTAAGGAGACTCAGAAATAGCTCTCATTCACATGCTATATTAGTCCTTTTTCACACTGTTGATAAAGACATACCCGAGACTAGGCAATTTACATGAGAAAGAGGTTCAATTTGACTTACAGTTTCAGTGGCTGGGGAAGCCTCACAATTATGGCAGAAGGCAAGGAGGAGCAAGTCACGTCTTACAGGGATGGCAGCAGGCAAAGAGAGAATGAGCTTGTGCAGGAGAACTCCTCTTTTTAAAATCATCAGATCTTGTGAGACTTATTCACTATCATGAGAACAGCACAGGAAAGACTTGCCCCCCATGATTCAATTACCTCCCACTGGGTCCCTCCCACAACATGTGGGAATTTGAGATGAGATTTCGGTCGGGACACAGGCAAACCATCATTCTGCCCCAACCCCTCCCAAATTTCATGCCCTCACATTTCAAATCCAATCATCCCTCCCCAATAGTCCCCCAAAGTCTTAACTCATTTCAGCATTAACTCAAAAGTCCACAGTCCAAAGTCTTACCTGAGACAAGGTAAGTTTCTTCCACTTATAATCCTGTAAAATCAAAATCTGGTTAGTTACTTCCTACATACGATGGGGGCATAGGCATTGGGTAAATACTGCCATTCCAAATGGGAGAAATTGGCCAAAACAAAGGGGCTACAGTCTTCATGCAAGTCCAAAATCCAGCGGGGTAGTCAAATCTTAAAACTCCAAAGTGATCTTTGACTTTATGTCTCACATCCAGGTCACGCTGATGCAAAAGGTGGGTTCCCATGGTCTAGAGCCGCTTTGCCCCTGTAGCTTTGCAGGATACAGCCTTCCTCCTGGCTCCTTTCACTGGCTGGTGTTGAGTGTCTGAGGCTTTGCCAGGCACATGGTGCAAGCTGTCAGTGGATCTACCATTCTGGGGTCTGGAGGAGGGTGGCCCTCTTCTCACAGCTCCACTAAGTAGTGCCCCAGTAGGGACTCTGTGTTGGGGGCTCTGACCCCAAATTTCCCTCCTGCACTGCCCTAGAAGAGGTTCTCCATGAGAGTCCTGCCCCTGCAGCAAACTTCTGCCTGGACATCCAGGTGTTTCCACACATCTTCTGAAATCTAGATGGAGGTTCTCAAGCCTCAATTCTTGACTTCTGTGCAGTCACAGGCTCAACACCACATAGAAGCTGCCAAGGCTTGGGGCTTGTGCCCTCTGAAGCCATAGCCTGAGCTCTCTGTTGAGCCCTTTCAGCCATGGCTGTAGCAGCTGGGACACAGGGCACCAAGTCCCTAGGCTGCACACAGTATGGGGACCCTGGGCCCAGATGACAAAACTGTATTTTCCTCCTAGGCCTCCAGGCCTGTGATGAGAGGGGCTGCTGTGAAGACCTCTGACATGCTCTGGAGACATTTTTCCCATTGTCTTGGGGATTAACATTGGGCTCCTCGTTACTTATGCAAATTTCTGCAGCTAGCTTGAATTTCTCCTCAGAAAATGGGATTTTCTGTCACATTTTCAGGTTGCAAATTTTTCAAACTTTTGTGCTCTGTTTCCCTTTTAAAACTGAAGGCTTTTTAACAGCACTCAAGTCACCTCTTGAATGCTTTGCTGTTTAGAAATTTCTTCTGCAAGATACCCTAAAATATCTTTCCCAAGTTCAAAGTTCCACAAATCTCTAGGGCAGGGGCAAAATGCTGCAGTCTCTTTGCTAAAACATATCAAGAGTCACTTTTGCTCCAGTTCCCAACAAGTTCATCAGCAACATCTGAGACCACCTCAGTCTGGACCTTATTGTCCATATCACTATCAGCATTTTGGGCAAAGCCATTCAACAAGTATCTAGGAAGTTCTAAACTTTCCCACATTTTCCTGTCTTCTCCTGAGCCCTCCAAAATGTTCCAACCTCTGCCTGTTATCCAGTTTCAAAGTTACTTTCACATTTTTGGGTATCTTCTCAGCAACCCCACTCTACTGGTACCAATTTACTGTATTAGCCTGTTTTCAAGGCGCTGATAAAGGCCTACCTGAGACTGTGCAATTTACAAAAGAAAAAGGTTTAATTGGGCTTACAGTTTCATGTTGCTGGGGAAGCCTCACAATCATGGCAGAAGGCAAGGAGAAGCAAGTCCTGTCTTACATGGGTGGCAGCAGGCAAAGAGAGAATGAGCATGTGCAGGGGGACTCCTCTTTTTAAAACCATCAGATCTCATGAGATTTATTCACTATCATGAAAACAGCATGGGAAAGACTTGCCCCCATGATTCAGTTACCTCCCACCAGGTCCCTCCCACAACACATGGGAATTCAGGATGAGATTTGGTTGGGGACACAGCCAAACCATATCACATGGTGGTTGTGGTGGAGATAACAGTATATATTTAGAAGATGTCTTCTGACATAACATAATCTGAAGGGATCTAGATCATCTAAACATTTTTAAAATCACCATATTAGTTTACTACATTGAAGAAAACATGTTAGTTGCACCGGATAAGCAAAAAGAAGCAAGTATATTGGAGGGTTTGGTAAGACACATGCTTCAGAGGGTGGAAGGTAAAACTCTATAGAGATTCATAGATCTGTCACAACAGAAATGTTTAGTATCTAGTGGTCTGGCACATGCTGGGACATTCCATGGAAAGTAAAAGACAAATTATTTCATCACATGTCTCCCACCACTAACACTTTCTGGGTCTCTTTGGAGTTTGGAAGCAGCATTTTCCATAGTTGGAAATGCCAACCTGACCTATTTACTGGCTGACATGGAGAGTTATAAGCTCTGAATAGGTTCAGAATAGGAAAGGGCTCTGCAGCAGGTCTGTCCTGCAGTGCAAACAGCCCCGTTGCCTCAGCCATAAAATTGGACAGACTGTAGGTTACTGTGGTGGGAGAAAGTGCCATGTAGAGTTTATGACAAGCCCCAACAGGAGAAACAAAATATAGATACCGAGGATTCTGGAATAAGGCCATGCCATCTGTAGCAGAGTAGTATGTAGCATTCAAAAAACAAGTCTGGCATGCTGCGGGGCCCTGGTAAAAATGGGATGTCTGAACACGAGACATCAAATGAGCCTGTAGCCAGAGCTGCTCATTAAGGGCTGGGCTCTGTCTTATTTGTCAAGTTATAAGTCTGGGCAGGCTCAGCAGCAATGCTTTATGAGATAAAAGTGGCACATCCAGGTTTGGGGATGAGCAGAGCCAGAGGGCTCAAGTAAGCTGCATGAGCCAGTGGCCTAGGGTCATCCATCTTTATTGCACCAATGCCTTTCCCTCAGCCCTTACATATGGTAACTTAAAAGGTCTCTTTGGATCAGTTGACAGAGGAGAGAAAGGCTAAGTTTCTTTCACAGATAGGTTGGCTTAGTATGTGGGGGCCAGCTAAAAATGAATGAATGCTACATTTTAATTCCATTCAGGGGTTGCCCTGAAAATAGAAGAAATGGGAAAGCTTTTCAGGGGCAACGATTTGGGTGTGGGCACCTGATCATCCACTTTGTTTGGAAATATGCTTGGCCCTTCATAAGAACATATATATGTGTGTGTGTATATATATATATATATATATATATATATATATATATATATATATATATATGTATATCTATATTTTCTTAGGTGGTGGTGAATGTTCGGCTGGTAGGTCAGGGGGCCAGAATAAGAAAGACTGAAAAACTGGGGACGTAAAGACCTGTGGATGGAACTGTCAGAGTGGGCACACAGGGTGATCTTTGTAAGCCATATTAACTCTACTGGTGAGCATCCAGCATAGAAGAGGCACTAAACAGGCAAAGAGAGAGAATTCATGGCTAGTTGATGTCAGCCAGCATGGGCTTCCTCCACCAAGTCTGATCTAACTGTACTGCTGGTGAGTGTTTAAACTTCCTGCAACAGAGATGCATCCTGAGCCCTTGCAATAGCATCATCTCTTGAGGAGGGCAACCAGCCATTTGGTGGGAAATTGATTATGTTGGAATCTTTCCACCCTGGAAGAGCAGTGATTTGTCTTGACTGAATCAATGTATATTCTGGGTATGGGTTTACCTTTCCTGCATGCAATGCCTCAGCCAACATTAGCATCTAAGCGTTTACCCTGTATGCTCCATTGACAAAGGATTCTGACAATATTACTCAAGATGAGGGGCTCACATTACTGTAGCAAAGGAGGTGAGGCAGTGGACACATGATCTTGGGGTTCTCTGTTCATATCATATGGCACACCACCCAGAAGCTTCCAGCTTGATAGAATGATGTAACAACTTTCAATGCAGCTGCAGCATCACTAGGAGGATGCAACTTATGCTCTAAATAAACAACTCTTAGAAATATTACAAAGGTCTGAGAAACAATGGGTAGAGTAGAAGTGGTCCTATTTATGGACACTCTTAGTGACCCTTTTTGAGAGTTTATGCTGGTTGTCTTCTTACTTTAGAAGTCCAGAGGTCTTGGTTCTCAGAAAGGGAATGCTTCCAGAAGAGGATGCAGAGAGAGTTTTATTAAGCTCTAGTCTAAGGTTGCTGCCTACCTACTTTGAGCTCCTCATGTCAAGAAAGCAGTGGGCAAATAAAAGATTTATTACCTTGCAGGGATAATTGACTGTGATTTCAGGAGGAGGCACAACTGCTGTTCTATGATGGGGACAGGGTAAATGATTTGTCACCCAGGCGGCCCCTGGGGCATCTCTTGGCAAACAGCTGCCCAGTTTGATATAAATAGTTAAGCACAGAGCTTGAGGAAGGCATGGTGACTAGGGGCTAAGAACTTCCAGGGACAAGGTCTCAGTCACCTCACTATATGAGCCACCTGCACCAGCTGAGTGCTAACTGGTGGAGATGCAAATCTAGAATAAGCAGGAGAAAAGAGACAATGAGCACCACTTGTGACTTTGAGAACAGCTGGGGCAGCAGGGATGTAGTTCATCCCACAAACTTTCCTCCTGAAGTTTCAGAGCCAGCCTGAATCCCAGAGGAGCTGTTTCCAAATGGGGTGAACTTACAGACGAAGCAAGTGAATCCGTATATAGTGACGTAGTGATGCTACACTGCCCAGACCTGCTTTCCTTAGCCCCTTTATAGAGACTCACTCCTCAGTTGCTGAGAATGTCAACGGTTGATGGCCCTAAGTTGTGAAGCTCTTCTGGAACTCCCTTCACCAAGTTCATACCCCTCCCAGGGACCTACCTGCATCTATCACTGGTGGGTGCTGAGGTATAAAGGTCTAACCTCCCGACCTCAACTGGGGACAACTCAGAAGGGCTCCCTGAGATCTAGAGCTCTCTGCAGGGTCAGCTGAAGCCTCTCTTGCAACAGCATCATGATTTGACTCCTCTCTCTGCCCAGCCCTTCTTCCCTCACTCCCTTACAGGTGTTGTTTCTGAACATGCTTCCCTAACACTCCCTACAAATCTCCCCTCAGAATCTGTTTCTAGAGACCTGAGCTAAGACAGAGTGGTATCTATATTTTGAGAGCAAGTAGAAGTTTACTTTAAATCTTACCATATATGTGGGTGGTGGCCCATATTTACCTCATACAAGGTTGGCTCTCCCTTGGACAAAGGTTTTTCTTAGAAAAATTGAGATGAGGCTGGGTGCGGAGGCTCATGCCTATAAATCCCAGTACTTTGGGAGTCTGAGGTGGGCGGATTGCTTGAGCCTAGGATTTCAAGACAAACCTGGGAAACATAGTGAAACTCCTTCTCTACAAAAATTACAAAAATTAGCAGGGTGTGGTGGTTTACACCTGCAGTCCCCACGACTAGGGAGGCTGAGGTGGTAGGATGGCTTGAGCCCAGGAGGTCAAGGCTGCAGTGAGCTAAGAGTGTGCCATTGCACTCCAGCCTGGGCGACAGAGCAAGATCTGGGGGAGAAGACACCTCAGCAGATATGACTGATTTAATCCCCCAGCAAAGGGGTTCAGTCTTGACAATTAATTGTTTACTTTCTGGTGTTTAAGCAAGTTTAGAGTGTTTAAGAACTAACTTATTTTTAAAAGAAACCAATGGCTTATACTTTTGATCAACTAATATTAATACTAACTCATAGTTTATATAGAAACTCATGAGAAATCATGATACAATGAAAAAAACCTAACTTTGGAATCAGAGAATTCAGAATTTAAATGTCAACTTGCATGTTGGACAAATCACATTTTCTAAGCTTTAGTTTTATTAGTCTCTAAAAAGGAAACAATGCCTATTTTGTGGGTTTTTTTGGGGGGTGAGAACTAAAGAAGATAATATCTACAGACCCCCGGGACCTGTAGCTCATAGGCATGACATATAGATTCATTATCTTGCCCAACAAACATTCATTCAGCACAAATCTTTATTATATGCCAGGTTCTGTGCTAGCTGCATGGGGAGACTGATGGACAAGCCCCCATTTTTTTTGGAAGGAGCTCAAACTTTGGAGTAAGAGAAATTTACATACAGAAGAAAGGTCTGGAGTAGAGATAACTCACAGATTTCTAATTTGTTCAACTTGATGAATAGTAATTTTCTAGATGTTCCAGTGCATTTTTTGAAGTAGGCATGGCTGGATTAAGGATATAATGCTTAGAGGGGTTTCTAGGAAGCCAATCTGTGAGGCATTAAAACATCTCTGTCTGAGATGGAGAAGATTGCATTTCCCAGAATGAGAATCCCAGTGAATTATACATGCTTGGACTGAAGCTGGACTGCTAGAGTCAATAATAGAGAGAATGGCACAATCACCTCTGTCTTCCTCCTCTGTGCTTTTGCTTCATGATGGTCTCCAGCCTCTCCTCTATCCATGCTTTGGGCTGACATTTGAAATATACAGTTCTGAAGGAGCACCTGCTCATGAGCCTACCATTGGTCTTAATCTGGGTAGTTGCTTCATTATTTTTAGTAATGAAACCGAAGCTTAAATTCAAGGTGGCACCAGTTTCCAGGTAGCAGAACTATGGCAGGGACCCAGTCCTCTCAGTCACTGCCTCATTTCATCATACCCTCCCTCAACACTTAAGTGCATGACTCTAAAACACTGGCAAGAAAAGAGGCATATGACAGTAGCATAAGCTCTTAGCATAGATTTAATTTAAACAACTTTTGGAGTGGTCATTTTGTTGTCATGGTTGCTCCAATCAATGAGATGGATATAGGGTCTTGGGGCTGCAGCTGTTTGTCTGATCATTTAACCTTCTGAAGCAGATTTTATTAAAGTGTTCCTGTTGCTGAAAATGAATTATAAATCTTTCCTTTTTCTGTAGGAAATAAGAGTGCCCAGATGAGATTACATGGCTTCCTATGATATCTAAATAAGATTAGTTTGCCGAAGATCACATTAAAATCCCATTAAAGAGACAGTTCCGCTCCAGCCCCCATTCTCCTCAGGCAAGTTCTGAGCGAGTTGATGAAAATTGCTTAGGGATGACACACAGGCATTGAGCACCCTGTGGAGACACGGGGGTGGGGTGGAAATATTCCCCCAACTGTGTATATCACAGAAACAGGGTCTGTGTACATGGCCCATTACTTACAGATGACAGTTCCTGAATCTAAGGAGGGAAGACTTTAGGGAAGAAATGGTAATAAGATGAAAAGATCACAAGATGGAGGCATTGAGGTCATCCTCAGAGAGGATCCAGGAAATCATTAATTCATTTTTTTTATGTGACAAGGATAACAATATTAATGTTTCGGTATTTATACCCTTCCCTCAAGGCTGCTCTGAGAAAGAGGGATTCTTTGCTCTCAGGAGGCTACCGAGCCTGGACTTTTGTTGTGCCGATCTAAGTAATCAGTTTAACTTTGGAATGAATATGGAGCAAACATAAATTGATATTCATTAAGAAAAGATTGGAGCAGTTCCTATAATGCTCAAATGGGCCAGCAGGGTGGTTGGAATTTTGAGAGAGCAAAGAAGCAGCCTGCGGAGAGAAAAAGAAGGAAGATTGAGAGAGACTGTTGTGATTGCTGGGACTCTGGGGAAGTCAGGTGGATGATGTTTGCATCTTCTCAAGGGATTTCTCTGAAGATTTAAAAAGCTTGTATGTGTGTGTGTGTGTGTGTGTGTATTTAACATAGAACTGATTTTTGTGAATGGCTATGATAAAGCCATGAAACAGGCAAACTTCATTTGTTCATTAATTTACTCATCAGATTTTCTTGAGGGGTGGGTGTTTGTAAGAGATACAGAGAAGGGGGATAGAGACCATATAAGCAAGTGTGTGCAGGTTCAGTGCAATGGATGCTTCCGCAGAAGTAAGCACAGGGAGCTAAGGGGATGCAAGCAAGGAGGGCCTCTATGTGGACGGTCAGGGAAGGCCTCACTGAGAAGGCCTGACAACTCTGAGGGGTCAGCCTGCTTCACGCTTGCCTGACCTTATGCTTGGGTGTTTCCAATGGTCTGCAAAAGCATCTCCTGCTCTCTGGTTCTTCCCCACATCTTGATTTCTGCTGCCAGTGGGAGGGTGACTTTTATCAAAAGGATGGGCAAAAAGGGACAACCTCAGGCATGTGGCATCCTTGATGACCCTTGTTCTGAGTGCTTTCACGGGAACAGCTCTGTAGAGCTTGCTTATTAGAGCACATACCTTACTTCCACTGGAGGTTGTAATTTTAAATTCTCAGTGCGAGTATATTTAAAAATACCATGTAGCTTATTTTTATGTTTCCAAGATAAAAATGGAATCGGATTCAGTCACTTGGAATCCTTTGCCTCTTTACCTTCTTTTATTTGAGAATGAATATAGCTTGTGTTAAAGGTTTTATTTAAACACTTCAGGTCACTTATATTCTACAGCCACAAGAGCACAGCTTAATGAAAATAAAACAAAACAACAATATAACTGGTTAATCCAAAAGCAGCTCTTGGAAAATATGTATAATTCTTACATCCTTCCCAACATCACAAAAATGAAATAAAATCTATTAACAATGACATCAACTTGCTAACAGCACTGTTTTTCAGGGTGATGGTATTGGTTGAGGTGGGAATGAATTTTCTTCTTTACATTTTTCAAAAGTTTCCAAATTGTCTACTCATGAATTAATCCTATTACTTTGGTAATTGGAAGAAAAGATAAATGAATATTACTATATAAATCTGGTACAGGGGTCAACTGGACAATATAATGTGCCTGTTCTTACACAAATTCTAGCTCAAACCAAAAATGTTTAGTACTGTTAATTTTTTCCAGGCCATGTTTTAAAGATGAAATTAGGCCATTAAGTCTTTGACATTCATGTTGAATTGAGTAACAAATAATAACATTGTGTAAATAGACTCAGACCATAATTTATCTAATGGTAGTGGTGGTGAGGGAATAATGAATATGATGGTGGTGATGATGATGACTTCTAAGGCTGTTTATATCCTTAGAGTTAAATGGGGTCAGCTATGAACTTTTTTTTTTCTTTCTTTTATTATTATACTTTAAGTTTTAGGGTACATGTGCACATTGTGCAGGTTAGTTACATATGTATACATGTGCCATGCTGGTGCGCTGCACCCACTAACTCGTCATCTAGCATTAGGTATATCTCCTAATGCTATCCCTCCCCTCTCCCCCCACCCCACAACAGTTCCAGAGTGTGATGTTCCCCTTCCTGTGTCCATGTGATCTCATTGTTCAATTCCCACTATGAATGAGAATATGCGGTGTTTGGTTTTTTGTTCTTGTGATAGTTTACTGAGAATGATGATTTCCAATTTCATCCATGTCCCTACAAAGGACATGAACTCATCATTTTTTATGGCTGCATAGTATTCCATGGTGTATATGTGCCATATTTTCTTAATCCAGTCTATGATTGTTGGACATTTGGGTTGGTTCCAAGTCTTTGCTATTGGGAATAGTGCCACAATAAACATACGTGTGCATGTGTCTTTATAGCAGCATGATTTATAGTCCTTTGGGTATATACCCAGTAATGGGATGGCTGGGTCAAATGGTATTTCTAGTTCTAGATCCCTGAGGAATCGCCACAATGACTTCCACAATGGTTGAACTAGTTTACAGTCCCACCAACAGTGTAAAAGTGTTCCTATTTCTCCACATCCTCTCCAGCACCTGTTGTTTCCTGACTTTTTAATGATCACCATTCTAAGTGGTGTGAGATGGTATCTCATTGTGGTTTTGATTTGCATTTCTCTGATGGCCAGTGATGATGAGCATTTTTTCATGTGTTTTTTGGCTACATAAATGTCTTCTTTTGAGAAGTGTCTGTTCATGTCCCTCGCCCACTTTTTGATGGGGTTGTTTGTTTTTTTCTTGTAAATTTGTTTGAGTTCATTGTAGATTCTGGATATTAGCTCTTTGTCAGATGAGTAGGTTGCAAAAATTTTCTCCCATTTTGTAGGTTGCCTGTTCACTCTGATGGTAGTTTCTTTTGCTGTGCAGAAGCTCTTTAGTTTAATGAGATCCCATTTGTCAATTTTGTCTTTTGTTGCCATTGCTTTTGGTGTTTTAGACATGAAGTCCTTGCCCATGCCTATGCCCTGAATGGTATTGCCTAGGTTTTCTTCTAGGGTTTTTATGGTTTTAGGTCTAACGTTTAAGTCTTTAATCCATCTTGAATTGATTTTTGTATAAGTTGTAAGGAAGGGATCCAGTTTCAGCTTTCTACATATGGCTAGCCAGTTTTCCCAGCACCATTTATTAAATAGGGAATCCTTTCCCCATTGCTTGTTTTTCTCAGGTTTGTCAAATATCAGATAGTTGTAGATATGCGGCGTTATTTCTGAGGGCTCTGTTCTGTTCCATTGATCTATTATCTCTGTTTTGGTATGAGTACCATGCTGTTTTGGTTACTGTAGGCTTGTAGTATAGTTTGAAGTCAGGTAGTGTGATGGCTCCAGCTTTGTTCTTTTGGCTTAGGATTGACTTGGCGATGCGGGCTCTTTTTTGGTTCCATATGAACTTTAAAGTAGTTTTTTCCAATTCTGTGAAGAAAGGCATTGGTATCTTGATGGGGATGGCATTGAAACTGTAAATTACCTTGGGCAGTATGGCCACTTTCACGATATTGATTCTTCCTACCCATGAGCATGGAATGTTCTTCCATTTGTTTGTATCCTCTTTTATTTCCTTGAGCAGTGGTTTGTAGTTCTCCCTGAAGAGGTCCTTCACATCCCTTGTAAGTTGGATTCCTAGGTATTTTATTCTCTTTGAAGCAATTGTGAATGGGAGTTCACTCATGATTTGGCTCTCTGTTTGTCTGTTGTTGGTGTATAAGAATGCTTGTGATTTTTGTACATTGATTTTGTATCCTGAGACTTTGCTGAAGTTGCTTATCAGCTTAAGGAGATTTTGGGCTGAGACAATGGGGTTTTCTAGATATACAATCATGTGGTCTGCAAACAGGGACAATTTGACTTCCTCTTTTCCTAATTGAATACCCTTTATTTCCTTCTCCCGCCTAATTGCCCTGGCCAGAACTTCCAACACTATGTTGAATAGGAGTGGTGAGAGAGGGCATCCCTATCTTGTGCCAGTTTTCAAAGGGAATGCTTCCAGGTTTTGCCCATTCAGTATGATATCGGCTGTGGGTTTGTCATAGATAGCTCTTATTATTTTGAAATACATCCCATCAATACCTAATTTATTGAGAGTTTTTAGCATGAAGGGTTGTTGAATTTTGTCAAAGGCCTTTTCTGCATCTATTGACATAATCATGTGGTTTTTGTCTTTGGCTCTGTTTATATGCTGGATTACATTTATTGATTTGCGTATATTGAACCAGCCTTGCATCCCAGGGATGAAGCCCACTTGATCATGGTGGATAATCTTTTTGATGTGCTGCTGGATTTGGTTTGCCAGTATTTTATTGAGGATTTTTGCATCAATGTTCATCAAGGATATTGGTCTAAAATTCTCTTCTTTGGTTGTGTCTCTGCCAGGCTTTGGTATCAGAATGATGCTGGCCTCATAAAATGAGTTAGGGAGGATTCCCTTTTTCTATTGATTGGAATAGTTTCAGAAGGAATGGTACCAGTTCCTCCTTGTACCTCTGGTAGAATTCGGCTGTGAATCCATCTGGTCCTGGACTCTTTTTGGTTGGTAAGCTATTGATTATTGCCACAATTTCAGCTCCTGTTATTGGTCTATTCAGAGATTCAACTTCTTCCTGGTTTAGTCTTGGGAGAGTGTATGTGTCGAGGAATTTATCCATTTCTTCTAGATTTTCTAGTTTATTTGTATAGAGGTGTTTGTAGTATTCTCTGACGGTAGTTTGTATTTCTGTGGGATCGGTGGTGATATCCCCTTTATCATTTTTTATTGTGTCCATTTGATTCTTTTGTCTTTTTTTCTTTATTAGTCTTGCTAGTGGTCTATCAATTTTGTTGATCCTTTCAAAAAACCAGCTCCTGGATTCATTAATTTTTTGAAGGGTTTTTTGTGTCTCTATTTCCTTCAGTTCTGCTCTGATTTTAGTTATTTCTTGCCTTCTGCTAGCTTTTGAATATGTTTGCTCTTGCTTTTCTAGTTCTTTTAATTGTGATGTTAGGGTGTCAATTTTGGATCTTTCCTGCTTTCTGTTGTGGGCATTTAGTGCTATAAATTTCCCTCTACACACTGCTTTGAATGTGTCCCAGAGATTCTGGTATGTTGTGTCTTTGTTCTCGTTGGTTTCAAAGAACATCTTTATTTCTGCCTTCATTTCGTTATGTACCCAGTAGTCATTCAGGAGCAGGTTGTTCAGTTTCCATGTAGTTGAGTGGTTTTGAGTGAGAATCTTAACCCTGAGTTCTAGTTTGATTGCACTGTGGTCTGAGAGATAGTTTGTTATAATTTCAGTTCTTTTACATTTGCTGAGGAGAGCTTACTTCCAAGTATGTGGTCAATTTTGGAATAGGTGTGGTGTGGTGCTGAAAAAAATGTATATTCTGTTGATTTGGGGTGGAGAGTTCTGTAGATGTCTATTAGGTCCACTTGGTGCAGAGCTGAGTTCAATTCCTGGGTATCCTTCTTGACTTTCTGTCTCGTTGATCTGTCTAATGTTGACAGTGGGGTGTTAAAGTCTCCCATTATTAATGTGTGGGAGTCTAAGTCTCTTTGTAGGTCACTCAGGACTTGCTTTATGAATCTGGGTGCTCCTGTATTGGGTGCATATATATTTAGGATAATTAGCTCTTCTTGTTGAATTGATCCCTTTACCATTATGTAATGGCCTTCTTTGTCTCTTTTGATCTTTATTGGTTTCAAATCTGTTTTATCAGAGACTAGGATTGCAACCCCTGCCTTTTTTTGTTTTCCATTTGCTTGGTAGATCTTCCTCCATCCTTTTATTGTGAGCCTATGTGTGTCTCTGCACGTGAGATGGGTTTCCTCAATACAGCACACTGATGGGTGTTGACTCTTTATCCAGTTTGCCAGTCTGTGTCTTTTAATTGGAGCATTTATTCCATTTACATTTAAAGTTAATATTGTTATGTGTGAATTTGATCCTGTCATGATGATGTTAGCTGGTTATTTTGCTCATTAGTTGATGCAGTTTCTTCCTAGTCTGGATGGTCTTTACATTTTGGCATGATTTTGCAGCGGCTGGTACCGGTTGTTCCTTTCCATGTTTAGCACTTCCTTCAGGAGCTCTTTTAGGGCAGGCCTGGTGGTGACAAAATCTCTCAGCATTTGCTTGTCTGTAAAGTATTTTATTTCTCCTTCACTTATGAAGCTTAGTTTGGCTGGATATGAAATTCTGGGTTGAAAATTCTTTTCTTTAAGAATGTTGAATATTGGCCCCCACTCTCTTCTGGCTTGTAGGGTTTCTGCCGAGAGATCCGCTGTTAGTCTGATGGGCTTCCCTTTGAGGGTAACCCGACCTTTCTCTCTGGCTGCCCTTAACATTTTTTCCTTCATTTCAACTTTGGTGAATCTGACAATTATGTGTCTTGGAGTTGCTCTTCTCGAGGAGTATCTTTGTGGTGTTCTCTGTATTTCCTGAATCTGAACGTTGGCCTGCCTTGCTAGATTGGGGAAGTTCTCCTGGATAGTATCCTGCAGAGTGTTTTCCAACTTGGTTCCATTCTCCCCGTCACTTTCAGGTACACCAATCGGACGTAGATTTGGTCTTTCACATAGTCCCATATTTCTTGGAGGCTTTGCTCATTTCTTTTTATTCTTTTTTCTCTAAACTTCCCTTCTCGCTTCATTTCATTCATTTCATCTTCCATCACTGATACCCTTTCTTCCAGTTGATTGCATCGGCTCCTGAGGCTTCTGCATTCTTCACATAGTTCTCGAGCCTTGGTTTTCAGCTCCATCAGCTCCTTTAAGCACTTCTCTGTATTGGTTATTCTAGTTTTACATTCTTCTAAATTTTTTTCAAAGTTTTCAACTTCTTTGCCTTTGGTTTGAATGTCCTTCCGTAGCTCAGAGTAATTTGATTGTCTGAAGCCTTCTTCTCTCAGCTCATCAAAGTCATTCTCCATCCAGCTTTGTTCCGTTGCTGGTGAGGAACTACATTCCTTTGGAGGAGGAGAGGCGCTCTGCGTTTTAGAGTTTCCAGTTTTTCTGTTCTGTTTTTTCCCAATCTTTGTGGTTTTATCTACTTTTGGTCTTTGATGATGGTGATGTACAGATGGGTTTTTGGTGTGGATGTCCTTTCTGTTTGTTAGTTTTCCTTCTAACAGAGAGGACCCTCAGCTGCAGGTCTTTTGGAGTACCCTGCAGTGTGAGGTGTCAGTGTGCCCCTGCTGGGGGGTGCCTCCCAGTTAGGCTGCTCGGGGGTCAGGGGTCAGGGACCCACCTGAGGAGGCAGTCTGCCCGTTCTCAGATCTCCAGCTGCATGCTGGGAGAACCACTGCTCTCTTCAAAGCTGTCAGACAGGGACATTGAAGTCTGCAGAGGTTACTGCTGTGTTTTTGTTTGTCTGTGCCCTGCCCCCAGAGGTGGAGCCTACAGAGGCAGGCAGGCCTCCTTGAGCTGTGGTGGGCTCCACCCAGTTGGAGCTTCCAGGCTGCTTTGTTTACCGAATCAAGCCTGGGCAATGGCGGGCGCCCCTCCCCCAGCCTCGCTGCCGCCTTGCAGTTTGATCTCAGACTGCTGTGCTAGCAATCAGCGAGACTCCGTGGGCGTAGGACCCTCCGAGCCAGGTGCAGGACATAATCTCGTGATGAGCCTTTTTTAAGCCTGTCGGAAAAGCGCAGTATTCAGGTGGGAGTGACCCGATTTTCCAGGTGCCGTCCGACACCCCTTTCTTTGACTAGGAAAGGGAACTCCCTTACCCCTTGGGCTTCCTGAGTGAGGCAATGCCTCGCCCTGCTTCGGCTCGCGCACGGGGTGCGCACCCACTGACCTGCACCCGCTGTCTGGCACTCCCTGGTGAGATGAACCCGGTACCTCAGATGGAAATGCTGAAATCACCCGTCTTCTTCGTCGCTCACGCTGGGAGCTGCAGACAGGAGCTGTTCCTATGTGGCCATCTTGGCTCCTCCCTATGAACTCTTTTTTACAGGTAAGGAAATACAAAGTTAGAGGTTTATTCAAAGATTTTCATCTTTTCCAAGTCCATCCAGGTTAAAACGAAAATAAACTAGAACCAAAGTTTTCAGATTTAGTGTATTTTTTTCTCTCCTACGTAATGCTATTGTTACTATTAATGTTCTTTGTCTGCCAGAAAATATATTGATTAGTTTTCAGTGTGTTCGTTCCAGCATTTTTAGACTTTAATGTTTTTGCATGGCCATACGTGAACTAAAAAATGAATACTTCCTTCCTTCCTCTCTCTCCTCTCCTCTCTTCTATCTTCTTTCTTTCTTTTCTTTCTTTTCTTTCTTTCTTTCTTTCTTTCTTTCTTTCTTTCTTTCTTTCTTTCTTTCTTTCTTTCTGTCTTTCTTTCCTTCCTCCCTCCCTCCCTCCTTCCCTCCTTCCTTCCTTCCTTCCTTTCTTTTTTTTAAGAGACAGGGTCTTGCTCTGTTGCCTAGGCTGGAGTGCAGTGGTGGGATCATAGTTCACTGCAGCCTTGAACTCCTAGGCTCAAGGGGTCCTCCTGCTTCAGCCTCCCGAGTAGCTGGGAGTACAGACATCATGCCACCATGCCTGGCTTTTTTTTTTTTTCTTGTAGAGATAAGATCTCACTTCATTGCTGAGGCTGGCCCTGAACTCCTGGGCTCAAGCAGTCCTCTCGCCTGGACCTCCCAAAATGTTGGGATTACAGATGTGGGCCACCGTCTGTAGCTTCCTCTTTATTTCTATTAACTGGGGATAGCACTTGATAGTAGTAGTGTTTACCTTTGATTTTGATTGCTTCCAGTGAAGATTGGGTTTTTGTGTTTATTTTTGTGCTTGTTTTTTTAAAACCAAAGTTTATTTTAATTAATTCAGTGGGAGAAAATGATCTAAAACCATAACTTTATATTATTTTATGAAAATTTCTGTTGAAACTTTTTGTTTTCAACTATTTTTATGCTATTGTGTAGACATTATTTATTTACAGAACTCTGATCCTGTTTGTACTGTGAGATTGGTGTGATGTGGGAAGTGAAGCCACCTACTCTGAGTTGCTACAGGGCTCTGACCAGGACAGATAAATATAATCAAATTTATTCAGAGAACTTAAGATCCCTGGATGTTGTTTTTGGAGCAAGTGTAGAGAGTGCTAATACAAAATTAATCTATTTTCTATGTTGTAATTCAATTGCATAGGACTTTATGGTTTGAGTGACACACTATGAGCTGTTGAGATTACACTCTGCCTTGCTTTATTCTGATTGAAGGTTTTGACTTTGAAGAGGATGTTTGCCAAGTAACTTCTATTTTCACCAAGCACCTCAAAGTTGTCACTGGATTGATTAATTCGTTTTTTCACGTTCAGTTTTCTTTACTGTGTTTATCTTTAGGCAGATTAACTTTGGTGAGACATTCCATTCTTCCTGTGTTAAAATGGATAAGCTGATTAATTTTCTGCTTTTTGTTTTGTGTATGAAAACGAGTTTGACTTAAATGTAAATGCATTGTGTGTTTGACATTCTGGACACTTTAGACTTCAGTTTTAAGAAAGAAAACAGATGAAAGAAGGGCAAATATGTGGTAAATAAATGCTTTAAATAATGAAAGTATAATAGGGGTACTTGGTATGAAACTGAAAAATAATGTAGCCTACTTCTCTACTGTGAGATGATAAACACATTTCTTAATACATCTATAGGTGTCACTCTTGATATACACTCTTGAACTGACTTCTACCCAGGTTTGAATCTGACAAAGGGCTGCTGGGATGAATTTTATATAGTGTGTTTGATTAACTCCTGTAATATATGCTTCTTTCTGATATGAATATAGTACATGAGTCTGATTTTCTGGCACAAATAAAGTGACTAATATTGAATGTTTTATTATTTTGGGGCAGAAAATTACTTTGGACAAGGAGGGTGAGATATAGGTACAGAATGAAATAAATCATAGAACTGATTATTTTTTGTCTTGAAATTCCTAGATTAATAGTTTAATCTATTAGCCTAGATTAATAATTTAGAAAAATTAATTTCATTCTCTGCTCCTTCCTTCTCCCATTGCCAATGTGCACCAGCTAGAGCCTCTGATCATGTGTTGTCTTCTGTGCAAGGATTCACTTGTAGATGGTGATTTCCCTTCATCTGGGCTTTAATGAAGGAATCAAAACAGTGTCTAACTGATATTTCTGATTTTCTGAAATGGGTTCCTAAGTTAGAACCAGGACACATTTTAGTATATTGGAATTCTCAGCCTCTCACTTCACAGGAGTTTTTCCGTTTCCCATTTTTGTTTTATTTTGTTAATAAGGTGATCTGAGACTTGGGGAAGTCTCTTGGCAGGTCAAAACCTCAGGAAATTGTTAAGTGGTGATCTATGTTTTATGCATACAGGTATGCTTCTAATTTCTTTTTTAAAAAAGGCTTCCCCCTACCGATATTTGAATTAATGAAAATATCAAGCAGTTATCACTTTTCTATTACATACCTTTCATTTTTCTAGAAGTTAGGGATGTAAAAAAACATCAGGGACAATCCTTGCCTTCAAGAATCTCAGTGTTTAATAGCAATGAGAGACAAAAGAATAAACTGTAAGAAAGCAATTCAAAGGATGAGCTTTGTAGAATATAAAGCAGAGAGGTATCAAATTTGCTTGGAAATCAGGGGATATTTTGAGGAGAAATTTGTTGAGTCAAATTGAATAGAGTTTCCAGAGAGGACAAGGTGGTAGGGAGAGATTGGGCTGTTTAGGTGGATGGAGCATCGCTTACAAGAATGACCGGCACAGGACACCGCGTGTATTGGAGGGCGGTGAGTAGTTAGGCCTGGCTGAAGCGCAAGGATGAGTGAGTGGGGAAGAGGCAGTGCCTCTGTGATGTCCCTTCTGTGAATTGCTCTGAGTGCCTTACTGTGCTTCACTCAAATAAACTGACCTCAAAAGTTAGTATCACAGGCATTCTTTTTTTTTCCTTTTTTTCCAACAAACTTAGCTGTTCGTGTTCAACTTTTTCAAAATGGAGTAAGGCAGGTTTCTGAATGGGCAGTTTTTACATTACAGTTGACAACTATCATTGGGTTTGTGTTAGACAGTAGTTGTTTTGATGACATTATTTTTGTCAGAGAAGGAAGCCAAATGGAGAGATTGTGTGGCTGAGTTTTCTGTGACTGATATGGTTAACTAAATTATTTCGTTACAAATGGGTTTTGGGTGCTTTGCTTTGCACTGAACATTAGCTGTGTCTTTCAGCTCTTACAAAAATAGCCAATACTTCAATGGTCCTTACTGTGTGCCAGGAACTGTTCTAAATATGTTATACATGTATTAATCCATTCAACTCTTTATAACCACGCTGTAAAATAAGTAATAATAAAGTCCCACTTTTATCCGTAAAGAAATGAAGCACAAAGTGTTGGAAGACTTGCTAGTCATATAGCTGATAAGCGGCAGAGCTGGGATTTGAACCATGATAGTCTGCTCGCAGTTACATGTTACCTAGTAATTAGATATTGCATATTAGTTTAATTGTTATACACAATAAGTTAGTTTAGCAATTTTTATATTATGGGAATGAGAGACATGCATAAACCTTTTTCTAGATGGCTATTAGAAGAGCAACCAACGGAGATTCATGGCGAGAGAAAGTGGGCTGGGAGTACTGGCAGCTCCTCTGATAATTCAGGAGGGCTCCCTGGATGGTGAGTGATTTCTTTATACTTGGAGGATGCCCACAGCAACCAGTTCTGGAAAGAAAGGAGAAGAAAACTCTGTCATATCCTTAGAAATTAGTGTCTAAGTAGCTGCTAGGAGTCATCCCAACTGGATGTATCAGACTCAAGAGGCTTGACAAAATGTACATGGCAAACTATAAATAATACTATTTTATTTCAGCTTGTGGAGCGCCAACAGCATCCTTGGGGCTGTACGGATTAAAAAAGACATCATTCCTGCCCTAAGGTTTAAAATACAAACAGTCAGATTTGAAATTTCTTACCGGATCCAGATGTTTGAGTGTCGCAGATCACTCATCCCTTTCTGTTCCTCTCTGTTTTAAATTAGCATGTATTCCCAGGGCAATAGATGCCCCAATGTTATCCACACTGATTTTACTCCATTCTTTAGCAAAAAGTAGAATGTGCCTCAAATATTATTTTTTCTTCAGCATTTAGACATCGGAAATGATATTCACTAATTTTTGTGTGTTAACCAGCTACTCCCATTAGCTTGGCCTGTTAAATTGAAATGCTACATCAAGAATTGAATAGGCCAGAAAGAAACATTAGGAAAATGCATTTACGTATACATTCACCACCTGAAGTGCTGGCTACATATGTGGGCACAGTAGGTGATTTAAAAGTTCTTAACATTTCCTGAGTGACTGGTGGCTCATCACCCATCATGGTGTGGAGGAAAGAGCTCAGGATGAGTGAGCTTCCAGAAGGGGGCAGGCTCCAGGCTGATCCTCTTGTATGTTTATCTCATTTAATCTTCCCAACTACTCTGGAGTATAGATACTATTTTACAGTCAAGGAATATGAGGCTTAGAGAGGTTACGTGACTGGCTTAAGGTCACATGGCTAGTAAAGGTGGGGCTGTGATTAGGTTTAAATTTTGTGTGGCTCCCAAAGCTCAGCATTGTCTATGGCAGAGAGCACAAGCCACCTCATGGACAAATATTGTTGTACTCTGACAACATCCCATTGATTACTCTCACTGGTTATTCCATGACATCATCTTCCTTTTGAGAGGAAAGAACTCAAGTTTACTCCTCTAGTTTTCTTCTAATAATTTGTTAAATTCCTGACCATTGCAATGTTTTCATTGAAGGTTAACATTTAAATCAGAAGATGAAAAAATCTGATGTTGTGATTCAAATCCTCATTTATACCCTCTTTCATGCAGCAGGTGTGAGCCCCTCTCTTGCCCTGGGCACTACCACATTCCTGTGAGCAGGGGTAGAAGGTAACGTGCTCCCTAGACTCCTGAGGAAAGAAGGGCTGCCTGCATTGGGGGAAGTCTGGCAGAGAATTCACAGCTTGACAACCAATTAAAATGATAGCAGGGATTAGTAGGTAGCCTTCTGAGGTCAAGAATGGCTCAGGAACCTATGAATAGACAGAGATTGGAATGTACCTGGTCACTTCTCCATATCTAGCTGGTCTCCATTGTGCCAAGCAGAAGTCCCTTCAAGGGCCACATGGAATATACACACCATATAGGCTTCTGACTCGGTCTTTATGATACCCTGGTTTAGCCATCCTGTGGTTAAACTTGTTGTTTTCTGATGGTAACCTAGCAGTTAACCCCTGGGGCTTGGCACCAATAATTGGGCCTATGTAATTTGAAATTACTGTGAATTTTGTAGATGACTGTGAATTATTGTTCAATTGTCAGCCTAGAAACAAATCTGAAAAGGACCAGCCCTTAGGTGTGCTGCATTCACAGTAGAAACACTGGAATGAATATTAGGCCTGAGAGAGAATTGGCTCAGTTACAGAAGTTCCAGCAGCTTATAATATAAATGGTTCACTGAGTTGTTCAATAGATTTCCACAAACATCCATTGTGGGGAGGACACTCTGTTGGGCACTGCAGTCCCAAGTCAGGGGTTACCTGCCCCCATCATGAAGAAACGTCAGGTGGACCCAATGGATCCTATTTTTTTAAATTTACATACTTCTTCCTCTGAAATGGTCAATGGGAGATTTAAAAATCTCTGCAAGTGGAAATTCAGGGCACAATTCCAAACTTCTCATTACATTAGTGCTGGCAGATGACCAAAGAGTTCAAGAGAAACCCAGGATCAGTAAAAACAAAACAAAACAAATAAAACAACAACCATGAGTCTGTAAGGAACAATCCAGCCAGTTGCAGGAAGAGTAACACACATTTTCAATGGGGTTGAGATGTGGTAGGATAATTTCATAGGGGAAATAAGAGTGGTTTTGCTGTTAACCAGCTGTATGATTTAGAAACTCTCCTAAGGTCTTGGGCCATCAGTTTCCTGATTAGAAGAGATAATCAATATTGTGTTAGGAAAGACTCCTGGCCCCATGTTTTTCACCCACTCTACCACCTGCTGTACCTATGCTCCCATCCTTGTCCTCCCTCAGGTACAAATGAACCTGGCCTGTCTCCTTGCACTCTAGATCCCATCCATTCTCCCCTACCCAAGGGCATTGCTTGAGCCATCAGCCCTTCTCTCTCTCACTTTATCATTTTTTTTTTTCTCCTGGGTCATTCTTATGAGCCTATAGCATACCTTAATATCTTCCATCTTCAATAATTCTCTATTATCTTCAATCACTTCCCACTTCCACCTGATTTGGCTTTACAGCAAAGCTTTTCAAAGAGTAATTAGTGCTTCCTCGGCTCCTCCTTTTCCATGAAATAATGCACAGCAGGACCTTGTCCCTGACTCTCTACCAAGATGCTCTTGTCAAGCTTATCAATACTACCATATTTCCAAATCCAGTGGTCAGCTTTCCTTCATTATCTTACCTAATCAGTTTTGTGGCAGCATTTGAAGGTTGTTCACAACTTTCTTAAAGCATTTTCTTCTCATGGCTTCTAGGACACTGACTTCCCTATTCCATTGGTTTTCCCCTCCTCACTCTCCTGTACTAGACCCCAGTCCTCTTCTTGACCTTTAAAGGTGAGGGGGGCGGGATGGTCCCAGGGCTCAGTTTGACATCTTCTTATCTTCTTCCCTGTCTCTTCTCAATCCCTAAGTGGATGCATTCCGTCCTATGCATTAAAGACCATCTGTGCACTGAAGACTCCCCCAAACCTTGGAGTCATTACTAGCATCCCATTCTCATTCCCCTCCACATCCAAATCAAACAACAGTCATATAGTGCTTAGTATTTGCTGAATATTCTAAGCATTTTACATGTGTTAATTAATTTACACAACAACTTAAGAAGATAATTCTGTTATAACCTCAATTTTACAGATGAGGAAACTGAGGCACAGGGAAGTTAAATAATTGCTGAAGTTCACAGAGCTCCTTGGGTAGGAATTTGAGCCCATGTGGTCTGACCTCAGAGGACATGATCTTAACCACTGTGCTGCATTGTATGCTTGGACTGAAAGTGGTCCACAAGGAAGAGCCTTCATAGATTCAGGCAGTACTGGCAGAAGCAGAGTGGTGCCTGCATATCTGTCTTTCTCATCCGCAATGGAATGTTGACTGAATCTCTTTCTACAAGCAGAGGCTTCTTTGCTGAAGCCAGGGTGGGCGTTGGGCCTTCTTTTTAAACTCCATGATGAGCCCTGACACACCTCGTTGGAATACTGGGACTCTGGAAAGTCATGGTGCTCTGAGGTGAGAACAGCATGGATTTGGAGTCAGGAAGACTTAATCATGGGCCTGCCACACCCAGGCTCTGTAATCTTGGCAGGAATCTTCTTTCTGAATCTCAGTTTCTTCTTCTATAAAATGGGCTTCATAATACTAATCTTGCTGAGGTGTCCTAAGGTGTGATGTTTCTGAAAAACTCAGTGCTAGGTGCATAGTAGGTATGCAAACAATCCTAGATACGTTATTATTTATTATAACAGTCCTTGACTAAGTTACCCGTCTTGGTGAAGGTTAATTATGGTGGTCTTCTTTCCTTCTTGCTTTGTGCCTGCTCCTCTGCCAGGGCCCTATTGCTCTCAGTTTCCCCCTGGTGGTCCAGGGTCCCCTATTTTACCTGACCCAGGTGAGCTTTGCCTGGATGGGGGTCCCTGCTATTAACTTTCTTGTCATTTTCACTCTCCCAGTCAGTATCTCTTTATTGCCTGGCCTTGCCCTGGTGAAGCAGATTCAGAGTAAAGGGCCAGTACAGTTGCACATTAACACATGCAGGGAATGCTGGCTGTGCTCTACAGCTACCCACTCAAGAGTGAGGATTTACACCCCAGTGGTGAGAAGACTGCTGCCAGGCAGCCCTCAGCCACCTTTGGGAAATGTCTTGGCTAAAGGGAGCCACCTGGCCCAAACTCTTGCCTCATTTCCTGGCATCAGTTGACTGACCAACAGGGACATATAAAAGCTTGAGCCCCATGTTTCAATGTGGGACAACTCTGAAGAGCCAGCTTAGCTTCAGAGCTCCCCTGGAATCAGCTGAGGGCTTTTTGCACCTGCAGTGCAGCCCAAATTGTCCCTCTGCCCATTCTGATTCCTTCTCTTCCTTCCACAGGTGTGGAGCCTGAGGGCTCTGCCTAATCAACTTCCTGCATGCACATCTCCATCTCAGCGTCTGCTCCCCAGGGAATCAAACACAGCAAGTCTTGAAGTTTAATCAGGGCTTTCAGTGTCTTAACCAACAGGCAGGATTTGAAAGGCTGTTACATGTTAGTTGGAGAGAAAGTTTTCCCTAGGAACCTAGAGGCCAGTCCAATTGTGTCACATAGAGCACCTGAGCTGTGCATAGCCCCATGTAATGCTTCCTGATTGATTAATTTGTAATATTGACCATGGGTTCTTGTCTCTGAGACGACCACCCAAGACATTTTAAATTATTTCTTGTGTTGCATCAACTGGCATTTCCTAGGCCCTGATTCTTTAATAAGAATGTGTGTGTGTATGTGAGTATGGGTGTGTGTGTGGGGGGGTATGAGTGTGCGTGTGTGTGTGTGTATGGGTATGAGTGTGTATGCATGGAAATGAGTGTGTGTGTTTGGATATGAGTGTGTATGCATGGAAATGAGTATGTGTGTTTGGAAATGTGTGTGTGCGTTTGCATGAATATGAATATGTATGCATGGATATGAGTGTCCACTCCTGGAAGCCCTCTTGGATCAGACCCATCCGTAGCCTTTCTCCCAAGCGTCCTCTAGGGACCCAAGGGACCTCTGAAGTCCCACCAGATACTCACATCTGCCAGACAAAATTTCACAGTCTTTCTTCAGGACCACTTCTCTTGTCAGTCCATCCAGTTGGAAAGCTATCCGCAGTTGTTGGCAGAGTCTTCATACACATACTGTAAGTTTGCACCACTTTCTTGAAATTTGCCATGAGGACCACAGATGAAATGTCCTTTGAGCTTTGTAATGATTGTCCTACCATTGCATGGTGCTAACTTTATGACGTCTTGTATCATAATCATTTGCATACATCTTATCTTGCCAAATGAAATACATATCAAGCATTACACAGAGAGGGCAGTTAATGAATACCTGTTAGATAATGAAGACATGGCCGTAAACAATGGGATAGTCACAAAAATTGCTTCCATTATTGGGCACATGTTATATCAGGCCCCGTTATTTATCTCAAATTCCTAAAATAATGATGGCATTGTTTTATCTTCTATACAATATGGTGAAACTGAGGCTGTGCTATCCAGAGGTTTTGCAAAATCACCAAAGTAGCAAGTGTGATAGACTGAGAGGATTTAAGCCCTGGTCTGTCTGACCCCCAAGTCTATCACATGTCCCTCAGTCTAACTAGAGATACAGCACCTGAGGCAGGCAGGAAGGCTTGCCTTGGCCCATCATTGCATACCCTGAGATAATTGTGTCCAGGGTTCCCAACTGCTGTGAGGGCCAGAGGCAGAGCAGTGGTCATAGTCGGATGAGGCACATAGTGTGTGAGTTAAGTGCGGATTTGCTAGAGATGTTAGGCTTTCCCAGGAAGAGAACAGGTAGGGCAAGGCTGAATGAAACTGTCTGAGGAAATGGTTTGGTTTGGGCTTGGGGTGGGTTTGGGATTTCTCTCAAGGAGCAAAGCCAATGAAATAAAATGCTAATATACTGTGGCTCCTTCATATGGCTGCAAATCGTGAACAATTTAGTTAAAGACAGAGAGAGAAGCTGGGAGGGGAGGTCCTGAGCAGCTCAAAGGAAGACACAGGGACACGTGGGGCCGGTTCTCTGCACAGAGGGCGGCATGCAGTGAACCCAGCAAACCTTCCCCACTTCTCTTCTTGTGACAGGAACCTCCATCTCACCTGGGCTGAGGGGCCACTCCTGTCTTCAGTGCTGCGTGGAGAACTCTCTTTGTTAAGTCAGTGTTTTTCAGAATATGGGTCCTTAGCAAGTAGCAAGGGAATCACCTGGGAGCTTGTTGAGGAATGCACCTTTCTAGGCCCCACCCCAGACCTGTGGAATCAGGAACTCTGGAGGTTGGGCCCAGCTGCCTGGGCTCTAGGTGATTTTAATGCTCAAGTCTGGGAACCCCACACTATGCCATTCTCTGTGACTTTAATTCTCTCCTTTCGTGTGCTCTAAGTTTTCTTTATCTTTCCTCATATTAGAATTCTCTATATTCCTCAGCATCCAACTGAAGCCCTCCCACCTTCACATCAGTTTCTCTGCCCATCCCAGTCTACAAAGATTGCTTTTATTTATGGCCTTGCATTCCTGAATATTTTTTCTTTCGTAGATGCATGCCCTGTCTGTGGACTATGCCTCTTTTCTGCTGTTTGTTACACTTATTTGTAGTCCTTACAGTTCCTTGCACATAAGAAGTGCACAATAAATGCCTCATGGTGACTGATGGAACACTGAACCTAAATATTTTATTTCTGACTATCCATCATTTTACATGCCTATGTGTAACATAAAAGTGGAAGAATTCTTCTGGTAACAAAGGGGAAATCTGTTTTTATTTTGTTATATTGCTTCTTGTTCCAGAAAGGATTTAAGGAGTCTTAAAATGCAGCAAAATAACATATTAGAAATAAGAAAGAAAAAAAAAGTCAAGGCAAGGTTAGGAATATAAAATGGATCCAGGAATGATACCAATATAAAAATGCCACTACATAGGACACTCACTCTAGATCAACCGAAAATGTGGCTCTTAGCTTTCTTATCAGGGATTTGGAAAATACTGGCTTTCAAGCCCACAACAGAAGTTAGAATAGATTTGCCTTTCATGAAGTCACATAAGTTTCAACACGGTTTCCTGGTTATTTTCTCTGCCTTTGGATTTGCTTAACAACTGCAGGATGCCAAGAAGCCACCCTGGAGGTTTTTGAAAGAAGATTTCAGACATGTTGGTCCTCATCATTGCAGATGGCAAGAACATTCCACCTCCTCTCCCTAGATATGGGAAACCTCAGAGGAGCTGCTGTTTCCCAAGGGAAACAAATGGATGGAGAAAGAAAGACCTGACTTCTGTAGAACTGCTGAAGGGCAAAGGCACCTGGCCTTGACTTGTATCTTGTGTACTGTCTCCCTCATCGGCAGAAGCATTTGTTAAAGTGATTGGGGGACCTGCATGGCTTAGAGCTGTTTTTGGATTACAGTAAGAGAAACTCATTTGAACTAGCTTGAGGCACAAAATGGGAATTTATTATAAGGATAATGAAGTGTTTTAAGGAATGAACGGAGGTCTCAGGAATGGACTGGAACCAGAAAATGGAAAGCTATACGGAGTACTTTTATTTGGCCCTGTCATTGTTGCTTCTCATGCTGTGTGGCTGTTTCTTCTTTCTCAGCAGAAGGCTTTCTCAGCCCTTCAGTCCACAAATGCGTGGAAAGTGGCCACATTAGAAACCATATCACAAATTCTAGTCACTCAGTGGGACTATCAATTGCTTCCAATTCTAGTTTCTCCTAGAAGACACTCTGGGGCAAATGTTCACTCCTGGTCTGATCAGTGGTGGCCAGAGGAATCAAACTGTACAAATATGGCTGCTAGAGGGGCTCTGTGTTTTGGGGGCAGTTACAGAAGACGGGGAATAAGGATAGGCACACCAGCACTTTGCAGTTACAGAGGCAGTCTACCTGGTTGTCTGTATGGGGAACTGAGATCCTAACTGCTAGAGAAGTTCTAGCCCTGAATTTAAATTGTGACAGCATCTCTTATTTGTATACCAAGTGTGCAATTATGTTTCCGCACATCACCTCGTTTTATTACCACATTTCTATAGGGGTTAGGAGTATGTATTTTATATACAGGGAAATGAAAGCTCAGAGAATCTAAGTAACATATGCATAGTCACACAGCTGGTGAACAGCAGGGGTGGACTAGGAGTCCAAAAGCCATTTTAGACCTGTCTCTACCACTCACTGGCTTGTTGCTTGGCCAAATCTTACTCCGACTCATATTCCTCGTCTTATAAATGCATTAATTATTCCATCAGCAGCCAGCTTGCAGAATGATTATGAGAATCATACAAGTAGTTCTTTTTTTTTTTTTTTTTTTTTGTGAGACAGAGTCTCGCTGTTGCCCAGGCTGGAGTGCAGTGGTGCGATCTCAGCTCACTGCAAGCTCCGCCCCCTGGGGTTCACGCCATTCTCCTGCCTCAGCCTCTCGAGTAGCTGGGACTACAGGCGCCTGCCACCTCGCCCGGCTCATTTTTTGTATTTTTAGTAGAGACGGGGTTTCACCGTGTTAGCCAGGATGGTCTCGATCTCCTGACCTCGTGATCTGCCCGCCTCGGCCTCCCAAAGTGTTGGGATTACAGGCGTGAGCCACTGCGCCCGGCCACAAGTAGTTCTTGGATCTGGTGGATCATTAGACTCATACAGGGATCTTTTAAAAATATAGCTCTCAGGATGCCAGCCCTATGTATTCTGATTCAGTGGATCTGTGGTGGGACCCAAGTATGTGTTCTTATAGAAGTTCCCAGAAAATTGTGATGATCATCTTGGGTTTGTGAATCCTTCAGCAGCCTGAAAACATGGCCCATAATTCACAAAGCATGGTGGAAAATATACTGTGACCACAGTGACAGAGTCAGAGCAATCTCCTCTATGTTATGTTTTATACAAGGTATGTATTGCTTTCTTTTCCAAGATGGTTTAGAGGGATCACCTAAGGGACAATGGAGAAGAACCGACACCCATTCTAGTGTTTGAGAATGTGTGCATATGTGTGTGGTGTGTATATGTGTGTGTAAGTGTGTGTATCTATGTGTACTTGGTGTGGGCAACAGCAGTATGTGGAGGGTGCAGAATGCAGGACATGTTTCCTCCCTAGGCTGAAGAAGCTTCACTATTTCCTGAGTTCAAGGAGATAGTATACCTTGATATTTGTGTTGCTTCTACTGCAAACCAGGCATTTTAGGAATGCTACACGTACTCTTTCCTTTCCTTTTCTCTTTTATTTCTCCCTCCCTTCCCCCCAACCTCCCTCTTTCTTTCTCTTTCTTTCTTTCTTTCTTTCTTTCTTTCTTTCTTTCTTTCTTTCTTTCTTTCTTTCTTCCTTCCTTCCTTCCTTCCTTTTTCTTTCTTTCTTTCTTTCTTTCTTTCTTTCTTTCTTTCTTTCTTTCTTCCTTCCTTCCTTCCTTTTTCTTTTTCTTTCTTTCTTTCTTTCTTTCTTTCTTTCTTTCTTTCTTTCTTTCTCTTTCTTTCCTTCCTTCCTTCCTTCCTTCTTTCTTTCTTTCTCTTTTTTCTTTCTTTTTCCTCCCTCCTTCCGTCCCTCCCTCGCTCCCTTCCTTCCTTCCTCCCTCCCTTTTTCTTTCTTTCTTTCTCTTTCTTTCTTTCTTCTTTCTTTTTCTTTCTTCTTTCTTTCTTTCTCTCTCCTTCCTTCCATCCTTCCCTTCTTTCTTTCTTTCTCTCTCTCTCTCTCTCTCTCTCTTTCTTTCTTTCTTTCTTTCTTTCTCTTTCTTTCTCTCTCTCTCTTCCTTTTTGCTCTTTCTTTCTTCCTTTTTTCTTTCTTAGAGTCAGGTTTGCACTGTGTAGCCGAGGCTGAAATGCAGTGGCACAATTATGGCTCACTGTAGCCTGAACTCCTGGGCTCAAGCCACCCTCCCACCTCCTGCCTCAGCCTCCCGAGTGGCTGGGACTACAGGCATGTTCCACCATGCCCAGCTGATTTTATTTTATTTTTTATTTCTAGCAGAGACAAGGGTCTTGCATGTTGACCAGACTGGTCTCAAACACCTGGCCTCAAGCAACCCTCCTGCCTCAGCTTCCCAAAGTCCTGGAATTACAGGCATGAGCCACTATACCTGGCATTACATGCAATTTCTTAAACAAGCAGGAGATATAGGTATTATTTCTACTTCATAGAACAAGAAATCAAATAAAGTGTTTTTTATTTTGTTTGAAGTCAGACAGATAGGAAGTGCAATAAAGCTGGGATTCAAATTTAGTTTATGGTTTTTGATTTGGAGAACTTTTCAAGTGACAAAGCTTAGGAAAGATAAGTGAATAATCAGAGAACATTGACAGGAATGCCTTGACATCACTACTAGGATCACTAAGCAAATTCAAGGGTCATCACTTTCTGCTATCTCATTATTTACCTTTGCCTTGGTCTGATGTTGGCTGCCTTGGGTACTAAATAATAATGAGGTATTTTCAAACCAGACTGATGTTTTATTTTGAGTAATGATAATAACAGTAGTACCAGTACTAGTAGTGGTATCTGGCGTTTACTGCTCACACTTTATCAGGCATATTGAAAGATTATTGCTGGGTGCGATGGCTCAAGCCTGTAATTCCAACACTTTGTTGAAATTACAAAGTGTTGGGCTGAGGTGGGCGGATTGCTTGAATCCAAGAGTTAGAGACCAGCCTGGGCAGCCTGGTGAAACTCTGTCTCTACAAAAAATACAAAAATTAGCCCAGTGTGGTGACACATGCTTATAGTCCCAGCTACTTGGGAGGCTGAGGTGGGAGGATCACCTGAGCCTGGGGAGGTCAAGGCTGCAATGAGCAGTGATCACGCCACTGCACTCCAGCCTAGGTGACAGAGTGAGATGCTGTCTCAAAAAAAAAAATATATCACTATTACAACAAATCTACGAGGTAGGTATCACTAACTCCATTTTACAGATGAAATTGAGGCTGAGGGAAGCTAAGTAGGCAGCCCAGGACCACAGTATTTCTAAGTGCAGGGTGAGGATTCACTGGAATTCAGGTCTACTTGGCTCTTGCGGTTAGGCAGAGCTGTATCTCACAGCCTCTGCATCTCACAGCTTCTACTGCTCCCTAAATGATGGGTCCTGGTTCAACGCATTGCTGTCTATTTTTTTCCCCTGCCTCAGCAAGACTCTTTCTTTCTACCTTGGCTGGCATTTTTATTCTGTAATTCAAAAAGTGAAAGAGACATCAGCCATAGTTGTGTGTGCCCCTTCATAGGCAGAGAGTCTCAAAATTTAGTAAGTGTCTCTTGGAGTTAGTCAAGGAAGTAATTAACACTGGGGCACAGAGGGCACCCAGAGCCTCCAATGTCTGGCATCAGGAAAGTCACTGCTCACCATTAGCACATGATTAAGTAGTTTATCATGAGCAGGCAGTGCTAGTGAAGTGAATGTACTTTACTTATATGTATTTATTGGAGGCTTTATTTTGTTTTCTCACAAGGCCTGGACAGCCTAGGGAAGGGGCTGTCCAGAAGGACAGGCACAGAAGGGAGGTATCTGGTCTCTGTGGACCAGGTGGAAGACCAATAGGAATTGGAAAGAAGGTATTATTGATTGAGAACAATGATGTGGGAAGGCAGTTTCACTCCCACTTTTGTCCAGGTAAGAGATATAGATCAAAAAGAGTATTTATCTAAAGTTACACAAATAGCAAGAAACAGAGTAGTGTTTGCTTCAATCTAACCCCAGGTTTTAGCTTTTATACCTTAAACCTGTCAGCAGGACACTGAAGCAAAGATCAAGACCTGCAAGAACCAGAATGTAGTTAAAGTGGAAGTGGAATCAGAAGAGGAGAGATCAATTGTTGGCTAAAGATAAAAGGTAGTTGTGGCAGATAATATTTTCTAAAAATCTTCACCTTCTATCTATTCCATCCCATTTGCTCTTCTCACAATGTAATGTTGAACTTCATCACCAAGATGCAGATGTCTTTCCCTCCCTCTGTGCCCTGGCTCACTCATTCTTGGAACGTGCACCTTGAGATTTCTGAGCCAATGTGTAAGAAGTCCAACCACCCTGACTTAAATGCTGAGTCACCGGTGCCTGGAGAGACCCCATGGAGAGAGCACAGTGAGACAGAATCACTTGAGGAGGCTAAGCTCTTCCAGCCCATGCTGTTGGAACCTCTCTAGCCCAGACACCAAACTGTGAGTATGTGAGCTCTCAGAAGACAATTCTAGCTCTGGCCTTCAAGCTACCCCAGCTATCACAGACTGAACTGGAGACAAACTTTTCCCATGAGGCCTGACCCAACTTGCAGATTGATCAGCAAAATAAATGTTGTTATTTTTTAGGTCACTAAATTTGGGGGATAATTTACTTTACAGTCATAGTAGTTGCTGAAGTTATTGATGAAGAAGATATTTCAACATCTAACTGAGACCTGAACATCCATTTGGGTATCCCTTCTATCCAGGCTCAGGCACAAAGTCTTAAATGAACCAAGGAGGCCACACAACTTTTAATATTCTCTCTAAGAGCCTTCAGAAATGGTTGTCCTTCTGTGGCCCCAAAAGTTTCCTAGCTGTGTGTAGTTTTAGCCTTGCACATGGGAAAACATCACTATCAATACAAGACAATACATTCTAAGGACAAATTCAGAGGAGTGAGATGACTCTAGGCTGGGACATGTGGGGAAAACTGCCAGAGCAGGTGACATTCCAGTAAGTCTTGAAGGATTTTGTTTGGCACAAGGTCAGCAGGGCATCCCAGTCAAAGAGATGGATTTGGGCAAAGGCATGGGGTGTCCAAGTTTATGCTAAACTTGTTCTCTGATAGAAAGACCAACTTGGCCAGAGTGAAAGCTCCAAATATGGGGATATGCCAGGGGCAGGTTTGGAGGATTCCTTTCTTTGTCTTGAATCTGTCTGGGAGGATTCCAAAGAACCTTGAGAACTGGATCCACACGTAAGGGTAAGGTCTCCTGAAGAATGAATAATTGCTACATTCATCCAGGAAACAAACATTCCCTAGGATTACAAGGTTCCCATGGCCTCCTCTGGTATCGTGGGGGTAAACAATTCCATTTCTAGATGTTTGCAGAGCAGGCAAGAAAAACAGAGTCTGAGAAGATTGTAACTTCTCCACTGAGGCCCTGGACCGCATCCCTTCCAGTGTCTTACAGATCTCAGCTCCCAAAATTAACTCTTCTTTCTCTGGCCCATTTAATCTCTCCTTCACCATTGCCTTTAAACACAGAAATTACAACTATAGCTAGTATCCTTTTTCTCTTTTACCAACATTCCTCTTGAATAAATGAACTTATTGAGTTAATCTACTTTTCAAAATAGCTTTCATCAGTTCTCTTTTGAATGGTCCCATCTATCGAGCTTTTCCATTACCGGTAGACTTCCCATGTTAATGGTGATTGACAGTGGTTTTCTTTCTTTCTGCTGCATTTGAGATGCCTGTCACCTTCTCTGAAGTATCACTACTCCAAATTATCTTCCTACATTTCTGCCAACTGTAGTCTCTTGCCCTGTGCTTGTCTCCGTCTCTTGTGCTGCTGCTTTCTTCTCTTCCAAAATGTAAGAGTTTTCCAAGGTTGCTAAAAATCCTCTGCTCTTCATTATGCCTTCTCTTTCCCTGAATCCAGTCACACTTACAGTGTCAACTATCACTTCTAAGCCAACAGCTCAATAAGTAAGACAATAGCAGCTGCCTCGCTCCCACATGCTGAACACTAGTATATGCTGGATACGACGTTAAGCATTTTATACCTATTTAGTGAATCCAAGTCAAATTGGTATTGCCATCATTTAACAAGTAAGCAAATTGAGGCTTATAGAAGTTCAATTGTGGCTAATCAGAACCCAGTTTTGCCTGACTTTGAAGTTGGTGCTCTTACCCCTTGCACTGAGTGAACTTTTGCCACTTTCCTGAGCACTTGCATGTCCACTGTCACTGGACATTTTCATCTAGATGCTCTTCTGTTACACCTAGCTGATTGTGCTCAATATCGAATATCCTCTTCTCACAATATGAGAACTACCTCCAAACTCCTTGAACTTTTTTCATCCCTTCTGATATCTCCCCCAAACCCTTCTTAAAATACGGCTTTACAAACCATCATGACAAGGACAAACAGGTCAACCTGAGGAACAATAATCACCATGGAAGTGGGTGACACCTTGTCTCTTAAGAATTGTGGGCATCACATGGATTTGTGAGTCAGTACGTAGCTGCCTGGACCGCAGGATGATGTTTTCCCGTGCAATTGTAATGACGTACATTCAGTGGCTTTTGCAACTCATGAGCGTGATCGTCAGGCTTTTCTGACGAGTTCCTCAACAATTCCAAACACCCCCTTCTCTCCATTCTTACACCAGACCACAGAAGAGTGTGGCCCATCACTCCTGGAGGGAGCATTGATTGTAGAATGTCAGAACTGAGTTTAACCTCGGAAACTATTTTAGGCTAAGCCCTTCCTTTTACAGTCGAGGGAACTGGGGCTCAGATAGGTAAGGCATCACCTCCTCCAGAAGTGTATCCTAAGCACTCTATTAAAAATTGCAAAAGATTTCTCTGCCTACCCCACATTTCAGAACCTCCTCACTCTGTGCGCCTTCTCCCTTTCCCAAGGCTAGTGTAGCCCTGCATCCCCATTTGTCCAGGAGACCTACTGTTCCTACCTGCTGCTCCTGTATAATTATCAAGACAGCCTCCTTTTATTCCCCAAAATAGCCCAGTTTAGAGGACCAATTTTTCTGGTGACCCTATCCATAGCCCTTAACACCTTCGAACACACCATGTCGTTCGGTACTAACATATGTATTTATTGTTAACTATCCAAACTTTCCCCCCTTGAATTGAGGGTCTATGAAGGCAGCGTCTTTGTTTTGTTGATTGATATATCCCCCATAATTAGAACAGTGACATCATGTGGTAAATAACACTTGCTGGTCCATGCCGGGCTGGGAAGTGAAATGAAGCAAGTGGAGTTCAGTCAAGCAAAAAGTCTGCACTTGCAGAATTCTAAAGAGTGTGGGGTGGGGTAGGAAGGGGGTGGGCATGTGTCCTTCCAGCACTGTAAACTCCCTTTTCCTACTCTATGAGGAATGCTGATGCAGTCAGGAATGTAGAGACAGAATGAACAACCTTCTAAGAACACCCTATTTCTTCCTGCTTATCCTCCTTCTCCATCCGCTGGCTTCCCATACATTTTCCTTGTCCACTCTTGACCTTGAATTTGTCCTCCAAGTTCATAATTATACTTAATTTCTCTAGTTAGGTTTGATATAGACTAATCATTTAATTGTAAATTTTTTTTAAAAGATGCTTTAAAATTATCTCAAGCTCATTGAAAACTGTAATTTATTAAAGTGGGCATTTAGATTTTTTTAAAAGGGAAAATGGGTAAGATTAAGTACCCGCCTAATTCTCCCCCTCCACCCCTACTGTCTCTGGAAGGTTGCAATCTGCCCCAGACAGAGGAGTGCTTATTTTTGCCAGGGACTTATTTTCTGCCTTCATTCCATCCCTGCAGATTGAATGCTGGAGTGCTGGCAGATTACCAGTGGTGTCACAGGCTCCTTGCCTGCCCCCCAACTGTGAGATCATACTTTTTCATTTAGAGTCAAATCATGGAAAGAATCAGAAAGGATTATATTGTCAGAGGTAGCAGGAAGGAAGTAAACAAACGTCTTATTAAACAGCCTCTGTGGAGCCTCCAGGTGCAGGCTGGCTTCTGTGTTGGAGGAATGGAAATCAAATTCCTGGCATTTTCCATGGGACCCTGGAGACCGAGATTGCTCTGTTATCTGTCTGTGCTCCCGTGCAGCATGGCCGTGTGTCAGTGTTACTGACACATGTACGATCCATGTGTAGCCCTGGCCTTCTCATGTTTCTGGAGGTTTGCAGTGGGGAATGGAAGCAAGGCTGTTGCAAACAGGGTGGCCTGAGGTCCCCAGGAGAGAGTTGCCGAGAGGAGCTTCCAGCTGGAGGGGCTGACAGGGTTCTGGGCATCACAGCAGCAAGGAATAGAGCAGGTGCGGATGGAGGGTCTTTCTTAAGCTTAGTATATTACTAATTATCACTCAAAATACCATGTGTGTTCTCACCCTGTACTCCTTCTAGAATGTGCTTCTTTTCTGCCCTTAACACATCTGATGTTTTCCTTCATGGTCCAGCTCAAACCTACCTCCTCTCAGAGGACAGAGGCCTTTCCTTTATCACAGTTCTGCTTACACGAGTTATTTGTCAATGATGACAAGTGGTGTAGTATTCTGACCTGGAAACTGTCTCGGGTCAGCCTTCTTCTTTCACAGAGATGAGAGTGAAGAGCCAGAGAGATGAAATTCCTTGTTAAAAATTACACAGCTGGCTAGTGGCAGAATAAGAACTATCCCACAGAGTTTCCATCTCCCAGCAAATTTTCCTTGATTGAACCATTCTCAACAATACTAAAAGTGCTAAAGTTTTGAACAATATTATCTTGCTACAGGCTGGGAATACCCTGTATGCCTAGCTCTGTGTGGCTGTCTGTCTTGATGAGGCTAAATTGTTTTACCCTTTATGTGCATTCTAGGTACTGTACTTTTGTGTCTGTGTCTTCCCCCTTTTTTTAATCAATTGTTAGAATTTGGAACAACTACCCATCATCCATATATTTATAGAAATATTGAAAACTCCTTACATGTGACAAAGGTGCTGGATGCTGGGGATACTACAATGGAAAATAAAAAATGAAAGACAAAGTTTCTGCCCTCATAGAGTTTAATACACGTAAAATTAGAGTACTATGATAAATGCTAGGAGAGGTATGGGTTGCTGAGAGCAGGTACATGAAGAACATTTGAGCAATTTGGGACCAAAATGAATCAGGAAAGGTTCCCCTAGGAAGAGATGTCTGTTCTGAGATTTTGGAGGGTCAGGAAGAAGGCTGCAGCAGTCCACGAAGTGGAGGGTTAGGGGAAGGTGGGGGAGGGGTGTGAATGTCTCAGAGTCAGGAAGGGCCAGACCATGCCAGGTCTTGAAGCTATTTTAAAGCTTTTAGATTGGCTAATTTTTTAGATGAATTGTTTTGATATGGGAGAAATGAGTCTGGGGATATGATTAGATTTGAATTTTGAAAATATCTCCTTGCTGTCTGTGAGGAGAATTAATCAGAGCAAGGCAGGCGTGAATACTGGGCATCTGGGCATGGGTGTTGGTGGCCTGGACTTGGGTGGGCATGGGGGAGATGGAGAGAAGCAGGGGGCTCCTTTCAAGAGATATTTAGAGACATATAGAAAATGGCAGTGGTTTAAGTGTAAGGTGTAAAGGAAATGTCAAGGATGACTCATTCATAGGTTCCTGGTTTTTTGGAACTCAGTGAATGGCTCCCTAAAACTCTGTGGAAGAGTTCTGGGTTTCTAGGGGAGGAGATTGTTGTATTTTTGAAATGTTGGGTTTGAGATGCTTGTGAGATATTTAAGTGGAGATATCAAGAAACTAATTAAATGTATGGGCCTGAAGCTTAGAGGAGATGTTAGGGCTGGAGACATAAATTTGGGAGTCAAAAGTATTTAGGTGGCATTGAAAACATTGCTAAGGTAATATCACCAATGGAGAAATTATGAAAGCAGAAGAGAAGACCCTGTGCAGAGCCTCTGTTCTTCAGATAGGAAGGAAATAAATGAGGCAGAGGAGCTGCCAGAGACATAAGAGGAGAACCAGAGGGGATGCAGCACAGAGCCGAGTGAAAGGGATGTAGCCATTAAGGACAGACCCTTACATGTTCCCACTACCAAGATGACCAACCCGCTTGAATGTTTTCCTGTGGATTATGCCTTTTGTTCTGTTAAATGGATTAACCCTCCCTCCCCCTAGCTAAAACCAGCTCCTCCTTGTCCACCTTGTATCCCATTCCCTTTCTTTGGCTCTTGCTTTTAAAGCAAGCACCCATCATCATTTTTCCCTCTCCCTTGGATGATTTCCATAAGCATACAAATATGATGTAATACTTCTCAGTATTAGAAACAATTTACTTTACCTCCTTCACTCCTATTTTGAATCTACTCCAGTCAGGTTTTATCTCTGTTACTCCTTTGGACTCTGAACCTGCTCTTGTCAAGGCTACATAGGACTTCATGTAGACAAACCCAAATAAATTCTTCCTTCTCATTTTATTTGACTTGCCCTTCTGAAACACTTTCTCCCTTGAGGTGTGGCTCTCACCTCTCTTTTGGCTCTCCTCCCACTTACTGGCTGCTGCTGCTCCATAGATTCTTTGTCTTCCTGACCTTTAAATGTTGGAATGCACAGAGGCTGGGTCCTGGGAACTCCTCTTTTCTCTAGGTACACTCAATCCCCATATAATCTCATTTTGGCCCCATAGTTTTAAACCCCATTAAATGCTGGTAACACCTGTGGCTTTATATCCAGTCAGGCTTTGTGAAATACAGATTTTAAATCAATTTAATAAATGATTTGCCTACGTGATAAACCTGCTTGTCCAAAATTGATTTCACCTCCCCTCAAGAAATCTACTTCACCTACAACTTTCCCCATCTCAATAAGTAGCACTTCTTTTATTAATTTTTTTATTCTTATTTATATTATACTTTAAGTTCTAGGGTACATGCACACAACATGCAGGTTTGATACACGGGTATACATGTGCCATGTTGGTTTGCTGCACCCATCAACTCATCATTTACATTAGGTATTTCTCCTAATGCTATCCCTCCCCCAGCCCCCCACCCACTGGCAGGCTCCGGTGTGTGATTTTTCCTGCCCTGTGTCCAAGTGATCTCATTGTTCAATTCCCACCTATGAGTGAGAACATGCGGTGTTTGGTTTTCTGTCCTTGTGATAGTTTGCTGAGAATGATGGTTTCCAGCTTCATCCATGTCCCTGCAAAGGACATGAACTCATCCTTTTTTATGGCTGCATAGTATCCCATGGTGTATATGTGCCACATTTTCTTTATCCAGTCTGTCACTGATGGACATTGTGTTGGTTCCAAGTCTTTGTTATTGTGAATAGTGCTGCAATAAACATACGTGTGCATGTGTCTTTATAGTAGCATGATTTATAATCCCTTGGGTATATACCCAGTATTGGCATATACCCAGTAAAGGATTGCTGGGCCAAATGGTAATTCTAGTTCTAGATCCTTGAGGAATTGCCACACTGTCTTCCACAATGGTTGAACCAATTTACACTCCCCCCAACAGTGTAAAAGCGTTCCTATTTCTCCACATCCTCTCCAGCATCTGTTATTTCCTGACTTTTTAATGATTGCCATTCTAATTGGCATGAGATAGTATCTCATTGTGGTTTTGATTTGCATTTCTCTGGTGACCAGTGATGATGAGCATTTTTTCATGTGTCTATTGGTTGCATAAATGTCTTCTTTTGAGAAGTGTCTGTTCATATCCTTTGCCCAGTTTTTGATGGGGTTGTTTGTTTTTTTCTTGTAAATTTGTTTGAGTTCTTTGTAGATTCTGGGATATTAGTCCTTTGTCAAATGGGTAGATTGCAAAAATTTTCTCCCATTCTGTAGGTTGCCTGTTCACTTTGATGGTAGTTTCTTTTGCTGCACAGAAGCTCTTTAGTTTAATTAGATCCCATTTGTCTATTTTGGCTTTTGTTGCCATTGCTGTTGGTATTTTAGTCATGAAGCTGTCTGCTACTAGGAAGCCAATATGAAAGCAAATATTCCAGGAAGGAGATCAGTATTTGGACCAGGATAAAGTAACATAGTGAGAAATGATCGGGTTTGAGTTGTGCTTGTCTCTTTTTTCTCCTTCTCCCATCTCTTACGCATTTGCTATCAGTAAATTCTGCGGGCTTTTTTTTTTTTTTGAAATATGTCAAGGAACCTGATCACTTCTCACTATATTCCCTTTATCCTGGTCCAAATACTTCTCTCCTCCCTGAAATATTTGCTTTCATATTGGCTTCCTAGTAACAGACAGAATGTCATTTTATAATATTTCAAATTATATCATCTTTCTGCTCAAATTTCTCCTCCTGATTCCTTCAGAAATTCTCAATTTCTTTAAGTCTGTGCTCACATGTTTTATATAACGTAGCATGATATCCCTCTAATCTGAGCTCTTTTTAACCTATTTATCCCACTTCAGTATATTTCATTCTCATGACACTTAATATATATTTCTTTGTTTTATTTGTATATTGTCTATCTTCCTCCATACTGCTGAAATACTGGAGGCCAGAAATTTGCTCTGTTTTGTTCACTGATATATCGCAGGGCCTAGGATAGTGGGAGGAACCTTGTAAGGGATCATTAAATATTACTTGAATAATTGAATAAAACTTTGGAGGAGGTGAAGTAATAGTAATTTGATTTATGAAAAACATCAGTTAGATTGAACTCTAGTGACATGGGAGTCAGTGTAGCCCTTAAAATTTCTATGGAAGTTAGTCAGGAGTGAGTGTCTAATGAGGAAACAGAGAAAGTTAAGAATAGAAAACTCCTTCAAGGAATTTGGTTTTGAAGGGGAAAGAGTCAGGGTGATATGAGAGTAAAATGTGGAGCCAAAGGTAGCTTTGAGAAGGAGCTAGGTTGGGCTTGAGGATATGTAACTGTTGATGAAGAAGATTAGTTTGGAGTGAGATGGTGATTATATCTGAAATAGAGAGACAAATTACCAATGGCAGGATGTTCCTGAGACAAAGAGTGGACATGCTATCCAAAGCATAGGTAGAGAGGCTGATCTTTGAGAGGAGGAGTGTAGATGTATTGAAGTTTTAATTTGCCATTCAAAGTAACGGTTAAAAACAGCAATTACTTTTGCACCAACCTGATGGAGCTGGAAGTCTTTGTCTCAGGTCTTTTTTTTTCTTTATGGGGTAGGTGGTTGTGTCATCTTTTGAGGGTGAGCAGGTAGGTGGAGTGAAGCAGTGAGGGAAGGGATTTGAAGGAATTAGAAAAGGTTCATTATAACCATTGTGAAGAGTAGGAATATGCGTTCACCAGTGCAGGGTAGCAGTATTGTCCAGCAGGGTGGCATTTTAAGGGCTCATTTGAAGTTGGTCAATGTGAATTTATAAAATCACAAATCTGCTTATTTCTGGCATCACTCAACTGTTCTGGTAATGGTGTGCAGAAAAAGGAGCTAGAGGAGTGATGAAGGAGTTGGTCACTGGAGATAAAAAGGTCAAGAAATTGAGACTTTTGGGAGTTTTCTATGTTTTTTGTATGATAGGGACGCAAGTGGTCCAGGATGATGTCAGGACTTGCATGAGGAGGGACACTGAGCTAGTAGACTAGCTAGGCCAATCCACAGTGGGTGATTTGGGTTTGAAGTTGGCTAGAATGAAGCCTTGGATTTAGCTAAGGGTATTTTCACTTTGGTTTCTGTTGAATTAGCAAAGAAAATATTTGAAATTGAGAGTGTGAAGGAGATTTTGGGGAATCTTGATGTTTTCCTAGTTGCTCGTGGAGCCATGATAGAGGCATAGTAGCATCCACAACTTGCAGAATGAAGAGCTGCTAGGATAGAAGAATGCAGAATTCACATTTCTCTGTCTTTTATACTGTCAGTCTGGAGGCACCTCATCATCACCCAAGGGTTCATCCTATGACCATTTAAGTATATTCTTGCAGCCATAGCTATATTCTTCAGCTTTCTGTTTCTCATCAGGCCTCAGCAAGCCTGTAGATGATGGTAGTAAGAAGTATAAATAGATTATAACAGTGGACAAGAGGAAAATGCTGGATAGGAGGCAGGACTAAGTTACAGTTCCCACTGGGATGGATAGAGCAGTGTGTGGAGATTTACATCATGAACTTTTGCTCCAAGAACTATTGCAGGAAGATACCAGGAAAGCCAAGAAAATCCACACACTGTTTGAAGGAAGCAGATTGCTCCTATAGGACCTGGAAGACAGCCTAAATACTGTGAGTGCCCAAAGTGTGACAGTGGGAAAGGGTGATTGTCTACCTCTGAACACACACCCTCACTGGGGAACCTGAAGGTTCAGATCATGAGAGAAGGATTTGACCTTACCTGGAGCTGAGATAATTTAGAGAGCTGAGAGAAATACAGGGGTAGAGAAAGCAGTGGGAAGTGTCCTGTGGGCTCTCTCGGTCCCCAGGGAAGCCATTTCTGACTTTGCTGAGAGGAGTCCTTGGGGAGGGCTTCCAGAGGAACTAAGACAACAGGCAGAAGGAAACCTCCAGCTGAACTTTGTACCAATTCCAACAGTGCTTGAAGTTTCTTAGACAGAACTCAGAGGAGGGGGTGAATCTGGAGTCCAGACACAGGCAGGCAAGGAGGAGGGAAACCTACCTAAAAGCCCTGCTTGCTTTCTCAGTTGCCAGGAGGCTGGTAGCCTGGGGCAATTTCTCAGCCCTATTCACCCACTGCCTGGAAACTAACTTGTTGCTATTGTGGTGCGGGGCACAGTGAGAGTGAGACCGGCATTTTGGGTTGCATGGGAGCTGAATGAGGCCTGTAACTTCTGGTTTTCCCTCACTTCCCTGGCAACCTGAATGACACAGCAGAGGCAGCCATAATCCTCCTGGGAATATAACTCCATTGACCTGGGAACCACAACCCCATCTACCACAGCAGCCACAGCAAGCCATGCCCAAGGAGAATCTGAGTTCAGGCATGCCTAACCCTACCCCTACCTGATGGCCTTTCTGTACCCACCCTGGTAGCTGAAGACAAAGGTCATATTCTCTTGTGAGTTCTAGGGCCCTGCTCACCACCTGATTCTTCCTATGCTACCACAGCTGTTGCTCCCTTGAAAGCGTCACCTCCTGGCAGGAGGCCAACCAGCACAAAACTGGTACAATAAACAACAATAATACAACTAAAAACCCTTACAGGGTCCCTTTCACTCCCCTACCGCTTCCATTAGAGCAGGTGCTGCTATCCACACCTGAGCGACCCACAGATGCTGCACATCACAGGACTGTGCAGACACCTCCAAGTACCAGCCCAGAACCCAGGATCCCCACTGGGTGGCTAGATTCAGAAGAGAAATAACAGTCACTATAATTCAGCTTTTAGGAAGTCACAACCCTGAGAAAAGAGGGAGAATACTACATCAAGGGAGTACCCCGTGGGACAAAATAATCTGAAGAGCAGCGCTTGAGCTCCAGATCTTCCCTCTGACATAGCCTACCCAAATGAGAAGGAAACAAAACACTTCTGGTAATATGACAAAACAAGGTTCTTTAACACCTGGCAAAAATCACACTAGCTCACCAGAAATGGGTCCAAACCAATAAGAAATCCACTGATTTGCCAGAAAAAGAATTTAGAAAGTTGATTTAGTTAATCAAGAAGGCACTAGAGAAAGGTGAAATCCAATTTAATAAAATTAAAAAGAGATACAATATATGATGGGGAAAATCTTCAGTGAAATAGCATAAATAAAGAGCAACAAAAACTTCTGGAAATCAAGGTCACACTTAGAGAAATGTATAATGCACTGGAAAGTCTCAGCAATAGAACTGAACAATCAGAAGAAAGAACTTCAGAGCTTGAAGACAGGTTTTTAAATTAACCCAATCCAACAAAGACAAAGAAAAAATTTTTAAAAAATGAACAAACACTCCCAGAAGTTTGGGATTATGTTAAACAACCAAACCTGAAGATAATTGGCATTCCTGAGGAAGAAGAGAAATCTAAAAGTTTGAGAAACATATTTGGGAGAATAATCAAGGAAAATTTTCCTGGCATTGCTAGAGATCTAGACATCCAAATACAAGAAGCTCAAATAACATCTGGGAAATTCATCACAAAAAGATCCTTGCCTAGGCACATAGTCATCAGGTTATCTAAAGTCAAGATGAAGGAAAAAATATTAAGAGCTGTGAGGCAAAAGCATGAAGTAATTTATAAAGAAAAAGCTATCAAATTAACAACAGATTTCTCAGCAGAAGCCCTATAAGCTAGAAGGAATTGGAGCCCTAACTCAGCCCCCTCAAACAAAACAATTATCAGCCAAGAATTTCGTTTCAAACAAAACTAAGCTTCACAAATAAAGGAAAAATACAGTCTTTTTAAGACAAATAAATGCTGAAAGAATATGCCACTATCAAGCCAGCACTACAAGAACTGCTACAAGGATCTCTAAATCTTGAAACAAATCCTTGAAATACATAAAAACAGAACTCCCTTAAAGCATACATTTCATAGGACCCCACAAAATTGATAGACTACTAGAAAGACTAATGAAGAAAAAAAGAGAGAAAAATCAAATAGACACAATAAAAAATGATAAAGGGGATAACACCACCGATCCCACAGAAATACAAACTAACATCAGAGAATACTACAAACACCTCTATGCAAATAAACTAGAAAACCTAGAAGAAATGGATAAATTCCTCGACACATACACCCTCCCAAAACTAAACTAGGAAGAAGTTGAATCTCTGAATAGACCAATAACAGGATCTGAAATTGTGGCAATAATCAATAGCTTACCAACCAAAAAGAGTCCAGGACCAGATGGATTCACAGCCGAATTCTACCAGAGGTACAAGGAGGAACTGGTACCATTCCTTCTGAAACTATTCCAATCAATAGAAAAAGAGGGAATCCTCCCTAACTCATTTTATGAGGCCAGCATCATCCTGATACCAAAGCTGGGCAGAGACACAACAAAAAAAGAGAATTTTAGACCAATATCCTTGATGAACATTGATGCAAAAATCCTCAATAAAATACTAGCAAACTGAATCCAGCAGCACATCAAAAAGCTTATCCACCATGATCAAGTGGGCTTCGTCCCTGGGAAGCAAGGCTGGTTCAATATACGCAAATCAATAAATCTAATCCAGCGTATAAACAGAACCAAAGACAAAAACCACATGATTATCTCAATAGGTGCAGAAAAGGCCTTTGACAAAATTCAACAACCCTTCATGCTAAAAACTCTCAATAAATTAGGTATTGATGGGACATATTTCAAAATAATAAGAGCTATCTATGACAAACCCACAGCCAATATCATACTGAATGGGCAAAACCTGGAAGCATTCCCTTTGAAAACTGGCACAAGACAGGGATGCCCTCTCTCACCACTCCTATTCAACATAGTGTTGGAAGTTCTGGCCAGGGCAATTAGGCAGGAGAAGGAAATAAAGGGTATTCAATTAGGAAAAGAGGAAGTCAAATTGTCCCTGTTTGCAGATGACATGATTGTATATCTAGAAAACCCCATTGTCTCAGCCCAAAATCTCCTTAAGCTGATAAGCAACTTCAGCAAAGTCTCAGGATACAAATCAATGTACAAAAATCACAAGCATTCTTATACACCAATAACAGACAAACAGAGAGCCAAATCATGAGTGAACTCCCATTCACAATTGCTTCAAAAAGAATAGAATACCTAGGAATCCAACTTACAAGGGATGTGAAGGACCTCTTCAAGGAGAACTACAAACCACTGTTCAATGAAATAAAAGAGGATACAAACAAGTGGAAGAACATTCCATGCTCATGAGTAGGAAGAGTCAATATGAAAATGGCCATACTGCCCATGGTAATTTACAGATTCAATGCCATCCCCATTAAGCTACCAATGACTTTCTTCACAGAATTGGAAAAAACTACTTTAAAGTTCATATGGAACCAAAAAAGAGCCCGCATCGCCAAGTCAATCCTAAGCCAAAAGAACAAAGCTGGAGGCATCACACTACCTGACTTCAAACTATACTACAAGCCTACAGTAACCAAAACAGCATGGTACTGGTACCAAAACAGAGATATAGATCAATGGAACAGAACAGAGCCCTCAGAAACATCACCGCATATCTACAACTATCTGATCTTTGAGAAACCTGAGAAAAACAAGCAATGGGGAAAGGATTCCCTACTTAATAAATGGTGCTGGGAAAACTGGCTAGCCATATGTAGAAAGCTGAAACTGGATCCCTTCCTTACACCTTATACAAAAATTAATTCAAGATGGATTAAAGACTTAAACGTTAGACCTAAAACCCTAAAAACCGTAGAAGAAAACCTAGGCATTATCATTCAGGACATAGGCATGGGCAAGGACTTCATGTCTGAAACACCAAAAGCAATGGCAACAAAAGCCAAAACAACAACATAGTAAAACAAACAAACAAGATATTCAGGCAACAAATAGCAAGACTAATAGAAAAGTACCTCACATAATAATACTAATTTTAAATATAAATGGCTTAAATGCTCCACTTAAAAGATACAGAATGGCAGAATGGGAAAGAATTCACCAACAAAATATCTGCTGCCTTTAAGAGACTCATGTAACACGTAAGAGCTCACATAAACTTAAGGTAAAGGGGTGGAAAAAGATATTCCATGCAAATGGGTACAAAAGTGAGCAGGAGTAGCTATTCTTACCTCAGACAAAACAAACTTTAAAACAGCAGCAGTTAAAAAAGACAAAGACCTTATATAATGATAAAAGGGCTTGTCCAACAGGAAAGTATCACAGTCATATATATATATGTACCTAACACTGGAGCTCTCAAATGTATAAAACAATTACTACTAGACATAAGAAATGAGATAGCAACACAATAATAGGGGGGACTTCAATACTCCACTGACAGTACTAGACGGGTCATCAAGACGGAAAGTCAACAAAGAAACAATGGATTTAAACTATAACCTACAACAAATGGACTTAACAGATATTTACAGAACATTCTACCCAACAACCACAGAATACACATTCTATTTTCAGGGCATGGAACATTCTCCAAGATAGACCATATGATAGGCCATAAAACAAGTCTCAATAAATTTAAGAAAATTGAAATTATATCAAGTACTCTTTCTGACCCCAGTGGAATACAATTGAAAATCGACTCCAAAAGGAACCTTCAAAACCATGCAAATACATGGAAATTAAGAAACCTGCTCCTGAATGAACTTTGGGTCAACAATGAAATCTAGATGGAAATTAATTCCTACAACTGGACAGTAATAGTGACACAAGCTATTAAAACCTCTGGAATACAGAAAAGGTAGTATTAAGAGGAAAGTTCATAGCCTTAAATGCCTACCTCAAGAAGTCTGAAAGAGCACAGAAAATCTCAAGTCACACCTCAAAGAACTAGAGAAACAAAAATAGACCAAAACCAAACCCAGCAGAAGAAAAGAAATAACCAAGATCAGAGCAGAACTAAATGAAATTGAAAAAAAAATACGAAAGATAAATAAAACAAAAAGCTGAGTCTTTGAAAAGATAAATAAAATTGATAGACCATTAGCAAGATTAACCAAGAAAAGAAGAGAAAAGATCCAAAATAAGCTCATTTAGAAACAAAACAGGAGACATTACAATCAACACCACAGAAATACAAAAGATCATTCAAGGCTACTGTGAACAACTTTACATGTGTAAACTAGAAAATCTAGAGAAGATGGATAAATTCCTGGAAATATATAACCCTTCTAGCTTAACCCAGGAAGAATTAGAAACCCTGAACAGATCAATAACAAGCAGCGAGATAGAAATGGGAATAAAAAAACTGCCAACCATAAAAACTCCAGGACCAGACAGATTCACAGCTGAATTCTATCAGACATTCAAAGAAAAGTTGATACCAATCTTACTGACACTATTCCACAAGGTAGAGAAAGAGGGAATCCTCCCTAAATCATTCTATGAAGCCAATATCCCCCTAATACCAAAACCAGGAAAGGATGTAGAAAAAAAACTTTGATGAATATAGATGCAAAAATCCTTAACAAAATATTAGCTAACCAAATCAAACAGCATATCAAAAAGATAATCAACCATGATCAAGTGGGTTTCATATCAGGGATGCAGTGATCGATGGTCATGTCAATACATGCAGAAAAAGCATTGGACAAAATTCAGCATCCCTTTGTGGTTAAAACCCTCAGCAAAATTGGCATACAAGGGACATACCTTAATGTAATGAAAGCCATCTATGAGAAACCTACAGCCAACATAATACTGAATGAAGTTAAAGCATTCTCTTTGAGAAGTGGAATGAAACAACAATGTGCACTCTCACCACTACTATTCAACATAGTACTGGAAGTCTTAGCCAGAGCAATCAGACAAGAGAAAGAAATAAAGAGCATCCACACTGGTAAAGAGGAAGTCAAATAGTTGATTGTTGTTGTTTGCTGATGACACAAATACGTAGAAAACCCTAAGGACTCCTCCAAAAAGCTCCTAGAACTGATAAATGTATTCAGCAAAGATTGAGAGTACAAAATTAATGTACACAAATCAGTAGCTCTCCTATACACAAATAGCGACCAAGCTGAGAATCAAATCAATAACTCAATCCCTTTTACAATAGCTGCAAAACAACAACAATAACAAAAAAGCAAACTTAGGAATATACCTAACCAAGGAGGTGAAAGACCTATACAAGGAAAACTACAAAACACTGCTGAAAGAAATCATATGTGACACAAACAAATAGGAACACATCCCATGCTCATGGAAGGGTAGAATCAATATTGTGAAAATGACCATGCTGCCAAAAGCAATCTGCAATCAATGTGATTCCCATCAAAATACCACCATAATTCTTCACAGAACTAGAAAATACAGTTCTAAAATTCATATGGAACCATAAAAGAGCCTGCATAGCCAAAGCAAAGCTAAGCAAAAAGAACAAATCTGGAGGCATCATATTACCTAACTTCAAACTTTACTATAAGGCCATAGTCACCAAAATAACATGAACTGGCACATAGACCAAGAGAATAAAAATAGAGAACCCAGAAATAAACTGCAGTACTTATAGCCAACTAATCTTTGATAAAGCAAACAAAAACATAAAGTGGGAAAGAACATCCTATTCAACAAATGGTGCGGGATAATCAGCAAGCCAAACGTAGAAGAATGAAACTGGATTCTCATCTCTCACCTTATACAAAAATCAACTCAAGATGGATCAAAGAGTTAAATCTAAGACCTGAAACCATAAAAATTCTAGAAGATAACATCGTAAAAGCCCTTGTAGACATTTGCTTATGCAAAGACTTCATGACCAATAACCCAAAAGAAAATGCAACAAAAACAATGATAAATAGGTGGGACTTAATTAAACGAAAAAGTTTCTGCACAGCAAGGGAAACAATCAGCAGAGTAGACAGATAATCCACAGAGTCGGAGAAAATTTTCATATCCAGCAAAGGACTAATATCCAGAATCCGTGAGGAACTCAAACAAATTAGCAATAAAAAAACAAACAATCACATCAAAAATGACTAAGGACATGAATAGAAAATTCTCAGAAGAAGTTATACAAATGGCCAACAAACATATGGAAAAATGCTCAACATCACTAATGATTAGGGCAATGCAAGTCAAAACCACAATGTGATACTGCATTATTCCTGCAAGAATGGCCATAAAAAAATAATAATAATAGCCTTTGGCGGGGATGCAGTGAAAAGAGAACACTTTTACACTGCTGGTGGGAATGTAAACTAGTACAACCACTATGGAAAACAGTGTGGAGATTCCTTAAAGAACTAAAAGTAGAACTAACATTTGATCCAGCAATCCCACTACGGGGTATGTGCCCAGAGAAGAAGAAATCATTATATGAAAAAGATACTTGCATATGCATGTTTACAGCAGCATAATTCACAATTGCAACAATATGAAACTAGCCCAAATGCCCATCAATCAACAAGTGGATAAATAAATCATTTTATATATATATATAAAATACCATGAAATAGTATTCAGCCATAAAAAGGAAGAAAATAATGGCATTCACAGCAAGGTGGATGTTATTGGAGACCATTATTCTAAGCGAGGTAACTCAGGAATGGAACACCAAACACGGTATCTTCTCACTTGTAAGTAGGAGCTAAGCTATGAGGATGCAAAGACTGAATAATGATACAATGGATTTTGGGGACTTGGGGGAAAGTGTTGGGGAGGGTGATGGATAAAAGACTAAAATTGGGTACAATGTATACTGCTTGGGTGACGAGTGCACCAAAATCTCACAAATCACTACTAAAGAACTAACTCATGTAGCCAAATACCACCTGTTTCTCAAAAACCTATGGAAATAAATAAAATAAAATAAAATAAAATAAAATAAAAAATAGATCATATCAGTGAATGGCCTGCATTTTAAAGGAGCAGGCTTAATTGTCTGGAAAGGCAATGGGGAGAAAAGAGAACTGTTGTACCTGAGATGGGAGAGAACAATAGCTCCCTAGGCAAGAAAAAGTTACATATTTGGCAAAAGCCAAGTTCCAGTGAAGGAGAATAGGTACAGGGATTGCTCTGAGAAGTCGTTTGGGAGACTGGAGAATTTGCTGTACATGAAGACTACAATGAGTTGTGTTTAAGAGTCTGGTGCTTTGGAATCAGAAAGTTTGAGTTTAAATCTTTATTGTGTGATTTGGTACATTTATGAACTTTGCCAGCTTATGTAACTTCTTTGGTGGAAATTCCTGAGAACACAAGGGAAGAGTGTGGGAAGTAAGGTAGGAGTGGAGAGCCAGATGAGTTCAAGGAGGTACAGTGCATTACTGGGGATGACAGAACAACAGAAAGGTGGCCAGGTGGGCTTACACTGTGGCCACTGACTGATGAAAACAGTAATAAGCAGCCTTGTGTATGATTTCAACAGTCTATTTGAGAAGGGTGATTACTGGGTCTAATGGCTAGAGGGCTTAGTGCACAAATACTTGGATGATATCTATTTTTGCAGCTGTGGTCTAAATGTACAGGACAGTCAGAAAAGGAGAAGTATGTGTCAAGGGAGAGACAGACGTAATGATAAAAAGTCATAGTGATTGAGGAGAAGAATGAAATAGGGAGCTGATTTTATGCATTTGTTTCACAAAATCAGGGGACACACTCAAGACAGCTCTGAAAACAAAGATATGGCCTTTTACAACCATCTAGATTAAAAAAGGTTATTTCTGCTAGGATTTGTCACAAAGAATTACATGTTTTACTCAAACTTTAAAAGCACAGTTAATCTCACTCTATTTTTCTCATTTCCAATGGAGAAAAATTTCAATTTACTGCTTTGCAATATGAAGAGTGTGATATTTAATTTCACAGCAAATGAGTTTTCTATTTTCAGATAATATTCATTTTTTGAGGTTTTTCTTCTAAAGACATTATAAAACCATATCACAACATTTTCCCCCATAATAGTCATGAAATATGCTTCCTAACTTTGTGCACATCTGGGGTGGAGTTATCCTGAGGGATGCAGTCTCTATGCTTTGCAGAGTGGGTACTGAGATTGCCCTTCAGAGCACACAGCTTTTTTGGCAGCATCCTTGCTATTATACTAGACATTAGTCACAACAGTGACATTCACAAGATGGAAATACCTATGCTCACTAAAGACTGGTTCATTGGAATACTATTACCAGAATTATTTTCCAGTCAGCATCTGCCTGTCTATAGACTAAATATAGTAATGCTAATAATAAAAACAATGGACATTTTTATTGGCCTTTGGAGTTTCCAAATGCCATCATATATGTCATTTTATTTGATCCTCAGAAAATCTCATCAATTAGGTGAGATTATTATTTCAGTTTTACAGCAATCTGAATAACAACTCCATAAGTTGTTAATATGGAATTAATAACCAATATATATAAGTAACTTAAGTAACTGCTAGTGGGTGATTGGGTAGGGTTTCCAATTAACTTGTTAAGTTTTAACTTTTTTGTTACATAGCTTCTTTAGAAATATAACAGAGACAAATTGGGTATAATTTTAACATTAAGATTAAGTGTACTATTTTTAAAATTGATTTGATATGATTATATGGATAGTAATCAACCAAGATTTTTTAAAATTTTTTTAATTGACAAATCATAATTGACAAATTAACAAATAATAATTGACAAATAATGTGTATATATTCGTGGAGTGTGGTGCGAAGTTTTGATATAAGTATACAGTGTGAAATTATTAAATCAAGCTAATTAACACATCCGTCACCTCACTTATCATTTTTGTGGTAAGACATTTGAAATTTGCTGTCTTAGCAATTTAGAAATATACATTATTATTAGCTATAGTAACCATGCTTCCAATATATCTCAAAAACTCACTCCTCCTAACTGAAATTTTATATCCTTTGGTTAATAAACGCCCATTTGATAATCACCATTCTAACAGGTGTTAGATGATACCTTATTGTGGTTTTAATTTGCATTTTTCTAATGATTAGTGATGCTGAGTATGTTTTCATGTACCTCCTGGCCATTTGTATGTCTTCTTGTGAGAAATATCTGTTTAGGTCGGTTGTCCATTTTTTACTTGGGTTATTTGTTTTCTTGCTATTGAGTTACATAAGTTTCTTATATACATTGGTTATTAATTCCTTATTCCATTCTCCCATTCTGTGGGTTATTGCTTCACAACAAAGTGAAGAAATGGAAGAATGGGAGTTGTTGATTGTTTCCTCTGCTATGTAGATGCTTTTTAGTTTGATGTCATCCTATTTGTCTATTTTTACTTTTGTTGCTTGTGGTTTTGGAATTATGTTTAAAAAGTTGTTGCCCAAACTACTGTTGTGAAATTTTCCCCTATGTTTTTTTTCTAGTAGTTTCAGGTTTTATATTTAAGTTTTTAATCTCTTTTGAGTTTTTTAAAATATAATGTGAGACAAATGTCCAATATTATTCTTCTGCATGTGGATATTCAGTTTTCCCAACGTTGTTTATTGAAGAGACCGTCCTTGTCCCATTGTGTGTTCTCGGCAATTTTATAAAAAGTGAATTGACTACAAATGCATGTGTTTATTTCTGGGATTTCTATCTTGTTCTGTTGGTCTATGTGTCTTTTTAAATGCCAGTACAATGATGTTTTGATTATATTCACTTTATAATATGACTTGAAAACTAAGGATGTGATGCCTCCATTTTTGTTATTTTTGTTAAGTTTGGTTATTCAGGGTTTTTTTTTGTTTCATATAAATTTCAGAATATATTTTGTTTTCTGTGAAAAATGACATTGGAATCTTTTGTTTGTTCGTTTGAGATGGAGTCTCGCTCTGTTGCCCAGGCTGGAGTGCAGTGGCACAATCTCGGCTCACTGCAATTTCTGCCTCCAAAGTAGCTGGGACTATGGGCGCACACTGGCTACATTTTTGTATTTTAGTAGAGACAGGGTTTCATCGTGTTGCCCAGGCTGGTTGCAAACTCCCGAGCTCAGGCAATCCACCTGCCTTGGCCTCCCAAAGTGCTGAGATTACAGGCATGAGCCACCACGCCCACCTGGAATTTTGATAGCAATTGCATTGACTGTGGTTTGCTTTGGGAAGTATGGACATTTTCAAGATTTTGATTTTTCTAATCCATAAACATGGGATACATTTCAATTTATTTATGTTTTCTTCATTTTTCTTTCATCAGTGTATTACAACTTTCAGTATACAGGTCTTTTACCTCCTTGGTTAAAATTACACCTAAATATTTAATTTTCTAATTGTAAATGAGATTTTCTTACTTTCTTTTTATATTGTTTATTACTAGTGTATAGAAATGATACTAATTTTGTACATTGGTTCTGGGGCCTGCATTTACTGACTTCATTTATCAGTTCTAAGAGTTTCAGGTAGTCTTTAGTGTTTTGTATGTATATGATTATGTCACTAGCAAATATAGACATTTTAACTTCTTCCTTTCTTATTAGGATGCCTTCCATTTTTTCCTCTTGTCTGATTGCTCTGGCTACATTTTCTAGTACTATGTTGAAGTGGTGAGAGTAAGAATTCTTGGTCTTTTCCCTTATCTTAGAGGAAAAGCTTTCAACTTTTCATTGTTGAGAATGATGTTAGCTATAGGTTTGCAATATATGGCCCTTATTATGTTAATGTACATTCCTCTATGCCTTATCTGTTGAAAGTTTTTTTTTAATCATGAAAGCATATTGAATGTTGTCAAACGTGCTGTATACATCTATTGAGATGATAATATTATTTTTATTATCCACTTTTAAAATGTGGTGTTCCACATTTTTATGTTGAAACATTTTTGCCTCACAGTGATAAATCCCACTTGATCATGGTGAATAATCATTTTAATGAGCTATTGGCTTCAATTTGTTAGTATTTTTTGAGGATATTTGTATATATGTTCCTCAGGGACATTGACCTGTAATTTTCTTTTCTGAAAGTGTTTTGTTTTTTTTGGCTTTGGAATCACCATAATGCTGGCCTTGTAAAATGCATTAGGAAATATTCCATCCTTTGAATTTTTGGAATAGTTTGAGAAAAAGTGTTATTAGTTCGATTTTAAATGCATGCTAGAATTCAGCAGTGTAGTAATTTGGTTCTTAGTTTCCCTTAATGGGAGACTTTTTATTACTGATTCAATATCCTTACTTGTTATTGGTTTGTTCAGATGTTCTTTGTCTTCATGTTTCAGCCTTAGGTTGCATGGGTCTAGGAGTTTATGTATTTTTTGTAGATTTTTCAGTTTGTTGACAATATAATTAGAGTTTCTTATAATCCTTTGTATTTCTGTGTTGTCAGTTGTAATGTCTCTTCTTTCATTTCTGATAAATTTATTTGAATCTTTTCTCTTTTTTTCTAGTTAGTGTAACTAAGGGTTCATCAATTTTCATTTTTTTTTCAAGAAATCAATTTCACTGATGTTTTTTCTACTGTTTTTCTAATCTCTAGTCCATTTATTTCTGCTTTGATCTTTGTTATTTCTTTTTTATTTTATTTTATATTTTTATTATACTTTAAGTTCTAGGGTACATGTGCACAACGTGCAGGTTTGTTACATAGGTATACATGTGCCATGTTGGTTTGCTGCACCCATCAACATCTAACATTTAAGTCTTTAATCCATCTTGAATTAATTTTTTGTATAAGGTATAAGGAAGGGATCCAGTTTCAGCATTATACATATGGCTAGCCAGTTTCCCCAGCACCATTTATTAAATAGGGAATCCTTTCCCCATTTCTTGTTTTTGTCAGGTTTGTCAAAGATCAGATGGTTATAGATGTGTGGTGCTATTTCTGAATCCTCTCTTCTGTTCCATTGGTCTATATCTGTTTTGGTACCAGTACTATGCTGTTTTGGTGACTGTAGCCTTGTAGTATAGTCTGAAGTCAGATAGCATGATGCCTCCAGCTTTGTTCTTTTGGCTTAGGATTGTCTTGGCAATGCAGGCTCTCTTTTGGTTCCATATGAACTTTAAAGTAGTTTTTTCTGTCTGTGAAGAAAGTCATTGGTAGCTTGATGGGGATGGCATTGAATCTATAAATTACCTTGGTCAGTATGGCCATTTTCACGATATTGATCCTTCCTAACCATGAGCATGGAATGTTCTTCCATTTGTTTGTGTCCTCTTTTATTTCAATGAGCAGTGGTATGTAGCTCTCCTTGAAGAGGTCCTTCATATCTCTTGTAAGTTGGATTCCTAGGTATTTTATTCTCTTTGAAGCAATTCTGAATGGGAGTTCACTCATGATTTGGCTCTCTGTCTGTGATTGGTGTATAGGAATGCTTGTGACTTTTGTACATTGATTTTGTATCCTGAGACTTTGCTGAAGTTGCTTATCAGCTTAAGGAGATTTTGGGCTGAGAAGATGGGGTTTTCTAAATACACAATCATGTCATCTGCAAACAAGGACAATTTGACTTCCCCATTTCCTAATTGAATACCCTTTATTTCTTTCTTTTGCCTGATTGCCCTGGCCAGAACTTCCAGCACTATGTTGAACAGGAACGGTGAGAGAGGGTATCCTTGTCTTGTGCCAGTTTTCAAAGGGAATGCTTCCAGTTTTTGCCCATTCGGTATGATATTGGCTGTGGGTTTGTCATAAATAGCTCTTATTACTTTGAGATACATTCCATTAATACCTAGTTTATTGAGAGTTTTTAGCCTGAAGGCTGCTGAATTTTGTCAAAGGCCTTTTCTGCATCTATGGAGATAATCATGTGGTTTTTGTCTTTGATTCTGTTTATGTGATGGATTACGTTTATTGATTTGCATATGTTGAACGAGACTTGCATCCCAGGGATGAAGCCTACTTGATCATGGTGGATAAGCTTTTTGATGTGCTCCTGGGTTTGGTTTGCCAGTATTATATTGAGGATTTTCTCATCGATGTTCATCAGGGATATTGGTCTAAAATTCTCTTTTTTTGTTGTGTCTCTGCCAGATTTTGGTATCAGGATGATGCTGGCCTCATAAAATGAGTTAGGGAGGATTCCCTCTTTTTCTATCGATTGGAATAGTTTCAGAAGGAATGGTACCAGCTCCTCTTTGTATCTCTGGTAGAATTTGGCTGTGAATCCATCTGGTCCTGGACTTTTTTTGGTTTGTAGACTATTAATTATTGCCTTAATTTCAGAGCCTGTTATTGGTCTATTCAGAGATTCAACTTCTTCCTGGTTTAGTCTTGGAAGGGTGTATGTGTCCAGGAATTTATCCATTTCTTCTAGATTCTCCAGTTTATTTGCGTAGAGATGTTTATAGTATTCTCTGATGGTAGTTTGTATTTCTGTGGGATTGGTGGCGATATCCCCTTTTTCATTTTTTATTGCATCTATTTGATTCTTCTCTCTTTTCTTCTTTATTAGTCTTGTTAGTGGTCTATCAAGTTTGTTTATCTTTTCAAAAAATCAGCTCCTAGATTCATTGATTTTTTTGAAGCATTTTTTTTTGCTTGTAAAATCTACCTTTATTCATTAAAATAATGCATTTTGCCAATTTGTGGTTATTTATAAATGTTGGCTGAAGGAATATTCAACTTCTTCATTCACATTTTATGGCTGGAGCAAGTTTTGCTCTCTGGGAAGTAGAAACTCTCTTGGGTGGAAGCAGAGTAGCCGAGTGAGGCTGTCTTTCTTATTGTCTCTGTGAGGGAGATCCAGTGGGCCCTATCTATGATGTTTGCCCACAAATCATGATTTCGGCCTGAGGTCACTGTGAGTAAGAAGAGTGAGGAGTTTTACTAGCCACAGTGAAATGATAATGGGAAACATCAAGGTGCAATGCTGATTTGATAGTCACAGAGATTTGTTCAGAAATCCGGCAATTAGGAATGTGAAGGTTGGCATAAGCACAACAGAGGTCAAAAGGACAGAAGGGAGCTGTCTTATATTTTTTTGTGTCTCTGTCTCCTTCAGTTCTGCTCTGATCTTAGTTATTTCTTACCTTCTACTAGCTTTTGAATTTGTTTGCCCTTACTTCTCTAGTTCTTTAAATTGTGATGTAAGGGTGTCGATTTTAGATCTTTCTTGCTTTCTCTTGAGGGCATTTAGTGCTATACATTTCCCTCTGCACACCTCTTTAAATGTGTCCCAGAGATTCTGGTACATTGTGTCTTTATTCCGTTGGTTTCAAAGAACATCTTTATTTCTGCCTTGATTTCATTATTTACCCAGTAGTCATTCAGGAGCAGGTTGTTCAGTTTCCATGTAGCTGTGCAGTTTTAAGTGAGTTCTTTAATCCTGAGCTCTAATTTGATTGCACTGTGGTCTGGGAGACAGTTTGTTGTGATTTCTTTTCTTTTACATTTGTGGAGGAGTGCTTTACTTCCAATTATGTGGTCAATTTTAGAATAAGTGTGATATGGTGCTGAGAAGCATATATATTCTGTTGATTTGGGGTGGAGAGTTCTGTAGATGTTTATTAGGTCTGCTTGGTGCAGAGCTGAGTTCAAGTCCTGGATATCCTTGTTAATCTTCTGTCTTGTTCTGTCTAATATTGACAGTGGGGTGTTAAAGTCTTTCATTATTATTGTGTGGGAGTCTAAGTCTGTTTGTAGGTCTCTAAGGACTTGCTTTATGAATCTGGGTGCTCCTGTATTGGGTGCATATATATTTAGGATAGTTAGCTCTTCTTGTTGAATTGATCCCTTTACCATTAGGTAATGGCCTTCTTTGTCTCTTTTGATCTTTGTTAGTTTAAAGTCTGTTTCATCAGAGACTAGGATTACAATTCCTGCTTTTTTTGGCTTTCCATTTGCTTGGTAGATCTTCCTTGATCCCTTTATTTTGAGCCTATGTGCGTCTCTGCACGTGAGATGAGTCTCCTCATCTCACTAATGGGTCTTGGCTTTTTATCCAATTTGCCAGTCCATGTCTTTTAATTGGAGCGTTTAGCCCATTTACATTTAAGGTTAATATCGTTATGTGTGAATTTGATTCTGTCATTATGATGCTAGCTGCTTATTTTGCCCGTTAATTGATGCAGTTTCTTCATAGCATTGGTGGTCTTTACAATTTGGCATGTTTTTGCAGTGGCTGGTACCAGTTGTTCCTTCCCATGGTTTAGTGCTTCCTTCAGGAGCTCTTGTAAGGCAGGCCTGGTGGTAACAAAACCTCTCAGCGTTTGCTTGTCTGTAAAGGATTTTATTTCTCCTTCACTTATGAAGCTTAGTTTCGCTGGATATGAAATTCTGGGGTGAAAATTCTTTTCTTTAAGAATGTTGAATATTGGCCCCCACTCTCTTCTGGCTTGTGGGGTTTCTGCTGAGAGATCCACTGTTAGTCTGATGGGCTTCCATTTGTGGGTAACCCGACCTTTCTCTCTGGCTGCCCTTAACATTTTTTCCTTCATTTCAACTTTGATGAATCTGACAATTATGTGTCTTGAGGTTGCTCCTCTTGAGGAGTATCTTTGTGGTGTTCTCTGTATTTCCTGAATTTGAATGTTGGCCTGCCTTGCTAGGCTGGGGAAGTTCTCCTGGATAATATCCTGCAGAGTGTTTTCCAACTTGGTTCCATTCTCCCCATCACTTTCAGGTACACCAATCAGACGTAGATTTGGTCTTTTCACATAGTCCCATATTTCTTGGAGGCTTTGTCTGTTTCTTTTTACTCTTTTTTCTCTGAACTTGTCTTCTCGCTTTATTTCATTAATTTGTTCTTCAATCACTGATACCTTTTCTTCCACTTGATCGAATTGGCTATTGAAGCTTGTGCATGTGTCACAAAGTTCTTGTGCCATGGTTTTCAGCTCCATCAGGTCATTTAAGGTCTTCTCCACACTGTTTATTCCAGTTAGCCATTTGTCTAACCTTTTTTCAAGGTTTTTAGCTGCCTTGCGATGGGTTAGAACATGCTCCTTTAGCTCAGAGAAGTTTGTTATTACTGAACTTCTGAAGCCTACTTCTGTTAACTCATCAAAGTCATTCTCTGTCCAGCTTTGTTCTGTTGCTGGCAAGGAGCTGTGATCCTTTGGAGGAGAAGAGGCGCTCTGATTTTTAGAATTTTCCACTTTTCTGCTCTGGTTTCTCCCCATCTTTGTGGTTTTATCTAGTTTTGCTCTTTGATGTTGGTGACCTACAGATGGGGTTTTGGTGCAGATGTCTTTTTTGTTGCTGTTATTGCTATTCCTTTCTGTTTGTTAGTTTTCCTACTAACAGCCAGGTCCCTCAGCTGCAGGTCTATTGGAGTTTGCTGGGGGTCCACTCCAGACCCTGTTTGCCTGGGTATCACCAGTAGTGGCTGCAGAATTGCAAATATTGCAGAATAGCAAATATTGCTGCCTGATCTTTTCTCTGGAGTCTTCGTCCCAGAGGGGCATCTGCCTGTATGAGGTGTCTATCGACCCCTACTGGGAGGTGTCTCCCAGTTAGGCTACACGGGGGTCAGGGACCCACTTGAGGAGGCAGTCTGTCTGTTCTCAGAGCTCAAACACTGTGCTGGGAGAGCCACTGCTCTCTTCAGAGCTGTCAGACAGGGACACTTAAGTCTGCAGAAATTGTCTCCTGCCTTTTGTTCAGCTATACCCTGCCCACAGAGGTGGAGTCTGTAGAGGCAGTAGGCCTTGCTGAGCTGTGATGGGCTCTGTCCAGTTCCAGCTTCCTGGCCACTTTGTTTACCTACTCAAGCCTCAGCAATGGTGGACACTCCTCCCTCAGCCAGGCTGCCATCTTGCCATTTGATCTCAGACTGCTGCGCTAACAGTGAGCAAGGCTCCTTGGGCGTGGGACCTACTGAGCCAGGCATGGGAGATAATCTCCTTGCCTGCCAGTTGCTAAGACCTTGGGAAAAGCACAGTATTTGGGTGGGAGCGTCCTGTTTTTCCAGGTACAGTCTGTCATGGCTTCCCTTGGCTAGAAAGGGAAATCTCCCAACCCCTTACACTTCCCAGGTGAGGTGACGCCCCACCCTGCTTCAGCTTGCCCTCTGTGGGCTGCCCCCACTGTCCAACCAGTCCCAATGAGATGAACCAGATACCTCATTTGGAAATGCAGAAATCACCTGTCTTCTGCGTCGATTACGCTGGGAGCTGCAGACCAGAGCTGTTCCTATTCAGCCATCTTGGAATGGAATCTGATCTTTGTTATTTCCTTCCTTCCCTAAATTTGGGTTTAGTTTATTCTTCTTTTTCTAGTTCTTTGAAGTATAATTTAGATTTATTTGAGATCTTCCTTCTTTTTCCACATAGGTGTTTATTGCTATAAATTTCTATCTTAGAACTCCTTTTTTCTGTGCTCTGTAATATTCAGTTTGTTGTTTTCATTTTTATTTGGCCCAAGGTATTTTTAATTCAGCTTTTATTCTGTGACCCATTGGTTGTTTAAGAGTATATTGTTTCATTTCCAAATATTTGTGTGCTTTCTAAGCTTTCTCCTGTTATGGATTTCTAGTTTCATGCTATTGTGATCCAAAAAGATACTTTATATGCTTTTGATTCTGTTAAATTTATTATGGTTTGTTTTGTGGCCTAATATATAATCTGTCCTGGAGAAAGTTCTGTGTGTACTTGAGAAGACTGTATATTCTGCTTCTGTTGGATGGAGTGTTTCATATATGTTTGTTAGGTCCATTTAGTTAAAAGTGTAAATTGAATCTATCGTTTTCTTACTGATTTTCAATGTAGATGACTTGTACATTTTTGAAAGTGTGGACTTTCTTTGGAAGTCCTTCACTATTATAGTATTGCAGTCTATCTTTCCTTCCAGATCACTTAATAATTGCTTTATGTATTTAGGTGCTTCAATATTGGGTGCATATATTGTACAGTTGTTATGTCCTATTGATGAATTAACCCCTTTAACATTATGTAATAAAATTTTGTCTCTTTCATAGTTTTTGACTTAAATCTTATTTTATCTGAGATAAAAATAGCTACCTCTGCTCTCTTTTGGTTGCCATTTGCATGGAATATCTTTTTCTATCCCTTCACTTTATTCTATGTGTGTTCTTACTATTTAAGCATATCACTTATACCTAGCATATAGTTGGTTCTAGCTTTTAAAAAATTTATTCAGCCACTATCTGTCTTTTTATTTAAAAATTTAATTCATTTGTATTCTAGGTAATTATTGATAGGTAAGAACTTATTACTGCCATTTTGTAATGCTGTTAAAGAATTCTTGCTTGAAAATATTTTTTCTTTAAAATTTAAAATATATCATTTCACTCTTTCCTGGTCTGCAGGATTTGCTGTTGAGAAATCTGCTGATAGCTGTGTTGGGGTTACCTTGATTGTGATGGTTCTTATCTCTTGCTACTTTCAGTATTCTTTCTTTGTTTTTGATTTTTTATAATTTGATTGTGATGTATCTTGGTAAACTTCTCTTTGGATTGAATATGATTGGTGACTTGAGTTTCTTATACCTGGATAGTCACATCTTTCTCCAGATTTGGGAAATTTTTAGCCATTATTTTCTAAATATATTTTCTAGGCCTTTCTCTCTCTGTTATCCTTTTTTTGAGTTCTTATTGTGCAATTATTAGTTTGCTTGATGCTGTCCCATAATTCCTGTAGGCCTCCCTGCTTCATTTGTTTCTCCCTTGGTTGGATAATTTTTAATCTCCTATCTTTGAGGACACCAATTCTTTCTTCTACGGGATCAAGTCTGCTTTTGAAGCTTTGTACTGAATTTTTCGTTTCAGTTATACTTTTTTAACTCTAGGTTTTCTGTTTTTTATTATTGTTTATTATTGCCAAACTTTTTATTTTGTTCATGAGTTGTTTTCTAAATTTTATTTGATTTTCTATCCATATATTCTTAGAGTTTCCTGAATTCCTGTAAGAGGATTATTCTCATTATTTGTCAGCTGTTTCATAGATCTCCATTTCTTCCAGAGAAAATTATTGTAGCATTATTAGTTTCTTTTGGAGGTGTCTATTTCCTGGATTTTTAATAATCCTGTTCTTACATTAATGCCTGAACATTTGAAAAGATGACTACCTCTTCTGGCCTTTGAAGGTGTTCTTTGGTGTGATACACCTTTAATATTAGTCTAGCCTGGGATTCTTGTTGGGTCAGCTGGTAGCAATCCTTCATAGGCAGACCTTAGTGTTGGGTTCTCTAGTATGGCTGGGTTACTTTTTGTCCTCTGAGGTTTAATGATACTTCTGGCTGTGCTCCATGGTCCAGTGAGACCACTGGCTGGACTCTGACATTAAATGGAGCTACCAACTGAACTCTGCAGTTGTCTCTGGCCAGGCAGGGATGCATGTTGTCTTTTCTGGCTAGGCAGTACTGTTGTTTTGAATCTGGAGTTAGGCAGGGCCATGTATTGGGCTCCAAGCCTGACTGAAGCTTCTGGGATTGCTGCTTAGCTATATGGTGTGGGCAGGGCCAGAGACATTTATGCACTTGGTCTTGCCTCCCAGCCCGGGCAGCCTTAAACAAAGAACCAAGAGTTGGTGGAGTCACCCCTCAGCATCTGGGGTTAGGTGGGGCCAAATGCTTCCTTTATGTGTAATCACTGACCTGCAATTACCTCCTGGCCTAGAAGAGACTTAACTAGCCTTTGGTCATTTTATAATTGGGTTATTTTAAACCTAAATTATTATTCATTCTCTACTTTCCAGGTAATAGAACATTTAGTCTTTTATTACATACGAGTTCAAATCAGCTTTGTGATGAAAAAAGTCACTAACATGTCAGGCTGTCTTAGGCAAGCAATTGACCTTTGGATATTTCTTCTTGCCCAAGTGCTGGAAAAAAGAAGGTTTGGCTGCTTGTGGAAATTATTTATCTGAGGCAGAGCAGTTACCAAGCATATTAAGTGAATCAATTTTATTCAGTGTGCTTATTGGTCCAATAAAAACTTTTATTTCCTTCATGTTTGGAAGGATAATGAGATAATGGCACTAACACCTGGCTGCCTTCAGTGAAATTTCTGATCAAAAGTAGTTTGGTGATATGGTTGGCTATGTACCCACCTAAATGCCATCTTGAGTTGTACTTCCCATAATCCCCACGTGTCATGGGAGGGAACCTGTGGGAGGTAATTGAATCATGGGGGTGGTTACCCCCATGCTGCTGATCTTGTGATAGTGAGTGAGTTCTCACAAGACTTGATGGTTTTATAAGGGGCTTTTTCATTTTTTGCTCAACACTTCTCCTTCCTGCCACCACGTGAAGAAGGAGACCTGATGGTTTTATAAGGGGCTTTTCCCCCTTTTGCTTGGCACCTCTCCTTCCTGCCACCAAGTGTTTGCTTTGCCTTTTGTCATAATTGTAAGTTTCTTGAGATCTCCCCAGGCATGCTGAACTGAGGTCAATTAAACCTTTTTCCTTTATAAATTACCCAGTCTCAGGGGTATGTCTTTATTAGCAGCATGGGAATGGACTGATAGTAAATTGGTATTAGTAGAGTGAGGGGCTGCTGTAAAGATACCTGAAAATGTGGAAGCAACGTTGGAACTGGGTAACAGGCAGGCAGAGGTTGAAACAGTTTGAAGGGCTCAGAAGAAGACAGGAAAATGTGAGAAAGTCTGGAACTTCCTAAAGACTTGGAGGGCTCAGAAGACAGGAAGATGTGGGCAAGTTTGGAACTTACTAGAGACTTGTTGAATGGCTTTGGCCAAAATGATATTGGTCAAAATCAGTGATATGAACAATAAAGTTCAGGCTGAGGTGGTCTCAGATGGAGATGAGGAACTTGTTGGGAATTGGAGCGAAGGTGACTCTTATTACACTTTAGTAAAAAGACTAGCAGCATTTTGCCCCTGCCCTAGAGATCTGTGGAACTTTAAATCTGGCAGAAGAAATTTCTAAGTGGCAAACCATTCAAGAGGAAGCAGAGCATAAAAGTTTGGAAAATTCGTAGTCTGATGATGCAATAGAAAAGAATAACTATTTTTTTTTTCTGAGGAGAAAGTCTAGCTGGCTGCAGAAATTTGCATAAGTAACAAGGAGCTGAATGTTAATCACCAAGACAATGGGGAAAATGTCTCCAGGGCATTTCAGAGACCTTTGTGGCAGCCCCTCCCATCACAGGCCCAGAGGCCTAGGAGAAAAAATGGTTTCATGGGCCAAGGGCCCTTCTGCTTTGTGCAGCCTAGGGACTTAGTGCCCTGTGACCCAGCTGCTCCAGCTGTGGCTAAAAGGGGCCAAGGTGCAGCTCAGGCTGTGGCTTCAGACGGTGGAAGCCCCACACGTTGGCATCTTCTAAGTGGTGTTGAGCCTGCAGGTACACAGAAGTCAAGAATTGAGGTTTGGGAACCTGCACCTAGATTTCAGAGGATGTATGTAAATGCCTGGATGTCTAGGCCAAAGTGTGCTGCAGGGCAGAATCCTCATGGAGAACATCTGCCAGGGCAGTGTGGAAGGGAAATATGGGGTGGGAGCACCCACACAGAGTCCCCACTGGGGCACTTTCAAGTGGAACTCTGAGAAGAGGGCCACTGTCCTCCAATCCCCAGGATAAAAGATGCACCAACAGCTTTCACTATGTACCTGAAAAAGCCACAGATACTTAACACCATCCTATGAAAGCAGCCATGGGAGAGCTGTACCCTGCAAAGCCAGAAGGGTGGAGCTAACCAAGGCCATGGGAGACCACCTTTTGCAACAGCATTTCCTAGATGTGAGACATGGAGTCAAAGAAGATCATTTTGGAACTTTAAGTTTTAATGACTGCCCTATTGGATTTGGGACTTGCATGGGGCCTGTAGCCCCTTCATTTTGGCCAATTTCTTCCATTTGGAACAGACCTATTTACTGAATGCCTGTACCTTTATTGTAACTAGGAAGTAACTAACTTGCTATTGATTGTACAGCCTCATAGGTGGAAGGGACTTGTCTCAGATGAGACTTTGGACTTTTGTGTTAATGCTGGAATGAGTTAAGACTTTGGGAGACTGTTGGAAGAGCACGATTGTGTTTTGAAATGTGAGGACATGAGATTTGGGAGGGACCGGGGTGCAATAATGTGACTTGGCTGTGTCCCTACCCAAATCTTATCTAGAATTGTAGTTCCCATAGTACCCACATGTTGTGAGAGGGAAATAATTGAATCATGGGGGTTATTCCCATGCTGCTATTCTCACAATAGTGAGTGAGTTCTCATAAAACCTGGTGGTTTTATAAGGGGCTTTCCCCCCTTTTGCTTGGCACTTCTATCTTCTGCCACCATGTGAAGAAGGACGTGTTTGCTTCCCCTTTGTACATTTCCTGAGGCCTCTCCAGCCATGCTGAATTGTGAGTCAATTAAACCTCTTTCCTTTATAAATTACCCAGTCTTGGGTATGTCTTTATTAGCAGCATTAGAACAGACTAATACATTTGGTCATTTAAAAAGATAAACTGGGAGAAGGAATAAAATACTACACACAAACATATACACACACAAATGCACACATGCATACACATACTCTAATACCTTTCTATACAAAAAAATTCTTATATACATTATCCTTTACAACACACATCTTCCTGGGAAATGCATCTCTAATGTAACACTCTATTTTCCCCTGTGTATAAACATATACCTAGTCACAGACACAGAGATGAACACAGTTCCACAACACGCCCATACTTAAATACATTCACAAACACACCTGTTCATATGTATTATATGACAGCATTATATAAAATGTTCACTCCTAAGTGTTAACATTGTATTGCAATTTTCTGGATATTTACCTCAACAATTCTTACAGACATATCACACAACTGCCTTCTCACACAACATATTACTTGGCTAATAAATACAGCTGAAATGTTCCTCCTGTCTTCCTTCACCACACACTGATACACACACTGATTTTAATTCCTGTGTCTGTGAAATTGTCTTTTGCTTACAAGCTGCTGAAACTTGTTAATGCTTTCACGTAGCTAATTTTCTGTTTTGCAAGCACAAATCTCACTGGATTTCTTCTAATCTAGAGGATACTGTTATCAGGTAGGAAACAACAACAAAAAAGTATAACTAAAGGAGGCTCCTCCATTTTTCATTAATGGAATTAGTCCATGTTCCTGGTAAATAGATGAAGTGCAAGAGTTCAGAAAGGAGAATGAGGGGACACCAAAGGGAATTTGTTTGTTCTCTGTATTGTGCTCCAGAAAGGAAATATTTCTCTAGATAAGCTTTTTTAAAAAATAGTTTTTGATGCCACCAAAAGACAATATGTAATATGTATGTAAGTTATGAAGCATAACAGTAACTCACTATCCAGTGTAGTTCTATGACATAACAAAACCTAATTCTTTGTTCTCCTAATCTCATCTCTTTTTCTCAACTCCCTTAATATAATAACTTCAGAACATTTTAACTCTGATTACCTACCGATTCCTCAACTTATGTTACTGTTGTCTAGTATTTTATTTCTGCTCTCTAAAACCCCAGATTAGACATTATTGTTATTTTTTAACAATAACTTTATAATGACATATCCTCCAGAAACTGCTTGGGCTTGTGCTTTCTTCTGCACAGTGCTTTTAACCAGGCCTGACCCTTCTGAACTGAGTCTTCTAAAACATTATTAAAGCAACCGTGAGGGGAGGGCAAGATGACCAACTAGACACAGACAGGTGAAACAGTTGCCACTGAGGGACCAAGAAGACTGGCACAGTCCTAATAGATCTTCAGAGGGAAAGCACCAAGAGTGGATGAAGGAAAGACACAGAAGCTCGGCTGAAAGGAGAGGAAGCTGAGAACCCTGCATGGGGCTACCATGCAACAGGACTTGTTTTTGACCCTCAATAATCCTGGGGCAATTAGTGAGTTGAACCAGCAAGGAGTAACCTGCTGTCACTACAGGCCTCTGCAATCCTGGCAGGAGGAAACCTCTCAACAACAACAGACACTCAAGTTGGCAGGTGAACTGCTTAAAGAAGTGGTGGGGCTGCTGCTGAGGTGGAGCCCAAGGGGTTTGGTGTGGGATCCTCTGTAGTTGAGCATGGCCAGGGAAGCCCATCTCTCTAGGCTCAAATTGCTCCCATAGGAGACTTTAGCCCTAGGGGAACTTCCAGACCTGAACCCTGCAAGGCTGTCTTGCCCATTATTCAGAGCTAGTTCCGCCTGAGAACCCCTTGGTCTACTGGCCTCTCAGGGCCTTCTGTTGCAGGGCAATCTAGGGTGCCCTGGGGGCCCACATCATAGCTCCTGCACTGGTGGACATGCCTGATTGGTAGGGAACTCCAGCAGTGCAACTCCTATAGCCATGCACCAGACCACCCACTCCTTCCCCATACTGTAGCTTCTCCTGGGATCACAGCAAACCCCCACATTGTATTGCTGGTACATGTGTGTGTGAGCAGGTTTTGCCTTCCTTGCCCCACCAACATGCATGTTTGTGTGCACCCTGCCCTGCCACTGCTGTGGTGAGAATGAACCCTATCTCCTCTCCCCCTAGACCGACATTGCAGTTGCAGCCTTGATGGGCACAGTGCCAACCAGTCCTACCCCTGCCTGTGACATGCACTTGCGCCAACACTACTACAGGAGTAAAACTAGGTACAGAGAACAGTGAAACCTTCTGTTTCCTGAGAACCCCTGTCTGTGGTTCACAGAGAGTGCACATAGACCCATGTCTGCCAGTGCCTTGACTGTGTGCTAACTGCACCACAGCATGACTGCACACACAGTTGACAGCACAGCCCCACTGCACACCCTTCAGCTCTGCTGCCTCCACCACTGTGGTGAATGCTTGCACAGAGGAAGGCACCCTAGCACCTACTTGCATTCTGCCACAGCTGATGAGTGCATACCCACTGCACTGCTATTGTTGCTAGCATGTGCAATTGAGGATGGATCCACTGCCACCACACTATAAAATGCTTTAGCTGATATCACCAATGAGAATGTAGTGATCAGGGGACTGGGAGCACCTCGGTCCCCCAAGCACAGTGGATTCCTAACCTTGAGGAGCCAGAGAACAAAGTTAGGGACCAATACAAGTCCTCCAGAGTTAGAGCATGCAATCCAGGAGTTGAGAGCTGAGCGTTGGCCCCCTAAAATTTTCTAGAAACAAAGCCAGTCAGGTGAATCCAGTTTATACCAATCAAACCCTCAAGGTCATCAAACAGGATAAAAGAAAAAAAATCCAAAGGATGGTAACGTTAAAGATTGAAAAGACATCAGCCTACAAAGATGAGAAAGAACCAATGCAACAACTCTGAGTGCCTTCTTTCTCCAAAGAACTGTACCACCTCTCTAGCAAGGGTACTGAACAGGGCTGAGATGGCTAAAACAATAGAAATATAATTCAGAATATGAACAGGAACAAAGATCATTGAGATGCAATGATCATTGAAACCCAATCCAAGGAATTTAAGTCACAATAAAATGATACAGGGGCTGACAGACAAAATAGCCGAGATAGAAAACTATATAACTGACCTGATAAAGGATAAAACACACAACAAGAATTTCAAAATGCAATCATGAGTATTAATAGCAGAATAGACTAAACTGAGAAAAGAATCTCAGAGCTTGAAGACCAGGTTTCTGAAATAAGACAGTCAGATAAGAATAGAGAAAAAAGAATAAAAAGGAATAAACAAAACCTCTGAGAAATATATTATGTAAAGAGACCAATTCTATGACTCTTTGGTGTCCCTGAAAGAGATGGGGCAAGTGTAAGCAACTTGGGAAACATATTTCAAAATATCATCCATGAGAACTTCCCCAACCTAGCTAGAGAAGCTAAAATTCACATTCAGGAAATACAGAGAAGTTGCTTCATAATAAGATCATCCCCATGATACATAATCCTCAGATTCTCCAAAGTTGAAATGAGAGAAAAAGGCAGCTAGACAAAAACGTTATGTCACCTATGAGGAAAGCCAATCAGACTAACAGAGGACCTCTCAGCAGAAACCTACAACCCAACAGATATTGGGGGGTAAATATTCAACATTCTCAAATAAAAGAAATTCAAACCCGGAATTTCATGTCTGCCCAAACTAATCTTCACAAGTGAAAGAGAAATAAGATATTTTTCAGATAAGCAAATGCTGAGAGAATTTATTACCACAAGACCCACCTTACAAGAGCTCCTGAAGGCATCATTAAACATAAAAGGAAAGACCATTACCAACCACTACAAAAACACACTGAAGTACACAGACCAGTGACATTATAAAGCAACCACACAAACAAATCTGCATAATAACCAGTTAACATGATGATAAGATTAAATCCATACACATCAATACTAATCTTGAATGTGAATGGGCTAAATGCCCCAATTAAAAGGCACAGAGTGACAAGCTGGACAAAGAACCAAGACTCATTAATATGCTGTCTCCAAGAGACCCATCTCACATGCAATGACACCCACAGGCTCAAAATAAAGAGATGGAGAAAAATCTACCAAGAAAATGAAAAACAGAAAAAGGCAGGGGGTGCAATTCTAATTTCAGACAAAACAGATTTCAAATCAACAAAGATTAAAAAAAAAAAGACAAGAAAGTACGTTACATAATGGTAAAGGGTTTGCACCCAATACAGAAGCACCCAGATTCATAAAGAAAGTTCTTAGAGACTTTGAAAGAGGTTTATATTCCCACAGATAATAGTGGGAGACTTCAACATCCCACTGACAGTATTAAACACATCATCAAGACAGAAAATTAACAAAGATATTTAGGACCTGAATTCAGCACTGAATCAAATGAAGCTAATATACATCTACAGAACTCTCCACTCAAGAGCAACAGAGTATGCATTCTTCTCATCAATACATTACACATACTATAAAACTGACCACATAATTTGACACAAAACACACCTCGGCAAATGGGATTTGCTGTGCAAACTAAAGAGTTTCTGCACAGCAAAAGAAACTATCAACAGAGTAAACAGACAACCAAGAGAATGGGAGAAAAATTTTGCAAACTATGTATCTGACACAGGTCTAATATCCAGCATCTATAAAGAACTTAAACAAATTTACAAGAAAAAAACAAACAACCCCATTAAACAATGGGCAAAGAATATGAACAGAGACTTCTCAAAAGAAGACATACATGCAGCCAACAATCATATGAGAAAAAACTAAACATCACTGATCAGTAGAGAAATGCAAATCAAAACCACAATGAGGTACCATCTCACACCAATCAGAATGGCTATTATTACTATTATTTAGTTTATATGATGACTTTCTAGTACACCCATAGTTTTTATTTATTCTAGTAAATGTTATTTTTTTCCTTGTGTATATTAGATTTTTTATTTTTTATTATACTTTAAGGTCTGGGGTACATGTGCAGAAAGTGCAGTTTTGTTACATAGGTATACACGTGCCACGGTGGTTTGCTGCACCCATCAACCTGTCATCTACATTAGGTATTTCTCCTAATACTATCCCTTCCCTAGCCCTCCACCCCACAACAAGCCCCAGTGTGTGATGTTCCCCACCCTGTGTCCAAGTGTTCTCATTGTTCAATTCCCACCTATGAGTGAGAACGTGCAGTGTTTGGTTTACTTTTCTTGTGATAGTTTGCTGAGAATGATGGTTTCCAGCTTCATCCATGTCCCTGCAAAATATATGAACTCATCCTTTTTTGTGGCTGCATAGTATTCCATGGCCTATATGTGCCACATTTTCTTAATCCAGTCTATCACTGATGGACATTTGGATTGGTTCCAAGTCTTTGCTGTTGTGAATAGTGCTGCAATAAACATATGTGTGCATGTGTCTTTATAGTAGCATGATTTATAATCCTTTGGGTATATACTCAGTAATTGGATCGCTGGGCCAAATGATATTTCTAGTTCTAGATCCTTGAGGAATCACCATACTGTCTTCCACAATGGTTGAACTAATTTACACTCCCACCAACAGTGTAAAAGCATTTCTATTTCTCCACATCCTCTCCAACATCTGTTGTTTCCTGACTTCTTAGTGATCACCATTCTAACTGGCATGAGACAGCATCTCATTGTGGTTTTGATTTTCATTTCTCTAATGACCCTTGATGATGAGCTTTTTTTCATATGTTTGTTGGCTGCATAAATGTCTTCTTTTTAATATATATATTTTTATTATACTTTAAGTTCTATGGTACATGTGCACAATGTGCAGGTTTGTTACATACGTATACATATGCCATGTTGGTGTGCTGCACCCATTAGCTCATCATTTATATTAGGTATATCTCCTAATGCTATCCCTCCCCACTGCTCCCACCCCACAATAGGCCCTGGTGTGTGATGTTCCCCCTCCTGTGTCCAAGTGTTCTCATTGTTCAATTCCCACATGTGAGTGAGAACATGCGGTGTTTGGTTTTTTGTCCTTGTGATAGTTTGCTGAGAATGATGGTTTCCAGCTTCATCCATGTCCCTACATAGGACATGAACTCATCATTTTTTATGGCTGCATAGTATTCCATGGTGTATATGTGCCACATTTTCTTAATTCGGTCTATCATTGTTGGACATTTGGGTTGGTTCCAAGTCTTTGCTATTGTGAATAGTGCCTCAATAGACATAAGTTTGCATGTGTCTTTATAGCAGCATGATTTATAATCCTTTGGGTATATACCCAGTAATGGGATGGCTGGGTCAAATGGTATTTCTACTTCTAGATCCTTGAGGAATCGCCACACTGTCTTCCACAATGGTTGAACTAGTTTACAGTCCCACCAACAGTGTAAAAGTGTTCCTATTTCTCCGCATCCTCTCCAGCAGCTGTTGTTCCCTGACATTTTAATGATTGCCATTCTTCCTGACTTTTTAATGATCACCATTCTAACTGGTGTGAGATGGTATCTCATTGTGGTTTTGATTTGCATTTCTCTGATGGCCAGTGATGATGAGCATTTTTTCATGTGTCTGTTGGTTGCATAAATGTCTTCTTTTGAGAAGTGTCTGTTCATATCCTTCGCCCACTTGTTGATGGGGTTGTTTTTTTCTTGTAAATTTGTTTGAGTTCTTTATAGATTCTGGATATTAGTCCTTTGTCAGATGAGTAGATTGCAAAAATTTTCTCCCATTCTGTAGGTTGCCTGTTCACTCTGATGGTAGTTTCTTTTGCTGTGCAGAAGCTCTTTAGTTTAATTAGATCCCATTTGTCAATTTTGGCTTTGTTGCCATTGCTTTTGGTGTTTTAGACATGAAGTCCTTGCCCAGACAGGGATGCCCTCTCTCACCACTCCTATTCAACATAATGTTGGAAGTTCTGGCCAGGGCAGTCAGGCAGGAGAAAGAAATAAAGGGTATTCAATTAGGAAAAGAGGAAGTCAAATTGTCCTTGTTTGCAGATGACATGATTGTATATCTAGAGAACCCCACCATCTCAGCCCAAAATCTCCTTAAGCTGATAAGCAACTTCAGCAAAGTGTCAAGATACAAAATCAATGTGCAAAAATCACAAGCATTCTTATACACCAACAACAGACAAACAGAGCCAAATCATGAGTGAACTCCCATTCACAATTGCTTCAAAGAGAATAAAATACCTAGGAATCCAACTTACAAGAGATGTGAAGGACCCCTTCAAGGAGAACTACAAACAACTGCTCAATCAAATAAAAGAGGATACAAACAAATGGAAGAACATTCCATGCTCATGGATAGGAAGAATCAATATCATGAAAATGGCCATAGATGTCTTCTTTGGAGAAGTGTCTGTTCATATCCTTCCCCCACTTTTTGATAGGGTTGCTTGTTTTTTTTTCCTTGTAAATTTGCTTAAGTTCTTTGTAGATTCTGGATATTAGCCCTTTGTCAGATGAGTAGATTGCAATTTTTTTTTTTCCCATTCTGTAGGTTGTCTGTTCACTCTGTTGGTAGTTTCTTTTGCCATGTAGAAGCTCTTTAAGTTTAATTAGATCCCATTTGTCTATTTTGGCTTTTGTTGCCATTGCTTTTGGTGTTTTAGTCATGAAGTCCTTGCCCATGCCTATGTCCTGAATGGTATTGCCTAGGTTTTCTTCTAGGGCTTTTATGGTTTTAGGTCTTATGTTTAAGTCTTTAATCTATCTTAAGTTAATTTTTGTGTAAGGTGTAAGGAAGAGGTCCAGTTTCAGTTTTCTGCATATGGCTAGCCAGTTTTCCCAACACCATTTATTAAATATGGAATCCTTTCCCCAATGCTTGTTTTTGTCAGGTGTGTCAAAGATCAGATAGTTGTAGATGTGTGGTGTTATTTCTGAGGCCTCTGTCTGTTCCATTGGTCTGTATCTCTGTTTTGGTACCAGTACCATGCTGTTGTGGTTACTGCAGGCTTACATTTCGGTATGTTTTTGCAGTGGCTGGTATTGGTTTTTCCTTTCGATATTTAGTGCTTCCTTTAGGACATCTTGTAAGGCAGGCCTGATGGTTACAAGAGGTAACTATCCTAAATATATATGCACCCAATACAGGAGCACCCAGATTCATAAAGCAAGTTCTTAGAGACCTACAAAAAGACTTAGACTCCCACACAATAATAGTGGGAGACTTTAACACCCCACTGTCAATATTAGGCAGATCAATGAGACAGAAAATTAACAAGGATATTCAGGACTTGAACTCTGCTCTGGGTCAAGCGGACCTAATAGACATCTACAGAACTCTCCACCCCAAATCAACAGAATACACATTCTTCTCAGCACCTCATCACACTTACTCTAAAATTGACCACATCATTGGAAGTAAAACACTCCCCAGCAAATGCAAAAGAACAGAAATCGTAACAAACAGTCTCTCAGACCACAGTGTAATCAAATTAGAACCCAGGATTAACAAACTCACTCAAAACCGCACAACTACATGGAAACTGAACAACCTTCTCCTGAGTGACTACTGGGTAAATAATGAAATTAAGGCAGAAATAAAGATGTTATTTGAAACCAATGGGAACTAAAACACATGTACCAGAATCTCTGGGACACATTTAAAGCAGTGTTTAGAGGAAAATTTATAGCACTAAATGCCCACAAAAGAAAGCAGGAAAGATCTAAAATTGACACTGTAACATCAAAATCAGAATGGCTATTATTAAAAAGTCCAAAAGTTCCAGATGCTTGCAAGGTTGTGGAAAAAAAAAATGAACACTTTTACACTGTCAGTGGGAGTAAAAATTAGTTCAACCATTGTGGAAGACAGTGTGGCAATTACTCAAAGACCTAAATATGGACATACCATTCGACCCAGCAATCTCATTACTGGTTATATGCCCAAAGGAATATAAGTCATTATATTATAAAGACACATGCACACATGTGTCTTTGACCTGTGTTCATTGCAACACTATTCACAGTAGCAAAGACGTGGAATCAACCCACATGCCCATCAATGATAAACTGGGTAAAAAAATGTGGTACATATACACCATGGAATACCATGCAGCCACAAAAAAGAGCAAGATCATGTTTTTTGCAGGGACATGGATGCAACTGGAGGTCATTATCGTTAGCAAACTAATGCAGGAACAGAAAACCAAATACTGCATGTTCTTACTTATAAGTGGGAGCTAAATGAGAGCATATGGACACATAGAGGGGAACAACATAAACTGGGGCACAATGGAGTATGGAGGGTGAGAAGAGGGAAAGGATCAGAAAAAATAACTAATAGATACAAGGCTTAGTACCTGGGTGAAATAATCTGCACAAAAACATCCTCATGAAATACATTTACCTATGTAACAAACTTGCCCATCCTTCACATGTACCCTTGAACTTGAAATAACAGTTTTTTTTTTTTTTTTTTTTTTTTTTTTAAAGAAAAAGGTATTATTGCACTGTTTTCTGGCTTTGATAGTTGTTGAGAAGTTTGCTGCCAGCTTTGTATTACCTATTTTTCTCTCTGGCTACTTTAATATCTTCTCTTTGTCTTGATATTCCATGTTTTGACTATAATGTGTCTAGGTATGGATTGATTTATTCTGCTTGGGATACATTATGTTTTGTGTTAATCCCCAATTACTGTCTTCTCAAATATCATCTCTTACCTGTTTTTTTTCTATTTTTTCATGTTGGGAAGCTGATTCATTGGCTGTAAGATCTTCTCATTCTGTTTTCCATATATTTTCACTTCTTATTTCTGCTTCCCATCCTTTTGTGTTGTGTTATTAGCCAGTTCTATCACTCTACTTTTTTCGTCTTCCTTACGTGTAATTGGATATTTAACCCCAACTTAGACTTTTTTCCAACAATGGTTTCATTTCTGGAAGCAATTACAAACATACCTGGCCATTTCTATTACAGGTTGAGTATCCCTTATCAGAAATACTTTGGACAAAAAGTGTTTTGAATTTTGGAATATTTGTGTCATGCTTATCAAATGAGCATCCCAAATCCAAATATTTGAAATTTGAAAGGCTCCAGTGAACATTTCCTTTAAGCATCTTGTTGGCGCTCAAAATGTTTTAGAATTTGGAGTATTTTGAATTTTGGATTTTCAGATTTGGAATGCTCAGCTCATAATTTCTCATTTCTTCTTCATTTTTATGATTCAAATTTTTGTTTTTTTATATGTTATATTCATAATTGCATTCTGGTCTATATTTGATAATTAAAGAATTCAGAGTTCTTAGAGATCTAAGTATATTGATGGCTGTTTCTATGGAGTCTCACTCATGATGGCTTGTATTCTTGTATTTTTGTAATATTTGACTGTATTATATTTATTTAATTTCACTTTCTAGGAACTATGTGGGCCTAAATTGTCCATGGTTTTCTTCACAGAAGATTCCATTGGCTTCTGCTAAGGGATTCTCACAATTTGGAGCTACAATGCCCTCTTTAATGGTCTCTGACTTTATTGTGAGTGTTTCAAACTCAGGTCCCCATTTTGCTGCTGTACCAAGATATTGCTTTAGTATTGCTAAAATGTTTGCTCTTGAGGCAACCCCATTCTAAAAGCCTGCTGATTACTTCCAGACCTGCTTTCAGCTTTGGTAGAGGTGTGAGGGCCCTGGAGATTTCCATTTTTTCCTGAAGACCTAGTAATGCATTAAAAATAATATTTTATCTGGGATATAGTTGTTTTAGTGCAATAGTTCTTTAGATTATATAGTCTGTGACTCTGCCAAAAATGAATTTGCAAACTCTGGTTTTAATTGATAATCTGCTCACTCTACAGATGTTGAAAATCTCCCAGTAGGATCTGTGCTTATGAAAATACTTTGATAAATATTTCAGAGGATTTGACCATAGGAGCTTAGAGACTGATGTAGGAAATAGGTCAGGCATACTTAAGAATATGTAGCCAACAAAGATACAGACATCACTGCTGAGGACTGGAAACTGGTTTATGCCTGCAGTTAGGAAGAGTGAATGGCCAGCCAATTTGTGATGGAGATTGTTTTACATTTTTACAGTCAAGGCTTAGTATTATTTTAACCTCTTTAATGAAGGCTTCTCTGATACCATAAAATAACTGATCTCCCTCCAACCCCCAACCTCCAACTCAGTTCAACTGTACTTTGTATCTCTCTTACGCATGTATTAAAATTCCTAGGCTAGTCTCTGAACTCCCTGAGTTCAGGGTGTTTGCCACACGTTTTTACATATCGCTCCAATACTTGGCATTGTGCCAGGCAAATCATGGTATACAAACCATATTTATTGAATTAGTTAATTATATGTTCTATTGCAAGCATTGCAAACATTTATACACTTCTCTCCATTTATAGTGTAAGTCCCCAGACTGGGTCTTATTTAATCTTTTTATTCTCTCAACATCTAGCTTAGAGTCTTAAATAAGATAGGTATTGAAAAATATAAGTAAGTGAACTAAGTAAATGTTAAATAAATATGCCTTTGAATGTTGGATAACGATTTTAAGTCTTGATGCTTTCCTGTAAGGTATTAGTGCCTATAAATAAGTGAAGACACACTTTGCATTCCCACAAGTATATATGACCATTTCATCCTGCATTTTCTGGTGAAGACTCATCCTGCTCTACTCTTTCATGTGCAGGTTTGTATTTTGTATATTGAATATTTCTTTTCCAAAATATAAGTGTAAATAGAATTCTAAATTTCCTATTTTCTAAGGATTTAATTGTGTCCTCTCAAAATTCATACATTGAAGCCCTAACCCCCTAATGTGACTATATTGAAAGATGGAGCCTATAAGGAGGTAATTAAAGTTAAATGAGGTCATAAGGATATGGCCCTGATTCAACGGCATTGGTGTCCTTGTAAGACACACAGAGCAAGCGTTCTCTCTCTCTCCTCTCATTCTCTCTTTCCTTCATTCTTTCCCTCTCTCCCTCTCTTCCTCTCTCTGTGGAGAAAGCAGGCATTTCCCAGCCAGGAAAAAGCCCTCACCAGAACCTGACCACGCTGGCACCCTGATCTTGGACCTCCAGCTTCCAAACCTTTTAGAAATATATTTCTATTGTTTAAGCTACCCAGTCTAAAGTATTTTTTTAATGGCAGCCTGAGCTGACTAAGACCTTTTGTTTTTGGTTTGAATATTTATAGGTAATGCACAATGTCATCACAATTTATGCTTCATTTTTATAAGTGTCTGAGGGATTGAAAGGACTACAGAAGGGAAAAGAAGGGAATAATGTGGGATACTACCTGAGGAACTTCTACTTGAATTACATTCTAAGGGAGCTAATGACGTGGCTTATAGGAGGGGGGTATTTTAGGTTAGAAAGAAATATTAGAACTGAGGTTATAGCCATTCATCTAATCACTCAAGAAATATACAGACTTTTTTCTGATGCCACGAATGGAGGTCCATCTGACTCATAACTTACAGGAAAAAAACACTACACAAAATAGTCCTTCAGTAAATGCTGAAATCATGAAAGGTCTGTTTTTCCCACTCTGAGAAATCCATTTACCTTTCTGAATGTGTATAGAGCACTTACTAATCTCCTTGACCACTTTGGGTTGAGGAGGGTACAAAGGAGGAGGCCATCCTACAAATTATTTTAATTATTTTATTGTGTATTGAATCCCTTGTTTGGGGTCAGGTGTTTAATACTTGCAGTCAACCTGTGGTTTCTCTTTGTGTCATCTCATTTCATGTTCATTCCTGCTGCTTGGTATGGGTGAGAACCTCCACCTTTACCTTGGACAGCTGGATAAATTTCATGTGAGACTATCTCTTGAAACAATAAATTGCTTTCTTCTTTGAACTGAAGTATAATTTGTTCCCTGACAAATGAAGCCCACCAGCTCCCACCTGCCTGAAATTGAAAAAGTAAGGACATCAGATTACTCCTGAACTCCTTTTGAGAAGGAGCCTTCTGTGAGTATGAAACTTAATGACTGCACCTAATAGTTTCAGTCTATTCCATCAAAAGGTTTGCAGAGCAAGGCTGCTCCATTGTCATTGGTCTTTACTTATTGTATTTTGCAAAGGAACAGAATTGGACCATGCAATATGCATTGTTTTTTATTATTCATACTTGAGGTAAAACAAAGCTGATGGCTTTTTGGGGATTTAGATAAGACCAGAGAGTTTTACTTCCATGTAGGATCAGAAAGTACCGTGTTGTCCTGTATTTGAAGTAGAGACACTTGTGACTGGCTTGATACTGGCATTTGCTTCCCAGATGGACCAGTATCTAATTCAGAAAGATTTAGAGAACCACTTCTGTCCCTTGTTTATGCTAGGCACTGTGAGAAAAGCAAGAGAAGTTTACAACACTGCCTCTGACCGCTGAAGCTTTCATCTCTGCTTCTAGAGAGAAGAAAAGATACAATTAAGAAATTTGTGTGCTAAATGCTAGGGTAATATGGGTTCTAGAAATTTTGGCACAATCTTTTTGGTATAGGTGTTAGTAAAGGGGCATCAGCTGCATCTATTTTGGAAGAAAAACTGAGTTTGACAATAACATTTCAAAATCTTTATTATTTTAGAGAAGAAATTGCGTGGCCGATCCAGGAACGCTATCTCAGCACTGAACAAAGACTACTTTTATTGAAGTCACTGTCATTTTACAATGATCTGATTTGCTTTTGATAGAGTCCTCAGAACATCTTGGAGCAAGGTGCTCAGGCTTCAAGTTAAGACTTTGCTTTTTATAACCATGAAGAGTTTTTTAACATTGTAAAAAAGTATGACATTTAAATAGGGGAAAACTAACAAAAACACACAAAATTCTATTATCTGGTAAAAAATAACTTTTTAATTTTTTTGTTCTAAATATAGTTGGTTATGATTAGCATGTATCTTTGATGTTTATTTTTTCTTTTACTCTATTGTCTTTTAGGAAACACCAATTATCTTTATTTTGTATTTCTATTTTTTTTGTTGTTTTTTTCTTACACATTTTTGATTCTCTCTACTTTCTTTGACATTTTGTATGGTATACTTTTTCTTTTAATTCAGTCTAAATTTCTGCAATGATATTTTTCTTCTGCTTAATTTTCTTCCTTAGCTCCTCAGCCTCCATTTTACCCATTCTGTAATCTCTTGTATTAGATATTTTTTTAAAAAATAAAGTATCATTTGTCTTTTATTCTTTTTGAAAGTGGAAGGCAATTGTTGCCTCAAATGTTCCTTATCTTTCAGAAATAGTCTGTCTTTAGCTTTTACTTGTTTCTTTCCTGTATCCATCTCAGAATTTTTGTTAGATTCCATGTTGATTTTTTAAAAATTTTTCTTTGTGCACAGGTAAGCTTTTGTTTGCTGGTGTGTTATCTCATTCAAGGCAATTATTTCTAGATTACAGCCAATCTTTCTTCTGTTAGTCAGTGACAAATTTATCTGGTTGCTGGCTGCAGTTTGCTTTTTATACTCAGTCGGTGAAAAGATTTAAGTTCAGGCCGGGCACGGTGGCTCATGTCTGTAAATCCCAGCACTTTGGGAGGCCGAGGCCGGCAGATCACCTGAGGTCAGGAGCTCAAGACCAGCCTGGCCAACACAGTGAAATCCCATCTCTACTAAAAATACAAAAATTAGCCGGGCATGGTGGCCTGTGCCTGTAGTCCCAGCTACTGGGGAGGCTGAGGCAGGAGAATCGCTTGAACCTGGGAGGCAAAGGTTGCAGTGAGCCAAGATTTTGCCACTGCACTCCAGTTAAATAAAATAAAGTAAGTGCAATATTAACAACTCTCTCCTGGTCTACTCATCTCCTTAATCCCCATGTTACAGATGAAATAGCTGGGGCAAAGAGAAGTCGGGGGCAAGTCTTAACATAGATAGTGACAGGACAAGGACTGGATGCCTTTTTTCCTGAAAGACCCTTATCCCAGAGATTTTGCTACACAAAGTACTGTGTCAGAAAGTTTATAAGGATTTTGACCTTCTTGTTAAACAAGTCAGCCATCCAAGGGAGATGACAGCTTTGCACAGATATTTGGTTCTGGAACTGATGCTATTAATTTGAGCTGTCTTTGTGGTTGGGCTTACTTATGAATGTAATTCCTTTAGTCAAAGGATATGAGATTACCAAATATTTCACTGTGCCACAACGTGGGTCACTATTTTTCTGTCTTCCTATAGTGACTTTCTTGCCATTTTGCCAGCCTTATCTAACAGTTTCTTGTGATATTTCCAGCGTCCTAAAAATGGTCTCCTGAGCATTTTTAGCCTCCTATAACAGTTTATTTGCTCCCTAATGTCTGTTTCCACAACAAATTCCATACACTGTAGGTTATTGCCATATCAGACCTCACTTTCAGTATCAACTTCTTAAATCAGTTATCTATTGCCATTATATGGTGCTGTATAACAAGCCACGCACCAGACAGCAGATGATTGGTGCTAGAAACAATCAACATATATCAAACATCTTTCAGACCTAGGTATTGTTCTAGATGCTGAGATTCACTTTTGGAGGAGTGGTCATGGTGGTGAGAAGTGCATTGCGGGTGGAGATGGCAAACTGACAATTCATAACTTTATCAAGAAAAGCGCACCGATAAAACTCTGCTGTAGCCCCTCAGGGACTCTCCACCACTACTATAGTCCATTGGCAACGTTTACTTCACAAAGTTGCATAATGAGCTCTGTTCATATGTCACATCTTCCCATAAATGGCTTGGTTCTGTTGTGCCCACTTCTTGGCTTGTTGGCTATAACTTCCTCTTTTTCTCCCATTCAAGAAGACATATCAGTATGTTAGTAACTGAGGATTATGAATGTTATTACAGGACTAACTTTGAACTTGTAGTGTATCAAAACAGTTAATCATATAAAAAAACCTTAGTTATTTAAACTTTATCTGTAATATCTCACTTATGAACCATCTCTCTCCTGGTTGTAAATTACCAATTTGTTTACTGACTGGCAAATATTATGATGGAAAAGTGTTTGATGAGATAAAGTTAAGATTCATTAACATTCAGTAATGCAAGACCCTCCATGCTGTCTTTGCTTAGCTCTCTGCCCCCAGTCTCATTGCTTGCCTACCAAACTGATTGTAGGAGCCGCATGATGCACATGACCTTGCTTCTAACCTACCTGGATGTTTTCACACTCTGCTGTCTCTTTGAAGTGACTTCCTCTTCTTTCTTCCCTCTTCCTTGCAGTGGCTGTTATGATCTTTAAAGATCTGGTTCAAACATCACCTCCTCCATGAGGTTTTTCTGGTTTACCTCGGTCTACTCCCCCAAATCCTCCTCTAAGCTCTTACAACATTCTTTGCATAGCTCTATCCTTACCACATAGTGTACCTACTTTAAATTTTTGTGCCTATTATCTGACTAGACTGATCTCCTGTGGACAAGCACTACGTCTTGTTGTACCTTGAATCCCCAGAGTCTAGCACAGTGCCTGACACACTCTATACACATGTGTTTATCACTGAATGAAAGGGAACGATAATTAATACATGAATGAGAATATAGGCATACAAATATACTTGCAAATTTCAAGTTTTAAATTTGTAAAGTGGCAAATTTACTGGACTAAGGATAGGCTCAACTGTCTGTCTCATGCTTGAACTCCTGGAAGACAGAAGATAGCTCTTTCTAGAGGTCTCAATTCTGTTGCTTTCCAACCCAGGGTACTCCTGATTTGAATATCTTCCAATTCTCTTACTGACCTTTTTCTTTTTTACTTAATTAAAAATGGTTAACACATAACTATTAAATTGTTAATAAGAAGGAATAATCTCACTATTAATTTGAAAATATTTTATTCAGAGGATAGACTTGCTGCAAGATTTCAGTGTTGGCTGCACAATAATTAATGAATTTAATTTCTGGTGCTAAATACATCATAATTTGAGGCTGAGGTTATTTGCTAATTGCAATTAGGCTCAGAAGAGAGCCTGTTTTCTTATCCTGCCATCATCTGTTTACTTCCTTTTAAAAGCACATATCCCCAAATAAACCTTCTAGAAGGTTGAGTTGACAAGAACACTGGGACCTCTCTCTGGACTTCAGAATGCCCATGAGTTTGTGTTTGCTGAGGATTGTGACAGTTTGCTCTCATACACAGATCACATGCAGGCAGGTCTGGGTCTGAAGGCCTCCTTCAGCTCTTGCTCCCTGTGTGACTTTGAGAGAGCTACTTCACCTTTTGAGCCCTAGTTTCCTCATCTGATAAAACAAGGATTACTAATACCTAAGTCATAACTACATGTAGTATATTTAAAAATCTGGGACACAATAGATGCTCAATACTTGGTACTAATATTGTAATCTCTGCTTCAACAGGGTTGAGGATCTCTCTATCCAATTACGAGCTAAGTGCCAAATACATTGAGATTCAGGCCCACCTTTCTAACTCCCCTGCACCTGCAGCCTGGCTCTAATGCTCTCACTTTGAACTGTTATTCTTACAGTCACCACCCTTTCAATGCATCATCACCCGGCTCCCAGGTTGTAAAATGAGAAGGGCTGTGATCTGCCAAGGCTAAACCATGGATGAAGGGTACCCTTCTTGGGGTCAGGCCTTCAAGGACTATGGCCTTCACTTGCCTGACCTCTCTGTGTCACTCCGATGCCTTGGCTCCCTGTTAGGAGAGCCCCTTTTTAAAACCCAGAGTTAAAGCAGGCAGGTGTGTGTCTCATCTTTCATTGTGTATTTCTTTTTTTTTGTGCTGATGGGAATGGTATTGGATGCAGCAAGCCAAGGAAGAGAGGGGATGCAGATGGGGGCAGGAGCCCTGTGGTATTCGATTCCCTCAACTGCGTGCTGCAGAACCAACTGCTCGGCAATGGGCCCCGCTCATTATACACCACATCCACTGGTAGAGCCTCAGTGCATCCCAAACCTGACTTAGCAGGCAGCCTCCACCTTCTCAACTAATTGAAAGGCAGCTGAGGGGACAGCTGTTCATGCTAACCTGGCCATAAAAAGCTTCTGAGGTTTGTGTTTGCAGTTCTCACAGAGGGAGCCATTGTCTCAGTTCAGGACAACCCGTGCTTAGATTTAATTAATTCAATGTTTCTTATCAAGTTGAAATCAGGAGGGTTTTCAGGTCAGCTGGATGGGAGACCATGTTTGGTTTGTTGGTTAATGAGTTTTGTAAATAAAAAATAGGTGGAGACCTCTATAGCTTCGGATCACAGGAAGGAGCTGAAACTAGAGAAAGCACCATTTTACTGCATTCCTCAGTCAGTTAGAATTGTGTTGCTTCAACTTGAGGAGAACAGATCAAACGAGGATATTACAGCTTAATATCATGGTTTTCCCAAAAAAGGAGCTTTCAGGCTGTGACATAGAATTAGTACATAGTCTCCATTTCTGTTTATAATAATATCTCATGCTCTGAGTGATAATTTTTAGGCTGTGAGTGATAATGGTTAATTAAAAGGAGACTGAATTATTTTCCATAGCTTGAGTTGAGGCCAGCTTTAGCTGTAGGCAGAGCAATCTTTGATTATTGACTGTGACTTACTTATGTGGCACTTGTAATCTTCTATTTCATTTCCTCTGTACTTAAAATCCCTTGAATGGACAGAGGGCCTTTTATTGCTCATCAGAGATAAAGCTTAGCACACAATTCCGATGTGAAAGAAGCCCTGGACTTGCACACTCTGCTGAAAGTGACCTTTGTGAGGTATTTTCCTAGTTTCCCTGAGGTGAGGTAGGTAGAAAGAAGTGAGGTAGGAGGAAAGTACTGGACATCTGGAAGGGGATGGGGTGCCAGCTAGAGGGAGGTGGAAGGAGGTTACAGAATGGAGACAGGCTTTGCCCTGGTTTGCTTTCTTTTCTTTTTAATTGATTTGCTTTCTTTTAGAATTAATACTATTTTTAATTGACAGGTAATGATTGTAAATATGTCTGGGGTACAATGTGATGTTTGGATGTAAGAATACAATGTGGAATGATTAAATCAAGCTAGTTAACATATCCATCATCTCACTTATTATTTTTTGTGGTTAGATATTTGAAATCTGCTCTTAGCAATTTTGAAATATACTATACATTATTAATTGTAGTCACTCTGCTATGCAATAGGTCTCACAGACTTATTTCTTCTGTCTAACTGAAACTATGTACCTTATAACCTACATTTCCCTATCCACCTCCTACCCCTCAGCCTCTGGTAATTACCACTCTACTCTCTCTGCTTCCATATGTTTGAATTTTTTAGATTCCACATATAAGTGAGAACATGTCATACTTGTGTTTCTTTCCCTGGCTTATTTCACTTAGCATAATGTCCTCCAGGTTCATTCATGTTTTCATAAATGATAGAATTTCCTTCTATTGGCTGGGTGAGGTGGCTCACGCCTGTAATCCCAGCACTTTGGGAGGCCGAGGCGAGAGGATCACAAGGTCAGGAGATTGAGACCATCCTGGCTAACATGGTGCACCCCATCTCTACTAAAAATACAAAAAATAAAAATAAAAATTAACTGGGCCTGATGGCAGGTGCCTCTAGTCCCAGCTACTCTGGAGGCTGAGGCGGGAGAATGGCATGAACTCAGGAGGCAGAGCTTGCGGTGAGCCGAGATTGTGTCACTGCACTCCAGCCTGGGTGACAGAGTGAGACTCCGTCTCAAAAAAAAAAAAGAAAAAAAAAAGAATAAATAAAAATTTAAAAAAATAAAAATAAAAGAATGATGTCCTTCTATTTAAAAACAGAATAATATTCCATTGTGTATATATACCACATTTTCTTTCTTTATCTGTTGATAGACACTTAGCTTGCTTCCATACCTTTGCTATTGTGAATAATGCTGCAATGAACATGGGAATTCAGATATCTCTTCTCTTCAACACATTAACTTCAATTGTTTTGGATATATGCCCAGAAGTAGGATTGCTGGATCATACAGCAGTTCTTTTTTAAACGTTTTTTTGAAGGCCTGTCTGGTCCCCTTCAAATCCTCTCCCGGCCTTTTCATTGAATATCCAGGTGTCTGTTGGCTTTCGTTCCTCTTGCCAGAAACAATCAGAAAATAGTGTAAGTAGATATACATTCAGAAGCAGTAGTTTCAGTAATAGTTATTGCTTTTTTTTTTTTTGATAAGGAAGATATATGAGAAAAAGGACTAAAACTACAAATCATTTAGGAACAACATCAGATATCAAACACCTTGAAGGTCTTTAGGGAGAGTCAGACTAACAGTACCTGAGTAGGATTCTGTTAAACTCGGTGACCAATATTTAGAAAGGGTAAATAATTTCCCCAAGATCACCCAGCTAGACAGCAGGAATTGTGGGCTTAACCGCTTTGCTAACTGCTTCTAGAGTCAATTCTGTGGTCTTCAGGTTTTTTGCAGTACACTTGTGGACGGCACAGGATCCTTTTCCTTGAGTTTCTTTCATTTCATGGATCCTTGGTTCCCCTCAAGGATACCGGTGTATAGGATTGAATCCTGACTTGCATAACAATAAGCTGACTGAAGCTTGTTTACATTTGATTGCTGTTCACTTTGCATCCTCCCAACATGGACCCAGGTGCTCTTTGCTCTTGCCTTGGAGAATAGGATTCTTTAGGTGACCTGACTTGGTACTTAACACTCCTACTGCTTTTGTTTTTCTTCTGCAAAGCCACCTTCTTCATGTAGCTGTTTTGAGATTTACGTTGTTCTTAATTCAAGCAAACCCTGAACAGGGTTTGCCCTCTGTTGATTCTCCTGTAAGTTGCTTCAGTTTTCCTTCTCTTTCCATGCTTGCCTTTTGCTATGTCCCCTTCCTTACAGGAATGCTAGCCCGTCCCGAGCTTAAAAGAGTCACTATGACCAAAGTAGGCCTGTACAAGGAAAATAGATTTCCAAAACATTGGCTGAAAATTCAATGCAAAATTTTAATTAATTTCCAGTCCATTTCAGCAAATTGTTTTTCTCTTCTCTGCATATTTCATTTAATTGGAGCTTTCCTCTAATAAGTCAAAAATACCAGACCAAAGAGTTGAACAAAATGAGACATTCTTGAGATAATTCAGTGGTGGTTTTTACTCTGGAAATTTGCATGTCCACTGCATGAAGTGGAAGAGTTGGGCTACATTTGATATTATGAAATATCACAAACCAGTGTTAGCTTTTTTTGGAGAAGATGAGGAGTATCTTGCTAATGGTACCAGACACTTGAAGCCATGCTGAGCAGGACATGAAATATTTACCATCTCTTTTTAGGTGAGAAGGAAGATTCCTCATTAAAATTTTAAATTTACATTTCCATCCATCAGCCCGATTTCCAATTTGTGCCATGTTCTCAAATTGTCAAAGAACTGATATCTTCAGAAAATGGATTGTGAGGGAGCCTCTACAACATGTCTGTGAAATTTTCCTTAGACCAAGATGGTTGAAGAAAACTTGCATGTTTTTGGACAAGGTGAGGCAGTTTATTCCCGTTTATGTAAGGAGTCTGAACCTTGCAGGGAGGCTCACATGTGCACTGACCACTTGCATAACTGCACTTACAGATAGTTCTTACCTCCCCTCTCGGAGCTTAAGCAACAGGGATAAATGATAGTGAATGATGACTTTGTCTATCTTAATCTCTAAATGCACTGTAGTTTGCCAAATATTTTTGAGTTAGCTGACATATTTTTTGAGAGCTATATCTCATATACAAAGACGCAGGCTGTCTACGTTAGTGCTTTGCCACTTAAACACAGAGCTTCCTGATGACACCTGTTCACTCTGATGTGCAATTTGTGGTACATCGATTTGTAGTTTGCACTTCCTATAATCACTTTTATAACTTAGCACTCAATTATAGTACTTGTTTCAGGAATGCCTGCCTGTCTTATATTCTTTCTTATCTTAGAATTTTTTGGAGGACACATTTATTAAGCATTCGTTCAATAAATATTGGTTAAGTTCCTCCTAGTTATCAAGTGCTGGGTGCTAGAGATTTGAGTATGATTGCATTGTTCTTTTCCGGAAGTTTATCTTTAAAGAGCGACATAAGTAAATAGAAAGTCACAAATGTGTGAGTGTATGTGTGTGTATATGCACGTGTATGTGCACATTCCTGGAAAGGCAAAAGAGAGCCTAACCTGTGTTGCAAAAATGTGCTTGCCCTCAGGGGAGAGCTAAGAACAAAGAGAAGTCCTTTGCAGTCCCTGTTCCATTTACATGCCTCTTAGAGGGAGGGACCAAGGTAAGATTTCAGAGGTTGAAGTAGAGAGACAGAAATAGAGGCAGAAAGCTAGAGGCAAAGAGAGACAGCAACCAGTTGGGAAAAAAGCAACCAGTTGGGCAGAAAATAAGATAAGCAGAATTGTAATGTGAGCACAGTTGTAAGGGAATCCCCTGAAACAGAAGAGAAAGAAAATCCAACTTCAAGTGTCATCATTTCTGATTCATCTTGAAGCACTAAATAACATGTGACCTGGTCAATAGATTCTGTCCTGGAAGTTGGCTGAGCAGCCTTACAGTTCCAGGATCTTCCACTCCAGTAGCCTCCAGTCTTATCTCTGACTGCAGATGATTCCTGAGCCCCACTCCGGGTGGCCTGACTTGACACCCTCCCTAGTCCTCCTGCATGAAGGCCAGAGTATGGATTCAAGCCTGACTTTTCTTACTTTTGCTCTGATGTTAAAGGATCTACTTTAAAGATCTTGTGGGTGTATTTTGCACAGGTCTAGTTGATATTACTGTTTTTTTTTTTTTTTTTTTTGAAAATGCTCTATAGTATTTTCCTCAACCATTGTTTTAAAAGCTTAATTGGATTATTTGGGTATAGGCCACAATCTGGTTACCCTATTGATTCAGGGAATGTTAAACCTCTGATTCAGAAATCAGAAACTTGTTTTAATTCTCCCCCTTTGGTTCCTTTCCAATTTCTCTGTATCTTTTAACCCCTATTGCCACTGCCTTGACTTAGGCCCCTCTGTCCTTTCTCCCTCCCTCTCTGCTCTTCTTCTTTCTCTCTCCTTCCCTCACTTGCTTGGATTACCGCAATGGAGTCCTCAGTTGTCTTCTTGCCTTTAATCCAGCCTCTTGTTCATCCCCAGTCTGCCTTCTATTTTGTGTCCTCTCTGATGTCAAAGACAAAACTAAGTTCAAGATAAAATTAACCCAGGTTGTTTGTTCATAAACTTCTTGTAAGGAAACCCATCTATTGTCTCTTTTGTTTCAGCAGTTCCAAAGGCATAGAACGTAAAATCAGTTTTATAGGATAAAAGAGGAAACACTGAGTCAGTCTCTAAATGTTACATGTTTTGTGACTTTGGAAGTTTTTGGAAGCAGGAGAGGCTTCCAATTTGTCTTCAGTACATTTGGCAGTCTTTGTTTGGCTACAAGAGGGCAAGCTAGCAGTTTGGGGATTTCAAAAAAGGAAGGACTGTCCAATATGGGTGGAGGGTTTTTGGTTGCTGGCCATTTCTTGAACTGGAGGAAGCTGATGGGTTTCTTTTTAGGGTGATGGACTTCATGAGAAGCTCAATGTCATGGAAGGCAGTCTTGCAGCTAATGTCATCCTTATGCTTAATCTTCTTCAATGACACCCCTTTGCCTTCAGGAAAAGACCAATTTCTGCAGCCTGTTATACAGGCTCTTCCTTAATTCTTGAGTCTTATAAAGTACTTTATGCCTCATTCATACATAATGACTAACAGTTGCCCAAACACATGTGAGCTCTCTTTCTCCTTTTCCTTTGAGACTTTACATGTTATATTTCTTCTACCTGGAACTTTCTTCATCCTTACCGTTATACATGCACACACATGTAGAGAGTCTTCATTTACTCATTTATTTAAAAATTTCCCCCAGATCTGTTAATGTATAATTGACAAACAAAATTGTATATCTTTGTGCTATACAATGTAATATTTTGATGTATGCATACATGGTGAAATGATTAAATCAAGCTAATTAACATAACCATCACTTCACATACTCATCTTTTTTTTTCTGTTGTGAGAAAAATTTGAGATCTACTTTCTTCACAATTTTTAAGTATAATTGTTAACTATAGTCATCATGCTGTACAATACATCTCTGAAACTTATTTATCCTTTCTAATTGACACTTTGTACCCTTTGACCAATATCTCTCTTCATTAGCCACTCCCTCTCCCTAGCCCCTGGTAAATACCATTCTACTGTCTGCTTCTATGAATGCGTGTTTTAAGATACCACATATAAGTGAGATTATGCAGTATTTGTCTTCCTGTGCCTGACTTATTTCACTTCAGTTAATGTGCTTCAGGTTCATTAATGTTGTTGCAAATGACAGCATTTCGTTCTTTTTTAAGGTTAAATAGTCAAATAGTCTTCTATTGTGTATACATGCCACATTTTCTTTATCCATTCATCTATCGATGAACATGTAGGTTTTTTACCCATTTTAGCTATTGTGAATAAGGCTGCAATGCATATAGGAGGGAAGATATCTGTTGGACATACTGATTTCAGTTCCATACTCTCCCAACCTCTGTCTGTTATACCCATTTCCAAAGCTGCTTCCACATTTTCAGGTATCTTTATAGCAATGCCCCACTTCTCAATACCAATTTTCTGTATTAGTCAGTTCTCACAGGTGCTATAAAGAAATGCCTGAGACTGAACAGTTTACTTTAAAAAAAACAGGTTTAATTGGCTCATGATTCTGCAGGCTGTACAGGAAGCATGACGGCATCTGCTTGGCTTCTGAGAAGGCCTCAGGAAACTTAGAATCATGGTGGAAGGTGAAGGGGGAGCCAGCACTTCACATGGCCAGAGCAGAAGAAAGAGAAGGCAGGGAAGGTACCACACACTTTTAAACAATCAGATCTCACAAAAATTCACTCACTGTCACAAGAACAGAACCAAGGGGCAAATCTGCCCCATGATCCAGTCACCTCCCACCAGGTCCCACCTCCAACATGGGAGATTAAAATTCAACATGAGATTTGGGCAGGGATAGAGATCCAAACCATATTAGTCCCTCCACTCTACTGTACATTTCATAAAAGTAAGAATTAGGAACTATGTGTCATCTTTATAGTCTCAGTGATCAGCACTTATCAGGGGCTCAATAAATATAAGTGAATTGATTAAACCATTAATTAATTATTGCTTGGAGGTTTCCTTTCACATCAAACTTTATTACAGTGTATGACGGAAAGCTTGCTCAAAGAGAATGAGGATTCTCTGCAGCCTCAGTCATGGTTTCCTGATTTTTGCTTAAACCTCACCAGAAATTTCAACAGCAACTCATTACTGAAGTTATTCAGTAGATGCTTTTTTATAGCATAAGCATCTCATGTGTGTTCTACACATGGCAGTCACTCAATGTACATTTGCTGAGGTTTGTCTTCCAATGACTGATGATACTGTTTTTATTTGCAAAGTCATATTCCAGCTGGAGCAATTTACGCCTCTTGTCAAAGAGGATGGTGGTAGGTGCAAGGCTGAAATGTTTCTAATAGACTCCTCTTTTAATTCTTTTTTGAATTTTATTTTTTATTATTATTATACTTTAAGTTTTAGGGTACATGTGCACAATGTGCAGGTTAGTTACATATGTATACATGTGCCATGCTGGTGCACTGCACCCATTAACTCGTCATCTAGCATTAGGTATATCTCCTAATGCTATCCCTCCCCCCTCTCCCCACCCCATAACAGTCCTCAGAGTGTGATGTTCCCCTTCCTGTGTCCATGTGTTCTCATTGTTCAATTCCCACCTATGAGTGAGAATATGTGGTGTTTGGTTTTTTGTTCTTGCGATAGTTTACTGAGAATGATGATTTCCAATTTCATCCATGTCCGTACAAAGGACATGAACTCATCATTTTTTATGGCTGCATAGTATTCCACGGTGTATATGTGCCACATTTTCTTAATCCAGTGTATCATTGTTGGACATTGGGTTGGTTCCAAGTCTTTGCTATTGTGAATAGTGCCGCAGTAAACATACGTGTGCGTGTGTCTTTATAGCAGCATGATTAATTCCTTTCTGTACTGCATCCCCCACCCCACTCCACAATCTTGAGCCAATAGATCATTAAGAGTGGAAACAGTCTCACCACCAGGTTTCTGATAGGACTGCCTGTAGGCATCACAGCATTAGTTCAAATGTGCTTTTAGTTTGAGATTTTCTTTTTTAACTTTTGGAGTGGTGAAACAATGCTTAGAATCTATTTGTTTATTCCTTAGCAGGTGCTAATTTTATTTTATTTTCAACAGTTGCTGCTTAAATATTTAAGAGGAAGTTTCCCTGGATGCAGGGTAGGTGGCAGAATTGCTCACATGGTAGAAAGAAAACATGGAAGAAAGGAAATTGGTTGTGTTCTAGTACTTTTCTCTCATGATTACCACTTGGTCAGCCTCTAAATCATGCATGCTTACATGAATTTTGTATTTGCTTTTTGCCTTCGGTACATTGGGAAGCACTATTTTGTAAACTATCTGAGTCTAAAATGAAATATGAGCTAACTGAATTCAGCATCATATTAAAAAATACTTCAGGTTGATTTTAGGAATATTAGAATGCTTCATCCTTAGGGGAACCTCACAATACAGTCACACATACTCATGTGTGAGTATGTATATTCACACATACTCATGTGTGAGTATGTATATTCACACATACTCATGTGTGAGTATGTATATTCACACATACATGTGACACAATATACACATGTCATACATGTGATACTATAAATCAGGAGTAGGTTGGGTTGGGAGAATGATCTCATACAATATAGAAAAAGAAATTGGATCCATACCCATTTCATATTGTGAATATGGTATTGTGAGGTTCTACCCTTGAGAGAATCTTACAATATACTCATCATACTCATATGCTATACACATTATACTCATCATATGGTATATGGATACTGTAATGTAGTATCAATATACTACATTAATGGACTAAAGAAAAAAAGTGTAATTTCTTAAGAGGTGAAAAACAAAACGTAGCATTTAATAAAGCTGGATACTTATTTGTGATTAAAAAACACTTAGAAAACTGTAACCAGAAAGTAATTTCCTTCACTTCACGAAGTCTCTATACAAACATCTTACATGATGGAGAAACATGATATGTTGCTTTTAAGATTAGATCAAGAACAAGATAGAATTGCCTATTATCACCATGGTATTTAACAGAGTATAAATTCCTAGATACATAAGTAAGAGATGAAAAAAATAAAAGGGAAAAGATTGAAAGAGAAAAGACAAACTTTGTTCCTTAAAGGTGATAAGTTCATCTACATAGATAACACAGTATCTTCTGCAGACACTATTAGAACAAAGAAGAACACTCTGAAAGGATACCAGATCCAAAATCTATTAAGTATAATCAGTGGCATCTCTTCCATCCCGGCAAACATTATCTTCACAAAATACCATTCTGAAATAGAGAACAAAACAGCAATAACCGAATTTATAATTGTCTTTGCAGATAAAAATCTGGGAGTGTTTAATAATACCTGAATAAATAAATATTTATACTTTATTTGTGATGGAACAACCTAACCTTATAAAAGCATTGTCTCCCAAAATTCATTTTCAAATTGTAGTAGTCTATTTTAACACTGCTATAAAGATACCACCTGAAAAGGGGTAATTTATAAATAAAAGAGGTTTAATTGACTCCGTTCCACGTAGCTGGGGAGGCCTCAGGAAACTTACAATCATGGCGGAAGGGAAAGCAGACACTTTCTTCACAAGGTGGCAGGAAAGCTAAAGCCGCCAGCAAGAGAGGAACTACCAAACAATTATAAAACCATCAGATCTTGCAAGAACTCTCTCACTACCACAAGAAAAGCATGGAGGAAACTGCCCCCATGATTCAATGGCCTCCCGCCAGGTTAATCACACCTGGGGATTACAACTGAAGATGAGCTTTGGGTGGGGACACAAAGCCAATCATATTACAAATTCAATACAATTCCAGTAAAAATTTCAAAAGGAATTTTTGAATAACTCAACAAACATTCTAAACTTTCATGAGAAAATAAAAGTTCATAAGTAGCTGGGTTGACTTTGAAAGAGAAGAGCAAACATGGGCCTTGCTATAGCAGATATGAAGCCATGCTATACATTATTGTGATTTTAAAAAGTGTAGTACTAGTGCAGAGATAAACAAATACATCAATTGGAAAAAAACAGAGATTATAACAATAGATTCACATGTACCTGGAGACTTCATGTATGACATATGTGATACCACAAGTCAGGAGTAGGTTGGGTTGGGAAAATGGTCTCACACAATATAAAAAAAAAATGAAGCTGGATCCATACTTATATCATATACTAAGATAAATTACACAGAGATTAAAGCCCATATTCAAGAGGTAAAACTATAAAATTAAGAGAAGAAAATTTGAGACAATTTCCAATAATATTGGAAAGACCCTCAAAGCACAAACCACAAAGTAGAAGATTTATAGGCTTGACTATATTAAAGGATTTCTGTTTAACAAAAGGCACCATAAATACTGCTAACAGATGGATAACACTCTGGGAGACGACATTTGCATTATCTGAAAATAACATCTAGAAAATACAAGGAATGCCTGCAAATTAACAAGAAAAAGATGGAAAACCCACTGGAGAAAATAAGTATAGGATATGAGTCAGTGTGTTACTGAGGGAGAAATCTGTAATGATAATATGAACACAGCAGATGCTCAACCATATTAGCAATCAAAGAAATGCAAATCAAAATAAAAAATAAAATACCACTTTACCTTCATCAGACCGCTTAAGCCCCAAAAGGTGGATAATTTCAAATACTGTGAGAATGTGGAGGAAGCAACAGAACCCTCACACACAGCTGACAAGAGGATAAAATTATATAGTAATTGTGTGGTGCAAAATGACAGGAAAAATTGGACTTTAGATAGTCAAGGGCCCAGCAATCCCACTTCGGAGTAGCTCCCACAGGTCCCTGAAGGGATGTGTTTGAAGATTTTCATTACAGCACTTTTGGTGGCAACAGGGAATTGGAGGCAACCCATGTTGATATTACGAGGGGAATGGATTTGTAAAATAAGATGAATGCAAACTATCGATTACCTTGCAAGAATATTTTGTCATCTAGATACACATATAACAATATAAATACATTCAAAAGCAGTACTGAGCAAGAAAAGTAAGAAACCAAATGAGATCCATATGCATTATGCATTTCTTAAGAAAACGTACCTATACAATGACATGAAAGCTTATATATTGGGTTGGAATATATGAGGGGTTGGAAGTGGGGATCAGAAATAAATAAAAAAATTGTTTAAAAATAAAATTTTTAAAAATTCTGCATGACCTAAAAGTGGGAGTGTGTCGTAAACTGACTAAAAAGATATCTGGGCAGAATTTACACATGACTCTGAACATACATGTGTTGCTATTTAGGGAAATATTTCCAGGGATAGTAAGAACACTTTTTTTTTTTTTTTTTTAAAGAGAGGGTCTCCCTTTGTCACCCAGGCTGGAGTGCAGTGGAGCAATCACGACTCACCGCAACCTTGATCTCCTGGGTTCAAGTAGTCCTCCCACCTCAGCCTCCTGAGTTAGCTGGGACTATGGGCACGTGCCACCAGGCCCCGCTAACATTTGAAATTCTTTTTGTAGAGATGAGATCTCACTATGTTTCCCAGGCGGGTCTTGAACTCCTGGGCTGAAGCATTCCTCCTGCGTTGGCCTCCCAAAGTGCTGAGATTACAGGTGTGAGCTACCATGCCGGGCCTTTAAGGGAAATAACTTTCCTGGAGTCTTAGAATAAATATAAAGATGAAACATTAAATGGCCTTAGGTATATTCTAATAATTATTATTGATGTATATCCTCATGCTTTAATCAGTTTTTAGCTATACAGTCATACATCATTAACTCCTTTTAACAGTGATGGAGATATGTTCTGAGAAATGTGTCATTGGGCAATTTCATCATCTGTAAACAACATAGAGTGTACTTACACATAGATAGTGTAGCCCACTATACACCTAGGTCATATGGTTAATACATTTGAAATTGTTGACACCTTTCTTGACTTTTTTTCTGGAGGCTATAATACTATTAATCGAGAAAATACAATTTGTAAGGTGCCAGTGTAATTAGTAAGCTTAGTACAAAACCTGCTAAATAGGGGATATTCTACGTTACATGTCATCAGTTTTGAAATGTGTAAACATTTTAACTCAAACATGTTCACAAGTACTGCCTTTTTAAAATTCAGACTTTCTATAAACATTTTATAAGACAAAACATCAATTAAATTATTATACTTTTAATGTTGCAAAATTTTATTCCTTTCAACTAAAAATAGAAGCTGCATCAAAAGTTTCATCTACACATGGAGATAGTTCAATTACATAATTTCAAGAGAAAATCTTGTTCACCATTTGAGCTTTCATTATTTAATTTGTTGATCCATTTCTAACATCAGTAGGGGGTAAATTTCAATGTCTTCCTGTTGCAGCATTAAAAAACCTTCGTTACACAAGAAGCTTCAAAAACTGAAGATTTCTGTGTATGGTTTGCTGAATAATTTGCTTAAGAATTTCCAATTAATACTTAACAAAATGCAAACAAAGTTCAGAAAATTTGTTAGCAAAAAATTCAATATCACTCTGGGTCACTTAGGTTAATTTACAAAGCAGTGCTTCAGAAGCTCAAACATTTCTAAAATCCAATTGATATTAGATGGCAAAAAGATAAAGTATGTACGGAAATATTTTAGGATATTCAACATTAATTCCACCACAGACATTTTGCAGTTCAGTCACTCTGACTACCTATATGCACTAATTAGTGGAATATTATAGTTTGAATATGATTATGAATTATAATATTTGTGTACCATAACTAATCACAAGTACATTATTTTGCTCCATAGATTTCTTCAAGTAGGGATGTACTTTTTTCTACAGCAGTGTTCTCTACCAAAATTTGTATTCTTATCACTCCAAAATAGGTAATTTTATCTTCAAGTTTGAACACCTTAACCCAGATTACAATAGCATTTGCAATAATGTTGAACATTACTTCTTCTATAGAGTGAACTTCCAAAACTTTGCTTTGCTTCTAAAACTTAAATTAAAAATAGGATGATTACTGAAATTACCGATTTTTTCATTACAGCGCTGATGGCATGGATATAACACAGGCATCATTGTCTTGTTTGAATGCAATTTTTCTACTTTTGGTGTTAATTTTCACATATGCCAAGTATATTTGAAATTGAAAATGAGCAAAATTAATTTAGTGGAGTAATTAGTTGATCTAGGTGAAAAGTCATGCTTCACAGAGTGATATGTAAATGCACGTCTGCTTCTGTATATGTTAAATAGTTGTCTTGAGATACAGTCTTTTTCAAGTAACTAGTAGCTTTTGAGTTAGAAGACACTGCTTCTCATACGTTTGTGTTTTTAGTTTTCTTGTACTCAATGATATCACTACCTGCCCCTTCCCCTACTGTGGATAAATGTCAACACATGTTTTGTGCAAGTTATACTTTCACCATCAACTTTTTAAACAGGTTTTGAAATAGGTCAAATTTCTGATAACCAGTTCAGCAATTTAAGAATGTACATTTTCAGTTACTGCACCAGCAGTGTTTATTGAAAAACAGAAAGAAAACCCAAAAATATAAAATACGTAAACATTGTAGAATGGCATCATATAACAAATGACAAAACCTTTGTGGCTAACTACTCTTTATATGTTCTGCAACAGGAGTGCCCAGCCTCCCTTCCCTGTACATATTTTACACTCAAGACTGGAAGGAGTTAGCTGTTCCTGGTTGCTAGTGTCTAAGCACGGTGTGCTGTAATCACTGAGCACCCTGGGCAATGTCTTTCCAAGTGAGCTATTGGTTAAATTGTGTGTGAAAGGGGCAGGAAAGAAAATATGGGTATGGAAAATCATCTCTTAGATTTCAGCATGTATTCAAGTCAGAAATCTGTTTGTACACTACCAGATGAGATCATGGTGGGAGTTGGTGCTACGAAGGGGAGGTCTATCAAACCCATTCTGCCTTATTTTAACATAGTTATTAGTAATGATATAAGGAAATGGAGAGCGCAGATAGTATGGGACATTGGGGCAACAGGCACACAGCAGGACAGTCCTGAGCAAACTGGAATGGGCACTCTCTGCATTAGCAATATTTTTGGTAGAAAGAACCATTTTCTGAGAAGTGTATATGAAGCACACATATTTAGAAAACTGGCCATAATCTGAGCTAATGGAGATGGATCTTAGGATGGGTAAGATTAAATTGCTGGCAATTTCCAAATCTTCCCATCATGGCCACATATGATTTTAATGTTTAAAAGTTTAAATTCCTAGGAGTTAGAGACCTAGAAAGTCCATCTTCAGAAACAATGTAGAGCAGGGATGGGAAATACATTCAATTCCTCCTTTGTAGCCTTGCATGCACATTTCAAAGTTCCAGAACCCCTCATTTGATACCCAGGGACACTGCATAAATGGGCCTTTGCCTTCCTCTCAGTGTCCTGCTTTGTTGGTCAATTATTTGTCTTGCTTCCATGCTGTGATTTCAGCTTCTAGCCAGTTTTTCATTATGTTCCTTCCTTCATACATTGACATAGCATTTCTAATAATTTTCTAAATTCTAATTCTGGCATATCTCCTTGAATATAATTTAGATGATTTCTGTGTACACTAATTTAACATCTCCAGATAAATGTTTCTTCCAATTCCACTCAGCCTGGCTATCCTTGTTTGTTTCAACTTATTCATTCCTTAGTTCATTCATGTATTTAATACACTTTTACCAAGCACACACATGTCTGTGGCTCTCAGTGGGCATCTTCTAGTTCTAGGAGAGGGTTCTGGACACTCTTTTCTCTTTGACTTTCATATTCTGGCCATACATGCTGTCAAAAGTAAACTTTAAGGCAAATTAAATTTAAGAGTTTAATTGAGCAAAGGACAATTTGCAAATTGGGCAGCCCCCGAACAAGCATTGGTTCAGGGAAGCACTGCTGTTGCTATGTGGTCAAAGATTTATGAACAGAAAGTGATGTACAGAAAACAGATGTGGAATATAGAAACAGCTGATGGGTTACAACTCAACATTTCCCTTAGTTAAACATGGTTTGAATAGTTGGCTGCCCTTGGTTAAAACTCAGTGATTGGCAAATGAGTGGCTACAATCTGTTTACATATCCCGTTAGGGTACAGTTCAGTATGTAGGGAGATAGCTGTAGAATGACCTTAAAATATGTAAGGAAGTAGCTTTAGGCTAAAATAATTTAACAATGCTTATGGGCATTTTTAATTTCTTGTCTTGCACTTGTGGATAAGTACGAAACATTTGGGACAATAAACACAAATGTGAATCACATACTAAAAATAATGGTGATCAAAAGGCAGCATTGGAAGAATGTTGAGTCTTGCAGTCTGACAATGCAGGAAAAGAAAGGGGTGAAACCATTCCAACAGAGTCTGATGGGCAGTGAATTAGCAGTATAACTAGCTAACACACAATATGGATTGGAAAACACATCCTGTTACCGCTATATAACTGAGATATCTTGAGTATGTATAAGAAAAATCATGGAACTCCAAAGAATTCAATAACTTTTTAAGGAAGTATCAGGGAAAATTCTACAATTACATTTTCTTGAAGGAGCGAGTGAACCATGACAGATGAACAAAAGAGGGAATGTTTTATAAAGAGAGACAGCAGCATATGCAAAATCAAAGAAATGTGAAAGCCCATGTAATTTATTAAAAAGGTAAATCATAAAAATAAGTTTTTAAAAGTTGAAATTTTGCAGCACTTGTAAAACAACGTACAAAGGACAGGACTACAGGAGAATGTGGGAAAATAGAAATTGGTTTTAGGATTATGAAACTTTACTGTTACTGCTAGTAAAATATAATTTGTTTTAAAAGTCTGAAGAAAATATGTTGACGAAATTGAATTCTTTAAAAGAGTAAGTTTTCTATTGGACTTTTCTCTGTTTTGGTTATTGTGCTTATCAGGAACAACCACACTGACACAATTTTAATATGATTGTAATAATTGAGGTTACCACATCCTTTAGCAAATTATTGCTATTCTGAATGTAGGTAGGAATTTTCTCCAAGTGTGAAAAGTCTGAACTCTTAATTATACACTTTCTCCTGATTGCTTCACCTTCATCCTTTGGAGTACCTTGAGAGAGCTTTCATCAATGCAAGGCTTAATTTTAGTCTAACCAAGCTGACCACCTGCATGTATACAACTGTGCCATTTCCTTGTTTTCATTGGTTGCAAATAGGACAGCAATGTTCTTTTCAATTTCAAATCTGAAGTCTGGTGTGAAGAGCAGATGAGGAGCTGAGAGATCTGGAGTTAATATCAGATCGTCTATTTAACATACTCTCTGTTTCAAGTTTCTTGTTTTAAGGGTGTAGTTTCCTTTGTGATAAAAATGGTACTAGCTTAACCTACTCCCACAGTGGTCATCAGGTTCAAATAAGATGATGCCTGTGAATGACCTTTAAAAAGTGTGGAGCACTAGACATGTTTGAGGTGGCTTTCATATTGATCAGGAAGCTGATTCGTAAATACAGGGATAAAATTGACACATTTAAATATGTTGGTGGTTTTGAGCAGTGGTTTCTTACATGACTAAATTTCATTGAATTAATTATCTTCAAGGTAAAAGTGAGTATGAAAGTTTCTACCATCATGATCAGGTTGTAATTTCTTTTTATAGTGTTTTTATTATCTAAATTGAGCTAGTATCAATATTTATGACAAAAGATGCAGATATTGATTTAAAGAGCAAACATTTGGAAGCCAGAATGGTATGCCTTATAATAGTAATAGATACTATTTATAGCACTTATTATGCATCAAACACTACAATAAATGCTTTACATGAATTAGCTCATTGAATATTCAGAATAACTCCATAGGTTAGATTCAATTTAGATTCATTTTATACACAGACTAAGGTCTAGAGAGGTTAAGTTGGTTCTTAACCAACCCTGTCTCACCTATACTCCTTACAGATGCAGTGTTGTGTAGGAGCATGGACCTGAATTTGAATCTCATCTTCACTACAAATTAGCTAAGTGACTTTGTGTGTTTTAGTTAAAATGTGTGAGAATCCTTTTCTTTTTTTTGAAATGAATTTTTTTAAAAGGTGAAAATATATGCTTACCAAAAGGTTGTGGTAAAGACCAAATGAGATTTGTGAAACATTTATTACAGGGCTTAGTACATTATAAATCCTAAATGAAAGGCAGTTCCCATTATGATTATCATTGTGGCCATTATTAATTTAAGGATGCTTTTAGTACTTGGTAGTATTACAAAAAGTAAAAGACAAAATTCCTTGCTGCAAGGTGTTTAAAATAAATTATTCTATAAGTTTTCCTTTAACCTGCCATCATTATTGCTGAGCGTAATCTATAATAAAAAATGTCAGTAACCTTAGTTCCAACTCATTAGCCTTTGTTTTGCCTCTAGCAATTATCAGCCTAGTTACTCCCATTTCCATTCTCACCTTCTCTTCTGGGCCTTCACATGACTGAGGCTTCAGTTCTTCCTTGATAGTGATTTTGGCTCTTCTTAAAGGTTGTGCTCTGGGGGACTCCTTTCTTCTACCCAGGCATATATCATTCCTCCTCGCCCCTTCTCTTTCCCTCTGCTTCCTAGAGGTAATCCATAATGTGATGTGGGTTAGTCAGAAAGAGAGGAATATGTCTCCTGAGAAAGTCCTTTTTGGTCTCAGAATTAGTGGATGCATACTGTGTACCAGACCCTGTGGAAATGGGTCATGTCTGCTTTGCAAACCACTGTTCAGAATTTGAGAGAGTACTTGGAGCATAGTTGATACCCATAAAACAGTTGCCGAATGCATGAATTTTCCAACTTTGTCTTTTATAACAACCCCAAGAGGTAGGTGTTGTTATCCATACTGTAATAAAATGTGCAAAATGAAGCTTGGAATCCTGAGGGAATGTGCGCAAGGTCACGTGGTAGCTGCTAAGAGGCTGTCTCCAGATTCTAATTTAAGCAATCTGACTCTGGTGCCTGCCACTCGATCACTACAAAACATGACCTCCCACGATGCCTTTGGGTCACTATTGGAAGTCTGTGAATTCTGAGAGTCAGACATGGCCATGGTTAGAGTTAAAAGTTAGATTGGACTGTACTGCTATGTTCAAGGGGAAAGTTGTGAAATCTGGCTTCCTGAATGCCTGTAGGCTTTAGAGTCAGCCGCACCTGGTCAGAGTTGAAAACTAGTCTGAGGTGCACTGCTGTGTGCAGAGGGCAGGCTGTGTTCTGTTGGGTGTGATGCCATGTAGTTTCCTACCCCATATCTTGTGCTGTTTTCCACCGATGCTTTGGTCATGACCTTTCATTACACTAATTGGAGATCATTTTATTACCAAATACCCTCCATCTCTAAAGTATGACTATGAAATTAAGGTTGACCCTCCTCAGCATCAGAAGGTCCTAGAACCACATTTAAAAATTCAGGAAGGATGACATCAGCAAGATGGCCCAGTAAAATCCCCTAATGCTTGTGACCCCAATGCCCCCTCCCTGGCAAATAAAGCCAAAACAACAAATAAACAGGTACATTTTGATGAAAATCACTAAAGGAGAGCACCAGAGTACATCAAAGAAGTCACAGAAACCTTGGTGAGCACAGAAGCTCAGAATAGCCGCATAGAGAATGAATGGAAACACCAGACCTCTACAACCCCATCCTCAAGCCCAGATCAGCTGGCAACCAGGAGGAATATCGCCCTTCAGCACAAAGGTAAGCATGAGGAATTGAGCATCCCCCATCTGCACCTTGGACAACTATAGTCCTGACCACTGGAGACGCCTGTAGTCCTCACAGGCACTAAGCCCAGCTAAAGAAGCTGCCTGGAATCCACGTGGCTGTACTCCTGCTAACGAAGGAGCCAACACTGTGCCCTGCCCCCTGTGGTCCATGTGCCTACTGCACTATATACTATTTTGGAAATTGAACTACTGCTGGAGTATGTTCTGCTCCAGGGGTGAGTAGCCAGGGCACCCTTTCATCCCTGAGTCTAAGCTGCCACAGAATCACCCTTTTCCTGTGTCCAGACATTCTTAAGCTGATCTATGAGCAGTTGTTACACCCTTCCCTGTGGGGGCCAAGTGGGCAGTAGAGCTGCTCCACCTACCCCTCCCAGTGGCAGCTATGTCCCATCCTCTTAAGCTGGAATTGAAGCTGTACACTGTCTCCTGGGGAAATGGTGCCTTGGGGCAGAGTCGCTTCTCAGTAGCTTCTGTGCCCTGCCCTCATGTGCCAGAGCTGAAGCAACACCTGACAATCAGGGGAAATGGTGCCTTGGCAACCCAGAGCAGTCATGCCCCCTGTGCCTGTGCTACATTGGTAGCCTGTCTCCTGGGAAAATTGTACGTTGCTGGGCCAGAGCAGTCACGCTTCCCCAGGCCTGAGCTGAAATGGCACGTTGATCCCTAAGAAATTAGTGAATTGGACAGTTGTGAATCCCTGGACAGGGCTGCTATAGTACCCTGCATCTCAGGGAAACAGAGCAGTGGCTAAGCTGAGACACCAACCCTTGCAGGCCAAAAAACTCTCATATCCTGCTTTCTTGGAACAGGACTAGCCTAGCCCTCTAGGGACTGAGGTGCTAAGAAACTTCTCTTAGCACCACTTAGGGAGTGGAATCATCACTGTGCTGCTCACCTTCGCCCAGGGTCTAAATGACAGCTGCAGTCCGCTGTTCTGGAGTCCTTGCTGCTGCTGCTCCTGCTTTCACAGAGTCTGGGATACTTTTCAGTCCCACTGTCCCAGGGTCTAGAATCACCACTAGATGGTGCCTTATCTCCTGGGACATTTTTTGACTCTGGTTCCCTGATTGCAGCTGTACCCTGCTCCCCAGGCCCAAACCTCCAGATCCTCTCTTCTTCCCTGAAGCTGAGCTAGTGCTGTGGCCTTCTCCCTAGGGTCATAATAACAGAGAAAAACTTGGACCCCTGACTGTGAGCTGCTGGAGCATGCTTCAGAGTCACAGATATTGGCTCTGTTGGAAGTTTACATCCAATCCTGCCACAGAGAGTGAACCTAAACCTCAAGACCCAGGTGCCACATTTGGTTTGTGAGACCTAAAGCCTAGGACCCCAGCTCCACAGGTATTATAAGTACCTGCACTTGAAACCCGGTGATGCTGTAGCTGCTTGTAGGCTGTGTCAGACTCAACACCAAGAAGGATCACCTTAGCTCAGTCTTTCCATTGTGGGAAAAATAAGAATAGAAGGGCCTCAAAACCTCTTGCCACTGAGGACTTTAACAATCTACATCCCCACCACTGCTGCTACAAACTTCGGCAGCCCAGGCCATTGAGTCACTCACAGTTATTGCTGAGGTTGATTGCAGCTGAAGAAGTTGCACAGTGACTATACCACTGTAACTATCCTAAAACAGAGTCACCACACCAACTGGTACACTAAAACCCAACTGCAAGTGAAAATCTTTCTTTACAAAAGCCACTCTATGAAGTTTGCAAGATAAACTATTCCACCAGATGCAAAGACATTGACACAGGAACACAAGAAACATGAAAAAGCAAGGACATATGACACTACCAAAGAAACACAGTAACTCTTCAGTAATAGACCTTAAATAACAGGAAATCTATGAGTTGCCAGAAAAGGAATTTAAAATAATGATCTTGAGGAAACTCAGTAAGATACAAGAGAATACAGACAGATAATTCAACAAAATCAGGAAATCAAATTCATAGTAAGAAACTTAACAAATAGATGGATATCATTAAAAAGAACCAAATAGAATTCCTGCCCCTGAAATATTTATGAATGAAATAAAAAATGCAAGAGAGCCCAGTCAAATTGGTGCACAAAATTAACCACCACAGATAAATTTGGTTTGTCTGTTTTTCATGTGCAGCACTATTTAGAATATGTCTTGTGCTAGTTTTAGCTACTCATTCATTCATTCATCCAGTTACTCATTTAGAACCTAAAAAATCCATTCTACTCATATTTGAAGTCTTGATCCTGCCACTTGTGTGACTATTAAGACTAAGTCCTAAGCTCTCTCGACCTATGTATTTGGCTGTTGCATTGCTCTAAATAAACACCTGAGACTGGGTAATTCATAAAGAACAGAGGTTTGGTTGGCTCATGGTTCTGCAGGCTATACAGAAATTATTGTGCTGGCATTTGCTCAGCCTTCAGGGAAGCCTCAGGAAGCTTACAGTCGCAGTGGAAGGCAAAGGGGAGCAGGCACATCACATGGCAAAACCAGAAACAAGCAAGGGAGAGTGGGGGAGGTGCCACACATTTTTAAAAAGAACAAAATCTCATGAGAACTCACTGTCATAAAGACAGCACCAAGCCATGATCCTCCTCCATGAGCCAAACACCTTCCACCAGGTCCCACCTCCAGCATTGAGGATTACAATTCAACATGAGATCTGAGCAGAAACAAATCTTCAAACTATATAGTTTTGCTCCTGGTCCCTCCCAAATCTCATGTCCTTCTCACATTGAAAAATACAATCTCGCTTTCTCAACAGCTCTCCAAAGTCTTAACTAATTCCAGCATTAACGCAGAAGTTCAAAGTCCAAAGTCTCACTGGATTCCATCTACCTTTGAGCCAATAAAATAAAAAAACAAGTTATTTACTTCCAAGAAACAATGGGGGTATATTCCCATTCCAAAAGAGAGAAATTGGCCGATAGAATGGGGCAACAGGCGCTATGTAGTTTCGAAACTCAGGTCAGTCATTAAATCTTAAAGCTCCTAAATAATCTCCTCTGACTCCATGTCTCACATCCAGGGCATACTGGTACAAATGGTGGGCTCCCAAGGTTTTGAGCAGCTCTGCCTTGTGGTCTTGGAGGGTACAGCCTCTGTGGCTGTTATCACAGGTTGCTGAGTGCCTGAAGCTTTCCCAGGTGCAAGGTGTAAGCTGGTGGTGGATCTACCATTCTCGAGTCTGGAGGATAGTGGTCCCCTTCTCACACGTCCACTAGTCACTGCCTCAGTGGGGAATCTGTGTAGGGCCTCCAACTCCACATTTTTCCTCTGCACTGCCCTAATAGAGGTTTTCTGTGGGGGCTTCACTCTTGCAGCAGGCTTCTGCCTGGACACCCAGACCTTTCCATACATCCTCTGAAATCAAGGTAGAGAATGCCAAGTCTCTTTTACTGTTGAATTCTGCACACAAGCAGGCTTAACACCACAGGACGCCACCAAGGCTTATGGCTTCCATTCTCAAAAGTGGAAGCTCAAACTGTACCTGAATCCCTTTGAGCCCCAGATGGACCTGAAGTGGCTGGATTGTGGAAAGCAATGTCCCAAGGCTGTGCAAGGCAGTGGGGCCCTGGGCATGATCCACAAAACCATTTTTGCTTCCTAGGCCTCCAGTTCTATGATGGGAAGGGCTGCCAAAAAGGTCTCTGAAATGCCTTTTTCCCATTGTCTTGGCCGTCAGCATTTGGCCTGCTTTTAGTTATGCAAATTTCTCTAGCAAGTGGTTACTCCTCAGCCTGCTTGAATTCTTCTAAAAAGCTTTTTCTTTCTCTGCCACAGGGACAGGATAAAAATTTTCCAAACTTTTATTCTCTGCTTTCGTTTTAAATACAAGTTTCAACTTTAAGTCATTCCTTTGCTCTAAAATATGAGTATAGGTTGTTACAAGCAGACAGGCCATATCTTGAATGCATTGCTGCTTAGAAATTTTTTTCTACCAGATACCCTAAATCATTACTCAGAAGTTCAAACTTCCACAGATCCCTAGCACAATGTAGCCAAGTTCTTTGTTAAGGCATAACATGCATGACCTTTGCTCCATTTTCCAATAAGTTCCTCATTTCCATCTGTGATCTCTTCAGCCTGGATTTCACTGTCCTTATCACTATCAGCATTTTGGTCACAACCATTTAACCAGTCTCTAGGAAGTTCCAAACGTTCCTTCATCTTTCCATCTTCTTCTGAGCCCTCCAAACTCTTCCAACCTCTGCCCGTTACCCAGTTCCAAAGCTGCTTCTACATTTTCAGGTATCTTTATAGCAATGCCCCACTCCTGGTACCAATTTACTGTATTAGGCCATTCTTGCATTGCTATAAAGAAATACCTGGGACTAGGTAATTTATAAAGAAAAGAGGTTTAATCAGGTTACAGTTCTGAAGGCTTTATAGAGAGCATGGTTTTCTCATCTGCTAGGCATTTAGGGAGGCCTCAGGAAGCTTACAATTATGGCAGAAGTTGATGTGGGAGCAGGCACATTTCATGGTGAAAGCAGAAGCAAGTGAGAGAGAGTGAGAGAGACAGAGTGAGGGAGGTACCACACACTTTTAAATGACTAGATCTCACAAGAATTCACTATCACAAAGACAGCACCAAGCTATAATCTGCCCCTGTGATCCAAACGCCTTCCACCAGGCCCCACTTGCAGCATTGGGAATTATAATTCAACATGTGATTTGGGCAGAGACAAATATTAACTTTGTTCCTTTATTTTAAAATGGAGATAATGGTAATATCTGTCTCATAGGGTTATTAGGACTAAATGAAATATATATATGTGTGTGTCTATATAGATATATATATACACACACTTAGAGTACTGCCTGTCAGATAGTGAGTATAGTGAGGGCTATATAAGTTTGCTATTCTTACCATCATAATTAACTCCCTCATTATTTGGTATTTTGTATGCCACGCACTATGCTATATACTAAATACAGAATGGAGGCCTTCTTGGACTTCACAGTTCATTAGAAGAAACAGGCATAAAATAAGTGATGATAGGAAAGTTTATGAGTCACAGGGCAAAGAATTATGAAGAGACATGGGAGCACAAACCAGATGGTTCTAATCAGAGCATACATTAGGGGACCAGGGAAGCCTTCTGTAAAGAAAAGGTAATTTTGCTGAGGCCTCAATGTTAGCAAAAGATAAGCAAATAGGTACAGAATATAGGCCCTCCCTTAAGTTTTGCAGGGCCCAGGGAGAGTACACAAATAGACCCTACATATTGTTAAGGTAAATTAAAATGGAGACCAACCCTCACAATTCCTTGAGCAGACAAAGACAGCTAGGCTTTGACAGTAACCCTAACCTAGCTTGAATTGAAAACATAAGTGAAAGTTGGGCCATTTCTGGTAAATGCTTGCTTATTAGAGAAAAATAAAACTTCAGCTCAACCAATTGGAAGCCACTAACTCATAATTATATAACTAAGTATTTTACAGTGGATTGGGCCAAATAAGGCAACTGTATGAATATAGCCAATCAAATATTTTATTTGCTTCACTTCTGCATTTGCCCTATAAAAGCCTGTCCCATATGCTTCTCTTTTTTTATTAAATTTTTTTTATTTTATATTTTAGTTTTTACCTTTTTTAAAAAAATTCAACTTCTATTTTAGACATAGTGGATATATGTGCAGATTTGTTACATGGGAATATTGCATGATGTTCAAATTTGGAGTATGGATCTCACCACCCTGGTAATGAGCCTAGTACCTGGCTTGATAGGCAGTTTTTTAACCCATCCTCCCCCATCCCTGAAGCCTCTGGTAGTCCGCAGTGTCTATTGTTCCCATACCTATGTTCATGTGTGCTCAATGCTTAACTCCCACTTATAAGTTACAACATGCAGTATTTGGTTTTCTGTTCCTGCTGTAACTTGCTTAGAATTATGCCCTCCAGCTCCATCCATGTTGCTGCAAAGGACCTTATTTTATTCTTTTTTATGGCTGCATAGTATTCCATGGTGCGTATGTAACACATTTTCTTTATGCAGTCTATCATTGATGGGTACCTGGGTTGATTCCACATCTTTGCTATTGTGAGCAGTGCAACAATGAACATGTGAGTGTATGTATCTTATTGGTAGAATGATTTATTTTATTTTGATATATACCCATTAATGAGATTGCTGTACTGAATAGTAGTTCTGTTTTAAATTATTTGAGAAATCTCCAGACTGCTTTTCACAGTTGCTGGACTAATCCACATTCCCACCAACAGCATATAAGCATTCCCTTTTCTCTGCAGCCTTGATAGCATCTGTTGTTTTTTGACTTTTTATTTATGTATTTATTTTTATTTTATTTTTTTTATTATACTTTAAGTTTTAGGGTACATGTGCACATTGTGCAGGTTAGTTACACATGTACACATGTGCCATGCTGGTGCGCTGCACCCACTAACTCGTCATCTAGCATTAGGTATATCTCCCAATGCTATCCCTCCCCCATACCCCCACCCCACAACAGTCCCCAGAGTGTGACATTTCCCTTCCTGTGTCCATGTGATCTCATTGTTCAATTCCCACCTATGAGTGAGAATATGCGGTGTTTGGTTTTTTGTTCTTGCGATAGTTTACTGAGAATGATGGTTTCCAATTTCATCCATGTCCCTACAAAGGACATGAACTCATCATTTTTTATGGCTGCATAGTATTCCATGCTGTATATGTGCCACATTTTCTTAATCCAGTCTATCATTGTTGGACATTTGGGTTGGTTCCAAGTCTTTGCTATTGTGAATAATGCCGCAATAAACATACGTGTGCATGTGTCTTTATAGCAGCAAGATTTATAGTCCTTTGGGTATATACCCAGTAATGGGATGGCTGGGTCAAATGGTATTTCTAGTTCTAGATCCCTGAGGAATCACCACACTGACTTACACAGTGGTTGAACTAGTTTACAGTCCCACCAACAGTGTAAAAGTGTTCCTATTTCTCCACATCCTGTCCAGCACCTGTTGTTTCCTGACTTTGTAATGATTGCCATTCTAACTGGTGTGAGATGGTATCTCATTGTGGTTTTTATTTGCATTTCTCTGGACATGAAGTCCTTGCCCATGCCTATGTCCTGAATGGTGATGCCTAGGTTTTCTTGTAGGGTTTTTATGGTTTTAGGTCTAACGTTTAAGTCTTTAATCCATCTTGAATTGATTTTTGTGTAAGGTGTAAGGAAGGGATCCAGTTTCAGCTTTCTACATATGGCTAGCCAGTTTTCCCAGCACCATTTACTAAATAGGGAATCCTTTCCCCATTGCTTGTTTTTCTCAGGTTTGTCAAAGATTAGATAGTTGTAGATATATGGCGTTATTTCTGAGGGCTCTGTTCTGTTCCATTGATCTATATCTCTGTTTTGGTACCAGTACCATGCTGTTTTGGTTACTGTAGCCTTGTAGTATAGTTTGAAGTCAGGTAATGTGATGCCTCCAGCTTTGTTCTTTTCGCTTAGGATTGCCTTGGCGATGCGGGCTCTTTTTTGGTTCCATATGAACTTTAAAGTAGTTTTTTCCAATTCTGTGAAGAAAGTCATTGGTAGCTTGATGGGGATGGCATTGAATCTGTAAATTACCTTGGGAAGTATGGCCATTTTCATGATATTGATTCTTCCTACCCATGAGCTTGGAATGTTCTTCCATTTGTTTGTATCCTCTTTTATTTCCCTGAGCATTGGTTTGTAGTTCTCCTTGAAGAGGTCCTTCACATCCCTTGTAAGTTGGATTCCTAGGTATTTTATTCTCTTTGAAGCAATTGTGAATGGGAGTTCACTCATGATTTGGCTCTCTGTTTGTCTGTTGTTGGTGTATAAGAATGCTTGTGATTTTTGTACATTGATTTTGTATCCTGAAACTTTGCTGAAGTTGCTTATCAGCTTAAGGAGATTTTGGGCTGAGACAATGGGGTTTTCTAGATATACAATCATGTCATCTGCAAACAGGGACAATTTGACTTCCTCTTTTCCTAATTGAATACCCTTTATTTCCTTCTCCTGCCTAATTGCCCTGGCCAGAACTTCCAACACTATGTTGAATAGGAGTGGTGAGAGAGGGCATCCCTGTCTTGTGCCAGTTTTCAAAGGGAATGCTTCCAGTTTTTGCCCATTCAGTATGATATTAGCTGTGGGTTTGTCATAGATAGCTCTTATTATTTTGAAATACGTACCATCAATACCTAATTTATTGAGAGTTTTTAGCATGAAGGGTTGTTGAATTTTGTCAAAGGCTTTTTCTGCATCTATTGAGATAATCATGTGGTTTTTGTCTTTGGCTCTGTTTATATGCTGGATTAGATTTATTGATTTGCGTATATTGAACCAGCCTTGCATCCCAGGGATGAAGCCCACTTGATCATGGTAGATAAGCTTTTTGATGTGCTGCTGGATTCGTTTTGCCAGTATTTTATTGAGGATTTTTGCATCAATGTTCATCAAGGATATTGGTCTAAAATTCTCTTTTTTGGTTGTGTCTCTGCCCGGGTTTGGTATCAGAATGATGCTGGCCTCATAAAATGAGTTAGGGAGGATTCCCTCTTTTTGTATTGATTGGAATAGTTTCAGAAGGAATGCTACCAGTTCCTCCTTGTACCTCTGGTAGAATTCGGCTGTGAATCCATCTGCTCCTGGACTCTTTTTTGTTGGTAAACTATTGATTATTGCCACAATTTCAGCTCCTGTTATTGATCTATTCAGAGATTCAACTTCTTCCTGGTTTAGTCTTGGGAGAGTGTATGTGTCGAGGAATTTATCCATTTCTTCTAGATTTTCTAGTTTATTTGCGTAGAGGTGTTTGTAGTATTCTCTGATGGTAGTTTGTATTTCTGTGGGATCGGTGGTGATATCCCCTTTATCATCTTTTATTGCATCTATTTGATTCTTCTCTCTTTTATTCTTTATTAGTCTTGCTAGCGGTCTATCAATTTTGTTGATCCTTTCAAAAAACCAGCTCCTGGATTCATTAATTTTTTGAAGGGTTTTTTGAGTCTCTATTTCCTTCAGTTCTGCTCTGATTTTAGTTATTTCTTGCCTTCTGCTAGCTTTTGAATGTGTTTGCTCTTGCTTTTCTAATTCTTTTAATTGTGATGTTAGGGTGTCAATTTTGGGTCTTTCCTGCTTTCTCTTGTGGGCATTTAGTGCTATAAATTTCCCTCTACACACTGCTTTGAATGTGTCCCAGAGATTCTGGTATGTTGTGTCTTTGTTCTCGTTGGTTTCAAAGAACATCTTTATTTCTGCCTTCATTTCGTTATGTACCCAGTAGTCATTCAGGAGCAGGTTGTTCAGTTTCCATGTAGTTGAGCGGTTTTGAGTGAGATTCTTAATCCTGAGTTCTAGTTTGATTGCACTGTGGTCTGAGAGATAGTTTGTTATAATTTCTGTTCTTTTACATTTGCTGAGGAGAGCTTTACTTCCAAGTATGTGGTCAATTTTGGAATAGGTGTGGTGTGGTCCTGAAAAAAATGTATATTCTGTTGATTTGGGGTGGAGAGTTCTGTAGATGTCTATTAGGTCCGCTTGGTGCAGAGCTGAGTTCAATTCCTGAGTATCCTTGTTAACTTTCTGTCTCGTTGATCTGTCTAATGTTGACAGTGGGGTGTTAAAGTCTCCCATTATTAATGTGTGGGAGTCTAAGTCTCTTTGTAGGTCACTCAGGACTTGCTTTATGATTCTGGGTGCTCCTGTATTGAGTGCATATATATTTAGGATAGTTAGCTCTTCTTGTTGAATTGATCCCTTTACCATTATGTAATGGCCTTCTTTGTCTCTTTTGATCTTTGTTGGTTTAAAGTCTGCTTTATCAGAGACTAGGATTGCAACCCCTGCGTTTTTTTGTTTTCCATTTGCTTGGTAGATCTTCCTCCATTTATTTTGAGCCTATGTGTGTCTCTGCACGTGAGATGGGTTTCCTGAATACAGCACACTGATGGGTCTTGACTCATTATCCAATTTTGCCAGTCTGTGTCTTTGAATTGGAGCCTTTAGTCCATTTACATTTAAAGTTAATATTGTTATGTGTGAATTTGATCCTGTCATGATGATGTTAGCTGGTGATTTTGCTCGTTAGTTGATGCAGTTTCTTCCTAGTCTGGATGGTCTTTACATTTTGGCATGATTTTGCAGCGGCTGGTACCGGTTATTCCTTTCCATGTTTAGCACTTCCTTCAGGAACTCTTTTAGAGCAGGCCTGGTGGTGACAAAATCTCTCAGCATTTGCTTGTCTATAAAGGATTTTATTTCTCCTTCGCTTATGAAGCTTAGTTTGGCTGGATATGAAATTCTGGGTTGAAAATTCTTTTCTTTAAGAATGTTGAATATTGGCCCCCACTCTCTTCTGGCTTGCAGGGTTTCTGCCGAGAGATCTGCTCTTAGTCTGATGGACTTCCCTTTGAGGGTAACCCGACCTTTCTCTCTGTCTGCCCTTAACATTTTTTCCTTCATTTCAACTTTGGTGAATCTGACAATTATGTGTCTTGGAGTTGCTCTTCTCGAGGAGTATCTTTGTGGCGTTCTCTGTATTTCCTGAATCTGAACGTTGGCCTGCCTTGCTAGATTGGGGAAGTTCTCCTGGATAATATCCTGCAGAGTGTTTTCCAACTTGGTTCCATTCTCCCCATCACTTTCAGGTACACCAATCAGACGTAGATTTGGTCTTTTCACATAGTCCCATATTTTTTGGAGGCTTTCCTCATTTCTTTTTATTCTTTTTTCTCTAAACTTTCCTTCTCGCTTCATTTCATTCATTTCATCTTCCATCGCTGATACCCTTTCTTCCAGTTGATCGCATCGGCTCCTGAGGCTTCTGCATTCTTCATGTAGTTCTCGAGCCTTGGTTTTCAGCTCCATCAGCTCCTTTAAGCACTTCTCTGTATTGGTTATTCTAGTTATACATTCTTCTAAATTTTTTTCAAGTTTTCAACTTCTTTGCCTTTGGTTTGAATGTCCTCCCGTAGCTCAGAGTAATTTGATTGTCTGAAGCCTTCTTCTCTCAGCTCATCAAAGTCATTCTCCATCCAGCTTTGTTCCGTTGCTGGTGAGGAACTGCGTTCCTTTGGAGGAGGAGAGGCGCTCTGCGTTTTAGAGTTTCCAGCTTTTCTGTTCTGTTTTTTCCCCATCTTTGTGGTTTTATCTATTTTGGTCTTTGATTGTGTGGATGTCCTTTCTGTTTGTTAGTTTTCCTTCTAACAGAGAGGACCCTCAGCTGCAGGTCTGTTGGAGTACCCTGCAGTGTGAGGTGTCAGTGTGCCCCTGCTGGGGGGTGCCTCCCAGTTAGGCTGCTCGGGGGTCAGGGGTCAGGGACCCACTTGAGGAGGCAGTCTGCCCGTTCTCAGATCTCCAGCTGGGTGCTGGGAGAACCACTGCTCTCTTCAAAGCTGTCAGACAGGGACATTGAAGTCTGCAGAGGTTGCTGCTGTCTTTTTGTTTGTCTGTGCCCTGCCCCCAGAGGTGGAGCCTACAGAGGCAGGCAGGCCTCCTTGAGCTGTGGTGGGCTCCACCCAGTTCCAGCTTCCTGGCTGCTTTGTTTACCTAAGCAAGCCTGGGCAATGGCGGGCGCCCCTCCCCCAGCCTCGCTGTGGCCTTGCAGTTTGATCTCAGACTGCTGTGCTAGCAATCAGCGAGACTCCGTGGGCGTAGGACCCTCCGAGCCAGGTGCGGGATATGATCTCATGGTGCGCCGTTTTTTAAGCCGGTCTGAAAAGCGCAATATTCGCGTGGGAGTGACCCGATTTTCCAGGTGCGTCCATCACCCCTTTCTTTGACTGGGAAAGGGAACTCCCTGACCCCTTGCGCTTCCCAAGTGAGGCAATGCCTCGCCCTGCTTCGGCTCGCGCATGGTGCGCGCACCCACTGACCTGCGCCCACTGTCTGGCACTCCCTAGTGAGATGAACCCGGTACCTCAGATGGAAACGCAGAAATCACCCGTCTTCTGCGTCGCTCACACTGGGAGCTGTAGACAGGAGCTGTTCATATTCGGCCATCTTGGCTCCTCCCCGCCCATATGCTTCTTCAGCAGAGCCTGAAACCTCTTTTTGGAACTTCCTGATTCATAAATCACTATTTTCCCAAATAAACTCTTTAAAAATTTTATTGTGTCCCAGTTTATCTTTTAATGGTGCCATAGGTCTAAATATTTGAAAATTATAAATCAAACTAATAAACTAAGTCAATTATGTATTATCCTTCCTGCCTTGAAAAATATTTCTTAATAACAACCTGTCAGGCTGAGCTCAAATTTGAAACTGTCAGACCTTCCAAATTCTGGGTTGAAGTGGAGTAGCACAGGGACTGTCGCTTCCTGGCTTCCTCCCTACTCAGGGACAAGCTCCCTTTGCTTCCCTCCCCCAGCTCCCTCAGTGCGGTGGGGTCTTGTCTTCACAGGTGTGGACAGACATCTTCATTTACGTGATTCCACTCTTCTCAGCTCTCTCTTGGCAACTCTGTGAATTGTGGCCAGGCCAATTTGCGGGACAGACTTAGAGAAGGCAGACCCTGGAAGCAGACTTGAGGCCACTTGGGCAGTGAGTTCTCAGGTTCCAAGTACCAAGAAAGGGATCTGGAATGGAGAGGCACCACTTCTGTGGAAGTAGGGGGCTGGGGGGAATACCTCCCTTGGCCCTGTGGACTTCTCATTCTATGAGGAGGAGCACTGCTAGAAGAGGACCAGACTAGGGCCCACAATGCATTGCCTCCCAAACTTTAAGATTAATTAGAATTATCTGGAGGATTTATTAAAACACGCTGGATTTCTGACTGACTAGGTCTGGGTTGTGTTCTAAGAATTTGCATTTCTAACAAGTCTGTAGGTAATACTGATGCTGCTGTTCTGAGAACAATTTGAGAAACATTGCTCTAAGCATGGGATCCTTTTTGCTCAAATTTAAGGGAGGGAGTATACTGAATCTAGGAGTGTTTCTGGTAAAGAAAAACTCAGAGACAAGTGAGGCCGTGGTATATAGATGGGATTGATCCTCATACTTTCTAAAGCTCCAGCCATTGGGAAATCACTCATTGGGAAGGAAAGGCCTGTTTGCCCAGTGAGTGGGCCACAATGTGTATATATGGGGATATTGCCACATGAAATTACATCTATCTAGACCTCCAGGGTCAAATACCAGAACTCTTGGGTGAGATGTCTTCCTTTATTATTATCTTTGTGTAGCAGTAGTGATCATGAGTCAGAAATATGCTGGAACTTAGACTGTATCTTATGTACATTTTTCCTTAGAATTTCTTACATTGTCCTTGTTTTATGTCCCTGTAGTACAGCTCCAGCTGGACATGGTAAGCCTCCAAGCTGGTAGCTTTTGTAATGAAACACCCAGTGGATCAAGTTGCCTAGTAATCTGTATAACACTCATCTGATGAGTAAAAATAACATGTTCAAGTTTTTCTAGGAACTGTTTATCTACTTTGGCAGTAAAAATTACATCAAGGCTGAAACTTAGCTGTGAAATCAATACCAAATGGATTTATTTAACACGTGCAAGAGAAAATGGCAGACATGTCTGTTAATCTGATGACATTTTGTGCTGTTCTTGAAAGTTCATTATTTAACTAATGTGTCTGCATGAGAAGACTGAACTTTGAAATATTATTAGATATTCTGTCTAAAGTAGAGGTTGTAACACATGAGGCTTAATATGTGATATATATTTTTTTCTGTACAGCATGTCCCCAAACATTAATGCTGTGCTTTAAAATTTGGGCTATATAGATTTGGCCTCTCCTCTCTCTTTCATTGTGGAATCTTTGCAAGGCTATCTTAATTCCTTAGAATGACTTTGTGTGTGTGTGTGTGTGTGTGTGTGTGTGTGTCCAGCAAATGAAATCTTTCTTTTTCCTTCCTTTAAGTTATATGCCAAGGTCACTTCCTGCAGGTGTGTCTGGTCTGATTCCTTCTTATGGAGTTCAGGGCCAGCAGGCAGTTTGCCAAGCTACAGAGATTTGGCCAGGTGCCAAGCCCGAGCCTGAACTAAAGCAGTACAGTCGGTTACAGAATTTATAGAAGCAGGCAAGCTCTGAGAGTCAGTGCAAATTGAAGATATTTGTAGCAGGATCATGCAAAAGATCCAAGAGACAAGAAAAAAGAATGACAGACTATGGCATGGGCAAAGCAGAACAAGGACTTGGGGTGTAAGATGAGTTAGTACTTAGGGTCCAGAGGACTTAGAGTGTTTAATTCCATAAGAAACTTCCAAATTGTTTTCTACAGTGACTGTACTATTTTGCATTCCCACTAATGAGATATGAGAGTGCCTGTTGGTTTGCATCCTTGCCATCACTTGAGTAGGTATTTTTAATTTTAGTCTTCTACTAGACATGTAATGGTATTTCACTGCAGATTTAATTTGGATTTTCCTAATAACTAATGATGTTAAGCATCTTTTAATGTGCTTATTTTCCATCTGTGTATCTTTTTTGGTGATCAGTCTGTTCAGATATTTTGCCTGGTCATCTCTCGAGTCTAGATGTCATTATTGGGTTACCTGCATTTATCAACCTTTCAGAGTTTTCTGATCATTGCTTTATGTGTTTAACCCAAGGTTTTAAATTGCACTTCATGGGAAAAATAGGGTTAAATATGCTTCCTCCATTTAGTCTGGACCCAGACAGTCTGAACCTCTAGAAAGTGTTGTCTCTACTTGCTGACTTCCTTTCTCCTTACTTTTCAACCCACTCCAAGTTATGTTTAGTTTCATTACCTCCATCAAATCTCTCATCAAGGCCTCCAGTGACTTTCACATTGCTAAATCCAACTGGATTTCATTTAATCTTTTGGTAGAATTTGACATTCTCATTTTTGAAACTCTCTTTTCCCTTGACTTTCATGACATAATAATCTTAGTTTTATTCTACTTATGTGCTGCCTCTTCTCTGTCTCCTAAGGATTAAAATCCTTGGCCTAGCCATTAAATATTGTAATTCTTTAAGGCTTATTCCTGGAGATTCTTTTCTTTTATTCCCCATTCTCTTCCTAAGCAATTCCATCTGTGCCTACAACTTCAATAATTATCTGTATGCAGGTGGATTATAAACTTATATAATCATCTAGGATTTCTTCTCTGAACTCCAGACATTATTGTCCATCTGCATCCTTGATGTCTCAATTTTAAACTGTATATGGTCAGGAATGATCTCATGATCATCCATGCAAAATCTCATCATTCCAGTGTTCTGTCTCTATTTTGTTCTGTTGTCATATCTGACATCTTCTTTTTCTTCATCCTTCAATATTCAATATTTCACAATTGATTTCACCTCTTAAATACCTCACATCTCTTTATCTCCCCTACCATAATCATAGTTCAAGCCTGTATCATCACTCACTGGGATCATCACAATTGTCTTTTATCTGTTGCCCTGAATCCCATACTTCCTTTTTCAGTCCAAATGAGCTTCTTAACAAACTGTCTGGTCATGCCAATCTGCCTGCTAAAAAATGATTTGCTTTTAAAATAATCCTTGTCTTAGGCCACAAGACCTTGTTTTGATCTTGTTCTTGCCTAACTCTTCAGCTTAATCAATTAATTCATTCAAGCACTCATTTAATAAATATTTATTAAGTGTCTACTATGTGTCAGGAACTGTTCTTGTTGCTGGACATATGGCAGTAAATGAACAGAATCCTAGTTTTCATCCAGCTTATATTCTAGTGAGAGGATACACACACAGAACACATACACAAGCAAACGGCATGTCATTTGGTGATGAGTGAGAAGATGCAACAGGTATCGATGTAAGGGGGCAGAGAATTATGGGGAAGGTGTTAATGGAATTGCCAGGGGAACCCCAATGAGAAGGTGATATTTAAGCAGAGACTTGAAGAAAGAGAGCAAGCCATGCCAAAATCTGAGAGAAGGACATTCCAGGCACAGGGAACAACAAGTGGAAAGACACTGAGGTAGGAGTATGCTTGGGTGTCCAAGACTCACTGAGAAGAGGAAGAGTCAGGAGGAAGAGCAGTAGGAGATGACATAAGAAATATATTAGGGGTCTGTTTGTAGAGGGCTTGTAAGCCATGGTAGACTTCATATTTTATTTTGCATCAGATGAGAAGACATGGGTGAGTTTCAAGCAGAAGCACGCCTCTTCTACAGTCATTGCACCAGAGCTCCCTGTTGGACAAGTCAAGGCTTCTGCAGAGGTATAATGATATCTGAGGCTTTCCCTCTTCGGTCCTCTTTTCTTCCCTATATGCTTTCAAAGGTGTTGGCCCTGTATCATGGTCTGAAGCCTCTCCCTGCCTTCTCTTCCTCCCTCTCACCAAGTAAATCCCTTGCACTTGTGACTTCCTCTCAGCAGCTGCTTGGAGTACTCACCTGAAACAATCATCAAGCACCAAGTCTTCCCAAGCAAAACATTCTATTATTTCACTTTAATATTTTCTTAGATGCTAAAATTCAATTGGTTATCAAGTCTTGTAAATTTTTCAGAAAAAAAAAATGTCCCTCTAACCCTATGATTCTCAAAGTGATTTTTGCCATATTTTTTTGGGATCCAAAATTCCAAGTATTTTAAAAATTTACATTTTAGAGCTTGATGAAACTTTATTACTAAGCATCACACAATTTCAGTATCCATTTTAATCAGTCAGGGTTCAATCAGAAGACAAAAACCACACCAATAATTTGAAGAGAAAAAATATATATAATGAATTATTAACTACTAAATGCTGGTTAACTATCAAAAGGAGTAAAATAAGATTCTTAAGGATACAGACATACCAAATGCAAAAAGAAGCTATGACCTGTAGAGCTGAGAGAACGTGAACAAGAAAAAAATTATATACTCAAAAGGACTCACCCAAAGCTGAGATTCAGACCTTATTACAGATAGTGTTGTTGTCACAGAAACGTGTAGCTTGCTGGGAGTAAGGAAACTTGCCAGAAGGCATAGACTGGAGCTGGTTTCTAGAACTAGTTCACTAAGTAGCTGAGAGGCTTGAGAAAAGGTGAGAGTGGGTCCCAGCTGGTTCATAGAGGCAGTCCGCTCAGTGATTGATGAAACTCGTAATGTAGGCTACAGGTGTTGCATGAGAGCTACTGAGGTGAGTTCTCCTAGGCCTCTCATTTTTAATATTCAGGCAGCTGCTCCTCAAACAGCACATTAGAACTAGTGGTAAAAGGCCCTCCCTGTTGCTGTGCTTAGCATTGCTCCAGTATCCTCTATTGACAAAACCTAACATGGATTCAGCTGGTAATAGAGAAATATTCACAGGGTCTAGCTCCAGTGGCATAAGGCAAAGAAGGTTAGATTTGGAGTCAAGGAACAATAAATTATATATTCATAAGTAAAGGCCAAATAGTGTCCTAGGATGTTGTAGTTGACAATATCAGTTCTCCACCCATATCCCCTCCAATCCCCTTATCATTTTCATGCACACTGATTCATGGCCTGCTTTCACACTCAGCAGATGGCACCTGTATATCTTTGTCAGAGGGTAACCCTCAGGTTGCTAGAGACTGCCTTCCTGAAGTGCTTGGTAATTTATGTCTCCCTAGGGACAGCCTTTATCCAATGACTAATGGGTGTGATGAATGCATGCATATAAATATTTAGGCTCCCTAGTCCTTAGTCAGGAGAACTCTGGAGTGTGACCCACTCCATCTTCAGAGATCCTCTGCAGGATTCAGCCAACCATCTTCTCTGCAGGACTTTCCTTGGTATAATGCCTTCACTTGGCTTTCTTTCCTAGCTTGTCCCATTTCTTCACTCGCCTACTTAGTTTTTCCTGAGAACACTTCCTAATCAATTTCTTTTATTAGAATTCTTATCTTAAAGATGGACTCTAGAGAACTCAAATGCAGTCATATGCTATATAAATAAAAGTTTTTCAGTAGTTTGAGAAAAGTATGGCAAAAGTAGAATGGAAACATCACATGACATGTGGTAGTGAGAAATGCTGAACTAAAAGGGTTAATATACATGTGCCTTGCCATTTATCTTCGTATCTGTGGTGTGAATTAAAGATTGACACAGAACAGATCATGGCAAATATTAATTTGTACCAGATCCCTAGCAGCAGAAGTACAGTTGTAAATATGTTATGAGAAATTTTTATGTTCCCAAGTTCAATAATAACCACATTAGGTAACTGTTTAATCCAGATTTTGATAATGTCACAATTCTCTTAGAATACACAAGAAACTCACTTCACAGAGGTACTAGAAAACATCTTATTAAAACTGCCATTATAGAAGTGCTCACTGGCAGAGTTTTGATTAAGTTTAAGGTTGGAAACAGAACCTTGAAGTTATTGATATACCATTTTGCAAAATATACTTATGCAAATGGTCATTTCTAACACAAGTATTATGAAAGTAGATTAAAAATAAAATTAGTTTTGAGGCTATATGTTGTTTTCTATTAAATGAAACAACAGACATTTAATTTCAGTAGACCAATATAATGTTATGTTTAAATTAATATTAATTTGAATTTTATTAATTTCATAATGTTGTTTGTATTTAATTTAAATATGGTTTAGGTTTTATTGTTGTATGTGAGCTATAGCATAAAGAGTTTGTGCCTAATTTTGAATCTTTATATTTTAAGTAATATGATAAAAACAGTGGAGAGGTATTGATAGTCTCAATAATACATTTCATGAAAAGGGTGTCATATATTACTGAATTTGGGGAACAGTTCTTTAATCCATTTATTTAGATCTATTGAATCCATTTAATTTAAAACTTCCCCCTGTACCAGTAACAGCAGCATCAACTTGAAATTTGTTAGAGTTGCAAATTCCTAGGCCAGCCAGACCTGCTGAATCAGAAACTCTGGGGTGTGAACCCAGTGACCTGGGTTTTAACAATCCCACAGGTGACTCTGATGCATATTGAAGTTGGAGAAAACTGCTCTAGTTCTTCCTCTTCTCTTCTAGGCTGTCATCCTCTCTTGAGTCTCTTTGACTACAATCTCTCCACTCCTAATTGTCCTTCTTGCAGCTGTGAAAGGGATCGTTCTAGAGCATATTTATTATGCTACATCCCCTGAAAGTACCTTTAACAGTTAACCCATCGTGGACAGTTTTCCTGTGTGTTAAATGGAAATAATAATACTCATCTTCAAGTGGTTGTCAGGGTAAGCATCAGGTAATTCACTCTGTGGTAATGGCCACTATTGTCATCATTCTCCCCATCACTTTTGCCATCAGCAGTAGCATTCTCCATTGATGAAAGACTTAATTACAAATGTTTTGTAAGTTTGGGAAATCATCCTCCTTTTTGGAAAGCATCCTCAATTTACCAGCTTTTCTTGTATTAGGCACCTAACTTGCAATTTATGTTAAGAATCTCAGGTATGCCTGTTTCTGACTTTGAGGTGGGAGTGAGCAATGTGGAGAAGCAGTGAAGGATTCATGCTGGCGGCGGGACTGCAGCAACTGCAGCTGCTAATGGTGGGGCCAGCATCCAGAGGTGTCTGCACAGAAGCTGTAGCATGGTGCGGACAATGGTGTCATCCTGAGGCTGATTTGGGGGTTAATTTGCTGTGGCTTGGGTTGCTTAGTTTCTCTTTTCTTTGCCTGTGTTCTGTGCCTGATTTTCCAGGTTTTTAGAAGATTCTGTGAGTTACTCTTGATCTATTTAAACACATGCTTTCTTTTCTTGGGCATAAGCCAGCCAATCACAGTGTCTCTTGCTTACAATGAAGCAATTGACCAGTACAAGCCTCAAACTTTACTTCCAGATTCATCACTCATCACTTTCCTTCTCTACAAGCCTAAGGTTTTAACAATCCTGGAGCATTCACCATTTCACAAATACATCACATCATTTTTTGGCCTCTTTATCTGCACTTAGGATGCTCCCTCTGCCTGAGAAATTCTTCTCGTCACCTATTTTGCTGAGTGAAATCCTGCTTATCCTTTAACACCCACTAATTATTGCCAGAATTAATTTCTCACTATTGATGATTGAATATCTAATGGGTATCCTACTTGTACTCTGAACAAGAATACTGAAATAAAACCCTGAGATGTTTAGAAAAACAACTTACAAAAATCTCAAAAACTTCCTTTAGCTAGTAGGTCAGTAGGACGCACCCTATCCATCATTTCCATAACTAACACTGCCTAATGGGGGATTTATATAATTTAGGCATTATAATTGAGTAAAAGATAATATATGTTTTAGCATCTTGGCATAACTAGTCCAGGATGAAGATTATTGATAAAAAGAAACAATGTATAGTCATGTGCCACATAAGGATGTTTAGATTGATGACAAACCACTTGAATAACTGTGGACCCATAAGATCACAGAACTGGCTGGGTGCGGTGGCTCATGCCTGTAATCCCAGCACTTTGGGAAGCCGAGGCGGGCAGATCACGAGGTCAGGAGATCGAGACCATCCTGGCTAACACGGTGAAACCCCGTCTCTACTAAAAATACAAAAAATTAGCCGGGCGCAGTGGCAGGCGCCTGTAGGCCCAGCTACTCGTGAGGCTGAGGCAGGAGAACGGCGTGAACCCAGAAGACGGAGCTTGCAGTGAGCCGAGATAGTGCCACTGCAGTCCGGCCTGGGCGAAAGAGAGAGACTCCGTCTCAAAAAAAAAAAAAAAAAAAAGATTATAGAACTGTATTTTTACCTTTTCTACATTTAGTTATGTTTAGATGCACAAATACTTACCACTGTGTTATAATGGTCTGCAGTATTCAGTACAGTAACATGATGTGCAGGTTTGTAACCCAGGAGCAATAGTTTATACCATACAGCCTGTACCATGGAGGTTTGTGTAAGTATACTCTGTGGTTCACACAACAACAAAATCACCTCACGATGCATTTCTCAAAACGTATCCCTTTTGTAAAGCAACACATGACTGTATAAATAAAGCCATGAAGTCAACTGGTCTCATATTGTACTTAGGCCCAGTGCTGCATATTGTGTGTGACCCTCCAATGTGTATTCCACCCTCTCTATTTGTGTAGCAGCCAAGTGGTTTAGAGCACTGACTCTAGGTCCAAAGGTGTATCTTTATTAGTTGGAGGCAACAGTGATTATTGATGGTTTGGAAACCCAAACATAATCCAATCCCATATGATATTATCCTTGGCTAAGTGAAAACGTTGGCCCAATAAATAAAAAGATTTTTGATTTTCTGCCTACCTCACCCAACTTCCTTTTTTGTTTTTTGTTTTTTTGAGATGGAGTCTTTGTCACCTAGGCTAGAGTGCAATGGCATGATCATGGCTCACTGCAGCTTCTGTCTCCCAGGTTCAAGCAGTTCTCCTGCCTCAGCCTCCTGAGTAGCTGGGATTACAGACGCACACCACCATGCCCAGATAATTTTTGTATCTTTAGTAGAGACGGGGTTTCACCATGTTGGTCAGGCTGGTCTCGAACTCCCGACCTTGTGATCTACCTGCTTTGGCCTCCCAAAGTGTTGGGATTACAGGCATGAGCTACCGTGCCCAGCCCACTTCCATTTTTTAATCTATTTTTCTGGACACAAAAAGGAAACAAGGAACTTTAATGACTATCATGAACCAAACTACAACACCAAGTTTAAAGCTACCATGGTAGGCAGAAGAAAGAAAAGACAGAAAAAATCTAAGTCCTTGGTGACGTTGTTGAACTACTAGCCCACCAGCCCTGAATACTACCATATGAGGGTCCACTACACAGGGTCATGCAGTTTATGCATTTTACAGCTAGATTTACATAGACCAAGATATTAGTGGTTGCCTCGCAGTCCTTAGTCTGAACTTATTCATATTAAAACAATATATCACCTTTAATGCTTAAAACAGTTTGAACTTTTTCAAAGTTATTACTTGCAGACAAAAGGACTCTTAGATCTATATAACAAATATACCTGTATTTCCCCTATTTGTTACTTCAAATTGCATCTGGTTTCCTGGTACTATTGACAGCTCCTTGAGAGTAGGCAGCATATGTGTCATCTTCGTGTAGCTTGGATTTGTCCTTGTACCTGTCACAGTAGCAGAATTTCATTAATTTTGGTCAAATTTAAATTTCATTATCTTTTATATTTATGTTCTATTTCTGTAACTGAATTTAATGGCATCTTTGGAAAAGGCTATTTACGATAATGCTTTTATATCCCTGATACCTATTACAAGAAATATACTAAATTTATGTAGTTGGTTAATAATTGATATTGCAGTTATTATTTATTAGGCACTTTCTACTTTTGTAGCCAATTGTGACTCTTGATACTTCACATGCAATAATTTACTTAATCTCCACCAGTAACTTTCCAAGTAAGAGTATTACCACCACTTTGCAGATAAAACAGTCTTAGGAAAGTTACTGACCTGTGCAAGGTTGAAGTTGTCATAAATGTAAGACTATGAGTTCAAACTCAAATCCATCTGGCTCAATGATAAAGATGATAATGATAACGATGCAACATATAAGTTTCTTCCCTGCTCTGACATTCTACTATTATATGACTTTATTCCAAGAAAATAAATCCAGGCCTCAGGGAATTTATGTTCAAAAATGAAAATGAGCCTGATCATTTCATCCTTGCCCCAGGACACCACACTCCCACTCAAAAAGTCAGCAAACGGCTCCAACCACCCACTGCCTGGGATGGTCTGAAAACCGAGGCAGCAGGGGTGAACACCAGAGGGTCATAAATCAGTGAGAGCCAAAGTACTGATAAATATGCTCATGCACTGAAGAGCCATTTACTGGGACCTTCTGTTCTGCTCCCATATCTCAACAAAAATGAAGCATGAGTCAATCACACCAAGATACCAATGTCAGATAATCAGTGGCTCAATCATGCAACAATTCTCACCAGCCTCACATGCCCAACAGTGGGCCAGACCCAGCAGGAGGCTGAGGAGAAGTAAATGGGCTTGTAATACATCTGGGGAGATGAGCAAAATGTATACATGAAAAGATGACTAACACATAAGGTAATGTATGCTAAAAGCTAAATGAATAATGTAGAAGGAAATGTCAAACTGAGAAAGAATTTCAATGTGAAAGATCACTGGGGGCCGACTGAGATGATCAAAGAAAGCTTCAAAGAAATGGCAGAGCATGACCTGGCTTTGACAAATAAGGAAGTTCAGAGGGGCAGAGAGAAGACACATTAGAGGACACCATATAGATATACATGTGACCAAAGTGCTGTTAGGAAAATGAAATGAGAAGATCACTAAGTTCAATGGGGACCAACTCAATGATCTGGAGTGCTAATATAAGGGGTGTGGATTTCATCCTATGGGAGTGGAATTTCTGGAAAGCTGGGGGCGAAGAGATGACCTGAGAAAATAGAAGCAAGACTGACTCCTTAATGGATTTCATAGACCTTGAGTTTTCTTGGGTAACTCGTTTTACCAGTATTGGAATAAATATGGGCCAAATTAGACCAACACTCTAAATCTGCTGGTACTATTCCTTAGGAAATAATTTCTCTGTAATATTTCTGAGTCTCCTAGACTTATGGTGATTTGCTCTTCTTTTCTCCTTGACTGTTGGCAGCCATGAAAGGGCAGCACCTTACTACTTCCATTGCTACTAAGGCCTCACAACAACACTGATGCCCCTGCCCTACGTAGATATTGTCCCAGTGCTATTTTGAATTGTGCAGGCACTGTTATCTTTGCCAGGTCAAAACCACTCACTGAACCTTCTCACCTGGCCTCCATCTCCTTACTGAGTGCCTTATAAAAACTGGACTTTCACTTTCTCTCTCTAGGGCCCAGATATGTGATAAAATCCAGGCTGGGATGCCATTTCTTAGGTAAACACTATGTGGTCTACCAATTCCAGTCATTTCCCAGAATCCTCTGGGCAAAATACAAACTTCAAAACATAAAAACCTTAAGCAAGCTGGCTCCTGGCTACTCTGCCCACCAGTCCATCAAATGTGCTCAGATATAGATGTTGACAGAACATGCCCTAGAGATTAAGGATGTTTGGTAGAGGGGGCTCAGCAATAGTGCAGGGCTGAAGATGGGGTGTTTACATTTAGGAAGAGTTGCTTCTTATCTGGCTGCACGAAATCAGAAACATGATTTCATTCCCTCTTTCACTGCAACTGTGCATTTTGCAAAAACAAGGCCTTCCTGGTCCAGTTAATAAGGTGCCTGCATCTAAAGGTAACATGGATGGAGGCCTCCAGACACACTCCTAAGTCACCTCTTCCAGAGATGGTTTGCAAGACTAAGTGGCAGCCAGTCACAGACAACATCATCTCAATTGCTTCTCAAACTGATGTTTTCTCAAACTCCAGACTAATACACTTGCTTGGTTAATTGAGATTAGGATGCACCAAAGGGAAATGAGACTACTTGGAAGAAGTGTGGGCAAAAACAAACACAAAAAAATACACATTGATCTCAGATGTATTTTTTTCCTGTCAAAACTAACTGCTAACATTGGCTTAGAAATAAAAATTTACCCTGTTTAATTTTTTAACTGGAATTAACCTGATGTAGTGGCTTGCACCAGCTCTGTGCTATCTACAAACACTTTCTTCAGGCCCTAGAACACAGTTTCCCTTGGCCTTTCAAATGTAGGATCATAAATGCAAAATGACTAGAGATATAGTGCTATTAGGTTTTATATACTTCTTGCTGGCTTCAACCAAGCATCTACTACTAGTGTGATGAGGTTGTTTATATTCAACAGGACACTACGTTTCAAAAGTCTATAAGTATTGATTTTACCATGAAAATGTTCTCATTTATTTCTGAAGTTGGCCCTCAATTGCTTGGGATTCTTTAGAGGGCGGAAATAAGGATGATTAAGATTGCAGTAAGCAGAGGGGTTCATCTACCCTGGTACTTCTTAAGTATCCTTCCTCCTGGATGCCATTGCTCAGAGGCATGACAAGATACAAATGACCACATGAGGTCAGCTTCTGCATTGCAGAATGACTCTACCCAGCCATTGCTCACAATGTAGCAGGATGTGTGCGGCAGTGCTGCCACTTGGCAGAGTGGGACTTGTATACTGTTGACACTGGCATGGCTGCAGTTTCAGTGGGACATACAGTGGGAAGGCAGCTGAGTATGACCAAGCAGAGATATTTTATTAATGGCAGGTTGACTATCTAGGATTCAGATACACACACACAACAACAACAACAACAACAACAACAACAACGCCCAGAGAAGCAGGGATTCAGAAACAGGAACTAAATAGAAATTATATGTCTGTCCTAAGCTCAAAAGGCAACAGGAAGAGAAAGAAGATTAGGCCAGAGTAAAGGCAACATTTCTCTAAGGCAATGGTCCTTGGATTTGAGCATCCTTAGCATCACCTGGTGGACTTGATAACATGCTGAATTCCAAGCCCACCTCCAGAGTTTCTTATTCAATAGATCTGAAGTGAGGCATGAAAAATTGCATTTCTAACAAGTTCCCAGGCAATGCATCTGCTGCTCAACCCAGGACCACATTTTAAGAATCACTGCTCTAAGGTTTTTGCAGTTGGAAAGACAACTGTTTTGGGGATCAGAGTCCTAAGTTCAGAGACAACAAGCTTGGCTTGAGGCTCAGCCTGCCTAGGCAGAAGAGTAGGAATAAAGAGAACAGGAATTCCATGTGGGAAAAAGCTGGTTTCTAAGATAGCATAGGAAATTAAAGAGGCAAAAAGGAGGAAATTTCCCATCAGAGAGTGTGGAGTTGGTATACAGAGATTTAGCACAGAGGAGCAGGCCCATGCCAGAGCACAGCAGCAGCACCTCTGATGAGAGGACGGAAGCCAGCTGGCTATGAACCTGAGCTCAGCACTGGTGGATTTGGTGAGGTCACTGGCTAGAAGTAGCTAAGGTTAGCAGAGGTGTCCATTGTGACAGGAAATTCAGGACCACTTGAATGTAGCTGGAATCGGGATAAGAAGTGGGTCAGGCATAAGGCAAGCAGATAAATCCAGAATGCTCAGGGAAAGGCAAAGGGAATGTACAAAGGGATTAGCAGGTGGTCCCAAACCAGAAGATTCCCGGGAATTAAAGAATTACGGCATGGAATGAGAGATGCAGGCGGGGAATCACAGTCTGGGCTCAGCAACAAGGTTCCAAAATCAGGCAAGGAAAGTGGGAAGCGTGTTCTACCAGAAATCTGAGCAGCAGGTGCAGGAACCAGAAAGATGCAAGTGATTTGTCTGCTGGATTTCAGTAACTTTTAGTTACTTTCTAAAGTTGTAGAAACTAACATTAAGCTTGGCTGACCTGGATTCATCAGGCATGTGGATGAATCTGCAGCAGCGCAATCCACCTGGCTGTTAAGTCCTGACACCCAAGGCCTTCTTCACATTCACTTAGCAGCTTCCATGAGGGACGTTGAAAAATTAAAATTCATATGTCCAGATTATTTTAATTCAGAGCCATTTAAGCCAATGTTCAATGGCTCTAAATTTCATCATTTTCTGAACTTGAATTGGTACAGCATAGATATTTGCAGACCCAAAATATATCAATTGAGATCACACGGACAGGTAGAGGAGAATAGACACTGGGGCCTACCGGAGGGTGGAGAGTGGGAGGAAGAAGAGGATCAGGAAAGTTAACTAATGGGTACTAGACTTACTTAATAACCGGGTGATAAAATAATCTGTACAACAAACTCCCATGACACAAGTTTACCTATGTAATAAACCTGCACGTGTACCCCAAACCTAAAACAAAAATAAAAAACAAAAAACTAAAAATACATTAAAAAGTTTTAAAGGCTGGATGCGGTGGCTCACTCCTGAAATCCCAGCACTTTGGGAGGCCGAGGTGGGTGGATTGCCTGAGATCAGTTCAAGACCAGCCTGGCCAACATAGTGAAACCCCATCTCTACTAAAAATATAAAAAAATAGGTGGGCAGGGTGGCAGGGTGCCTGTAATCCCAGCTACTCAGGAGGCTGAGGCAGGAGAATCGCTTGAAACCAGGAGGCAGAGGTTACAGTGAGCCAAGATCATGCCATTGCACTCCAGCCTGGGCAACGAGAGTGAAACTCCATCTCAAAAACAAATTAAAACAAAATAGGTATTTATTTTTATTTTTATTTTTTGAATTTTAATTTCAACAGCTTTTGGAGAATAGGTGGTTTTGTTTACATGGATAAGTTCTTTAGTGGTGATTTCTGAGACTTTGTTGCACCTGTCACCTGAGCAGTATACACTGTACCCAAAATGTAGTCTTTTGTCTCTCACCCCCTCCACCTTTTCCCTCAAGTCCCCAAAGTCCATTATACCATTATATACTTTTGTGTCTTCATACCTTAGTTCCCACTTATAAGTGAGAACATACTATATTTGGTTTTCCATTCCTGAGTTACTTCACTTAGAATAATGCCCTTCAACTCCATCCAAGTTGCTGCAAAAGCCATTATTTCTTTCCATTTTATGACTGAGTAGTATTCCATGATGTATGTATGTCACATTTCCTTTATCCTCTCATTGGTCAATAGTTATTTAGGTTGCTTCCATATCTTTGCAGTTGCGAATTGTGCTGCCATAAACGTGTGCGAGTGTGTGTGTGTGTGTGTGTGTGTGTGTGTGTTTGTATAATGACTTCTTTTCCTTTGGGTAGATACCCAGTAGTGGGATTGCTGAATCAAATGGTAGTTCTACTTTTAGTTCTTTAAGGAATCTCCATACTGTTTTCCATGGTGGTTGTACTAGTTTTACAAGCCCACCGGTAATGTAAAAGGGTTCCCTTTCCACCACATCCACACCAACAACTATTATTTTTTGATTTTTTAATTATGGCCATTCTTGCAAAAGTAAAGTTACATCTCTTTGTGTTTTTAATTTGCATTTCCCTGAATTAGTGATGATGAGCATTTTTTCATATGATTGTTGGCAGTTTGTATATCTTCTTTTGAGAATTGTCTATTCATGTCCTTTGCCCACTTTTTGATGGGATTATCTGATGTTTTTCTTGCTCATTTGTTTGAGTTCACTGTAGATACTGGATATTAGTCCTTTGTTAGATGCATAGTTTGTGAATATCTTCTCTCACTCTGTGGGTTGTCTGATAACTGTTGATTATTTTTGATAACTGTTGATAATTGCTGATTATTAAAGCTGTGCAGAGCTTTTTAGTTTTATTAGGTCCCATTTATTTATTTTTGATTTTATTGCATTTGCTTTTGGGTTCTTGCTCATGAATTCTTTGCCTAAGCCAGTGTATAGAAGAGTTTTTCTGATCCTATCTTCTAGAATTTTTATGTTTCAGATTTTAGATTTAAGACTTTGATCCATCTTGAGTTGATTTCTATATAATGTGAGAGATGATGATTCAGTTTCATTTTCTACATGTGGCTTGCCAATTATCCCAGCTCCATTTATTGGATAGAGTGTCCTTTCTGCACTTAATGTTTTTGTATCCTTTGTTGAAGATAAGTTGGCTGTAAATACAAAATACATCAACTTTCAAAGTGTTCAGGACACTTGGGAAAAATATATCTATCTATATATAATGTGTCTATCTATCTATCTATCTATCTATCATCTATCTATCTATCTATCTATCTATCTATCTATCTATCTATACATACACACACACACTGATATGGTTTGGCTGTGTCCCCACCCAAATCTCATCTTGAATTCCCGTATGTTGTGTGAGGAACCCAGTGGGAGGTAATTGAATAATGGGGCAAGTCTTTCCCATGCTCTTCTCATGATAGTGAATAAGTCTCATGAGATCTGATGGTTTTAAAAAGAGGAGTTTTCCTCACAGGTCCTCTCTCTTTGCCTGCTGCCATCCATGTAAGATGTGACTTGCTTCTCCTTGCCTTCCGCCATGATTGTGAGGCTCCCTAGCCACGTGGAACTGTAAATCCAATTAAATCTCTTTCTTTTGAAAATTGCCCAGTCTCAGTTATGTCTTTATCAGCAGCATGAAAACCGACTAATATGCACACATTATATATAAAAATAATGTGTATACATACCTACATTATATATATATGTATATATATACACGCACAGATACACACACATACCCATATATACATACATATACACACACATATATATACCTATCATCTATCTATTTATCTATCTTCTATCTATCATCTATCTTCTGTCTATGTGTATTTATGGGTACACATCCCACAGATATCCCTGTCTGCCTATGGAGTAGAGAAGAAGGTAAGAACTATATCAGTTGCATAGAAGATAGGAATCTGACAATTCAGTGTGCCAGCCAGTATCCTAGAATCAGAATTTAAATAATTTTTCTATATATTACATGTGCCCATTCCATTTGTGATTATTCATCAAGTCAATGAATATTTACCATATATCTATTACATTCTGGTTATTTTGCTGGATGTTATAAATCCCATTTTGAACAAAACATAGCCCTTATTTCAAAGAACTTAGAATTTACTGGAGGAAACAGGCACACAGGAAATAAAGTACAGAGTCAATGGCTGTGATGGGGTAAGCAGAAAGTTCTACGGGAACAACTAAGCAATGACTCTAGCCTTTGCCTGGTTTGTAGGGTTTGACTGTATCTTCATCATCACACTCTATTTCTGCCTGCCTCCATGTTCACTACCAATTTCAGAAGTACAGTTCTGCACTCTCAGAAGTTACATGTGTCAATTAGGCAAACTGGAGAGAGAGCGAGCACTGTAACAGGGAAGCATGGGGCTATGGAGTCAAGCTTATTGGGTTCAAATCCCAACTCTGCCATTTTCTCAGTTTTGCATTGGACAGTCACTTAACCCCTCTGTGCTCTGCTTTTCTCATCTGTAAAATATTGCTGCTCATGCGACATAGTGATGAGAGAATTAGAGAATTATGCTAGAAAACAGCTTTAAAAACCTATAAACTAGCAGAGAGTACATTCTCAATAGGTTTCATTTCTCATTGCTGTCATTGTTGCTACTACTACTACTACTGCCACATCTAGGATACAATGGATCCCTGGTCATTGAAAAAAATTCATACTGACCCAGTTCCCTGCTCTTGAGGGCCTTCCTTCTTGATCTCAATAAGGTTGTCACCAATGCCACTGTCATCACCTCTTCTAGGTCTGGGATGTAAAATCCTCAGTGCTCTAAATAAGAATGAACAGACATCATAACTAAAAAAGCACACTGTCTCCTTAATATTAAACTACTCCCAATTATATAAAATTTGATTCTCATGACTTCAGGGAGATAGATATAACAGAGAAAACCTTGAGAAGAAAAAAATCTCTTGACCAAAGTGTGTATCATTTTTATATTAACAACACGATCACCACACTTTAGCTAGGCATAATGCATTTGAAACTCTTTTATTTCTTTCAAAGAGCAGCAAGACTGCAGCAGGACTGCAGCAGGGAAACTGAGGAGGAAAACCGCCTCACCCACCTGATAGAAATTGGACATAAGAGGAATTGAGAGGAGGCATTTGCTTCCTGACCTACAGGAGAGCAAAGAGCAAGAACGCCTGATGTTCCAGGGCCAAACTTTTAGCAAATCAACTTCTAACAGCATTTTGGATAATGACTTTACTGAGAATCACAGTTAAAGGAGCTTGAAATGTTAAAAATAACATCAGGACTCTCACAGTGCAAGTTTTGATCACTAATGAAACCAACATTCCTGCTATACAAGCTACGAAGGTGGCTGTCCTTTGAGCCTCTGCGTTTTCAAGAACAGACAGCCGTGGAATGAAACAGCCATGAGCCATGGGAGATGTCCTTGAAATGCATTCATTCTGTGGGAGAAAGGACTTGGGCTGCTGCTGCTAATGCCTACCCTTTTTCTGCGGCTTTGGCATTTCATAGGCAGGCCGCAGGTAATTCTCCAGGAATTTGGCCATGGCCTCATTTTGGTATCAGCTATTTTAATTTTGTTGAACAATAAAATACTTTTAAATCGTGTGTCTGTGGACTGTGGGATTGGGAAATAGGGAAACTGAATGTTTACCGCAGGCATCCTTACTTTTTGCTCTCTTTGGGGTCAGAAAGCAAATATCCCAAAGGAGAGCCCTCCACTGCAAAATGGTCACTTTGGCTGGTAGGTCAGGCATTTTGTTTAATGGTGGTGCCATAGCTCAAAATACTAGTCTTTCCTCTTCGCAAACTGCCTTCAGAGTCAGTTTACAATGCTCACAAGTGAACCAATCTATGTCCTTATTAAAGTCATTCCTTACTTATGGTCTAAATCTCTTAAAATGATTCCTGCTGACTTCAGCTCCAAATTACCTTAAGTTGCCTCCTGTGGCCAAATCTTCTTTCCAAAGTGTAATTCAGCACCATTTAAACATATTCAAAATAAAGTTAAAATAAGCCCAGAAGAGTGGCTCACAAAATGTCTACAGCAATATCAACATCACTGGAATAATTACATAACTTGCCTAGGTGGCTATTTTGAAGGGGGAAGCTTTCATTTTTGGTGTGTAAGCTCTGGTGCATTTGGTTAAAAAATATTAAGTCACATTACCATATAATCATGTATTTTTTGGGGAAACAGTCTTGCTCTGTTGCCCAGGCTGAAGTGCAGAGACACAGTCATGGTACACTTCAGCTTGGACCTCCAGGGCTCAAGTGGTATTCCTATCTCAGCCCCCAGAGTAGCTGGGACTACAGATAAACATCATCACACTCCAGTAATTTTTTTCTATTATTATTTTCTTTTTTAGAAATGGGGTCTTTTTATGTTGCCCAGGCTGTACAGTCATATCTTTTACGCTAATTTGTCTTTATCTACAACACAAGGCCACTTGTTTAATATTCTGTCTTCCACATCTATTTCATAAATTTCTGGGAGTTATGGACCTACAGTCTGATCTCTCATAGGCCTTAGGAATGTATTTGTTTCGTGGATATGTAATTCCTTTTGATGCTAAAAAAAAAAAAACAAACAACCTTGCTACTATCCAGCAGTGATGCAGTTTGATTCATAGTGGATTTCAGTTAAATATGAGTGCAAAGACATTTTATTTATCTGTTTATCTACCTTCTGATTTATGTATTCATATTTATCTATGTTTACCTCTTTATTTGGAAACAAAAAGAAAGAAAATGAGAGAAAGGGAAGGAGGAGGAAGATGAAGAGGAGGAGGAGGAGATGGGGAGGAGAAGGAAAAAAATGGATATGAAATAATTTAAGGTCTACAACGAACACTTCATCTTAGAGCATGAAATTTCAAGTTCAAGGAAAAAGTGTTTTTATACTTGAGGGCTGACGTGTCAGAAAGACCCTAAACAATCTATATCTTTTATGAGGTTTTCAGAAAAAGAATTTGTCCCATTCTTTCATCTTTTTAGATGAAATATTCTAGACACTCCAGACTTAACACATGGTTAATAAAGAAAGCACACATACAAATAAAAATGCTCTGCAAAGAATTTAGAGTCTCAAAGTTTATATGACACCACCAGCTAGAATCAATCATGAGCCAAAAATACTTGAAGCTACCCGGTCTATATAGCCACCCATTCCCAGGGCCGTACATAAAACCTGGCTGATTACGAATAATGCCATCACTAATTTCAAGGATTCAATCTCTGACCACTTTCTATCTTTCTAGAATCGTCCCTCTTGTCTGCCCACTCTGAAGTCCTTCCATCTATGGAACCAGCCACCTTCTCGGTGTCCTTTACCACCCTCGTGCCTGCTCATCCAATTTATAGTCCATGGCTCTTCACCTTCCTTTCTCTTGCATCATACTTCCTGAAAAAACCCTAAGGTGGTTACATTCAGCTCTCTAACTACAGTGGTCCTGGCATGCAACAGATGTACATGGATATGAAGAACACACAGCCATGCTACCTGGCCTAATGTTACATAATCAACACTAATTTCAAGCTGGTCTTTATTGTGCTTATTAGTCTCACTACATTTCCATAGTCAATTTACTTTCCCACTCTCCAGTATAACTATTTTGTACCTCTTCGCACTTTAATGTTCAAAACAGGCTCTCCAGCACCTTATTCTCAGCTAATTTCCTTGCGTATATTTTTTCACCAAGAAAATATATTGTATTATCTATTGAATTGGAGCTTGGGCTGCTTTCACTGTGGTTTCTTACCAAGCAGCAAACATATTATGCAGAGGGTAGACAAGGTCAAGATGGCAAGAGAGTAGATGCAGCTGCCCATTCCTTCCCTAGTTCTTCCCTGAGGTACACTAAATTCGGTTCAAAACAATGTGAGATTGAGGCATCCACATGGTCAGAGGAGCCCAGAAATATAAAGGCTCACTGTTTCCCATACTTCCAGTTGGTACAGTAGCCCTGCCAACACTCAAAGGTCTACTGTACCAACTATAAGAAATTTATCTCACAACTCATTAGGTTCCACCTTCAAAAGTATCCCAAATTCGTTGTTTCCACTGCATCTACCTTAGTCCAAGTCACTATCATCTATGAACTGGACTATTGCAGAAGCCTCCATTATCACTCTTGCTGGCCACAGTATGACAGCCAAAATCATCACTTTAAAGCAGAAATCAGGGCCTGGGCTTCCATTGCCCACAATTTCCAGTAGTTTCCCATTGCCCCTGAAATGCCATCCTAGGTCACTGTGACGGCCCCACACATGATCTGCCCTGGCTGCCTTCCCAGTGTCATTGATGAGTATTCTCCCTGCTACTCTTCTCACCTTGCTTCAACTCCCCCGGCCACTTTGCTGCTGCTCAGACACATAAAATATGTTCGTTCTTCAGTTCCTTTTACTTGCTGCTCCTTTAACTATTATTTCTTAGGCCCCAAATCTTCACAGGTTTCATCTCTCAAGTAATTAAGACTCTACTCAAATCACACTTCATCAGAAAAGTCTGCACTGACAACTTATCCAGAAGTTTCTGCACACAAATACAATCACTCTCTTATTTTCTTCTGCTGCTTTACTATTTTCTTATCATTTGTGACTACCTAAGATTATATTATATATGAGCCAATTTGTCTGTTTTTTCATCTACATAAAGATGTAAGATCATAAGGGCAAGAAGTGTTTGTTAACTACTGAATTTCTTGCGCCCAAAGTAGCGCCCGTAATACATTAGGGATGTAGTAAAATGTTTGTTGAATAAATGAACGAATCATTATCATTCTGCTTACTCCAGTATATTTTAATCAAAACACTTCGATAATAATTTCCTTTCATCTTTCTCCTCACCCATTTATGAGGTAAGTGGTGCAGAGATCTTTGTGCCCAGTCTTTAGATAATGAGAACTGTGCCTCAAGATGTAATAAATTGCCCAGGATCACACAGCTCACAGTGGCAAAACTGGATTCCTATCTTCACATTCCTACTTCAGTTAACATTTGCCACTGTGATCTAGGCAAAAATACAGGCTGCATTGTAGTGGCACCTCCAGGTTACCTAATACACCACACATTTTAGAATGCCACTTTGCATAAAAAACATTAATTCCCCCCACTTCTTTTATGGCTTTTAATATTTAAGGTTTTCTAAATAAAATACATGATTATACTTCCCATTAGAAAAAATAAAAGTAAAAGCATTATTACTATTTAAAAATACCAATGTAACAATACCAGAAAGCATTTTAGCATAGTACAGAACATCTTCTTCCAAAATGCAGTCTCTGCCTTAGCCCCTTATTTCTCCTACTGTGGAGATTTAATTTGAGAATATTTTTACCTCTTGTTTTATATGTACATGGCTCTCACCATGTACCTAGTTCATAAACACTTCTAATTATTGAAAGGTACCTTCTGTAATTTGATGTCTCTTAGCCACATTTTACTGGCAGTTTCCATGGCAAACTTTCCATTAGAATGTCTTCATAATTCATCACTGTAGGGTGTATAAACAATGAGCTGTTTTTCACCTTGCTGAATGAAGGAATGGGAATGTGACTCTAACAACAATTTTATCCCAGCAATTGGCAATAATTTTGAGATCACCAACAGCATTTTCCTGCCTGACATGGCATCCTAGAGATTTCCAGTGCATGATGGCAATAGGTGGTACGCAACGTGCCTTTCAATGCTCCCAGTAAAATTTGGACAAAGGCAAGGCAGCGTCTCATTACTCACAGCCAAGTCACAGATAGTGACACTTGAGGGCTGGAATCGTTAAGAGTCATAAAATCCTGGGAGTTTTGCCTTGCCATACAATTTGCTGCTGTGCTCATATTCATGAACAAGCTGTCCTTCCCTTGTACACAGCATTACTTATTGCTCCCAGTGGGGAGTAATGGAAACCACATTTTATATACATTTCCAGCAGCATCATGAATATTGACATCTTCCCCCAACACATCATTAGCATTCCCTGTCTAACTGGTTAATGAAAAACAACACCACAGAACAAATGTTGAGTGCACTTACAGTTCCGTATATTACAATACACAAATATCCTCCCTTGCCATGGAAGTGATCGTCTCTAGTTAGTCTCCTAAAATCCAAATAAATCTATAATTCGTGTTGGCTTTTACATTTTATAACAAGGATGGTATTTAATATTTAGGAATGGAGGATATGAAGGTAAAAATAAATGTTTCTTCCCCTACCACACACTCTTACATCTGGGCATCTGGAGAGAAAGTAAAGAGAAATTTCCAAACTTGTGCTGGTCTGAATAGAATCTAGTCTCAGTTGTTGTCCCATAGTGAAGGGATAAATGTAGTGGGAAGAGGTTAAAGATAACTTTCTATTATCAGGGAATAAGGCTGCAAAACTATTGGTGAATATTTGGGACATTCTTGCTGCATTATTCAATAATGGATCCCTTTTAGATCTAGTAATCAGTTGAGAATCATTTATTTATCTAGGACTATTCTTTCTCACCTTCTTCCTACATGAAACCTACAATCTCAGAAGAGACATAAGCAAAAAAGCAAATTCCTGAGTTTCAGTCGCATTTCAGCAACTGACAGTTATGTTTCATCAAGTTAATTTGGCCACCTCTTTCTTTTCACAGGTGAGGGGACAGAGGCCTGGAGGAATGCAATGCCTTTTTTGCAATCATTCATGTTTTGGGAACTTTCTTCTTTATCAAACTTTAGTGCTAAATCATGGTAAGATTTACTATACTGTCCACCATGCAATAACCAAGCTTTGTAACTGAAGTAATAAAGTCAGATAACTTCACGCTTGAGGAATTGTATTATTCAGACAGAAATTTATATTAATTAGAAAGTGGTAAATAACACAAACAGGCAGAAAAATACAAGTATGTCTTCCTCCAGGAACTGAAGTTTTGTAAAGGAAAATTTCTATAATTGCCAGTTCTATAGATTTTTCAGTCACAGCTGACAGCATGAGCATGTCCCTGAGAATGTTCTCCTGCTTCAGTATTACTTAGAGCCACACATGAGTGTAGGTGAAATAAGAAAGTGAAGAAGGCTTATTTGTCCTATGTGGCTCATTCTGATCATTCTGAATTTAATGTTTGATATGGGGCATAGAGACATTTAGCTATGGCATATTTAAAATATTAAAAAGATTCGAGATCTGAAAAGATAGGATCAGAATCTTCTTGAGTCAGTCTCTTCCGTATCTTTCCCCCACCCTCACACACTTCCCAGCTGTTATGTGATGCAGGTAGTTACCAAGAAAGATGCTGGTGAAGGTTGGCTTATAAAATATTCTTATGACTACCTCAAGCTATGGCAGGAATGAGTGGCTCATCACTCAATTCTCACAGAATTCTGAGCTCTCTGTACCTATGAAACCGCAGCTGTATGTTTCTTACTTTACCTAACCCAATACCAACCATAATGGCTCAAAAAAGAGAATGATAATAGAAAAGAAAGTTATTGCATGTATTTTGACAACTAAGATTATTCTCTTTTTTAGCCATTACAAATGATTGGTTAAAGTCAATTGTCAGTTATTATGAATCTATCTTAACTATAATGTACACAAATTATTTTTTAATGTAGTTACTTATATTGATATATTGAAGAAAAAATTTTTAAAATCTTCTAACTTACTGACAGTATTTTTTATTTGAAGGAGTCATACTAACTTAAAACCCTTATATACCTTTAAACTATAAATTATAGAATTTAAATTAGCCATTTCACGATTCTTCATGCTGTTTGAGGAAATAAAGCAATATAGTCGAGTGAAAATAATCTTAGGATTCTCAGGTGTGGTCTTCAGTTCTAGCTAAACTTTTTATTAGCCTTGAAAACTTGGGAAAATTGCCTACCTTTCAGAATTTCTCTATTTATAAAACAATAAGACTATAATAAACAATTTTGCATGTACCTTTCAACTTTGAGATTTCTTGAAATATGTAGCAGTGAATTGAAATCCATTATTGATAGAAATGCTTAGTCAGAAGCCCTGTTAGACACGTTACCCATACAATACATAAACACACAAATTTACCATATTGTCTTGTGATTCTGCCCATTATTGATGTCTAGAAACTGCAGAAATTACAGAGATAAATACAAAGATATTTGTCAAAAATTGATGATTCACTGTAGACTTTCTTCACATAATCGATTAAAATATATTCATAGTGTTATTATATTCTATTCTCAATAATCTACTTCATTGAAAAACTGGGAAAACATAAATATACTTTAAAGTTATATAGAAAAAGGTTAAAATAAAATATGTAAGAGGAAATGAAATATATTAAGCATCTTAGCAAAAACAAAAATTTTGCCAAAGAGCTTCTCTGCTCTTCCCCAAAACACCAGACCCAGACAATTTCAAAGGGAAATTCTGCTCATCTTCAAAGATCAGATCACTTGAAGTTGCCTAAATTATTCTAGATCCCTGAAAGAGATAGATAATTTTCATTTCTTTATGCCTGAGGCCAGTGTTGCACAGATAATATTGCATAAAGCTACAAGCCAATTTTACTTATGAATATTGATATAAAAATTGAACTAAAAAATTACATTAGCAAATGGAATTCAGTAACACATGAAAGAAGACTACACCACAGTGAAGAGCAATTGTATCTGGAATGCAAGGATGGTTCACTTTTAGTAAACCCATTAATAAAATTAGTTGTTAATAGATATCAAAGGAGAAAAAACATGTATGCCTTTCACTATCTGTGAAAGGTATTTTAAAATTGTGTTTGATAAAATTTAACAAGTATATTGCATAAAAATTATTAACCAAATTTAATAGAAATAGATAAACTCTCAATATGTGTGTGTGTGTGTATATATATATATATATATATAGGCATAAATATATGTGTATATATACATACATATATATAAAATCAGAAACCAGGATTTTGCTTAACAACAGACTATTAGTTTTGTAAATACTAGCTGATACAATTTGATGTAAGAAAAAGAGAGGTATAAAATATTATGGTTATATGCAGATGGTATGCTTATATATTTGGAAACTCAATGAAATTAACTAAAAAGTATTAAAAATAATTTAAAATTTAATTATGTATTAGATTATAAAATTGATATTCAAAAATTAATATTTTCTCAAAAGACCCCAGATTAGAAGATATAATAAAAGAAAAAAATCTTATTATAATATTAATATTTATAAAATACCAGAAATAAAATTAATAAAAATACACAAGACCTATATGAAATAAAAACTAAGTGTGTACCAAGATATCAAGGATTTGACATTTTTACAAAAGTAGACTTTTGTATACCAGAAGATAAGGATAAAAAAAGGCAATCATGTAAAGATATTGATTATTCCTAAATTAGACTATCAATGAAATTAAATACAAATTTTTAAATGGCATATTAATTTGTTTGGAAAAAGATGATATCTTTATAGGTAGAAAAATAACATTCAAGAATGGCTGAGATATTTCTGAAAAAGATGAATAATAAGGCATGTCATTATGTATTTTTAAGCCATATTAATTAAATTTTTGATGCAGCTATATATACTCTGTCTACCTATATATCTATCTGAGTTACACTATATAAAATTACTAATTTTCATGTCTGCTTCCTTATAAAAATGGTAATTATATATGGCTCAACATAACATGTAGGTGACATTCCAAATCAACAGATAAGAAATGTCAGTTCCCAGAAAAGACATTAAATGCATGGAAACCAACTCAGCCTCTTTCATAATTAATGCAAGGTATGTTTAAAGATATATAGCATCTTTTAACCTTTCAATTAGACAAGGAAAATTAAGTTTAAGTGTACATGTGTTGACAACTATTTATGGGAAATAGGTTATGTTATACATTACTGGTGATTGCTTACATTGGTACCAATTGTTAGGAAAGCAATGCAGTAATATCTGTCAAAACATCTGCAGATATTTTCCTCTAAAATTTCCATTTGAGAAAATGATTTTACAGATATATTTAAACATGTGTGCAAAAATTCTATATTTAGGTAACCATAGAGTTTTATATATTAGTAAAATATATATACTAATACTAATACTATATAGTATTTATTGTTGCATTGTTTTTAACAGAAACAAGAGAAAACCATGCAAATATCAACCAAAGGAGATAGAACAAGTACATTTTGGAGTGTACATATTATAGAATGAAATGTTGCCATTAAAAAGAACGAAGTAGACATATATATATACCTTTATGTAGACATTTCCAAGAAGTAGGTTGAAAAAGCAAGGAATAGAACAGCATGGATGTTATATACTCGGTTGAGTAAAAAATTTAAGAACGACAAATATATAAAAACACATATAGAAATCTTTGTAAATGTGCAAACTAACTCTGAACGATTACATTGAAACCAGGAGTAGCGGTTGTTTCTGAGAGAGAGAGAATGAGGAAACTGGAAATTTAGAGTGAGAAGGAGACAAAATTGATGTCCCTTGCACTGTTTGAATTTTTATAATATTAGTTAAAAACACTAATACTTAAAAAACAAAACAAAGCAACATTTGCCCTATAAAATGTTGGGATAAATTTTGGTTTCATTTTGACTCTTATGAAAGTCAAATATATGTGTAGAGAGCTACTTGTATTTCCATTACATAATAAAACGAGTTGACAAATAATCCTAGAACAAAGATTACCATTTCTCTGGGGGGTAGGGGTAGAGTAATGGGACACAACTTCCCTGATGAGTAATGGAAAAATTGTCTGAAATTTTTTTTGGTGAAAACCTGCTGGGCACAGCATGCCTATTTTCTTGCATCCCACAAACATTTCTGTGAATGGGGGTACACTATCTCAGCCTCATTCCAAAACTCACATATAAAGTTTGCATTTCTTTTTGGAAAAAGCATCTGTGGAAGAAATCTGAATGAAGAGAAAGCCTTTTTCATATTTCCTTCTCACTCTGCAATAGTAGCACCAGCAGGATTCGAAAATAATGTTCGAGTCTGAAGGCACATACGGTAACTACAGAGACCTCCTTTGATACTTCTGAAGTCGTTTTAAATGGGGCCATCCATTTTGTCTGAGTTGCACAACCCATCCAGAACCTAGTACAGTCATCTATTGTTGCCCGCTGATCACCTGTTCCTCCCATGATCTTTGTGTTTGATCTTAGAGACATTAAGCGGCATGGAGAGCAAAAGCATCCTTGGGTACCCTGCCACCTGCCCTCCTCAATTGACTTGATGGAGGGAACCTTTTTATTTGCCATTTACCCACTGCCAGAGAGAGTATGCTGGGGTGAGTGGTGTATGTCTGAAGAATTCAGCAGGGGGTTCAGCCTGTAAAAAGATAACCAAGTTAAAACACAGAAAATCGTAATGCTTTAAAGCAAGGAAGTGATGTCAACCACCAGGTGATCCTCTTAAAGAATGGAGTTCCACTAAGTGGTTTAAACAATTGCTTCATGGGATATCTCGCTCTTTCCTTGAAGGGTCAACTTGGTCTGGGAGCTCATCTCAATGAACTCAGCGGGTAATGCCAACAACTCTGTAGCTAATACAGAGGTTTTCTGTTTCTTTTTTTTCATCTGGACTGCAACACTGAAGTAACTGCCTTATGAAAGGCAGTCTATGCCTAGACATTATTATCTGCCCATGCAGCTGAGGTCAACAGCAAATGAACAGTAGGCCCTGGAGTAGTAGATGGCTGGGGTTGGGCATATTGCCCAACAGTGGAAAACTTGGCCATGCTCAGGGAAAATGGGGAGTGGCCTGTAAAGGATAGCAACATCAGTAGCATCTGGAGAGAATGGGACAATGCTAGCATCTGTAGCTCTCACATGGAGCTTAGCGCAGTACTGGGAAAGTCAGATGCCAGCTCTTAGAGTTGTGACTTGGGGGTTGTAATCTAATGTTCCTTGACTCTATATTATTCAGTAGATTCAAGTGGAAACTAGAGAACCTATGTAGAAAATGACACCCTGTCTTAGTTTCTGAATCAAATGGGATAAACACAAATTTACTTGGATAAAAAATTTCCATTTTAAAAACAAAATTGAATTCGTCCCAATGAAATCAAATTGTTCTTTCTGTAATAATACTTATGTATTTATTACATCTAAGAAGATAACATTTGTTGCATATTACATTATGAAACATATCTAAAATCTAAACAGTTTTTTAATTAAAAGAAATGTGTATTTCTGTTACATCAATTGAACAAACTAACCCATAAGGTCAGACCATCCATTTTGCAGCATAATTCAAGTGACACAGAGATGGTGTCCAGGTTTTGTATCTGGACTCTGGATGGCTCTTAGAGAGAAAGGAATTGAACACTGCAAGTCTGGACAAGAGATCAATGAAGTGGAAATGCTATGCAAATATTCTAAGAAAAGAAGTAATGAGGGGAATTTTCTTCGACCCTTGGATAGATACGTTATAAATCTGTTAGATGTAGATATTTGTCTATTCTTCCATGTGGCTGTCATCTTAGGTGATACCTTATCAAAGTTTCATTAGGAAGCATCCAACCTTAGCATCTCAATTTAGGGAAATAATATAACATTTTTTGCACTTTAAATTCAAATAGGCTGCTCAGAAATTTCTTTATGGATTTTTTACTAAGAAATCCACCAGTGATTATCAGATGCCACAACTTCTGTGCTAGCACATCTTGTATGAAGAAATGGCTGGCTTGATTTATCTAGCTATAGATATAAATGTGTATATATATTATAAATAGGTATAAATATAAATATATAGACAGATGTAAGAATATATATATATACATACTTTAGAAGTAATCACTGAAAAGAGAAGCCCCTGGCTCAAAACACTGACAAATTTTCTGTCCCAGAGTCTTTTCAAAGATGGCCCATAATCTTCGCTCACCTATTACAGCTCCTCTCATTCTACCATGGCTCAAGAATAAACAAACAATTCCCTTTTATGATTCTGCTGAGCAGAACTGGGTATGACAGCATTTCTGATAAGACCTTTACCAAGAAAGAAAAGAGGAAACCAGCTCAGTGAAAATGTAAAAGCATCTTTTTTCTGGTGGACAGTCTTCTACCTTCTAGCACTGATCTGCTGCTCTACATTACAAGGTTCTTTCCTGGACATTGCCTTTCCTGATTATTCATAAGTAGATGGCTCTTAACTCCTCCCACAAGAGAGCAGCATATAAACATCATGTTTCTGCTTTCAGCTACCTGGAGTCATCTTCAGCCCAGATCTTGCCTCTGAGTTTCAGCTTACTTAATATCTTCACTTAGAGGCCTATTGACCTTAAAAATTTATATTCCTTTCTCCTCACACTCTGCAATCTTCCCATTAGTAAGCGAGATCACAGAAACCTAGAATTTCATTTATCCCATTCCTTTACTACCCACCTCCTACCTCTCAGCCCAGCAACAGGTCTGAGCATGCACACATGCATTCATCGTCAAGTCCTGGGGATTCTACTTCAAAAATGGAATTTGAAAAGTTGTCCCTTATCAGGTTCTCTGATCCACTATCCCTCACTTGAATTACAGAGTCAGTTTCCTAACTGGTATTCACCCTCTCACTCTTGTGCTTCTATGGCTCATGCTCCAGCTGAGAAGTAAGAATAATCTTCCTAAATTAAAAAGTGGGTCATGACATTTTTTTTTCCTCTCTAACTTTTTATTTTAAAATAGTTTTAGGCTACTGAAGAGTTGCAAAAATGGTACAGAGAGTTTCCTTAAATCGATCACTCAGCTTTCTTGAATGTTAACACCTTAGATAATTATGGTGCAATTATCAAAACTAAGAAATTAATGCTGATGATATACTATTAACTAAACCAAGGACATTTTTTGAAGTTATTCAATTTTTCTACTGATGTCATTTTTCTGTTTCAGAATCCCACCCTTTTAGCACTTTTCTGCTTAAAAGCTTGCAAGGATTTCCTACTGTTCTTAGAATGAAACCCAAATTTCTAATCATGTTCTATAAAGCACTGCGTGCTCTCTGCTCAGCCTATCTTTACAGCCTCATTCTTTTAAGTTCTGCCCTTTCTACGCTCAACACCACTGGTCATCTTTCAGTTTCTTGAACACCTTGAGCCCTTTCACACCTCAAGGTCTTTGCATATCTGTCCCCTCTGCATGGGATGCTCTTGTTCTGCATCTTTGAGCAGCCAGCTCCTTCTCTTCCTTTTAGTTGGCTTAAATATCACTTTTACCAACAGCTCTTAGTATCTAGGTCCCCTGTGCTATTCTCTGCTTCATCTATTTGCTTATTTCTCACAGGTCAATTATTTTACTACACTTGGCAATTATTTTACTCATTTGTCAGCTTACATGATTGTTATTTAGCCCTCTGGAATATAAGCTCCAGGAGGGATGAGATCATATTTGTATTAGTTTTCTATGGCTGCCATAAAAAGTTGCCCAAAACATTGCAACTTTTGGCAACACAAATTTATCTCACAATTCTATACATTAAAAATCCAGTGGGTTCAGCTGGTTTTTCTATCTGAGTCTTAAAAACTGAAATCAAGGTATTAGCAAGTATGCTCCTTTCTGGAGGCTCTGGGAGACAACTTGATTCTGGGCTAATTCGGCTTGTTGGTATTATAGAATGCAGTGTCCTGTGGTGAAGGACGGAGCTCCTGTTTACTTGCTGGCCACTGACCAGGATGTTCTTAACTTCAAATAGGCGACCTGTATTCTCTGGTCTGTGGCCCCCTGTGTCTTCAAAGCCAGCAACAGTATGTTGAATTCTTCTCCCTCTTCAAATTTCTCTTGCTTTTTCTTTCACCGAGTTTCTCTGACTTTAACCATAGAAGAGTTTCTGCTTTTAAGGACTCATGTGATTAGATTGGTCCCACCTGGATGATTCAGACTACTGTTTGTCATGAACTGAATTATGTCTCCCCACTCAAAATTTGTATGTTGATGCCCTAACTTCCAAATGTGAATGTATTCAGAGGTAGGGCCTTTAAGGAAGTAATTAAGGTCAAGTGAGGCCATAAGAGTGGGGCCTTGATCTGATAGGACTGGTGTCTTCATAAGAGGGGCAAGAGCTACCACAGATCTCTCTCTATCTTTGCACGTGTGCATAGTGAGAAAGTAGTGTCTACAAGCCAGGAAAGGAAGCCTCACCATATCCCAACCCTGATGGACTCTGATCTTGGGCCTCTAGCCTCCAATTGTGAAAAAATAAATTTCTGTTGTTTAAGCCACACAGTCTGTGGTATCTTGTTATGGCAGCCTGAGCAGACTAATACACTCTTCTAGTTTCAAGGCCCTTAAAAGTTAGTCACATCTGTGGAGTCCCATTGGCCATGTAATGTTAACATATTCACAAGGGATTAGGGGATAGACATCTTTGGCGGGCTACTATTCAGTCCACCACAATATCTGCCTTCTTGACGATTGTATCATCCTAGTTTAACTCACTTAGGCATGAAACAATTGAGTAATAAATAATTTGATGTAACTTACTTGAACATTATCACAAGAAAGGCAACTGGTTTAATCACAGACACTACAATACAGCTCCAGTTTCTCTCTTTTGCTGATGTCTGATAGTTGTATCATTCCCTGGTGTGCTAATGGACTATTCAATTCTGTTTGTTAGAAAAATTAGACCTATTAGAAAATTTTCTGTCTCTTGTGTTTGCAATTGTTAAAGCACGAATTTCATCAAGAGTATCTCTACAGGTTTAGTCATCTCTTATTTCAAGTGTCTACTAGAAACAGTAACATGCATTGCTGAAAAGCTAGGGATCTGCTTTTTTGTAATGTAAATTCTCTCTGCTACTTACTGTTTCATTCTCTGTGCTACTGAGTTTGCAGATTTAACTGGCTGAGCATTACACAGAGAAAACTGACTTCTTGGTGGACTTTGTTTTGTAAGAAAGGCTCTCTATTCATTCTATAGTCTTGGATAACTCCATTTGTCCTGCTTTTAACATTTATTCCCTCCATCCCAACTTCACTGCAGCAATGATATGTCTAATATGGAGATTAAACACACGAAATGCATGGACTGTTGCCTGTGCCAATTCTTTGGCATGAAAGTATGCACAGGAAGCCTCTCTTTTCTTGAACTGTGACTTTCAATTTGCCTTGTTACTCAATTTTGTGTCCACATTCCTTGAGGACAGCATGCTGAGTTGGCAAGAGCAAATGTTTTGTAATCAGCAAACTTAAATTCCAATTAAGACTCTAAAAATTAATAACTGAACATCCCTTAAAATCCTTGAGTTTTCATTCCCTCATGAGAATGGACCATCCCTCATGTTGCTCTTATAATGTTTAATTCGTGTAATTGCTCCTCAGTAAACTCAGAAACAATCCTGAGAGCAGTGGTTTCCCACACATTTTTAAATTCCCAGAATACACACACACACACACACACACACACACACACACACACACATACACTCACAGCCTTACATAAAGTTAGGGTCAGTAGAAGTTATCATTTGATTTTGTCATGGGGGAAGAAGTTTGGTCAATAATAATAATCAGAAAGATTAGGTAGACAGAATGAGTACAAGAGGGAGTTTGCATAAATTGATGGGTACAGAGGCCCAGAAGAAATGTAGGGAAGATCCATGTTAAGATTTTTAATCAGTTTACCTCTTGCTGTAAGAAAAGAATTCCAAAAAATTTAACTGGTATTCTGATCCATCCTTGGCATCCTTAGTATTCTGATCCATCCTTGGTGACTTAGATAGATTTTAAAGAAAGAAATGATGTAGGCTGTGGTGAGGGGCATGAAGAAAGAGAGAGAGAGATTTACAACATTTTTTGCAGTTCTTTTCTAAACCTGCCCCTTACAATTTTCCTATGGAAGCACTTTGCTTTTGGTTTTCTAGCCCATCTGGTCTCATGTTGCTAACTTTTGTGAGGCAGCATGAATCCCTGAGGTACTTCTGGACCCTCACTAAAAGAAGACTAACTGTTGAGATGCCATTGTTATCAGCCCATGTCACAAAGGTGCAGCAGGCACACCTGGATGCAGATGCCTAGAGAAGCCTTTTAGATAATGGTGTAGGCAAACTGGGGCCTTGGGAACCCAGGAGGGTCTCAGTGGCCAACAGTGGAAAAAGCTGTATGACCTGCAATGAAACTAGCAAGCTAAAGATGTTTGTTTTCCCCCAAACAGGTTTCTGGTAGTGTAGGAAGACATTATGCAGTTTTGAAAAATAAAGCCAGCTGAGAGTGAGGCTGATGCCGAGTCATGGGAGGTGAGTGAATCTGTGTTTACATAGAAAAGAAGCAGAAACTCTAGCAGCTGTAATGCACTAGCATGCACTTAAAAAAATAAGTCCATTCCTGAGTTGAAGATGAATACCACAGGAAGTGAAGCTCACTTCTGACAGATAAGTATGTTTAGAAGAATAGTAGATTGTTGAAAATTTTGGCTGGGGAGGAAATAGAGAATATCTTTTGAACACAACAAAAAATAGAGAAGATATGTAGATTCAGCTCTTTTTCCTAGACTAAACCAGCCTTGAAAACTAAAATTATACCTATGCGAGGTCTTACCCAGAGTGGAGTTTGGATGCTATTGCTATATTTCTGTTTGTTTGTTTTAATCTGAAAAATTAACAAATGTAGTTACTTTTAAAGAATTTTTTAATAAGATATTGATTTCGGTGCTAGGATCAGGCCACTGCTATCCCTCCCCTTGTTGAATGTTGCCTTTATCAAGACATTAGCACTAGTGAATCCTCTGCATTTGTGTCTTCTCACTGGTAAGGGAGGAAGTTCTTCGCAAAATGTAACCATTAGACCCCTGAGCAGATTGATGGGAAATTTGTCTTGATTCTAAAAAGAAGTTCTAGATAAAAAGGTTAAAGAAAAATAAACATTTAGAAGTCATTACCCTTCAGAATTACTTTAGCCATCTCTCTTGCCTGCCATATGCATGCCTCTCAGGTGCATCATTTGATGCATGCACATTTGAATATGGGACAACCAGGGCCTTGGATTTGAATCTGTCCTAGGAGAAAGATAGATATAACAATAAAAGCCCAAAGTTCAAGTTCCGGTATTCCTTTACATGTTCATCTCTTCTTTACACCTTTAATGATCTTGGACAGGCATCTGAAACACCCAAAACTGGGACCAATCATGTACAGTAGCTGCTCACTGACTTCAGAATTGGTGGTATTCTCCCCTTAAATTTTGCTCTCAGGACTATATGAGATTTTGGCAGGTACCCAGTTGAATTTACCTTTATTTATTGATCTATCTTCTTAAAAAATTAAAAACATTTAATTAACACAAAAGATTTTATATATTTAAGGTGTACAACATGATGATATGATATATGTACATTACTGATTACATCAGTCACCACCCTGTGAAACAGGTTTACTCTGCACTGGTTACCACTTCAGCCCACTGCATCTGGGCTGCAATTTCCACTGCTTGCATGAGTCTGGTGAGACAGAACGATCACACAACAAGTTAAGCTAAGCAAATTTATTACTCACAGGTAGGCAGCAAGGGACAGTAGAAGGATTCAAGATTAAGGGTGAGTCAACACCACAAGTCTCAGAAGAGTTGCCCAGAGTTGATGGAATCTTGTTTATCCATG